>NC_000018.10:45758170-46969912 GCF_000001405.40 Homo sapiens
AGTCAGAGTTTAAGTTTATCTCTCATATTCCCTGAACAATTGCTGTTATCCTGTTCTTTTTTCAAGGTGCCCACATTTCATATTGCTCAAACACACATGCTGTACAATTTGTGCAGTTAATGCAATTATTGCAGGGTCCTGAGGCAACATACATCCTCCTCAGCTGATAGGATTAAGAGATTAAAGTAAAGACAGGCATAGGAAATCACAAGGGTATTGATTGGGGAAGTGATAAATGTCCATGAAATCTTTACAATTTATGTTTAGAGATTGCAGTAAAGACAGGCATAAGAAATTATAAAAGTATTAATTTGGGGAACTAATAAATGTCCATAAAATCTTCACAATCCACGTTCTTCTGTCATGGCTTCAGCTGGTCCCTCTGTTTGGGGTCTCTGACTTCCCGCAACACTAAAGGTACTACAGATGATTCGAAAAGTGAAAGGAAAATAAATCTCGAGACCCCAAAATCATTAAGCCAAAGGGAAAAGTTAAGCTGGGAACTGGGTCACGCAAAACTGCCTCCCCTTTGGTTCCTAAATTGGATGGCTACAAGATGAAAAGCTACACACTGCCCTCATATTTTGCCCACAGGGAAATCCCTAGTGAACTCCAAGATCTTTAAAGTGTTTCTGTTAAAATTCACCATGGTGCCCAGGCACAGTGGCTCACGCCTGTAATCCCAGGACTTTGGGAGGCCAAGGTGGGCGGATCATGAGGTCAGGAGATTGAGACCATCCTGGCTAACACGGTGAAACCCCTTCTCTACTAAAACTACAAAAAATTAGCCGGGTGTGGTGGCAGGTGCCTGTAGTCCCAGCTACTCGGGAGGCTGAGACAGGAGAATCACTTGAACCTGGGAGGGGGAGGTTGCAGTGAGCCAAGATCGCACCACTGCACTCCAGCCTGGGTGACAGAGCGAGACTCTGTCTCAACAGAAAAAAAAAAAAATTAACTATGGCAATGTAAATGATAACTTATCTTTACAGGTGCAATCACCCCTCTTCCCACCTGATACAAATGCATATCTGATTATTCCCACCCACCCACCCCCCACCGCCCCATTTGTCTGTTAATCTTATGTAAAAGTGCAGATTCCTTGCATTTCCCCTGTCCCATGTGGCCATGTTACATAAAAATGCAGATTCACTGAGCTAGACAAAGACATGAATATTTTCTCCCTACCCACCTCTTGCATGAAAATTGTGTACTTCTCACTATCCTGCCCTTTCCTCTTTAAATCTGGAGCCCTCAAAATCATCTTCAGAGAAAAGCATAGACCTGTCGCCCAGATGTGCATCCTTAACTTTGGCAAATAAACCTCCTAAAATGATTGAGACTTGTCTCATCATTTTTCTCTATTGACATAATGGGCCCTCCTACATAAAAGCCACTGCACATTCAGAAAATTCAGAGTACCCTGGAGGCTGGAGTAGATGAGGATGGCTTCCTGGAGGAGGTGTGAAGGTGTGACTCTGGCCTCATTCTGACACATTCCCTCCCTGGCTCACCTAGACTTGGCTTTAGGAGCTCATCTGGGCTCCCCCTGGACTCCCAACCACGCCCTTTCCAGAACCACTTCTAGAGACCAAGGAAATGATGCTCTTACCAAGGGGCCATGTTGTGGTGGGGCCTAAGATTCATAGTTCAGGCAGTGTATAGAGAAGGTGGCCAGAGCAGAAGGGAGTGGCCATGGCACAGAATCTATTTTCTTTAAATGCTCAAAGCTTACATATGTCAAGTCAGCCTATAATAGCCATCTCTTCCCATTTTGATCCCACCCCACCTTGACACAGCCAAGGCAATGTCATGGCATTTCTCTTAATCACCCTCATGGTCTGCTGTGTGCTTACTCCTTTTCAACTGTAAGGATGACCTAGAAATATATAACCATATTTTATATAAATACAGAACTGCCTAAAGAAGCAGCTAATATTGTGATTCCCCTGGCCCTGCCCCCACCACTTCCTGCCTCCAACTCCCCACCCACCATGTGAGGAAAGCTTATGCTTCTCTTCCTTTCTCCTGGGGACCTCCTTTCACTGCCACACCAGTCCCACTTGTCCCACCTCTGCCCTACACATTCCTCATGGACAGCGCCCATCACCTGCCGCTCTGCCCCTCACTGCCAATCACAGGGCCCTGCAAGCTCCAAGCCACACGGCCAATGGTAGCCTAAGGACCCCCTTCCTGCACACCTCGAATTGACCACCACTGTCTGCTCATCCTAGGAACCTCCAAATTCAGGCCCTTTCAACCCTCAGGACTCCAGATTATTCTTCCCTATACCCACATCTAGGACTGACCCACTGCTGATTCACACCAGTGCAGACATTCAAATTATTAAAATATTCAGTTCTTTTGCACACTTTGTGGTAAGTAGCCACTGCCCTGAGCCCTGTCACTTGAGTCTCTCTATGACCTTCAGGAATTTCTCCACAATCCAGCAACTAAAGGGTTAACACAAAGCACAGCTGTGAGTTCCAGCAATCGTTCTGATTGGTCAGTCCCCTTGCCTTACCAGGTGATTAAGGTTTTAAATTTCACTGTGGCACCACACGGCAGATAAATTTTGTATGCCTAATGCTGGTTGTAATTTAATGCAAATAATCATTTCTTTTGAGGCTGCAAGATGGGGTCTAAGGACTCTGGACTCAGCGTGAGGTGCATGAGGGCATGCAAACACCTGGCATCAGGATCGTGCAGTCACACCCACATCAAGCCAACATCTGCATAATGCAACTGAGAAGCAGCAAAGCTGGTCCCCTAAGATGCCTTCACCAGCAGCCCACCACGGAGCCCAACATTTCTCCACTCATTCCCTGAATTTTCAGTGAGAGAAGCAACACAATAAGATCTCAGATAGCAACATCCTAATTGAATTAGTTTTACCTGGTCTCTTCCCAGTTTCTTCCTGCCTAATAGCAAGAGAAAGTCCTGGCCAGTGCAGTGGCTCACGCCTGTAATCCCAGCACTTGAGTGCTGGGATGGATCACTTGAGGTCAGGAGTTTGAGACCAGCCTGGCCAACATGGCAAAACCCCGTCTCTACTAAAAATACATAATTAGCCGGGCATGGTGGTGGGCACCTGTAATCCCAGTTACTCAGGAGGCTCAGGCAGGACAATTGCTTGAACCTGGGAGGCAGAGGCTGCAGTGATCCAAGATCACACCCCTGCACTTTAGCCTGGGTGACAGAGAGAGACTCCGTCTCAAAAAAAATAAATAAATAAAATAAAATAAAAAAATAGAGAAAGTCCTATAGGAAAAAGACTCTAGAAAGATTAGTTTTCATGGGAAATCCAAGGAAGGTGGCCATCCAGAACTAGGGGAGTATCATGCAAAGGAAAGGAATGAGGCATAAGAGGGGTGTACAAGAGGAAACCCAGGACAATGCATCATTTAAAGTCGTGTTCCTCTGAACATATTGCAGTGAAGAGACAAGCCAGTCAGCAAGGATTTGACTCGTTAGTCAAATGAGGTGTGAGCCCAGGCTAAGAAGCAGCTTCCCTCCTCCATGCCATTTACGTGGTTACTTCCTCTTCTTGTAATCTTCAAATCCCAGCTTGCCTGCTCTAATGGCCATTTGTTGTTTTTGTCTTCCCCGCATGCTTCCCACCTTCTTCTAGTAACAGCGACTCCCCTTCCTTAAGGGATCTCCTCCTTCCCCATCCATGGGGTCCTCTGAGGCTGCTGGCCTCAATACCATAATCTCAAACACAGTGGAGTCAGTGACTCAGCTGTAATCAATCATAGTATCTCAATCCCCTGGCCATGGGGATTGGTCCAAGGGACAGCCACCTAACCCAAACTGAGGCAATAAGATTCTTCCCTGCAGGAATTTGAAATCTAAGTACACAGACATCCAGGATGAAGGGAAATCGAGGCTGGGTCTGAGAATAGTGCTCTAAGAGAAAGGCCATGAGATACCCAGAGCCATCCTGGTTTCTTTCCCTCCCAAGCCCAGGTTACTATTACCTTGATGTAATAACAACATTAACTATCCCCCAGCCCCATATCTTTCCAATAAACTGAATTGGTACTTAAGTTAGAATCTGTTTGTGTCATTTCAAACACAACCAAAATTGATACAGAATATTACAAGTGACATCTCTAGAAGATGGAATAGGCAGAGTCAAGAAGGGGCGGGGATCTGACAGTTCTTGCTACATGGTTAAATGATTAGCTGATACATATTGTGACCCAAACCGTATGTACCCATGGCTAAAGCATTAGAAAAGGCTTGGTAGGAAAATGTCAGGATATTAGAGAGCTCTGACTGATCACTTTAGCTTAGACTAAAGCAGGATGCATGGACATGTTGGGGTTGCCTCTTTCTGCCTTTAGCTAATGCTCCAAGAACCCGGGGGATGAACGATTGAGCTTCCTGCCTGTGCAGGTTATTAAGTTATTGTCTCCCAGTTCTAAGCCCACCCTTCTACACTTTGATCTGTGATGGCAGGGCTAAGACTCTGCAACCCACTGTTTTCTTTCTTTTTTTTTGAGATGGAGTCTCGCTCTGTTGCCCAGGCTGGAATGCAGTGGTGCAATCTCGGCTCACTGTAACCTCCGCCTCCCAGGCTCAAGTGATTCTCCTGCCTCAGCCTCCTGAGTAGCTGGGATGATTACAGGCAAGCACCACTATGCCCTGCTAATTTTTCATATTTTTAGTAGAGACAGGGTTTCACCTTGTTGGCCAGGCTGGTCTCAAACTCCTGACCTCAGGTGATCCACCAGCCTCGGCCTCCCAAAGTGCTGGGATTACAGGCATGAACCACCATGCCTGGCTTTTTTTTTTTTTTTTTTTTTTTAAGACAGAGTCTCACTCTGTTGCCAAGGCTGGAATGCATGGATGCGATCTCGGCTCACTGTAGCCTCCGCCTTCCCAGTTCAAGTGATTCTCCTGCCTCAGCCTCCCTAGTAGCTGGGATTACAGGTGTCCACCACATTTTTGTATTTTTAGTAGATACGGGTTTTCACCATGTTGGCCAGGCTGGTCTTGAACTCCTGACCTCAGGTCATCTGCCTGCTTCGGCCTCCCAAAGTGCTGAAATTACAGGCATGAGCCACCATGCCCAGCCCAACCCACTGTTTTCCTTTGCCTGTTGGATTCTGCCAATAGGATGAAATACAGAGAGAATGGAGGGAAGAGGGATTTGCCCCTTTCAGCAGTAGTTTCCAGCTCCTTGTCACTTTGCCACAACCTGACCCATCAGGCCCCCTTAAAGGGTGCAGCACCGCTAAGTCATTCATTCCTTCCTCAGTGAGTTCTGTCCCTGGCCCTAATTAAAATTAATGTCCTGACTAGGAAGTGACTACCCGGGAGGATTAAAAGAAATGGGCAAGTCTGATCCCAAGCACCTTCTATTATCAATGTTTTCTTTGCCAAAAAAAAAAAAAAAAATGCTAGCAATTCCTGGCCACAATTAAGTGTCACTCACTTGGGAAGAGCCTGGGGACAGAGGCCGTACTGACCTTATACCTATGCTAGAAGGACCCTATACTGACCCCTCAATGCTTTAAAATGTCCCAAACTGACCTCCCTCTAGCCATTCCTCTGCCCCTTCCCTATGGACAAGAAGCGCATGGGCCCAAGAGGATATGTCCACCTGGAGCCTGGGACTCTCTTCTGGACCATGCTCCAAGTGCCTAGGACAACAGAATGCCCTCCCCAGATGGCCTAGAGCTTGCTTTCTGGGCCCATGAGGCCCCCTTCCCTGAGTTCTCCTTCTAAAAGGGGATTGGGTTTCCAGGTTACACACCCCTTAGCCTGAGGTGCTACTAAGAGATGCTGATGGAGGCTGGGGGTGAATGGAGCTTGGACATGCCCACTGAGTTGTCCATATGCTTGCATAGGGCCCCACTAAGCAGAACAGAGTCCAGTGGAAAGAGAAGATGGGGTGGGCAAGGGACTTCTTTTTGTGTTCTTGCCCCAGCCTCACAAAGAGGCTCAGAGAGGGCCTCACAGGAAGTGAGTAAGTTCCAGGCCCTGGATCTAAAGCAAAGGCCAACAAGATCATTAAGCCGAGATCTAAGGAAATGAGCTAAGAGACAGAACTGCAAGGCTGGGCACAGATTCAACCAATGAAATGAGTGAGAGTTTTATGAGGCTGTATTGCCAGAGAAACCTTAAGCTGAACATATAGGTGCTTATGATTGTAAACCCCAAGCACCAGAACCCATGCCAGAAGGGAGCGGGCCTCAAGGCAGGGCCACCCCAGCAGCAAAATCTTCCCAGGTGCTCCTCAGGAGTGTCCAAGGTGAGCCCTGGATGGGAGACCCCAGCAACAGGGAAGCCATACTCACTGACCACAGACTCACCCACAACCAGGCCGTGAGTCAAGAAACATGTCTGCCTGCTTACTTACTATTCCTGACAAACAGGACATGCTGTACTCTGTGCCAGGGGCTGTCACCTCCTGTTCCCTTTCCCCTTTTTAAAAATGGAAGTTTTTATTATCTTGCTTCTCCCCCATCATGGTTTCTATATTGGGTGCATTGGGGTGACATGCTTATCTCTTTGCCAGATCCAATGGAGGGGAGAAGAGGTATCAGTAGCCATGGTTGTCTCCCGGGGGAAGGAGGTATGAACAATGCGGAGCTATTTTAAGCAGAGATATCTTTGAGATCGTGCACGTGTGAAGAAGGTTGCGTGTGAGTTAGGCAGCAAACTAGTGTTCCCTGTGCCCATCTCCCACCCCTGGCCCTTCTAGTCTCAGGCCTTGAACCCTTAACTGCAGAGGAAGGGCATGAGCCAGGCTGGAACAATCACTGCACTTTACCTCAACCACAGTGACTGACTCAGGGTGGTCTTATCACAGCAGCTGCCAATCTCAGTGCTTCTGGATGGAGCTGGTGGCAACGAATGCCTTTCTGTTTTTTGTTTGTTTGTTTGTTTGTTTGTTTTGAGATGGAGTCTCACTCACTCTGTCACCCAGACTGGAGTGCAGTGGGGTGATCTCAGCTCACTGCAACCTCCGCCTCCCAGGTTCAAGCAATTCCCTTGCCTCAGCTTCCTGAGTAGCTGGGATTACAGGTGTGCGCCACCACACCCGCCTAATTTTTGTATTTTCAGTAGAGATGGGGTTTCACCATATTGGCCAGGCTGGTCTCAAACTCCTGACCTCGGGTGACCTGCCCACCTCACGCCTTTCCTTTTTGACCCAGCTGTCGCCATGTGAGTCCAAGGCTGTGTCAGAGGCCGTGTTCCCCACTATGTGGGGAAAGGCCAGGTGGAGTAGGAGAGAATTAGACAATGGGTTAAGTGAGGTAGGGAGAGAGAGAGTGTGTGTGTTCTAGAAGCCTCAGTTCTCTCGTTCTAGTCCCAGAGGTCACCAGAGTTTCCTGCAAATCCACTTTAGGTTCTATGAGCTTCCTTACCTTTTCTACTTAAGCTAGTATAGAAAGTATAACTGACACTTTCAACTAAGAGTCTCAACTAATTAACCAATCCTTAACATTTGAGTTAAACTTTCTTAAACCCATGGTTCTTTAAAATACTTTCTCATTCTGTTTATATATCCTCCCAACAGAATAAGAGAGAGAGAGAGAGAGAGAGAGAGAGAGAGAGTGTGTGTGTGTGTGTGTGTGTGTGTGGTTTAAAACAATAGAAATTTATTCTCTCACAGTTCTGGAGGCCAGAAATCCAAAACTAAGGTATTGCCAGAGTTGTGTTTTTCCCTGAGAAAGAAGATTCCATGCCTGTCAACTGGCTCCTGGTGGTAGTCAGCAATCCTTGATGTTCCCTGGCATTTCCTGGCTTGTAGTGGCATCACTCCAACCTTTGTCTATATCTTCAGATGGTTTTCTTCTCTTTGCGTGTCTGTGGCTCTGTGGCTCCATGTTTTCCTCTCTTTTCCCTTACAAAGATGCCAGTCATTGGATGTAGGGCCCACCCTAATCCAACGTTACCTCATCTTAACTAGCTACATCTGCAAAGGCTCTGTTTCCAAATAAAGTCACATTCTGAGGTTCTGGATAGACATTAGCCTTAGGGGGCACACTATTCAACCTATTACACATATATAATATGTCCTACCATTGCCCACTTGAGAGGGCTTGGTTGTTTTACATGCCAAAAGCAGTGAGCATACCTACCACTAAGAGCGTGGCTTCTAAATGCCATTCTTAAAACCTGCACATTCTCCACATGAATCCCAGAACTTAAAGTAACAACAACAACAAAAAAGAACCAAATAGTGATCGAAGAATGATCGGGGAAAACTGAAAAAGACACAGAAGTCAGTTTGAAAGAACTTCCACTGGCTAAATTTGGGACAGTTTGAGCATGAAAATAAATAATAACAGTAATATGTCCTCTCAAATAATATAGAAAACCATGAATCAATACTTATATACCTAAATACATACATACAAACAAACATACATACATGTGCTAATTGAAAATAGAGATATTTGTCATTCCTTTTTCAGCAAATATAATTTCATCCTATGGATATATATGGTAGTTCATTTAAGTGTTCTATTACTGATTCAAGTTAATTCCAATGCTTTACTATTTTAATAGTAATGCAATCCATTTTTTATTTTATAATATTTTAGACTCAGGGGGTACATGTGCATGTTTGTTACATGAGTATATTTTGTATTTGTGGGGATTGGGCTTCTACTGTACCCTTTACCCAAATAGTGAACATTGTACTCAATGGGTAATTTTTCAACCCTCGCCCTCCTCCCAACCTCCCCCCTTCAGGAGTCCCCACTGTCTATTATTTCTATCTTTGTGTTCATGTTTACCCATTGTTTATCTCCCACTTATGAGTGAAAACACGTGGTATTTGATTTCCTGAGTTAGTTCACTAAGGATACTGCCCTCCAATTCCATCCATATTGCTGCAAAGGACATGATTTCATTTGTTATGGCTGCCGAATAAATTCTATTGAGCTTTATTTTGTATTTCAAAATACAGACAATTTAACCAATTAGAATTAAGTATGACTGCAACTAGCATAGACTCAAAGTAATAGTGGGTAATTTCTTTCTCCTATTTGGAAAATCTGGAGGCAGGCTGTCTGTGGCTGGTGCCCCACCAAGTAGTTGAGGACCCAGGCTTTTTCCCTCTTTCCCAAGAGGACCTCCCAGTCTAAGATGGTTCTGGATCAGTGGCTCTTCATCAGGGATAATTTCCCCCCTAAAGGACAGTTGACAATGTCTGGAGACATTTTTATTGTCATAATGGGGACGAGGTGCAATGGCATCAAAAAAGTAGAGGCCAGGGGTGCTGCTAAATGTCCTACAACCCCTGGCAACAAGGAATTATCTAAGCCCAAAATGGGAACGGTGTGGAGGTTGAGAAATCCCGTTCTCACTCCATCTATCACACCTGTGATCCAAGAAGCAGGTCAGCATACAGAAGAAAGGGGCAAAAGGCATATGCCAGCTGACTTAAGAAAAGTTTCTAGAAGCTGCCACACAATTCCACTTATATTCCATTCACCAAAACTTAATCACATGGCCACACATAATTGGAAAATATAGTCCTTATTCTCAGCAGCAATGTGCTTAGTTAGAAATTGAGGACCAAACTGTCAGTCTTTGACATAGTAATTATACTGGACATGACTTTTCAAATTAAATTTACCTTCCTCCCCTTGCCACCTTTCCCATGACTGACCCCCAGCAAAAAAAAAATCATTCCCCTCCCTGCCAAGAAGTGGTTGCTTTTCTCCACCGCTGCTTTGAGAGTTATTGCCTTAGGGAGAAAGAATGTCATCTTGAACCATTACCTCAAAACTAGTTGAGATTCTTTCTTGCTTCATTGACTTCACTTGAAAAATATTTATTGAGAGCTTTAAAGTGCCATGCACAGTGTCGAAGGCAGCTTGGCACCTCCCACAGAGCCAGCTCAGACGCAGGCATGGAACCAAGCAGACCACTTGGACATCATGGCCAAGGCAAACCTAGAGCTATCTGTGATGAGATGTCTCTGTTTTCCCCTAGGGAAAGAGAGGTCTTGCAGGAACACACCTGTGGAAGAAAGAATAGTGCAGTCAGCAATCCCTGAGGCCAGTTCTGAACCCACTACCAGTTCATGTGACCTCGAGCAAGCCATATCCTACTGCACCTCTATTTTCTCCTTTGCAAGTCTAAGGCTGGGATCCAGAGGTTTCCCAGGCCAGCACTGAGCTACCTACATGAATCAACTTGGAAGTGTGCTTAAAATGCAGATTCCTGGGCCCACCCCAAATTCTGATTAAGAAACACTATGGTGGGGCCTGATAATTTATGAGTTTTTTCTTAAGTGTATATGTTCTCATGCCCAACAGCTGTGAAAATTACTAGACTAGTAGAAATCCTTCTTAGCTCTAACAGTCCAACATCTTGGAAATTAGAAACAAATCCACATTCATGAGAAAGTACCTGTAACATTTCAGGAGACACTACACACTCAGATGTAAAATGAGAGCTTGCAAAGTCATAGAAAATAAGAAGGCATCATTTCTACCAAAAGCATTACTAATCAACTGCTTCAAGACTGGGAAGTCATTTTCTATTACTGGCATAGAAGAGGAATAACAACATTATAAAAGGTACTTTAAAAAAAGATGGATTTTCTGAGCTCTGAGACTACACTGAAGGAAAATAAGCCATAATTCTATGTCACTATGAGCCCATAATTTTTGCCAGAAAGAGAATAAAAGGAGTCAGGTCTTCCCTAAACCTACTTGCTAGAATAATCAGGCATAGGGATTAGCTAAAGGATGCAGAGAAGCCCTCTCTACATCTTCCCCCAGCACCAAGAAAGCTATGCCAGCCCTTGGGCCCAACACAGCTTTGATCATTAAAGAATCATGCCAACAAAGGTTTGGAAGCAGTGCACCTAATGATCTGAGTGATATTCAAATTTAAATTGACATAGAATGAAGAGAAAATAAAAGCCTTGTACAGGTCTCTGCATCTTGAGGTCCTACATTTGCACATCTCACTACCATCAAAATAATCAAAGTACAATGAGCTCTCGAATGAGACCTAGAACAGACCTGGAACATACAGATTATCAAAGGCTTATCCAAGAAGACATCTGCAAAACTGAATTCTGAAGGCTTAATACGTGTTAGTCACAAAAGTGTTGGAGAAATTGTAGGATACTGGCCAGGTGAACTAACACACACCAAGATCTGGAAGAAAAGCATCAAATGAAGTATACAAACTACAGGTAGTTCATTCATTTGCAACCTATCCCAGAGTGGTGAATGGTGAGGCTGGAAAAGTAAGCAAGGCGAGAGCATGAGTGGCCTTCATTGCACACAAGTACAGGAATGTGGGCTTTGTCCTGAAGGCAATAGAGAGGCACTGGAAGGTTCAAGGCTGGGGAGCAACTCTAGCTGCATGTAGAGAATGGGCTGTAGCAGAGCAGTATTCCAACTAGGGAGACTAGTAAGAAAGTTAGTGCAACACTCCAGGTAGGAAACAATGAAAGTCTGACACAAGAGAATGGTAGTGGGACGGATAAAAGGAAAATTCCCTAAAGCACTTTGAGTTGTAGAACTAAGACTTAGTGATTGATTTCACTTGAAGAATAAGACAAAGGGGATAGTCAGCAATGACTACTTCGGGCACCTGAGGTGGTGACAGTCAGTGAAAAGTCAAACACAGAAAGGAAGCAAGTTGCAAAGGTTGGGGCAGAAGAATCCAAGTAAAGCCTCCCAGGAGGCAGTTGACCGTAATGGCCTGAGACTTAAGACAGTGATTTAGGCAGCAGATGATAAATCAAACCACAAGCCAATAAAATGACCCCAGGAAAGAATTAAGAGTGAGAAGAAGATGAACATAAAACCCCAGGGAAAAAAATCAGCCTTTAAGCTGCAACAGAAGAAAATGGGCATAAGAAAAGCTAAGAGTCACCAGAGAGGCAGAAGGAAAACTATGAGAGTGGGTACTACAAAATTCAAAGGAAGAAAAGATTTTAGGAAAGGAGTGTTAATCATGGCCACTGTTTCCAAAAGGTTGTCCATGAGATTCCACAATGAAGAGGTCCCTGATGATCTTGGGAGGCACAGCTTGGAGTGGTGGGCGCAAAGCCAGAGAGCCTTAGATTTAAGAGAGAATGGGAGGTGGGAGGTAGGAAGTGAGGACAATGAGTTGGAAAACCTTGGTGAAGCGAATCTGTAAAGAATTTAAAAGAGGGAGGCAACCAGTGCTGGATGGGAGACGGGAAGGTGATTCTTTTAAAGATGGAAGACACTTGGGACAATTTAAAGGACTGAAATTTACTGAGTATTCATATGTGACCTCATTTGAACCTCCTAATATTCATGAGGAAGTTTTCCCATTCTGCAGATGTGGAAACTGGAACTGAGGCTAAGTGACTCAGAAACATAGGGGAAATTGATGGTGGGCTTTGGAAGAAGAGATACAGCCATTACTTCCTTGCCTGAATTCCCACTGCCACTTCATCATGCTGGAGGCACAAGGCAGGGAGGCATGGAGAGAAAGACGGAAAAGAGGATTGGAAAGGAAGACTCACAGTGCTAAGTCCCCATTAGGTGCAGGAACTATTAGAAACTTACTTATTACTGCATTAGCCTGTTCTCACACTGCTATTAAAGACATACCCAAGACTGAATAATTTATAAGGGAAAGAGGTTTAACGGACTCACAGTTACATGTGGTTGGGGAGGCCTCACAATCATGGTGGAAGGTGAAAGGCATGTTTTGTTTTGTTTTTGTTTGTTTTTTGAGATGGAGTTTCACTCTTGTTGCCCAGGCTGGAGTGCAATGGCGTGATCTCACCTCACTGCAACCTCCGCCTCCCCGGTTCAAGCCATTCTCCTGCCTCAGCCTCCTGAGTAGCTGGGATTACAGGTGCCCACCACCACACCCAGCTAATTTTTGTATTTTTAGTAGAGACAGGGTTTCACCATGTTGGCCAGGCTGGTCTCGAACTCCTGACCTCAGGTGATCCATCCACCTTGGCCTCCCAAAGTGCTGGGATTACAGGCGTGAGCCACTGCACCCGGCCTGAAAGGCATGTCTTACATAGAAGGAGGCAAGAGAGAATGAGAGCAAAGTGAAAGAGGAAACCCCTTATCAAACCATCAGACCTCGTGAGACTTATTCATTACCTCAAGAACAGTATGGGGGAACTGCCCCCACGATTCAATTATCTCCCTCCTGGTCCCTCCCACAGCATGTGGGAATTATGAGAGCTACAATTCAAGATGAGATTTGGGTGGGGACACAGCCAAACCATACAAATCACCTTTAATCAAATCCCACTAACCCCTCAAGGAAGACACTATTATAAAGTTTGGCTTACAGTGAGTAAGAGCTCTGAGGTTGAGAAAGGTTACACCTTCACCAGGTCATGCCACCAGTAAGTGACTGCATCTGATGTCAACTTGGATCTGCAGAAATTAAGGTGTCCTCTCACCGCTTCTAGCGAGCCCTTCATTTCAGAGTCTCAGGCACTCTCCTCCAGCAACTCCACTAGTCTCCACATCACCCCTACCCCCACCCCCACAGTAGACTATTTATGAACACTGCTTTCATTCCAGTCTGTGCTCACCCAAACCCTACATGGCCTCATGTCTCACACCGGGGTCAGCCCCACAGTGGCATGAGACCACGTGCCTGGAGGAACGGAAGCTGAAGAATACTTCACTGGGTCCTTCCCTTTTACTCAACGGTAAGTAATTTAAAAGACTATTTTTATATGAAAAAATAAATCTGAAGACATTGCTGAGCCAAACACAAAAATTACATGAATTTCTGAGATGAAATATGAGACTTCCATGAGATGTCCTGCTTGTGGTGCAGCTTTGGACTCCAGCAAGTTCCTGTTTAGAATATTTCAATGGAAATTCATGAAAAACAACTTAAAACAGGATAAAGGGCTTATGGTGGAATTTCAGAACTTCCAGTCCATCCCACTTGCTTTCCAGGCTTAACTAACCCCACTTCCCCACAAGAACCTTACTCGATACTCCTACTACATCCCTTCAGCTTTCCCCTTTATCTCGGCTTCCCCTGCAGCCTGGAATGCCCTTCTTCTACTCACTCATCTGAAACCTGTTCACCTTCCATGAAGTCCTGTAGGATCACAGTCATCTCCCTTCCACTAATCTCCCATGTTAAGCCAGCACTTGTCACTGCTATCGTGCATTGTTATATTATCCATCTGTGGTGTAGGGCTTGTCTCTCTAAGCTGCTTAATAATAGGGATCGTGTCTGCTATATCCTTGGGCTTCCACACATAAGCAAGATAGCTTTCCCAGAGAAACAAAAACAGCAGCAGCACCAACTTATATTTAATAGGTACTCATATATATGATCTCATTGGAACTTCATAATAATACCATGAGGAAGTTTCCCTACAAAACTGACACTTAGAGAAGCTAAGTGACTCTTGCAAGGCCATACAGGTTGGAAGAGACTGCTACATTCTGGCAGCAGAGCCTGTGCCATACTAAGTAGGTGCTCAAAGAATATTTATTAGTTGACTTTTTCCACTTCTTCCTCTTAAATGGTAGCAGAGTACCATTAAGTGATCTTCATAGACTCCATAGAGAATAGCAGAATCATCTAGCAGAGCCCCCCCGCTCATTTCTGACCCACAAAATCACTAGACATAATACAATGGGCTTATTGATTTAGGTCATTACGTTTCTGATTAGTTTTTCAAGTGGCAAGAGAAATCTGAAAAACCCTCATGAGTTCTGAAGCAAATTTCTCATAGTTGGCATTTAACACAATTTTTGTATTATCACTGAGCACACATTAGGCAAAGTCTGTCCTAGTGCATTCTCAGTTCATTGTTGATGCCCTTTCCCAACAATCCAGTTCTCTCCAAGGTCCTCTGAAGATCCCCTCTCAGATCTTCTTCCCTCAAGATGCCCTAAACCTTAGAATCCTTCTGGTCTTATGCCTCTCTTCCTTCTTTCTTCTTTTTTCTTTCTTCTCCTCCTTCTCCTTCTTTCTTTTCCCTTCTTCTTCCTTCTTCTTCTTCTTTCTTCTTCTTCCCTCCCCCTCCCCCTCCCTCTCCCCCTCCTTCCCTCTCCTTCTCCTTCTCCTTCTTTCTTTTTACCCAGGCTGCAGTGCAATGCCATGATCTCAGCTCACTGCAACCTCCACCTCCTGGGTTCAAGCAGTCCTCCCATCTCACCTCCTGAGTAGCTGGGATTACAGGTGTGTGCCACCACACCAGGTTAATTTTTGTATTTTTAGTAGAGACAGGGTTTTGTCATGTTTGCCAGGTTGGCCTTCTTCCTTCTTTACCCTTCTATTATCCTTCCTCTCCTCCCATTAAAGTGTTTCATTTTAAAGGAATAATTTTTTTTTAATAGAGTCTCACTCTGTTACCCAGACTGGAGTGCAGTGGCTTGATCTCAGCTCACTGCAACCTCCACCTCCTGGGTTCAATTAATTCTCCTGCCTCAGCCTCCTGAGTAGCTGAGATTACAGGCAGGTGCCACTAAGCCCTGCTAATTTTTTTGTATTTTTAGTAGAGACGGGGTTTCACCAAGTTGGCCAGGCTGGTCTCGAACTCCTGACCTAAAATGATTCACCTGCCTCAGCCTCCCAAAGTGCTGGGATTACAGGTGTGAGCCACCATGCCCCACCTTAAAAGAAGAATTTAGTAGCCCTAAAGAATCTCCAAGGTGAAGACTAGAAGAGAGAAATCAATGCAGCATTTGTGTAGAGACCTAGGAGGAGAGGGCCTGAACACCAAGCAGTCTCCCTGGTGTTTCTTCTCCATCTTCTATTCATAGCCTTCTACACAAACCAGAAAAAGATCATCAATTTTACACCAGATGTGAGAAGATGCCCACTCCCACTGCCTCCCCCAGTAGTAAGTCCTAATTAAAACTTGCTACCCTCTGAATCTAAAATGATTTAATGCTTCCTTTCCTTTGAAGTGATGATATTACAGATTTTATTATCTTTTCAAGGAGAAAAGGTCTGTTAGAATAAATAAAGCCTTAGTATATGAAGTAATGTTCAGAGTGTCTTATCAACTTTAGTCTTCCCCTGGGAATCCTCTCTCTTCCCCTCTGCTCACCACATCCTGTCCTTCTCTTCCAGCCCTGCTCTGATTATTAACTAAGAACCCATAGAAACTAAGGTTTCCTTTAGCTCTCCCTAAATGGGGTTTGAATAACCCACTAACCATGTTTAAACAGGTCTTCTTAATCATAAACATCACCCTAGAAGACAAACATCACTCTTCTATTATGTGGCTGCCCATAAAACCCAGACAGCTTCCTGTTTCTCTGTTTGGACCTCATGTGCCTGCCAAAGGTATGTGCCATTTCCCAGTGGCTTTGAGGGAGGCATAAAAGCCAGAGCCCACAGGACTGTGTTACTCAGTCTTTGTCTTAGGTCTCAGGTGGGGCCAGATAGGGAGGGGAGTGTCACATCTTGTTGCATTACTAAGGCTGATGGTCACCCAAAATACAAAGATAGGACTGTATCTCTTGGAGATGAAGGTTCACATGTCAACATACACCTCCCACCTATGTCAGTCTTCCCATCCCCAACCTTGGTCATGTCATTCCTCACCTCACTTCCCTCCTACTCCACTTCCAATGTGGAAAGGACCCCTCTTCTCCTGTCCACCCAACTAATAGCTACCTAGCCCACCAAAGTACACTTCAAGCCCCACCTCCTTTCTGAAGCCTCCACTGCCCACTCAGGTGACTTTCTTCTACCATTCACAGATGGTAACATGTGTGTATCATTCCTACCTAAAATGCTGGAGAATGGTATGTTAACTCTTCCTGTGGTATTTGTTTTCCCAACATTATATTTAAGTTCCTGGAGTGCAGAAAGTGTGTGCTGTCCATGTTTGAATGCCCCACATGCCTAATGAAGGACAATGTAGATGGAAGACCCATGAGCAATATACTGAATCAATTAAAGAGACAGGGCATGACATTGTTCAGGCAGCTGTTAATAATAATAATAAAATTAGTTGCTATTATTAAGCCTGTCTTAAACTGCAGAGAACAAGACAGACACAGGGGATGACCTACAAGCTTCAAGACTCAGAGAATTCAACAACCTTAAGAAATACCTCCTGGGCAGAATGCTGTATTTGGAAGGTTGGAAGACTCTGAGCTTGAGAACCCTGAAGAAGGCGGAACTGTTGGGTTGCCGGCAGCCGGGAAGGGTTTGCCTGACACTCTTGGCTGGGCGGGAAGAAATGGGGGGAAGGAGAAGGGCGGCGCACTGGGCTGCTGGAAGCTGGGTTCCTTCCGAAGGGACGTTACGCTACCGTCCGTAATATCACCCCAAGCCCTAGCATTCTCAGGAAAGTCGCTTATGAAGCTATGACTCAAGTGCCGCAGTGCTTGGGCCCACGCTTCGCAGCGTGGAATCAGCGGCGGGGCGCGGCGGCACGAGGAAGCTGTGCAAAGCCGAAGGGGCAGCCTCAGACCAGGAACCTTACCCGTCTGGCGGGTCTTATGGCCGAGTCACCGTGGCGGCGCGGCAGCTCGGGCCCGGTTCTTCCGGGCGGGCCGGGGTGGTCACCTCTGCAAAGCAGGGTTTCTGGGCCGTGATCGAGTCTTGCTCACGGGCATGTCGGGAAACGCCTGCTGCGCTCCCTGCCTGAAAATCCACTCTTGAAAATGCACTCCCTTAGGTTAAAACGCTGCCTTTCCTAAGGACCTTCTTTAAAAGTAAATCCTAACATAAGTTGGTGCAACCAATTTCCTTCCCTTACAGACGCTAAAAGCAGAGCACTGAAGGGGTGGGATTCTTGAAGGGGAGGGAGGGAGGTAAGGCTACTGATGATCCTGGAAGGGACAGCTCCACTGCGAAGGGTTTAGGGGAAGGCGGATATCAGCTCTGGTTGCTCGGTTAGTTTGCCCTATTTGAGCTGACGACTTTCGTTAATGAATTTCACCTCTAGTGCTCAGTGGTTTATCTGAAAGAAAAGGCTGGACTAGAGAAGTGGTTCTCAAATTGGTCCCCAGACCAGCAACATCAGCATCAGCTGGGACCTCGTTAGAAATGAAAACTATAGGCCAGTCCTAGATCTACTGAATGAGGGACTCAGCGGAGAGCCCAGGAATGTCTTTCAACAGCCCTCCAAGTGTTTCTGATTCATGCTGTCATTTGGTGACAAACTGGACTAAATGATCTGGCGAGTCCCTTGCACAGAAGAGAGCTGATACTTTTTAATGTGGTTCATGAGGCCATACAAGGCCCTCACTGATGTGGTCCTCATGTAACTGTCCAGTCTCTTAAGGCAACAGTCTTTCTCATCTACATAAAACTGATAAAACTTTCTCTAAAGAGATTTCCTCTTTGAAACCCAGGCTTACATATGCTGCTCTTCCTGACATAGCCTTTTTCTTCCATTACTATCTCCTATTTGTCCTGTAAGACTTGTTTTGTGATTATCTCTTCCAGGAAGGCCATCTCACACCTCCCAAGGTCAGGTGTCTCCCTTCTGTGTTGTTGTAGCACCTTGTAAATGTTATATCCATTTACCACCTTTATCAGGTCACCCACCAGACTGAGCGAGGTGTGAGCAGAAACTTGTACTTCTGCACGTTCAGTGTCTGACACAATGTTAGCCACTACAGTAATCATCAATGCATGAGTGAATGAATGGATGAATTGAATCCTTTTGTCAACTGAGGGCTCAGATAGTGGCTTTCTGGTTCTTTTTGATCTCTAATCATTGATAATTTAAAGCTCTTCGTGTTACCCCAATGATTTGATCAATGCTTATTACTGTTAGTAATTTTTTTTTTTTTTTGAGACGGAGTTTCACTCTTGTCACCCAGGCCCGATCTCGGCTCACTGCAACCTCCACCTCCCAGGTTCAAGTGATTCTCCTGCCTCAGCCTCCCGAGTAGCTGGGATTACAGGCACCCACCACCATCCTCAGCTAAATTTTTATATTTTTAGTAGAGATGGGGTTTCACCATGTTGGCCAGGCTGGTCTCGAGCTCCTGACCTCAGGTGATCCACCCACCTCAACCTCCCAAAGTGCTGGGATTAGCCACCACACCCAGCAACTGTTAGTAATTCTTTATAGTACATTACATAATACAAATTATTTCATATCCATTAGCCCATTTCAACTTCTCATCAACCTTAAGAATTAGAGTAGGTATTGTTTTAATCATTTTAACAGCTGTAAAACAACTCACAGATATTAAATGGCTTTCCATGGTTACCTATTTCTGTAAAAATTATTTACACAGAGTACAAATAAAACACAAAGTGTCTCCTTGGCAAGGCATAGTGATAGACACATAGGAGTTAAAAACTTATTAAAGACATGATCCTTATCCTCAAGGAACCTCTATTTTAGGAAAAATAAAACATATTCTCCAAATAGCCACAACGTAATAAGTGTATAATAAATCCAATCTTAAGTGAGTCATTCCATTAAGGATTTAGGAGTTTGGTGGACAGAGAAACTGTGGGTGGCAGAGTAGTTAGGGGAAACATGATTGGGGCAGAGGCAGAAATTGCATGATGACTGGACAGAAAAGGATGTGAACAGATATGAGAAGAAAGCCTCCCAGGAGCAGAGAATAGACTAATAAATGAACAGAGACTGGAACAATCAACATTGTCTGGGGCAGTGAATATATCTAATAGCTGTAGCAAATAGCAGAGATGCTATGAAGGGGAGCTGTGAAAGTCAAAGATAGAACTGGTGGTGGCACTACATATGCCACTGAAAGTGGGCTTGATGGGAGGATTTTTCATACTTTTATTAGGCTATTAGTGGCCACTCTTGAAATTACAACATATATCATTGATTTATTAAACATTAATGTTAACTCTTAATTTTCCGTCCTCCCAGACAATGCAAGGACCTTAGAACACTTTAACTCTATTACCTCCCTCCTGACTTGCTATCGTTATCATGGATCTTGAGTATGTATTTTAAACCCCACTAGTCATTATTATTTTCATTTTGCATAGTCAGTATTCATTTATATTTACCTGTGTTGTTTCCATTTTCATTCCTCTTCAATTTTTCCTTCATCTCCAAGCTTTCATCTGGGATCTTCTCTTTACCCAAAGAATATCTGTCAGAATTTCCTTTAGTGCAGGTCTCTTGGTGGCAGCTTCTTTCAGTTTTTATTTCACTGACTTTATTTTACCATGATTACTGAAAAATATTTTTACTAGGTGTAGAATTCTAGATTGGCCAAATTGAAAATATCATTCTACTATTTTCTTATTTCTGTTATCATTTTTGAGAAGTCTGCTGTCATTCTTTTTGTTCTTGGAGATGAGGGTCTCACAGTGTTGCCCAGGTTGGAGTGCCATGGCTAGTCACAGGTGCAATCATAGCTCACTGCAGCCTCGAACTCCTGGCCTCAAGCAATCCTCCCACCCGCCTCAGCCTCTTGAGTAGCTTGGACTACAGGCAGGCACCACTGCACCTGGTTTACCAGCATTCTAATTGTTGCTTCTGTCTATTGTCACTTGTCTGCTTTTAAAATTTTTCTCTTTGATTTTGGTCTTCTGAAATTGGACTATGATATGTCTAGGTATGAGTACATTTTATTTATGCTGCTTGAGATTCGTAGGATTTTTATCTGTTTGGGGGAATTCTCAACCATTATCTTTTCAAATGCTCACTCTCTTCTCTCCATTGGGGATCCCATTTGAATAGGTACACATTTAGCATACATGCTGATCAAACTGCATATGTCTCTGACTCCTCTGAATTTTCATGCTTTTTCCTGAGTTAAGTCTGGATAGTTGCTTTTGACCTTTCTCCTAGTTCTTTCATTAACTGTATTTATTTGCTGCTAAATACATCATTGAGATCTTGATTTTGGTTATTATATTTTTAATTAGAGTGTTTCTAGAGGTTCTCTATCAAATGTGGACAATTACTTTTTATAGCTTCCAATTTCCAATCCTTGCCAACAAATTTCAAGTTTGGCCTTTACTTTCTTTGTTTGTTTTTGTTTTTGTTTTTGAGACGGAGTCTTGCTCTGTTGCCCAGGCTAGAGTGCAATGGCACAATCTCTCCTCACCGCAAGCTTCACCTCCCGGGTTCAAGCGATTCCATTCCCCTGCCTCAGCTTCCTGAGTAACTGGGATTACAGGTGCCTGCCACCACACCTGGCTAATTTTTGTATTTTTAGTAGAGGTGGGGTTTCACCATACTGACCAGGTTGGTCTCGAACTCCTGACCTCAGGTGATCCGCCCACCTCGGCCTCCCAAAGTGCTGGGATTACAGGCGTGAGCCACCACACCCGGCCAGGTCTTTGTTTTCTTGAGTATATTATAATGTTGCTTTAGAGTGCCTGGTAATCCCACTGTCAATAATGACCATGAATATCTTTCTGTTACTTCTTGTTTGTGCTGTTCTTTGAATGTTGTCTTCATTCCTCATTTGCTTGGTTATTTATTACTGTGTGTTGAACATTACGTTTGAAAAAGTATCTGTAGAAATAATGTGAGACTTAGGATGATATCTTCTTCTGGACATGATTTTCAGTTTCTATGCCAGGCATCTAGAGACACTAGTAATCCAACAAAGATTGCTTCAATTCAAAGTCAAAGCTTCAAATTTTTTGAGCCACCCAGATGACTAAGGCTAGAATCCATGTGAAGTTTAATTCCAGCTTAGTCTGACAGTGCAGCCCTTCGGGGCCCCAACTCTGAGTGCCAAGTAGTTTACCAGGGTCTCCACCATGGAAAAGAAAGGAAGCAGTAGATTCGAACTTATGGGCACCTAGCCACCCACAGTTTTCAAAAACATGGCTCATCTCTCTGTCTTCTCTTTAGATGAGCCAGTGCCCCCTGGGCAAAAGTAGCCCTAAATGCCAAGCTTGCCTCTCTAGAGCCTCATTGTCTCCTAGATCTTGGCTTGCTTCCTCACTATCTTATTAGCTTTTGATATTTTAGGGAATTTTTTTTAAATGTTTTCTCTGAATTTGTTAGTTGTTTTCAGAGGGAAGGTTGGCCCATATTAGCTAGTCTGCCTCTATTAGAAGCAGAAGTCTGATATGGACTTTGGATAGAAATGAGGATCAGAAGTTTTTAAGAACAGAGGGACATGGCCAGGCACGGTGGCTCATGCCTGTAATCCCAACACTTTGGGAGGCCAAGGCGGGTGGATCACGAGGTCAGGAGATTGAAACCATCCTTGCTAACATGGTGAAACCCCGTCTCTACTAAAAATACAAAAAATAAAAATAAAAAATTTAGTCGGGCATGGTGGCAGGCATCTGTAGTCCCAGCTACTCGGGAGGCTGAGGCAGGAGAATGGCATGAACCCGGGAGGGGAGCTTGCAGTGAGCCGAGATCATGCCACTGCACTCCAGCCTGGGTGACAGAGTGAGACTGTCTCAAAAAAAAAAAAAGAGGGACATAAGCAGATAAATGAATCAGAAAGCAGTGTGTATGAGGGGGCTGTTGCAGGGGTCAGTAAAGAGATAAGAATGGAAGAAGATGATTCTTTTTATTGGTTCCCTTGCTTCAGCCAGCATAAAGGATCAAAGAATTTATTGGGCTAATGCTCAGATTGTACTTCTAATCCCAGTTAAACCCATGGGATTTCAAAAACAGGCAGTATTGTTTAACTTACTTAGTTGTTTCCTTGTTGGAGAGCCTTTGATTCCAACTGCAAACTCTGCCAAGAGAAAAGAGAAACCTAAACCACAGATGGATTAATCCCTACTCTAGGAGCACTGAACCATTGTCCCTGCTCTCAGAGAACCGCCTGGAGCAATGCTGGGGCAGTGGGTGAGTTCAGAGGATCGAGGCTGCACTGCTGAGACAGAAACACCAGTCAAGGTGCAGTGCCCTATGCTGTGGTCCTCTGGCTGCCTGCCTTTCAGGGCTATAGGTGCTGGAGCTTTTGAATAGGGATGATGGCAGACCCTGCTGCTTGGGCAGCATAGCACCCATCCTCTACCTCCTTTCCCTTTACTTCTTTCCATTAGAGAGGCTGCAGTAGCTAAATATTCACTCTCCCAATATACCTGTATCATGGAGTGGTCATGTGATACAGTTCTGGCCAAGGAGATGTAATCAAAAGTTTGGTAGGAGAGTTCTGGGAAAGCTTCAGCTTTGCTAATAAGAGACAGATGGGGCGGGCACTGATCTTGGTATTGATCCTAGACTTGAATGCAGATGTGTCATATAGAGTTGAAGCAGCCTTTTCATGACCATGAGGAGACATGCATGAAGGAAAGGCCCAGAAAATCTCCAAGGCACCAGCCCTAACATTGCTTTTCTCTTATGTGAGAAAAAGAAACCACTCTTGTTTCAAGCTACTGTGGGTAGGCTTTCTATAATTTGCAAACAAAAACACTCCTAATTGATGCAGGGAGATTCCTAATGCCAGGACCCAGCATCTGAGCAAAATCATCTTTGGCTGTAGAATTAAAAACATGATCAAACAGCAAATATTGACCAAACTTCTTGTGAAGCCAGCACTGAGCTAGGTGGCACTATGGAAATCACCAAGGTAGCAGGCACTGAAAGCATTCACAGCCTAATTAAGAGAAATAATTTAATACAAATGAAATCTCATGATCAAATGTTAGAAAAGCCTTTAAGATGATCTAGTGGTTTCGGACATGTGTCAGCCATGATACCATCCCAACACCATACAGAGACTCAATGTGTAAAAAATAAAAACTGCTTCATTTTAAGAAACCTGTGCAATTGGCCCCTCCATATCTTTGATGATTTGTGGCTGAAAATTTCTGAGTAGCACTGCAATTGATTTGACAGCTGAGGAAACTGGGGTCTCCATGCAGAATGGAAGCAACTTATTCTAGGAGATGTAACAGGTTTGCCATGGTGCCTGAATGAAATCTACATCTCCAGGACCATTTTCAAGGCTGTTTCCTTCCAAACAGTGACCAAAAGAAGGGAGTGGATTATTACACAGTAAATTGGAAAGCAGCAGCAATAATTGGTACAGGAGACCAAAGAAAGGAGAAATTAGCATGACCAGAATTAACCAAAGCAAGCTTCATGGAAGAGGTGGGACTTGAATGAGGACATGAAAGTTGAATAAATTCAAAATGGGTCAGTGGTTCCATTGGCCCCCAGGAGACATTTGCAATGTCTAGAAGCATTTTTGGATGTCACAACCTGGGATGGGGGGTAGCATTTAGTGGACAGAAGCCAATGATGCTGCTTAAAGTCCTACAATGTGCAGAAAGTTCCCCATAACAAAGCATTATCCAGCCCAAAATGTCCCAATAGTGCCCAAGTTGAGAAACCCTGGAATACATGGAGAGAAGGCCAGGCAAAGGGAATGGTGTGAACAAATGCAGAGGTATACATGAGCAATGAGTTCCTTGAGCAGAGACTGTGTCTGTCTTATTCTGTGTATACCAACACACATCAGTGGCTGCCTGATTGGTAGTTATTTGCTGGATGAATGAATAAACACTGTTCATCTTTGAATTCTACCCTAGCACTTTGGCAGCAAAGAACTTTGCTCAGAATAAGAAAAGCAGTCAGCCTCATCAATATTTCTTTTCCTGATTTCCCCTGCCTCACCTGTTCCTCATCCCAAGTTAAGAAAGGAAGGGAGTACCTCTTATTCATCCTTCTAAACTCATTTACATTCTTACACCCAGGCTTCTCTCAGTACTCACCAAACTCCTTTGCTACCTGGGTCTCAGAAACAAGAGAAGGTACCAGCCCTCCCACTCACTGAGCAGACAGATGACCGGTGCCAGGGAACTGTGTGTCTATTTGTACTCATAACAGCTCTAGGGGACTCCCAGCCTCATAGCCCAACCTCCCATTTACACACTTGTAAATGGAGGAGGGGAGGGAGAGTGGGGTTTCTGGTCCTCCTGGTGCCAGTATGTTTCCAAGATGAAACTTAAGGCCCCAGAGAGTCCCACCCTCTTCTGGAGGGCTCTTTCAGGTAAATAATAGGTGCCCTGTGGGCCCAGATCCACTGTGGATTTTTAATGCATATCCTGGTAGGAGATGGTTCCTTGAAATCTAATTGCTTCCAAGACCTTAATATCAGCCATTTTATTGTGTACAAAGAATGCTCAGGAGAGCAAATGTGAACATGGGAAAGCCCATACCTCAAGGCATCTGGCTCAGTAAACAGTGTGTTCAGGAAACAGCAAAGGATTAAACAACCGTCAGGGCATCCATAGCCAGGACTCTTCGTCTGTGGTCTGCTGTACTCCGATTCCTTATGATCCCCACTCCTACTCCTCACTCAGCCCTGTTCCTTTACCTCTTATCCAAACACTTCCATAAGATTTCCTATCAGTCACTGACCCCTCAGTCTAGTATAGCTCCAAGGGACTAGATTCTCCTATCTCTGGTTCTAGAGAAAAACTTTATCCTTCCTAAAATGAGTTTTAGGCTCTGAGGCACAGGAGACGGTGAGACTTTGTATAGTGCTTATGACAGTGCTTACTTGAGGGAATTCTTCCCTGGATTCCTGAGATTCCTGAGTATTACTGCCTTCTTCACAGAAGCCCAACCCTGATTCTTTCAGATGGACTTATCCCTATTCCTCACATCCAAGCAGTATCAGATCCGAGAGGCTAAATAACTTGTTCTGGGCCAGGGAACTAAGTGCCCAAAACAGTAGTTCAATCCAGACCTGCTCCACCCTAGAGACGGAGACTGTAATACTCCTAAACTAGAGGAATGGGAAGTAGCACCAAAGGGCACAAAAAATGTGCACGTGTATGAAAATCTATTAACCTGAAGAGGCTGTTATTTCAGTGAGGGTATGAGCAAAAACGGAAATGCGCTCATGCTAGAAATGCACACACAAACACATCCACAGCCAGATCAAAAGCATGGGATTCCTCCCTTAATAGACCTCCTAAAATAAATTTAGATGCATCAAGCTGGCAGATGGAGATGGGAAAGGGGCCTCCCCAAGAAGTCAAGTTCTGCTAAAGCTGCAGTGCCTAATAAGGTATTATCTTGCCTCTCTGATCATTTAAGTTAGAAAAGGGAGGCAATAACAAGAGGAAGTTGTATGGTTTCTCAGTGTTTATATCTGAGTGAAAAGAAAGAACCAAACAGAGTCATGAAAGTGACATCCTTGGGAGGCAGTGATTTCTCCCCTGCTGTTGAAAGTGGATTTTATTTATTTATTTATTTTTGAGATGGAGTCCCACTCTGTCACCCAGGCTGGAGTACAGTGGCGCGATCTCGGCTCATTGCAACCTCCACCTCCTGGGTTCAAGCAATTCTCTTGCCTCAGCCTCCCAAGTAGCTGGGATTACAGGCATATGCCACCACACCGGGCTAATTTCTGTATTTTTAGTAGAGACTGGGTTTTACCATGTTGGCCAGGCTGGTCTCGAACTCCTGACCTCAAGTGAGTCAGCCTCCCAAAGTGCTAGGATTACAGGCATGAGCCACTATGTCCAGCCAGAAGTGGATTTTAAAATACCATAGACCAGATATGTATAGAAAAAAAGAGAAAACTACATATAAAAATATTAACAACATTTTCCTTTGAGTGCAGAGATTACATTATTTTACATTTCTTTTTCTCTTTTGGTCATTTATTTTTTCTCTTGGTCTTTTTTTGGTCTTTTTTTCTCTTTTGGTCATTTCTTTTTATCTTTATTTAGAGACAGAGTCTGGCTCTATCACCACACTAGAGTGCAGTGACATGATCATAGCTCACTGCAGCCTCAAATTCCTGGGCTCAAGCAATCCTCCTGCCTTGGCCTCCCAAGTAGCTAGGACTACAAGCACGCACTGCCAGGACCAGCCATCTTTTGGTCATTTCTGGATTTTCACGGGTTTTTTTTTAATACTAAACAGAGATTGCTTTTATGATTACACATATAGGTATGTTTCAAAATTAATAATACATGAACAAATCCACAAAATAGAAGGAAGAGCTTGGAAAATTTAGATAGAAATTCTAAGAATAATGTAGACATATCCAAAGTCCAGAGTAAACAGGACTTATGAAAACTGCTAAAGACCCCAGAGAGGCCAGTCAAGTTATGCTCAGACAGAGCAGAAAATCAAGGAAGGGGAAGGCCCATGGCCCAAAAAGAAGGCTCCAATGTTGAGGATCGACAAAGAGAAAGCAAAACTCAGCAACATCTCTCTCCGAACACCTTGTCTCCACCACAGGAAACTGTCCTCAAGTTGGAAAGGGCCCAATAGACACCACCATGAATTCCAGCCTAATATGGTATTTTAATGAAGACTCTTGGATGCAAGTGACATAAACCCAACTCCTATCAGCTGACAGTGAGGAGGGAGGGGGTTTGGAAAGAAGGGCAATTGGTGTTACTTTCTGAATCAGAAGAACTGCAGGATGTGGGCTCCTGGCCAGAAAGAGCCTTGGCGAGTCTCAGCACAGTCAGGAGGCTGCCTGTCTCTCTCCGTCTTCCTCTGTCACTATTGCACTGTTTTGTCTTCTCCCTCCCATTTGCTTTCTCTCAATCTTTCTCATCTCTGCTTGTCTCCCTAGGCTTCTATCTTCAGGGCAGGAAGATGACCACCCACAGCCCAGCAAACCCAGGAGGGAGAGAATTTCTCTCTCCCAGGGTCTCTAGAAGAATCCCAGGAAAGGGGTCTGACCATACTTCAGTTTCCACAGTTAGAACCAATCACCATTGCCCAGAATTTGGGTTCCACAATTAGCCAGGCCCAAGTCATGCACACCTCCCTTTGGCCATGTACTGGGACTAATATCCATACTCAGGAGAAAGAACCAGAGAGCCCCCAGGTACTCTCAGTTTGTCTCCAGGCTCAAATATTTTGTACCCTATCATTTTAAAATAAATATCTTAAGTATCGTCAGATTTATCAACAGTAATACTTGGTAAATTATGGAAAATAGGACATATTTGAAAAGGAAACACACATTTCTTTAAAGGGGACAAGCCATGTTTTGAAAGACACTCTAAAAGATCCCTAACATAGGCCTGAGTCCCCTGACGCTTCCATGCAAATCTTTTTTCCTTCTCAATGGAAGCAAATTTGGATTAATGGTAGTCACTGTTTATTGTACTTAAATAAGGTACACCAAGGCCTTTGTACACCTTCCACGGAATTGGTTGCTTATGTGCCCCCAGGAACAGTTAGTAGAGGGGCAGTGCTGGCCTTAGGTAAGGCCCTGGACAAGGCTCTACTGGCTTTCCTACCATGGAGTGAGCTCCTTTGGTATCTGAGAACATTCTACTGGCTGGCAACCCTCACGGAAGGGCAGAAGCCAGGACAGCAATATTTGGCATTATAACGAAAGGGGGGTTGGTTCTGGGCATATGAGCTTTTGTACCAGTTGTAGCTCTTGTCAATAATAAAAATCAACTCTGGCTAACTTAGGCAGAAAAAGAACACATTGGTAGATCAGCCAGGTGTGGTGGCTCACGCCTGTAATCCCATCACTTTGCAAGGCTGAGGCAGGCGGATAACTTGAGGCCAGGAGTTCAAGACCAGCCTGGCCAACATGGTGAAACCCCGTCTGTACTAAAAATATAAAAATTAGCCAGGCATGGTGGCGGGTGCCTTGTAATCCCAGCTACTTGGGAGGCTGAGGCAGGAGAATCGCTTGAACCCAGGAGGCAGAGGTCGCAGTGAGGTAATATCATGCCATTGCACTCCAGCCTGGGCGACAGAGTGAGACCTTCCTCAAAAAATAAAAAAAAAGAACATATTAATAGATCATAGAAATGACTGGAATGCTGGGGAGCTAGGCTTGGAAGGCAAACCAGGGAGGCTGGGCAGGAAGTCATACAACCGGTACAGCCACAAGGGGCAGCCTAGTTGGGAGGGCACTGCAGGCACTGCCGGTTCCACTGGACTGTCGATGCCACCGTCTCTGGACTCTTGTCTCTACCTTTACTTATCAGTAACCTATAACTTGTCCCTGCAAATTGCATTGTTCCTTCCAGGCTCAGAGTCCAGGTGGGATCCTCCAACAGCCCAGACATAGTCATGAACCCACCCTAAGCTGCCAAAGGCAGAGAGAGAAGCTGGCCCTTTGCAGATGCCATATTGGGAAGGAAACGCCTCCCACTAAGTCGCACAAACTGGGGAATTCTCCCAAATAGAGATGTGACTAAAAGGCAGCTAAAAACAGAACAAAACACCACAGGCTAACTATGTGTGTCTTCAAAATCTGCAGGGCGAGATTGCTTCAGCAGAGCTCCTAAGGGCAGAGCTGAGTTTGGGGGGCAGGAGATTTCAATTTAGATGAAGAAAATCTCCCTCAGGCTGAGAACTGCCTGAAGGTAGTTCCTGAAGGGCAGCCCATCCACACCTCAACTTATTGACACAGTTCAGAACAGAGCTTCTTGCACTCAGCAAGGCCTTCAAACCCCATGTCTTCTTGCATCCGCTTGTTAGAGCATAAGCTTCCCTGAGAGAGAGGACCAATGTTTATTTATCTTTGTGTCTCATAGTGTCTAGCAGAGGATGCTGCACTGACAGAAACTGAACAAATTTGGCCACATAAAAATAAGCAGCCATTATGCTACATGATGGCAGGTCAGATTTTCCAATCATGTAGCTGACAAGATGCTCAGCAAAAGACCTCCCACACAGCACAACTAAAAATGGTGGATTTTTAAAAGATGCTTATGAGCCAGTGGGAAAGGAAGAGAATTCCACAGAGGCTAGAAAGATTTAAAAAATGCAAATCCGCCGGGCGCGGTGGCTCACGCCTGTAATCCCAGCATTTTGGGAGGCCGAGGCGGGCGGATCACGAGGTCAGGAGATCGAGACCATCCTGGCTAATGTGGTGAAACGCCGTCTCTACTAAAAATACAAAAAAATTAGCTGGGCGTCGGGGCGGGTGCCTGTAGTCCCAGCTACTCAGGAGGCTGAGGCAGGAGAATAGAGTGAACCCGGGAGGCGGAACTTGCAGTCAGCCGAGATCATGCCACTGCACTCCAGCCTGGGTAACTGAGCAAGACTCCGTCTCAAAAAAAAAAAAAAAAAAAAAATGCAAATCCAGGCCGGGCGCGGTGGCTTACGCCTGTAATGCCAGCACTTTGGGAGGCCGAGGCGGGCAGATCACGAGGTCAGGAGATCGAGACCATCCTGGCTAACACGGTGAAATCCCGTCTCTACTAAAAATACAAAAAATTAGCCGGGCGTGGTGGCGGGTGCCTGTGGTCACAGCTACTCGGGAGGCTGAGGCAGGAGAATGGCGTGAATCCAGGAGGCGGAGCTTGCAGTCAGCCGAGATCGCGCCACTGCACTCCAGCCTGGGAGACAGAGCAAGACTCCGTCTCAAAAAAAAAAAAATGCAAATCCAGTAGGTTAAGAACACACTAGAAGTCAAGAGCATGACACACACCTGTAGTCCCAGATACTGAAGAGGCTAAGGTGGGAGGATGGCTTGAGCTCAGGAGATAGAAGCTGGAGTGAATTATGATCACACCTGTGAATAGCTACCACACGCCAGCCTGGGTACAAACATAGACTTGCAAGACATGGCCTGTATGAGAAGAAAAAGACCACACGAAAGCAGCGAAAGAAGCACAAGAACGGAATGAAGAAAGCCAGGGACACTGCAAAGGCCAATATTGGTGCTGGCGAAAAGCCATAGGAGTAAAGATGCTACAGTGACATCATCTGCAGACATCGTGTGGATTTTTCATGAGCAGATTAATAAACTAAAAGCTCTCATGTGAAAAATAAAAAAAATTAAAAATTTTAAAGCAGTAATTCAATTCAGCAGAAAGAGAATAAGCTAATATATGGTGGTGGTACTGCTGCTGCTGCAACTATCTGGAAGAAAATTAAATGAACACATATGTCTTATACTATATATTTTTAACCCCACTTGAATTAAAAGGTTGACTATTAAAAGTAAATATGGTAGAGGCTGGCTAGCTCCTGACAAATCCTTTTCCTCTTTCTGAGCACTGAGAAAGACAGTTTCCAGCCTCTCTTCCACTTTGGTTGAGACCGTGGGGCTGGGTTCCATGCAATGGAATACAGGAGGAAGTAACAGAGAACACAAAAAATCCCTTGAGTAGGTGTCCTCTCTCTTGCTCCGTCTTCCTCTTCTGAAGTGACTGTGGGAGTCACATGTTGAAGATCCATCACAAATGGAAGGGATCTGAGTCCCCACCTCATTGCTCGGGATTGACTGTCCCACACATGGTAAGACTGATTGAAAACTAAGCCTCTCTTGTGCTGGCTACTGAGGCTTTGGAGTTGCTTGTTACCTTAAGTAGTACTCATTCCTGTATTACAGAAATGCAATAAAGATCTCACAAAGAGAATCTAGTAGACAATACGTTATTGGCTGAGTGTTTGTGTACCACCTCCAAATTCATATGTTAAAGCACCAACCCCAAGTGTAATGGCAGCAGGAGACGGGGCCTTTGAGAGGTGATTAGGGTCATATGAGGCCACAAGGGTGAGGCCTTCATGATTAGATTAATGTCTTTATAAGAAGAAGAAGAGATACCAGAGCATTCATGAGCTCTCTCACTCCCTCACTCACTTTCTCCCTCTTTCTCTCACTCTTCCTTTGTCTCCGCTATGTGAGGACACAGCAAGAAGGTGGCCATCTGCAAACCAAGAAGAGAGCCCTCACCAGAAACTGAAATTGCCAGCACCTTGATCTTGGACATCCCAGCCTCCAGAATGGTGAGAAATAAATTTCTGATATTTAATCCACCGAGTCTGTAGTGTTTTGTAATGACAAACCAAGCAGACTAAGACATGATGTATATGAAATAGCAGAGAAGGTCTTCATAACTAAGACTGAGAACTAGAAGCTATTTTTTAAAAAAAAAGATAGGCATATTTTGACTGTTAAAAATTACAAGGAAAACAAGAAAATTTTGTACAGTAAAAGATTCCATAAACAAACTATAGTTGTCCCTTAGTCTACGCAGGGGATTGGTTTCAGGACCCCCTCTTATACCAAAAGTCAGTCCTGCAGAACTGGCATATATGAAAAGTTGGCCCTTTGTATATGGAATTTTTGCATTCCATAAGTACTGTATTTTCAATCCACTTTTGGTTGAAAAAAATCTACATATAAGTGGAGCCATGCAGTTAAAACCCATATTATTCAAGGGTCAACTTTACAGTAATGCAGTTGCCCAAAGGAAAATATTTATAATACAGATGATATAAAGTTAGTTCTTAAAACATGCAAACAGCTCTTACAAGTGTGACAAGAAAAAGACAATCATCACAAAGAAAAGTGGACAAATCAAATTATTTAAAAACCCACAGAGGAGCAAACCCAAAAAGCCAGCAAAAATGCTCAAATTCACTCACAGACATGGAAATAAATGTTACATAGTTACAAAACATCACCGTATGCCCTTCTGATGAGAAAAGAAAATTAAAACTTAAAACTCCTATTGCCGGTGTGGATGCAGAGAAATATGTGGTATTTTCCTCTATTATAGTGGAAACGTGACATACTAGAATCATTTTAGATAGCCAACTGGGGCTTTCACTAAAATTAAAACTGTATGGCCAGGCGTGGTGGCTTACACCTGTAATCCCAGCACTTAGGGAGGCCGAGGTGGGTGGGTCACCTGAGGTCAAGAGTTTGAGACCAGCCTGGCCAACATGGTGAAACCCCATCTCTACTAAGAATACAAAAATTAGCAGGGCGAGGTGGCAGGCACCTGTAATCCCAGCTACTTCAGAGGCTGAGGCAGGAGAATTGCTTAAACCCTGGAGGCAGAGGTTGCAGTGAGCCAAGATTGCGCCACTGCACTCTAGCTTGGGTGACAGAGCAAGACTCCATCTCAAAAAAACAAACGAACAAAACAAAACAAAACAAAAACTGTATGCCCTTTGGCCTAACAATTCCACTTCTGGGAATCCATCTTATAAAAATAAAATTGCCAGTACATGAGGATATATGCGTGAGGGTGTTTCTTACAGGATTGTTCATAGGGGGGGGAAATGAAAACAAATGAAATTACCATTAATAGAGACATAGCTAAATAAATGTGGGTATACCCACACCATGAAATATTATGCCATTATTTAAAAGAATGAATAAGATAACAAATGGCTTAAAGAAGTCTTCAGCAAACATCGTTGAGTAAGAAAAGCAAACGACAGTCAAATGTTCATAACTCAATCCATTTTAATAAGTTAATCACCTCAAAATGCTGTATATGTAAATGTTTGTATGTACATATATATGCATGTATTATATGCATACATATCTGTTACATATATACACACGTATATGGCATGAAGAAATATGGCAGAGTGAATAGTTGTAAACATGGTTTACCTGAGGTTGGGGGCAGGATGATAACGTGGAAGGAGTGAAACTGCCATTGCAGAATTATAGCTGAGACAATGAAAGAGATCTGACCTAACCAACCCCATCTTGCTTCTCACCTCCAAACTCTCCTTGTTCATTCCTGGGTGTAGGCTGACCTAACTCTGGGAGGAAGTTAGTTTATAGTTTAAAGTTTAAAACAAAGACAGTAACAGCCCTTTCCCAGAACAAACCCCCCTCTTGCCTGGGGGCTAGACTGCCTTTGTAGGACTAACAAATTAGCTACAAGATTAGAAATTATGGTTTAGCCACAATGAGATACCATCTCATGCCAGTTAGAATGGCGATCATTAAAAAGCCAGGAAACAACAGATGCTGGAGAGGATGTGGAGAAATAGGAACGCTTTTACACTGTTGGTGGGGTGTAAATTAGTTCAACCACTGTGGAAGACAGTGTGGCCATTCCTCAAGGATCTAGAACTAGAAATACCATTTGACCTAGTGATCCCATTACTGGGTATACACCCAAAGGATTATAAATCATGCTACTATAAAGACACATGCACATGTGTGTTTACTGCAGCACCATTCACAATAGCAAAGACTTGGAGCCAACCCAAATGTCCATCAATGATAGACTGGATTAAGAAAATGTGGCACATATACACCATGGAATACTATGCAGCCATAAAAAAGATTGAGTTCATGTCCTTTGCAGGGACATGGATGAAGCTGGAAACCAACATTCTCAGAAAACTATCACAAGGACAGAAAACCAAACACCACATGTTCTCACTCATAGGTCGGAATTGAACAATGAGATCACATGGACACAGGGCGGGGAACATCACACACCAGGGCTTGTGGGGGGTGGAGGGTGGGGGACTGGGGGAGGGATAGCATTAGGAGAAATACCTAATGCAAATGATAAGTTGACGGGTGCAGCAAACCAACATGGCACATGTATACCTATGTAACAAACCTGCAGGTTGTGCACATGTACCCTAGAAGTTAAAGTATAATAAAAATTTTTTTAAAAAAAAGAAATTATGGTTTAGGAGTCATGACGATGGAGGCTGCAAGATTCTGACCCTCCCTAAACTGCTCCCAAGATCAGTGCCTGACATATCTTGCAGACACTGCAGTTGATGGATCAGCTGGCACCACCTGGATCAATAAACTGGTTCATCTTATCTTGTGGCCCCCACCCAGGAACTGACTCAGTACAAGAGGACACCTTCAACTTCCCATGATTTCATCTCCAACCCAACCAGTCAGCACTCTCGACTCACAGGACTTCCTCCACCCACCAAATTATCCTTAAAAACTCTGATTTCCAAATGTTTGGGGAGACTGATTTGAATAATAAAAAAACTCCAATCTCCTCCACAGCCCGCTTTCTGTGTGAATTACTCTTTCTCTATTGCAATTCCCCTGTCTTGATAAGTCAGCTCTGTCTAGGCAGCAGGCAAGACACAGACCAGCTGTTACAAGAGGAAGGGAAAAAAGGAGGAATAAAGAGCAAATCAAAAAACAATAAAGGGGGGGAAATTGCACAGAGATGAGTATATATACAATCATATTTTTGCAGCTATTAAATTTATGTTTGTGGGAGGTTAGATATCCAAGGATATTAAGTTGAAAATGTCTTGTTTTTCAGAGCAGTAGAGTAGCTGCACTATCTCAATTCAGGGAAACCCAGTCCTGAGGGCCCTGCAGCCTAGACCAGGTCATTGGGACAGAAATTTTGGAAAGTTTTGGAAAGTCTCTGCCTACATCAGAAGCATAACAAGACCTGTCCTTCCAGCGGCACAGCCTTGAGCGGCCACCTGTTGGCCTCCATCTCTGTAGCAGGTGACCCAAATGTTAGGGCCAAAACCACAACAGAAACCAAAATCCAGAAAACCTCAGCAGGTCCCGCTTCCCCTGACTTGCAAATGACTCTCAAACTCTTGGAAATTCAACCCTCAGCATTCAGCCACAAGTCCTTGCCTCTCTTCTTTTAAAGCCCTGTAGTGTGTGGCAAGAGGTCAGGTCTTAGGAGGCTGCCAACATCTCTGACTGTCACCACCTGTGTGCCCTTGGGCAAATTCCTATCTCTGAGGCTTTGCTTCTTCATCTATACAACTAGAATGGGGAATGTTGCAATCTATCAGGGTTGCATTACTCATGCAAAGATTACTCATGTAAAACACTCAGAAAGAAGTTGAAATTTACTACAGATTTGTTGATTCTCTTATGATTGTTAATCGTGTCATTGTTTTGGGGACAGGCTCAGGAGACTGGGCCTGATGGGAGGTCAGGGAGATGTGTGACTTTCCTTGTGATCACAGCAACAGAAGGGTTTTTCCAGCTTGCAAATGACCTCTCAAAATAACCTGAATTTCCACCCAGGGCTGGTGGGAATGTAAGCTGATACAAACTTCGGGGAAATAATGAGGTGGAAGATAGTAACTGGCTTAAGAACGTAAAGGGCAGAGGAGTGGAGGTTGAGACTCAGCGTCCTAGGATTAAGAGAAACCTGTCCTGGTCATCCCACTCCTGAAAGTCTGTCCTAAAGGACTTCTACACCAAAATGGTCATTTCAGATTTACTTATAGTAACTTAAAAGTAAGGTAGAGTTGGAAACAACTCAAATATGCAAAAAGTAAGCAAATTTGTTAAGCAAAATAAGCATATACTTTTGGCAGGTTGTCATGTAGCCATTGAAAATGATGGTTACAGAGTTTTTGTTTTTGTTTTTGTTTTTAATAATTATTATACTTTAAGTTTTAGGGTACCGTGCAGTTTTGTTACATATGTATACATGTGCCATGTTGGTGTGCTGCACCCATTAACTCATCATTTAGCATTAGGTATCTCTCCTAATGCTAACCCTCCCCCCTCCCCCCACCCCACAACAGTCCCCAGAGTGTGATGTTCCCCTTCCTGTGTCCATGTGTTCTCATTGTTCAATTCCCACCTATGAGTGAGAACATGTGGCGTTTGGTTTTTTGTTCTTGCGATAGTTTGCTGAGAATGATGGTTTCCACCTTCATCCATGTCCCTACAAAGGACATGAATTCATCATTTTTTATGGCTGCATAGCATTCCATGGTGTATATGTGCCACATTTTCTTAATCCAGTCTATCATTGTTGGATATTTGGGTTGGCTCCAAGTCTTTGCTATTGTGAATAATGCCGCAATAAACATACATGTGCATGTGTCTTTATAGCAGCATGATTTATAATCATTTGGGTATATACCCAGTAATAGGATGGCTGGGTCATATGGAATTTCTAGTTCTAGATCCCTGAGGAATCGCCACACTGACTTCCACAAGGGTTGAACTAGTTTACAGTCCCACCAACAGTGTAAAAGTGTTCCTATTTCTCCACATCTTCTTCAGCACCTGTTGTTTCCTGACTTTTTAATGATCGCCATTCTAACTGGTGTGAGATGGTATCTCATTGTGGTTTTGATTTGCATTTCTTTGATGGCCAGTCATGATGAGCATTTTTTCATGCAGTTTTTGGCTGCATAAATGTCTTCTTTTGAGAAGTGTCTGTTCATATCCTTTGCCCACTTTTTGATGGGGTTGTTTGTTTTTTTCTTGTAAATTTGTTTGAGTTCATTGTAGATTCTGTATATTAGCCCTTTGTCAGATGAGTAGATTGCAAAAATTTTCTCCCATTCTGTGGGTTGCCTGTTCACTCTGATGGTAGTTTCTTTTGCTGTGCAGAAGCTCTTTAGTTTAATTAGATCCCACTTGTCAATTTTGGCTTTTGTTGCCATTGCTTTTGGTGTTTTAGGCATGAAGTCCTTGCCCATGCCTGTGTCCTGAATGGTATTGCCTAGGTTTTCTTCTAGGGTTTTTATGGTTTTAGGTCTAAGGTTTACATCTTTAATCCATCTTTAATTAATTTTTGTATAAGGTGTAAGGAAGGGATCCAGTTTCAGCTTTCTACATATGGCTAGCCAGTTTTCCCATCACCATTTATTAAATAGGGAATCCTTTCCCCATTGCTTGTTTTTGTCAGGTTTGTCAAAGATCAGATAGTTGTAGATATGCGGCATTATTTCTGAGGGCTCTGTTCTGTTCCATTGGTCTATATCTCTGTTTTGGTACCAGTACCATACTGTTTTGCTTACTGTAGCCTTGTAGTATAGTTTGAAGTCAGGTAGCATGATGCCTCCAGCTTTGTTCTTTTGGCTTAGGATTGACTTGGCAATCTGGGCTCTTTTTTGGTTCCATAAGAACTTTAAAGTAGTTTTTTCCAATTCTGTGAAGAAAGTCATTGGCAGCTTGATGGGGATGGCATTGAATCTGTAAATTACCTTGGGCAGTGTGACCATTTTCACGATATTGATTCTTCCTACCCATGAGCATGGAATGTTCTTCCATTTGTTTGTATCCTCTTTTATTTCACTGAGCAGTGGTTTGTAGTTCTCCTTGAAGAGGTCCTTCACATCCCTTTTAAGTTGGATTCCTAGGTATTTTATTCTCTTTGAAGCAATTGTGAATGGGAGTTCACTCATGATTTGGCTCTCTGTTTGTCTGTTATTTGTGTATAAGAATGCTTGTGATTTTTGTACATTGATTTTGTATCCTGAGACTTTGCTGAAGTTGCTTATCAGCTTAAGGAGATTTTGGGCTGAGAGAATGGGGTTTTCTAGATATACAATCATGTCATCTGCAAACAGGGACAATTTGACTTCCTCTTTTCCTAATTGAATACCTTTTATTTCCTTCTCCTGCCTGATTGCCCTGGCCAGAACTTCCAACACTATGTTGAATAGGAGTGGTGAGAGAGGGCATCCCTGTCTTGTGCCAGTTTTCAAAGGGAATGCTTCCAGTTTTTGTCCATTGAGTATGATATTGGCTGTGGGTTTGTCATAGATAGCTCTTATTTTGAGATACGTCCCATCAATACCCAATTTATTGAGAGATTTTAGCATGAAGGTTGTTGAATTTTGTCAAAGGCCTTTTCTGCATCTATTGAGATATTCATGTGGTTTTTGTCTTTGGTTCTGTTTATATGCTGGATTATGTTTATTGATTTGCGTATGCTGAACCAGCCTTGCATCCCAGGGATGAAGTCCACTTGATTATGGTGGATAAGCTTTTTGATGAGCTGCTGGATTCGGTTTGCCAGTATTTTATTGAGGATTTTTGCATCAATGTTCATCGGGGTTATTGGTCTAAAATTCTCTTTTTTTGTTGTGTCTCTGCCAGGCTTTGGTATCAGGATGATGCTGGCCTCATAAAATGAGTTAGGGAGGATTCCCTCTTTTTCTATTGATTGGAATAGTTTCAGAAGGAATGGTACCAGCTCCTCCTTGTGCCTCTGGTAGAATTCGGCTGTGAATTCATCTGGTCTTGGACTTTTTTTGGTTGGTAAGCTATTAATTATTGCCTCAATTTCAGAGCCTGTTATTGGTCTATTCAGAGATTCAACTTCTTCCTGGTTTAGTCTTGGGAGGGAGTATGTGTCGAGGAATTTATCCATTTCTTCTAGATTTTCTAGTTTATTTGCATAGAGGTGTTTATATTATTCTCTGATGGTAGTTTGTATTTCTGTGGGATTGGTGGTGATATCCCCTTCGTCATTGTTTATTGCGTCTATTTGATTCTTCTCTCTTTTCTTCTTTATTAGTCTTGCTAGTGGTCTATCAATTTTGTTGATCTTTTCAAAAAACCAGCTCCTGGATTCATTGATTTTTTGAAGGGTTTTTTGTGTCTCTATTTTCTTCAGTTCTGCTCTGATCTTAGTTATTTCTTGCCTTCTGCTAGCTTTTGAATGTGTTTGCTCTTGCTTCTCTAGTTCTTTTAATTGTGATGTTAGGGTGTCAATTTTAGATATTTCCTGCTTTCTCTTGTGGGCATTTACTGCTGTAAATTTCCGTCTACACACTGCTTTGAATGTGTCCCAGAGATTCTGGTATGTTGTGTCTTTGTTCTCGTTGGTTTCAAAGAACATCTTTATTTCTGCCTTCATTTCGTTATGTACCCAGTAGTCATTCAGGAGCAGGTTGTTCAGTTTCCATGTAGTTGAGCGGTTTTGAGTGAGTTTCTTAATCCTGAGTTCTAGTTTGATTGCACTGTGGTCTGAGAGACAGTTTGTTATAATTTCTGTTCTTTTACATTAGCTGAGGAGTGCTTTACTTCCAACTATGTGGTCAATTTTGGAATAGGTGTGGTGTGGTGCTGAAAAGAATGTATATTCTGTTGATTTGGGGTGGAGAGTTCTGTAGATGTCTATTAGGTCCACTTGGTGCAGAGCTGAGTTCAATTCCTGGATATCCTTGTTAACTTTCTGTCTCATTGATCCATCTAATGTTGACAGTGGGGTGTTAAAGTCTCCCATTATTATTGTGTGGGAGTCTAAGTCTCTTTGTAGGTCACTCAGGACTTGCTTTATGAATCTGGGTGCTCATGTATTGGGTGCATATATATTTAGGATAGTTAGCTCTTCTTGTTGAATTGATCCCTTTACCATTATGTAATGGCCTTCTTTGTCTCTTTTGATCTTAGTTGATTTAAAGTCTGTTTTTTCAGAGACTAGGGTTGCAACACCTGCCTTTTTTTGTTTTCCACTTGCTTGGTAGATCTTCCTTCATCCCTTTATTTTGAGCCTATGTGTGTCTCTGCATGTGAGATGGGTTTCCTGAATACAGCACACTGATGGGTCTTGACTCTTTATCCAATTTGCCAGTCTGTGTCTTTTAATTGGAGCATTTAGCCCATTTACATTTAAGGTTAATATTGTTATGTGTGAATTCGATCCTGTCATTATGATGTTAGCTGGTTATTTTGCTCGTTAGTTGATGCAATTTCTTCCTAGGCTTGACGGTCTTTACAATTTGGCATGTTTTTGCAGTGGCTGGTACTGGTTGTTCCTTTCCATGTTTAGTGCTTCCTTCAGTAGCTCTTTTAGGACAGGCCTGGTGGTGACAAAATCTCTCAGCATTTGCTTGTCTGTAAAGTATTTTATTTCTCCTTCACTTATGAAGCTTAATTTGGCTGGATATGAAATTCTGGGTTGAAAATTCTTTTCTTTAAGAATGTTGAATATTGGCCCCCACTCTCTTCTGGCTTGTAGAGTTTCTGCCGAGAGATCAGCTGTTAGTCTGATGGGCTTCCCTTTGTGAGTAACCTAACCTTTCTCTCTGGCTGCCCTTAACATTTTTTCCTTCATTTCAACTTTGGTGAATCTGACAATTATGTGTCTTGGAATTGCTCTTCTCGAGGAGTATTTTTGTGGCATTCTCTGTATTTCCTGCATTTGAATGTTGGCCTGCCTTGCTAGATTGGGGAAGTTCTCCTGGATAATATCCTGCAGAGTGTTTTCCAATTTGGTTCCATTCTCCCCGTCACTTTCAGGTACACCAATCAGATGTAGATTTGGTCTTTTCACATAGTCCCATATTTCTTGGAAGCTTTGTTCGTTACTTTTTATTCTTTTTTCTCTAAACTTCTCTTCTCACTTCATTTCATTCATTTTGTCTTCCATCACTGGTACCCTTTCTTCCAGTTGATCACATCGGCTACTGAGGCTTGTGCATTCGTCACGTAGTTCTCGTGCCGTGGTTTTCAGCTCCATCAGGTCCTTTAAGGACTTCTCTGCATTGGTTATTCTAGTTAGCCATTTGTCTAATTTTTTTTCAAGCGTTTTAACTTCTTTGCCATTGGTTCGAACTTCCTCCTTTAGCTCAGAGTAGTTTGATCTTCTGAAGCCTTCTCCTCTCAACTCGTCAAAGTCATTCTCCATCCAGCTTTGTTCCGTTGCTGGTGAGGAGCTGCGTTCCTTTGGAGGAGGAGAGGCACTCTGATTTTTAGTTTCTGGTTTTTCTGCTCTGTTTTTTTCCCATCTTTGTGGTTTTATCTACCTTTGGTCTTTGATGATGGTGACGTACAGATGGGTTTTTGGTGTGGATGTCCTTTCTGTTTGTTAATTTTCCTTCTAACAGTCAGGACCCTCAGCTGCAGGTCTGTTGGAGTTTGCTGGACGTCCACTCCAGACCCTGTTTGCCTGGGTATCAGCAGCGGTGGCTGCAGAACAGCAGATATTGGAGAACCGCAAATGCTGCTGCCTGATCCTTCCTCTGGAAGTTTTGTCTCAGAGGTGCACCCAGTCATGTGAAGTGTCAGTCCGCCCCTACTGGGGGGTGCCTCCCAGTTAGGCTACTCAGGGGTCAGGGACCCACTTGAGGAGGCAGTCTGCCTGTTCTCAGATCTCAAGCTGCGTGCTGGGAGAACGACTACTCTCTTCAAAGCTGTCAGACAGGGACATTTAAGTCTGCAGAGGTTACTGCTGACTTTTGTTTGTATGTGCCCTGCCCCCAGAGGTGCAGCCTGCAGAGTCAGGCAGGCCTCCTTGAGCTGTGTTGGGCTCCACCCAGTTCGAGTTTCCCGGCCGCTTTGTTCACCTACTCAAGCCTCAGCAATGGCGGGTGACCCTCAGCCAGGCTCACTGCTGCCTTGCAGTTTGATCTCAGACTGCTGTGCTAGCAATGAGCGAGGCTCCGTGGGCATAGGACCCTCCAAGCCATGTGCGGGATATCATCTCCTGGTGTGCCATTTGTTAAGCCCGTTGGAAAAGCACAGTATTAGGGTGGGAGTGACCCGATTTTCCAGGTGCCATCTGTCACCCCTTTCTTTGACTAGGAAAGGGAATTCCCTGACCCCTTGCGCTTCCCAGGTGAGGTGATGCCTCGCCCTGCTTCGGCTCATGCATGGTGTGCTGCACCCACTGTCCACCCACTGTCCAGCACTCCCCAGTGAGATGAACCCGGTACCTCAGTTGGAAATGCAGAAATCACCCGTCTTCTGCATCGCTTACACTGGGAGCTGTAGACTGGAGCTGCTGCTATTCGGCCATCTTGGCTCCACCTCCACAGAGTTTTAATGTCATGGGAAAATTCTATTGACATGGAGTTAAGTTTTTAAAGCAGTATAAATAGGATAGCTGAACGTGTGGTGCATACCTGTAATCTCAGCTACTCAGGAGCCTGAGGCAGGAGGACCCTGGAGTTCAAGACCAGCCTTGGCAACACAGTAAGACCCTCTCTCACAAAAATAAAAAAAAAAATAGTATACACTATTTTATCTCAGGTATAAAAGAAAAAAATAGATGAAAAATACAGTGGGTAGTAACTTCATAGACAGTTTTCATCAACCTCTTTATCATTTTCTCAGATTTCTACAATGGGCATGCAGCACCATGATGGCTGGGGAGGAAAAAACTAAAAATCAAAAAGTCAAAAATTAAAACAAAAGCTGGTTTTATTGATCGATAACTGCACATTTTTGGTTGGAGGTGCCAGCTCTTGACGAATTTGCAGCCCTCTCACTCTCGATATTGGAGCTTCTTCCTCCTGTGCTGTCTTCTCTGCCTGGGGAAATTTGTGTCCCTCAGCTAGGCCACCCAGGGGAATCACATGATGATCCTGAACATTCCATCCCATCAGGCTGTGCACAGGACTGGCTGCATCTGAGATCAAACGATGTTCAAAGAAAGTTCAGACTCCAGCACTCCAGTTAGGGCAAGCCTCTTAAAAGGTGAGCGTCTTGATACCTGTTTGGAAGGAGGGAACACTGGTTGCAGGAAATTCAGGTGAGCATTTTTGAAAGAGGTGGTGTATAGACTCCAAAGCATCTTCCTCCTACTTTCTTAAATTTTTTTGTTTTGTGTGTTTGGGTTTTTGTGTTTTGAATGGGGGGTTGTTTTTCGGTTTTTTTGAGATGGAGTCTCGCTTTGTCACCCAGGCTGGAGTGCAGTGGTACGATCTCAGCTCACTGCAACCTCTGCCTCCTGGGTTCAAGCAGTTCTCCTGCCTTAGCCTCCCAAGTAGCTGGGATTACAGGTGCGTGCTACCACACCTGGCTAATTTTTGTATTTTTAGTAGAGACAAGGTTCACTACGTTGGCCAGGCTGTTCTTGAACTCCTGACCTCAAGTGATCTGCCCACTTCAGCCTCCCAAAGTGCTAGGATTACAGGCGTGAGCCACCACATCCGGCCCTGTGTGTTTGTTTTTTGAGACAGGGTCTCACTATGTTGTCCAGGCTGGTCTCGAACTCCTGAGCTCAAGCAATCCTCCTCCCTTGGCCTTCCCAGTAATTGGCTTTTAAACATTTGATGGAGGGTGCTGGTGAGCAAAACTTGACAGTTATGAAACAGGAAACCAGCAGGAAAAGGACCTGCCCAAACTTGGAGGAGAAGGTAGTGCCAGGGAAGAAGGGATGGCACTGAGCTTAGTGTGCAACCCAGAATTTGTGACAATTGCACAACACACCCTCTTGTCATTCCTGTCAGTTTTATTCATTCCCCTCCCTCCCTTCCATTCCTTTCCCAGTCTTTAATCCCCCTGTTCCTTCCCTTCTCCTACTCCCTTAATCACTTACAGTCCCACTCCCAGGAGGAAGGGGTACAGGAAACTGCATTTCTCCTCCTGAAGGTCACTGTGTGCAGCTGAAGCCACTTAGTCCACAGGAAGGAAGGCCAGCTGGTAGGAGTTCAGATGGCAGTTACAGCCACCAGGGGACAGCTTTGGCATCCACCCCCTTCAGGGCTCTCCTGAGAGGGAGGAGCAGTGCCCACCCTAGGGAGGGCTGAGCTTTATCACACTCTCTGAGGGCTCTCTGGGTCCTGCCTCATCAGCTCTGATGGCGGAAGGGTTGACAGGGGGCAGCAAGGATGGTTTTGTCCTGTGGCACCTCACCCTGCAGTGTCCACTCCCTCCTACCCCCAGCTCTTCCTGCCTTGCCTCCTGTTCCCTGTGATCCTCCCTTGGTGGAGTGCTGATGTGATGGAGTGGCCCTTCCTTGGAGACTCCCCACAACAATCCAAGTCCCCAACACTCTCCAGTCAGGGAAGACTGAAGCTACAACAAGTACTGGCACTGATCTTTATGACTCTGGTTCAGGCTAGGCATGGTGGCTCACGTCTGTAATCCTAGCACTTTGGGAGGCCGAGGCAGGTGGATCATTTGAGGTCAGGAGTTCAAGACCAGCCTGGCCAACATGGCAAAACCCCATCTCTAATAAAATACAAAAATTAGCCGGGCATGATGGCATGCACCTGTTGTCCCAGCTATTCAGGTGGCTGAGGCAGGAGATTCTCCTGAACCTGGGAGGTAGAGATTGCAGTGAGCTGAGACCACACCACTGCACTCCAGCCTGGGCGACAGAGCAAGACTCCATTTCAAAAACAAAAAACAAAAAAAAAAGTCTCTGGTCCTTTCCAGCTACATCCAAACTTCCAACCCCACCCCAGTGCCCAGAGAAGGGAGGAGGTGGGGACTAAGCCCAACAGGGCCCACTTGTGCCCAATACCTTTCCCCACACTGTCCTACTGCCTCTCCTCACCTTCTGCCCCACCCTCACTCTGCATGACTGAATGACTTAATTCAAATTGCATTTATTTGCTCATTTCTAATCACATCCTAGGATCTCATGCTCTCTTGATGGTAAATAAAAGTGAACAGAAAATGTCTTCTAATGACCTGGTAAATCAAGTTTATACCTTTCCCAAATCAGGGTCAATTTGCTCTAAATCTAGTCAAGTCAGAACCCAGCATTAGTAGGTGGCCTGACCACATGGCCCCTTCCCCCAGTCTCTTAAGGCATAGTGAGTCACTCACAGAGGCCAGCTTAGCCCTTCATGAGTCAGTATCTCCTGTTTATGTACAGAGTCATTACTTTCTCTATAGGAAAAAAAGGAGGTGGTGGTGGAGGTGCTTGTCTATAGATGGACTGGGCATTGTAATTTGAAAAGCATTGAGAAAAGTCCCTATCTCCAAAGACATTATCAGCCTTACATAATATCTGAAAACCTATCATTTGAGACATTTCTCAGAGCAATGATCCTTTATAAAATATGGGATGAGGCCAGAAGAGCCATTTTACTATGTGACAGTCAGTACAACTCAGTGGCTAGGAATCAGGATCTGGATCGAGTTCCACTTCTGGTATGGCTGAGTAAACGCTTACTGTACTGAGCTTCCTGCCAATAACAACTATAAACTCAGGGGTTGGGAGAGGACAAAATCTATCTGAAGGCCCTGGAGAGTATACAACAGCAAGCAGGCTCCAGGGGGAAGTTAACACTTGGAAGAAAGGGTTAGTAGGAGGTTATTCTCCTGTTTTTACCACTTTTGGCCTGATGGTCAGCTGCAGTCACTGTCCTGAGGGGCAGCTAAAACTGAGAAGAAACTCACCATCTTTCTGGCCTGAAGAACTGGCAGACAGAGTTTGAGGGCAACCCCAGCTGCTAGAAAGTGAGGGAGAATCCTCAAAGGGAGAGAGCCAGAGAAAGAAAATCCCAAATTCCATGTATAAAGTCTGCCCCAATTTTTGCCTGACCCCCAAACACCCATGTACAGCAGAGATTGTAAGCACCCTATCTAAGGGTGAAAGAACAAAAAGCAGATATGAGGGGCCACTCAGAAAAAAACAGAATTTGCAGTTTGAACCATAACAAGTTAATTTCTCATTAAAATGAAAAATTCAAAACTCTTTGAAAGAATACAACTGAATCCAGTCTCCACAATATGACATTCACAATATCCAGAGTACAATCCAAAATTTCTTGACATATTGAGAGACAGGAAGATGTGATGTATTCTCAAGAGTAAATATAATAGGCAAAAGTCAAGCTCAAGATGACACAGATATTGAAATTAATAGAAATTTATTTTAAAATGGCAATTCTTACTATACTAAATGACATAAGGAAAAATGTGCTTATAATGATTAAAACATAGTTAGTATCATCACCTAAATAGAGACGCCTAAAATTATAATCAAATGGAAATTCTATAACTAAAAAATACAGTATCTAATTTTAAAAAATTAACTGGATGGGGCTTAACATAATTTTTTAAAACAGATGAAAGAGTAGGTGAATCTAAAGAGAGATCAACAGAAAATATCCAATCTGAAAGACAGAGATAAAAATGATAGTACCTAAAGGGTGGTATTGAAAGGTCTAACATACCTACAATTGAACTCCTAGAAGAACAGAGGACATGGGGTAGAAAAAAATTATTTGAATAAATAATGGCCAAAAAGTCCCCAAATTTGGCAAAAGACATAAATTTACAAATCTAAGAAGCTCAGCAAATCCCAATCAAGTTAAATAAAAGAAAAACATGCCTGGGCACATTAGAGTCAAATGAATGGCAAAGTGTCAAAAGCATGCAGAGAAAAACAGCACATTACACAGAGGAGAATAATGAGTCAAATGACTGTTGATTTCTTATATCAGAAGCAATGGAGGCCAACACAGTGAACCAACATTCTCAAAGCACTAAAAGCAATATCTATCAAATATGAAGCAGAATAAAGACTTTCCAAATAAAAGAAAACTAAGAGAATTTATCACTAGCAGACCTTTATTATAAGAAATGCTAAAGAAAGTTCTTTATCTGAAGATAAATGATATCAAATGAAAATATGGATCTTTAGACATGAAGAACATCAAAACTAGCAAATAGAAAAAACTGCTTTTCCAGCCTAATTCCTTTCCAATATATATCACTATTCAAGGCAAAAATTATGACCTTGCATTGTAGGATGCATAATGTATATAAATGTCATATGGTAATCATAACACAAAGGAATGCTGGGGGCAGGTATAAGAGGACCTATACGATTGCAAGGTTTGCATATTTTATGCAAAGTGGGACAATGTAAACTCAAATCAGATTATAAAAAGTTAAGAATGTATATCGTGATTCTTAGAGCGGACATTGGGTAAAAACTACAATAATATATAGAAAAAACATTAATATGTAAATTAAACTGGAATTCTAAAACATGTCCAAATAATAATTTCTAAAAGGCACTAAATGCAATATGGTACCCTAGATTGGCTCCTGAAACAGGAAAAAGGGGTTATTTGTGAAGAAACAAAGAAATCTGAATAAAGTCTGGCACTTAATTAATAGTAGTGTACTAATGTTAGTTTCTTAGTTGTGATGAATGTACTGTGATAATGTAAGATGTTAACTTCAGCAGAAACTGGGTGAGAGGTATACAGGAACTCTCTGTACTATTTTTGCAACTTTTATGTAAATCTAAAATTTAAACAAAATAAAGAGCTTCTGTAAAAAAAAAAAAAAAGACAAGAAAGAAGTAACAGAAGAACAAAAATCAGAGGGGCAAAAAAGAAAACAAATAAAATGGTGTATCAAAATATAATCAGAATAATATTAAATGTTAATAGGCAAAAATTTCCAATTAGCTAAAAAAAAAGAAATAGCAGAGCTTGTTGTAATGGCTTAAAAACAAAAGTAAGATTTAAAGATATGCTGTGAATGGGACCCACTTTGAATATAATTATACAGATAGAGTGAAAGTAAATAGATGCAAAAGTATATGCAATGCCATGCCAGAAAAAGCCAGATCATTCAACACAGAAGTATTACCAAAGATTAGGAGGGATATTTCACAATGATTAAAATGTCATTGGGAAAACATAACAGTCTTGTATGTGCATGTGCCTAACAACAGCACTTTAAAATATATAAAACAAAAATTGATAGAGCTAAAGGAAGAAATAGACAATTCTACAACCATAGATTTTTGTAGAGTTTTGAAGATTTTAGCATCCTTCTCTCAGCATTTGATAGAAAAATTAAGATAAAAATTCAGGAAACATAGATGATCTGAATAATGCTACCAACTACCTTTTTTATTTATAAAATGGAAATAAACTCACTGTTTGAAATTGGTATAAAGATTAAACAAGCAAATAGTTTAGCCCAGTCTGGGCACACTGTAAATCCACTATACTTACTGGTTATTATTAGCGACTTATCTGGGAGGGGAAAATTTATCAGCTCAATAGTATCCCATTGCCAGGGATTAATTTGCCAAATTAGCTAGTTTGGGGGTAGTGAAAAGCAGATACTTCAAGAGCTGAATATAAAGGAAAACTATTTTTACCATAAATTAATATATTCAGATAACAGAAAAATGAAAACAGTGTAAAAGAATATAAAGATAAGGGGATCATGGTGGGCGGGAGGCAGGACTAGATTGCAGTTCTGACTCAGACGCACAGAGCAGCATGTGGAGGCTTGCATCATGAATTTTTGCTCCAGAATGACTGCAGGAATAAATCAGGAAACCTCACAGGACCCACAGACCCTCTGAAGGAAGCAGATTGCCTGGGAGACACAACAAATACTGTGAGTGCCCAAACTGTACAAGTGGGAAAGGGACATTGTCTGCCCCTGAACACACCTCCCCACCCCCACACCCCAACTGGGGAAACTGAAGGTCTAGAATACAGGAGAAGACTAATACAGGAGAAGACTCTGACCTTACCTGAAGCCGAGTCAATTTAGAGAGCCTAGCAAAATACAGGGGCAGAGGAAGCAATGAGGAAAGACTTGTGAGCTCGCTGGGTCCCCTAGCAAACCATTTCTGCCTGGCCTCACGGGATCCTTCAGAAGGGCAGCCAGAGGCACTGGGAAAAGGCCACAGAGAGAAGGACATCTTCAGCTGAACTTTGAAACAATTTGAACTGGTGGAGAACTCTCCTGGTCAGAACTCAGGGGAGGGCATGAATCTGGTGTGCAGACTCCACAGGCAGGGGAAGAAGGAAAGACATACTTGCTACTGCAGCTGGGAGGCAGGTATCGTGCGGCAAGTTCTCAGCCCTGCTCGCCCATTGCCTGGAAACAGACTCAGTGCTATTGGCAGGCGGGGGGCAGGGGGCACAGTGAAAGTGAGACCAGCCCTTCGGATTATGTGGGAGCTGGGTGAGACCTGTAACTGCTGGCTTTCCTGCACTGCTCTGACAACCTGCATGACACAGTAAAGACATCTATAATCCTTGTAGGAACATAGCTCCATTGACCTGGGAGCCTCATCTCCATCCCCCACAGCAGATGCAGCAAGACCTGCCCAAGGAGAGTCTGTGCTTAGACATGCCTAGCCCTGCCCCCACACAATGGTCCTTCCCTATCCACCCTGGTAATTGAAGACAAAGGGCATATACTCTTGGGAGTTCTAGGGCCCTGCCCACCACCTGTTCTTCCCCATACTACTGCAGCTGATGCTCTCTGGAAAGCGCCACCTCCTGGCAGGAGGCCAACCAGCACAAAAATACTACATTAAACCACCAAAGCTAAGAACCCTCACAGAGTCCATTTCACCTCCCTGCCACCTCCACTAGAACAGGTGCTGGTATCCACAGCTGAGAGACCCACAGACGGTTCACATCACAGGACTCTGTGCAGAAAACTCCCAATACCAGACCAGAGCCTGGTAGACTTACTGGGTGGCAAGGTCCTAAAGAGAGAAAACAATCACTACAGCTCGGCTCTCAGGAAGCCACATCCATAGGAAAAGGGAGAGAGTTCTACATCAAGGGAACACCCTGTGGGACAAAAAAAATCTGAACAACAGACTTCAGCCGTAGACCTTCCCTCTGACAGAACCTACCCAAATGAGAAGGAACCAGAAAACCAACTCTGGTAATATGGCAAAACAAGGTTAATACCTCCAAAAGAATCACACTAGCTCATCAGCAATGGATTCAAACCAAGAAGAAATCCCTGATTTACCTGAAAAAGAATTCAGGAGGTTAGTTATTAAGCTAATTAAGGAGGCACTAGAGAAAGGCAAAGCCCAACGTAAGGAAATCAAAAAAATGATACAAGAAGTGAAGGGAGAAATAGTCAATGAAATAGATAACAAAAATAAAAAACAATAGAAACTTCAGGAAACAATGGACACACTTATAGAAATGCAAAATGCTCTGGAAAGTCTCAGCAATAGAATCGAACAAGTAGAAGAAAGAAATTCAGAGCTTGAAGACAAGGTCTTCAAATTAACCCAGTCTAACAAAGACAAAGAAAAAAGATAAGAAAATATGAACAAAGCCTCCAAGCAGTCTGGGATTCTATTAAATGACCAAACCTAGAATAATCAGTGTTCCTGAGGAAGAACAGACATTTGAAAGTTTGGAAAACCTATTTGGGGGAATAATCAAGGAAAACTTCCCCAGACTTGCTAGAGATCTAGACATCCAAATACAAGAAACACAAAAAACACCTGGGAAATTCATCACAAAAAGATCATACCTATGCACGTTGTCAACAGGTTATGTAAAGTTAAGACAAAGGAAAGAATCTTAAGAGCTGTGAGATAAAGGCACTAGGTAACCTATAAAGGAAAACCTATCAGATTAACAGCAGATTTCTCAGTGGAAATCCTACACGCTAGAAGGGATTGGGGGCCTATCTTCAGCCTCCTCAAACAAAACAATTATCAACCAACAATTTTGTATCCAGTGAAACCAAGCTTCATATACAAAGAAAAGATAGTCTTTTTCAAACAAATACTGAGAGAATTTGCCATTACCAAGCCACCACTACAAGAACTGCTAAAAGAAGTTCTAAACCTTGAAACAAATCTTGGAAACACATCAAAACATATTTTGATATTTAAAGCATAAATATCACAGGACCTATAAAACAAAAATACAATTAAAAAATAAAAACAAAAAAACAAGGTATACAGGCAACAAATAGCCGATGAATGGAATGCTACCTGATATGTCAATACTAACATTGAGTGTAAATGGCCTAAATATTCCACTTAAAAGACACAGAATTGCAGAGTAGATAAGAATTCACCAACCACTATCTGCTGCCTTCAGGAGGCTCACCTAACACATAAGGACTCACATAAACTTAAGGTAAAGGGGTGGAAAAAGACATTTCATGCAAATTGACACCAAAAGTGAGCAGGAGTAGCTATTCAAACAAACTTTAAAGTGACAGCAGTTTAAAAAGACAGAAGGACATTATTTAATGATAAAAGGCCTTGTCCAACAGGAAAATATCACAATCCTAAATATATATGCATCTAACACTGGAGCTCCCAAATTTATAAAACAATTACTAGACCTAAAAAGTGAGATAGACAGCAACACAATAATAGTGGGGGACTTCAATACTACACTAACAGGATTAGAGAGGTCATCAAGGCAGAAAGGCAACAAAAAAAATTGAATTAAACTATACCCTAGAACAAATGGAATTAACAGATATATACAGAACATTCCATCTAACAACTGCAGACTATACATTCTATTCAACAGCACATGGAACCTTCTCCAAGATAGACCATATGATAGGCCACAAAATGAGCCTCAATAAAGTTAAGAAAATGGAAATCATATCAAGCACTCTCTCAGACCACAGTGGAATAAAACTGGAAATCAACTCCAAAAGGAACCTTCAAAACCATGCAAATACATGGAAATTAAATAACCTGTTCCTGAATGATCATTGGGTCAGAAGTGAAATCAAGATGAAAATTAAAAAGTTCTTTGAACTAAACGACAATAGTGACACAACCTATCAAAACCTCTGGGATACAGCAAAGGCGGTGCTAAGAGGAAAGTTCATAGCCCTAAATGCCCACATCAAAAGGTCTGAAAGAGCACAAACAGATAATCTAAGTTCACACCTCGAAGAACTAGAGAAACAAGAACAAACCAAACCCAAACCCAACAGAAGAAAAGAAATAACCAAGATTAGAGCAGAACCAAATGAAATTGAAACAAAAAAATACATAAGATAAATGAAACAAAAGCCTGGTTCTTTAAAAAGATAAATAAAATTAATAGACTACTAGCAAAGTTAACCAAGAAAAGGAGAAAATCCAAATAAGCTCAATAAGAAATGAAATGGGAGATATTATAACTGAAACCACAGAAATACAAAAGATCATTCAAGGATACTATGAACATCTTTATGTGCATAAACTAGAAAACCTAGAAGAGATGGATAAATTCTTAGAAAGATACAACTCTCCTAGCTTAAATCAGGAAGAATTAAACACCCTGCACAGACCAATATCAAGCAGTGAGATTGAGATGGTAATTTAAAAATTACCAACAAAAAAAGGCCAGGACCAGACGGATTCACAGCAGAATTCTACCAGACATTCAAAAAAGAATTGGTACCAATCCTATTGACACTATTCCACAAGATGGAGAAAGAAGGAACCCTTCCTAAATCATTCTATGAAGCCAGCATCATCCTAACACCACAACCAGGAAAGGACAAAACCAAAAAAGAAAACTACAGACCAATATCCCCAATGAACATGGATGCTAAAATCTTTAACAAAATACTAGCTAACCAAAGCCAACAACATATCAAAAAGATAATCCGGCCGGGCTCAGTAGCTCATGCTTGTAATCCCAGCACTTTGGGAGACCCAGGTGGGTGGATCACCCAAGGCTAGCCTGGCTAACATGGCAAAACCCTGTCTCTACTAAAAATACAAAAATTAGCCAGGCATTGTGGCGCACACCTGTAATCCCAGCTACTCAGGAAGCTGAGACAGGAGAATCACTTGAACCTGGGAGGCGGAGGTTGCAGTGAGCCGAAATAGTGCCACTGCACCCTAGCCTAGGTGACAGAGTGGGACTCTGTCTAACAACAACAAAAAAAAAGATAATACTCCATGATCCATGATCAAGTGGATTTCATAGCAGGGATGTAGGGATGGTTTAACATATGCAAGTCAATAAATGTGATACAACACATAAACAGAATTAAAAACAAAAATCACATAATCATCTCAATAGATGCAGAAAAAGCGTTTGACAAAATCCAGTATCCCTTTATAATTAAAACTCTCAGCAATATTGGCATACAAGAGACATACCTCAATGTAATAAAGGCCATCTATGACAAGCCCACAGCCAATATAATACTGAATGGGAAAAAGTTGAAAGCATTCCCTCTGAGAACTGAAACAAGATAAGGACGCCCACTCTCACCACTCCTCTTCAACATATTACTGGAAGTCCTAGCCAGAGCAGTCAGACAAGAGAAAGAAATAAAGGGCATCCAAATCAGTAAGGAGGAAGTCAAACTGTCACTTTGCTGATGATATGATTGTTTACCTAGAAAACCCTAACAATTCCTCTAGAAAGCTCCTAGAACTGATAAAAGAATTCAGCAGTTTCAAATTCTACCAGAGGTACAAGGAGGAGGTGGTACCATTCCTTCTGAAACTATTCCAATCAATAGAGAAAGAGGGAATCCTCCCTAACTCATTTTATGAGGCCAGCATCGTCCTGATGCCAAAGCCTGACAGAGACACACACACACAAAAAAGAGAATTTTAGACCAATATCCCTGATGAACATTGATGCAAAAATCCTCAATAAAATACTGGCAAACCGAATCCAGCAGCACATCAAAAAGCTTATCCACCATGATCAAGTGGACTTCATCCCTGAGATACAAGGCTGGTTCAGCATACGCAAATCAATAAACATAATCCAGCATATAAACAGAACCAAAGACAAAAACCACATGATTATCTCAATAGATGCAGAAAAGGCCTTTGACAAAATTCAACAACACTTCATGCTAAAAACTCTCAATAAATTGGGTATTGATGTGATGTATCTCAAAATAATAAGAGCTATTTATGACAAACCCACAGCCAATATCATACTGAGTGGGCAAAAACTGGAAGCATTCCCTTTGAAAACTGGCACAAGACAGGGATGCCCTCTCTCACCACTCCTATTCAACATAGTGTTGGAAGTTCTGGCCAGGGCAATCAGGCAGGAGAAAGAAATAAAGGGTATTCAATTAGGAAAAGAGGAAGTCAAATTGTCCCTGTTTGCAGATGACATGATTGTATATCTAGAAAACCCCATCGTCTCAGCCCAAAATCTCCTTAAGCTGATAAGAAACTTCAGCAAAGTCTCAGGATACAAAATCGATCTGCAAAAATCACAAGCATTCTTATACACCAATAACAGACAAACAGAGAGCCAAATCATGAGTGAACTCCCATTTGCCATTGCTTCACAGAGAATAAAATACCTAGGAATCCAACTTATAAGGGATATGAAGGACCTCTTCAAGGAGAACTACAAACCACTGCTCAACAAAACAAAAGAGGACACAAACAAATGGAAGAACATTCCATGCTCATGGGTAGGAAGAATCAATATCGTGAAAATGGCCACACTGTCCAAGGTAATTTACAGATTCAATGCCATCCCCATCAAGCTACCAATGACTTTCTTCACAGAATTGGAAAAAACTACTTTAAAGTTCATATGGAACCAAAAAAAGGGCCCTCATTGCCAAGTCAATCCTAAGCCAAAAGAACAAAGCTGGAGGCATCACACTACCTGACTTCAAACTATACTACAAGGCTACAGTAACCAAAACAGCTTGGTACTGGTACCAAAACAGAGATATAGACCAATGGAACAGAACAGGGCCCTCAGAAATAATGTCGCATATCTACAACTGTCTGATCTTTGACAAACCTGACAAAAACAAGCAATGGGGAAAGGATTCCCTATTTAATAAATGGTGATGGGAAAACCGGCTAGCCATATGTAGAAAGCTGAAACTGGATCCCTTCCTTACACCTTATGCAAAAATTAATTCAAGATGGATTAAAGACATAAAAGTTAGACCTAAAACCATAAAAACCCTAAAAGAAAACCTAGGCAATACCATTCAGGACATAGGCATGGGCAAGGACTTCATGTCTAAAACACCAAAAGCAATGGCAACAAAAGCCAAAATTGACAAGTGGGATCTGATTAAACTAAAGAGCTTCTGCACAGCAAAAGAAACTACCATTAGAGTGAACAGGCAACCCACAGAATGGGAGAAAATTTTTGCAATCTACTCATCTGACAAAGGGCTAATATACAGAATCTACAATGAACTCAAACAAATTTACAAGAAAAAAACAACCCCATCAAAAAGTGAGCAAAGGATATGAACAGACACGTCTCAAAAGAAGACATTTATGCAGCCTAAAGACACATGAAAAAATGCTCATCATGACTGGCCATCAAAGAAATGCAAATCAAAACCACAATGAGATACCATCTCACACCAGTTAGAATGGCAATCATTAAAAAGTCAGGAAACAACAGGTGCTGGAGAGGATGTGGAGAAATAGGAACACTTTTACACTGTTGGTGGGACTGTAAACTAGTTCAACCCTTGTGGAAGTCAGTGTGGCGATTTCTCAAGGATCTAGAGCTAGAAACACCATTTGACCCAGCCATCCCATTACTGGGTATATACCCAAATGATTATAAATCATGCTGCTATAAAGACACATGCACACGTATGTTTATTGCAGCACTATTCACAATAGCAAAGACTTGGAACCAACCCAAATGTCCAGCAATGACAGACTGGATTAAGAAAATGTAGCACATATACACCATGGAATACTATGCAGCCATAAAAAGGATGAGTTCAGGTCCTTTGTAGGGACGTGGATAAAGGTGGAAACCATCATTCTCAGCAAACTCTCACAAGGACAAAAAACCAAACACTGCATGTTCTCACTGATAGGTGGGAATTGAACAATGAGAACACCTGGACACAGGAAGGGGAACATCACACACTGGGGCCTGTCATGGGGTGGGTGGAGGGGGAGGGATAGCATTAGGAGATATACCTAATATAAATGACGAGTTAATGGGTGCAGCACACCAACATGGCGCACGTATACATATGTAACAAACCTGCACATTGTGCTGATGTACCCTAGAACTTAAAGTATAATAATTTAAAAAATTAAAAAAATAAAATTATCCAATAAAATTTAGAAATTTGAAAAAAAATCATCAATATATGTTAAAACTAGGGAGTAAAAATTTGAAATGGGAGAGGTTATCTACATATTCTCTGAGTATCTCCCCACAGATTACTTAATAACTGTAAAGGGAGAAATTATAATTATAAACCAAAGGAACCTGGAAGACATCACCTTAACCAAATAATCAAAATCAACATCACCAATAACAAGCCAGACAGATACCATGTGTTTCCTGATGCGAGGCACTGAAAAGGACACAACATCACTTTTATGGTATTCCAGAGGGGACAGGTAACATACACTAATCATGAGGAAGGACGAGACAAACCCAGTTGAAGGGCATTCTGCAAGACAACTAGCTTGTACTCTTCCAAAATGTTAATTCATGAGAGATAAAGGCTCGAGAAATGTTCTAGATTAAAGAAGACTAAAGAGACTACATAACTAAATGCAACATGGGATCAATTTGATCCTGGATTGGATCTTGAGATAAGAAGTAAAAATTCCTCTAAAGAACACCATGGGACAGTTGGCAGATTTTGTATATGGAATGCAAATTATGTAATAATGCATACATGTTAAATTCTGTAAATTTGATAACTATACAGTTATTATGTAAGAGAAAGTTAGAACCTGAAATATTTAGGGATAAAGAGAAAAGTGCATGATATCTGTGACTCATCAAAGAATCATAAAGTGTTAGAGGTTGAAGGGTCCCTAGAGAGTCAGTAGGCCAAACCCTACTTTCTTGAAATGATGTGACCAAAATCCTGAGAAATTGAATTATCTGCCTAAGACCACACATCCAGCCAGGAGTTGAGCCCAAGACTCTCTGGCCAGGTGTTTACAGTGAGTGCATGATATTGGTTGTTCTTGTTCATCATGGGTCAATGCTCAAATACATTGTTATCCATTAACTACAAGCCAATATACACCCCCACAGCTTTGACCCAGCTTCTGCTAATGCAAAGGTCCCTGACTTCTGGTGGGCTTACATCAGAGGACAATGACCCTGGGAACTGATTTATTTTCACCCTTCTCAGTGCTGACCATGGCCTCAGAGGTGAGTGCTCTCAGGAGAGCCCTCTGCTGTGTGCTGTAGTGGAAAGGGCTGGAGCTTACAGTTGGGTAGACCTGCTAGATGAGATCTGTTACTAGCTGTGTGACTTCAGGCACAGCTACCATTTATTTCATCTGACACTCAGTTTTCTCATCAGTAAAAATGGAGACAACATGCATATTTACGGGACTAAATGAGATCATCTATGTGATATATGCCCACCCAACAGTAAGTCTTAGTAATTGCTCATTGTTTTCTTCTTTCTTTTGGTCCAAAAGTATTTATGACTATGAATGGAGCTGGGTGGAGGGCTTGGAGAACTCACTACAAGTTATTTAAACTTTTTTCTCATTAGAAGAATATTACCAAAGTGATATGCACCTTATAGAAAAATAAAAAGACAAAAATATTTGAAAAAAAAAAGAATTCAGCAGTTTCCAGATACAAAATTAATGTACACAAATTAGTAGCTCTTCTATACATCAACAGCAACCAAGCAGAGAATCAAATCAAGAACTCAACCCTTTCACAATGGTTGCAAAAAATAAAATAAAATACTTACGAATCTACCTAACCAAGGAGGTGAAAGACCTCTACAAGGAAAACTACAAAACATTGCTGAAAGAAACCATAGATGACACAAACAAATGGAAACACATCCCATGCTCATGCATGGATACAATCAATATTGTGAAAATGACCATACTGCCAAAAGCAATCTACAAATTCAACACAATTCACAACGATACTACCATCATTCTTCACAGAATTAGAAAAAGCAATTCTGAAATTCATATAGAACCAAAAAAGAGCCCGCATAGCCAAAGCAAGACTAAGCAAAAAGAACAAATCTAGAAGCATCACATTACCTGATTTCAAACTATACTATAAGGCCATAGTCACAAAAACAGCATAGTGCTAGCACAAAAATAGGCACATAGACTAATGGAACAGAATAGACAACCCAGAAATAAAGCCAAATACTTACAGCCACCTGATCCCTGACAAAGCAAACAAAAACATAAAGTGGAGAAAGCACACCCTTTTCAACAAATGGTGCTGGGATAACTGGCTAGCCATGTGCAGGAGAACGAAACTGGATCCTCATCTCTCACCTTACACAAAAATCAACTCAAGATGGATTAAGGACTTAAACCTAAGACTTGAAACTATACAAATTCTAGAAGATACCATTGGAAAAACTCGTCTAGACATTGGCTTAGGCAAGAATTTCATGACCAAGAACCCAAAAGTAAATGCAATAAAAAGATAAATAGCTTGGACTTAATTAAACTAAAGAGTTTCAGCAAAAGGTATCGTCAGCAGAGTAAACAGTCAACCCACAGAGAGAGAAAATCTTCACAATCTATACATCTGACAAAGGACTAATATCCCGAATCTACAATAAACTCAAACAAATCAGCAAGAAAAAAACAAACAATCCCATCAAAAAGTGGGCTAGGGACATAAATAGACAATTCTCAAAAGAAGATATACAAATGGCCAAAAAACATGAAAAAATGCTCAACATCACTAATGATCAGGGAAATGCAAATCAAAACCATAATGCGATACCACTTACATAATGCAGGAATGGCCATAATAAAAAAATAGTAGATGTTAGCGTGGATGCGGCGAAGAGGGAACACTTCCACGCTGCAGTTGGGAATGTAAGTACAGCCACTACGGAAAACAGTGTGGTGATTCCTTAAAGAACTAAAAGTAGAACAACCAATTGAGCTAGCAATCCCACTACTGGGTGTCTACTCAGAGGAAAAGAAGTCATTATACAAAAAAGATACTTGCACACGCATGTTTATAGCAGCACAATTCTTAATTACAAAAACGTGGAACCAATCCAAATGCCCATCAATCAATGAGTGGATAAAGAAACTGTGGTATATATGTGGTGGAATACTACTCAGCCATAAAAAAGGAATGAATTAATGGCATTCACAGCAACCTGGATGAGACTGGAGACTATTATTCTAAGTGAAGTAACTCGGGAATGGAAAACCAAACACCTTATGTTCTCACTCATAAGTGGGAGCTAAGCTAAGAGGATGCAAAGGCTTAATAACTACACAATGAATTTTGGAGACTCAGGGGGAATGCGTGGGAAGTGGGTGAGGGATAAAAGGCTACAAATAGGATGCATTGTATACTTCTCAGGTGATGGGTGCACCAAAATCTCACAAATCACCACTAAAGAACCTACTCATGTAACCAAACACCACCTGTTCCCCAATAACCTATGGGAATAAAAAATTGTTTTAAAAGAATGAAAGAATATAAAAATAAAAATGTCTCTCTTTCCTTTTTTAGAAAAATTTCAAAAAAGTTTCTTTCCTTTCTTTTCTCTACCACCACTTCTACTTCTATATTAGTTATTTACTGCTAATTACAAGGACACCAAAACTTAATGGCTTAAATCAACAAACATTTATTTTATAATTCTGTGAGTGAGGAATTCATGAGCAACTTAGCTGAGTGGCTGGGCCCAGGGTATCTCATGAGGTTGCAGCTAAGATGTCAGCATCTTCAGGGCTGCAATCATCTGAAGGCATGACTGAAGCTGGAGGATCTGCTTCCAAGTTGTTTTATTCATCTGACTATTGGCAGGTGGTCTCAGGCCCTCACTGCTATTGGTGAGAAGGCTCAGTTCTTTAGCACATGGGCCTCTCCACAGTGCTGCTTGAGAGTCCTCATGACATGTCAGCTGGCTTCCTCCAGAGTAACAAAAGAGAGAGCAACAAGGAAGCCACATTGACGTTTATGATATATTTCAGAAGTTACACACTGTCATTTCTGCCATATTCTATTCATTAGAGGTGAGTCAATAAGGCCAGTCCACAGGAGAATAAAGTTCCATCTTTTGAAGGAAAGAAGGAAGGAGTATACTTGTGTACAAAAACTTAAACTATCACACCTCCCCAGAGACAATAACCTTTCATTGTTTCTTCTGAGTCTTTCTAGAAAGTATGTATGCATACACAAGCTTATAGCCCCTTTTTCTGTTAACATAAGTAAAATCACACTATATAGACTATTCTATACCTTATTTTTTCCATTCAATATTATCTTGAGAATCTTCCTAAATCAGCACATACATATATGTTCTAATCTTTTTAATAGATTCAAATTATCTAACTATATGGGTATTTAAATACTTGACCAGTCCCTGCTAATGATAATACATGTTGTTTACAGTTGTCTATTATAGCAAAACAATACTGTAAGGAAGATTTTATTTTTTTTTTTTGTTTTCCTTTATTTTGGAAGATTTTAATATGCATATTTTTGCCAACTTCTGTGAGAACATCTACAGAATCAAGTCCTTGGAGTAGAATTGCTGGATAAGGGGATACACACATTTGCAACCTTGATTGATTATGCCTAATTGTTTCTAAAGAGATGACTGGTTGATACATTCACCTGTATTGCTAAGAGTCCCTTTCCCTACTCTTGTCAGGTTTTCATCTATCTTTAAAATGTTTGCCAGTCTGATAGGTGAAACAGGTATTTCATCATCCATTGAATTTGCAATTCTTTAGTTACCATTAAGTACATTTATCAGCCATTTTTATTACTTTTCTGTGAACTATCCTGTATTGTGTGAGTGTGTAAAACAAAAGAAACTAGTCCTTATCTACCATACATGCTGCAAATGTTTTCCCCCACTTCGTCATTTGCCTTTTGACTTTAATTGGGGTTTTTTTGCATAACTTTTTTTTTTTTTTTTTTTGCGATGGAGTCTTGCTCTGTCACTCAGGCTGGAGTGCAGTGGCGTGATCTCGGCTCTCTGCAACCTCTGCCTCCTGGGTTCAAGCGATTCTTGTGCCTCTGCCTCCCGAATAATTTGGGTTACAGGCACCCTGCACCACACCCAGCTAATTTTCATATTTTTAGTAGGGATGGGGTTTCACCATGTTGGCCAGGCTGGTTTCGAAATGCTGACCACAAATGATCCACCCGCCTTGGCATCCCAAAGTGTTGAGATTACAGGCGTGAGCCACCGTGCCTGGCCTAAACTTTTAAATAGTCAAGTTTTAAAGCAAAATTTTTAAGAGGTCAAATTTATCAAAACCTTATGGTTTCTGGGATTTTTTCCCCAAACTTAGAAATATCTCCATTTCATGACTCATTTAAATATCACCTATGTTTTCTTCTTGCATGTTTATGGTTTCAATTTTTACCTTTAATTAATTGCTCATCTGGAATATGGATTAAGAATTGAGAAGAATATGTAGCTTTGTTTTTATTCAAATAGTTTTCCCAGTACCAATTATTAAATAATCCACTTCTTTCCAATAATTTGAAATATCTTATGCTATGTTTCCCTCTGCTTGGCAGGCTATTTATAAACTCTCTTTGTTTCATTGATCTGAAGCGTCCCTTTAAGGGAAATTGTTGAAGTACTGAGAGGAGGAAAAAAGTTCAGCAGCTGAGAAGTTCAAGGCCAGAAAGGAAACACAGCTGGGGAGTGAGAAGAAGTTGGGGTGAGGATTTAGGGAGCACTGAGAATGCAGAAAATATATAGATATCTAAATTATATAATTGTATTTTAAAAAGCAATTGTGTTGCTTCTCAAAACAACTAAACCAACAATGAAGACTTGCCCAGGTCCTCAGAGGATGCACATTAATTAATAGAAGATAGGTGTGTTAATTAGTTCACCAATTGTTTCTAAAATGCTTGAATCAGCCTCTCACAGGTATCTATTTTCCACTATTATCTTCTGTCTAACTCTTGAACTCACGTTGTTTTTTCTGAAATATGTTGTTTTCAGGATGAATCTGAATTGATGTGTATTCCATACAGGTGGGATCCAAAATAAAAAGATCATGCTGCATTTTCCTGATGATTAGTTGAAGACACTGTGAGCCAGGCACTAGGCATCACCCCTTTTTATATCACTCCGTCTTTCTTGTAGCAATACCATAAGGAGGCCATCATCATCCTCATTTTGCACAGGAAATAAAATATGTATTTGCCCAAAGTCATCCTGTTGTTAGTGAGAAAGCTGGGACCCAGTTTCACCCCCATCTGGTGCAGAAACTGTGCTCTTGCCAGGACACAATATGGCCTTTCCCATGTGATGGATAGGGTAGAGGGAAAAAACAGCATGGGAAGCTGAAAATAACCGGGTTTTCCAGAGAAGAGAAGGCATGGAGAAGAATGACTATCTCCATCCAGAATGAGCAAGAGGGCATGGCCTCATGGACTCTGATAGAGAATGACTTAGAAAACCCCAAGCATTCTGTCCTTCTTCCCAATCTAAGTGTGATATAAGCTGGTGTTACACTGACCTCACTCAAGTTCCCCATGTCATGTATTAGGAAATGTTCTGCTCTCTGGCAGCCTCTAGGCAGAAACCTGATTTGACCTCCCTGGCTTCCTAACCACCCAAGCCTTGTAGCTGGCCCTGGTTCTGGGGCCCACTGAATTGGAGCATCACCTTACCTGGCTGGGGGCAGGCATGGAGTTGGCAGGTGCTGAGGAATGAGAAATTCAGTTCAGCCTGGATCCCTGCACCCTCCTGGAGGGTTCCCGCAGGCTTCTTCTGCCATTCCTCCTTGCTGCTACATGACCACCTGCTGCTGCTGAGATTGACACCTCTGTTCCACGGACCTGAGCCAGCTGGGGGTTCATCTTCATCAAATCAAACCTGCTTACAAGTGGCAGGTGGCTGAGAGAGGCCCTTAAGCTCCCCAGAAACAATCCTGGTTTCATGTTCCAACCCTTCCTTACCTTTTCCCCAACACTCACACAAGATTGTCGCATACCCTTGTGCAGGTTATATACCACATGATGTCATGGGGAATATAAATCACAATGGCTTCTGATTCACATATTCTTACCTGTTTGAGAATTTGTTTGGGAAAGACTCATTACCAAGTCCCTAAACAGTAGTCCCCCAGGACAACGTACATGAGGTATATGAGAGTCAAGAAAAGAACCAATGAAAACCAGGGATCATCTGATAAAGTTCAGAGACTGCTTCCACAGTATTTCACTGTATACATTTGTCAAGTGCAGATAAATAATTTCTACTCTGTTCACTTCCCAGAAATATTATAAGGGTAGGATAGACTCACGGATGTGAAAATACATTGCAAAGTAAAAAGCATCAAGGAATGAGAGCGGTTTTCTTGTTGATGACTATCAGCTAAGCAGTATCTATGGAGAATGGACTTTATGTTCTCTGAGAACCTGTAAACATGTGTTTCCTGTGCTCTCTGAAGCACTGTGAGAAATCCATGCATGCACTATAAAGCAGCAATGTGGGGCAGTGCCAAGGATATCTAAAACAAACTAACTTTATCTTACTTATGCAAAGTTGCTATATGTGGAATTATTTTAAAATCAGTAAGATTAGGAATCAAATTAATGAATGAATATATACTAATTTATCACAAGGTGCCTAAGACAAAAAAGAGAAGGCATTTTATATGAGAATATCTAACCTAAATATAAAACCCGAAGCTATAAAACACTAGAAGGAAACATAGGGGAAACATTTCAAGACATACATCTGGGGAAAGATTTGATGAGTAAGACCTCAAAAACACAGGCAACAAAAGCAAAAATAAGCAAGCGAAATTATATCAAGCTAAAACCTTCTGCATAGCAATGGAAGTAATCAGCAGAATGAAAGGACAACCTGCAGAATGGGAGTAAATATTTGCAAACTATTCATCCTCTGCAAGGGGTTAATATACAAAATATATAAGGAACTCAAGCATCTCAACAGCAACAAAACAAACAATGCAATTAACAATGGGCAAATGATCTGAACAGATATTTCTCAAAGGAAGACATACAAATGGCCAACAGGTATATGAACAAATGCTTGACGTCACTAATCATGAGGGAAATGCAAATCAAAACCACAATGAGATATCACCTCACCCTTGTTAGAATAGCTATTACCAAAGGGACAAAAAAATTACATATAGTGAAGCCACTATAGAGAACAATATGGAGGTTCCTCAAAAACTACAAATAGAACTACTATATGATTCAGCAATCCCAGTAGGGGGCATTTATCCAAAGAAAAGAAACTCAGTATATGAAAAAGACATCTTCATTCCCATGTTTCTGGCAGCACTATTCACAGACCCAAGATATAGAATCAACCTGGGTGTCCACCATCAGATGAATGGAGAAAGAATATGTGGTATACACAATGGAATATTATTCAGCCATAAAAAAGAATGAAATCCTGTCATTCGTGGCAACATAGATAGACCTGGAGGACATTAAGTGAAATAAGTCAGAAACAAAAAGTTAAATACTGCATATTCTCACTCGTATGCAGAAGATTAAAAAAAGTTGATCTCATAGAAGTAAAAAGTAGAACAGAGGATACCAGAATTTGGGAAGGGTAGGGAAAGGAGAGGATAGGGAGAGATTTGTTAAAAGATACAAAATTATAACTAGATAGAAGGAATAAATTCTAGTGTTCTATAGCACTGTAGGATGACTATAGTTAACAAAAATATGATCATATAGTTTCAAATAGCTAGAAGAAGGATATTGAATTTTCCCAAAACAAAGAAATTATAAATGTTTAAGATGATGGATATGCTAATAGCCTTGATGTGGTCACTAGACATTGTATATATCAAAAAATCACTATGTACCCCATAAATATGAACAAATATGTGTTGATTAAAATGCTTTTAATCAAAAACAATTAAAAATTGAAGATTTTTAAAAGAATATCTATTAAATATATCTCTCCTTGAAGAACTTATAATCCAATCAGAGAAAACAGGTTAGCCCAAGAAACAACTGGAAAATAAATCAAGACAGAATATAATCAGGCTGCAAGTGGGGTATACTTTCACTGATGCATTCATGCCTTCCGGGACTATTTATTAGGTACCCTGTATGGTTTGGCCCTGTGCTTGGTGAGGGAGACGTAAAGTCACAGCCACATCCCCAAGTTCCCTAAAGTCTAGAGGAAAGATAGACAAAAATATCAAAGATCCTAGGTCAAGGGATATACCTAGGGGTAGAGGTTGCACAGAGAACTGTGGAAAAACACACAGGTAGGCAGCCAAATGAGACTGGGCTGCCAAGGAAGACTTCCTAGGAGAGGTGACCATGGGAATGAGTTTTGAACAACAAGCTAGGAGTTACTGAGATTCAATGGGGTGGGAGTGGTGGTACTCCAGGCAGAAGGAACAGTATGGAAGGTGGATGGGAGGTGCTTTAACAACAAATTTAGGAATTTGAGCTTGGTCCTGAGGTTTTAAGGAAACTCTGGAGACACCTGAGATGAGGGTGAGGGGTGCATGATCATATTTTCACTTTAGAAGGTTCACTCTGACAGCCACAGTGTGGAGGTAGTATTGGAAGATCTAAGAGGCAACTTGAGCTTTCCTAGAAGAATTGAGACCCCTTGTCCCTAAATTACCTCTCTCACCAGTTCAATGACACTTGGCATTCCATCGGTAAAGCTGTATTTCCTTAACCCTAATATGCAACTGTGAACCCTTGACCACTGCATCACCCTGCAAGAATGGAGTCATACTCCCGGCAACCCTCGGCCATTTACACTGAGTGTTAGCAAGTTTCAAGTATCTTCCTGAGGATATTATTTTATTTTGTTCTTTTATTATTTTTTTATTCATCTAATTGATTTATCTAACTGCTAGTCTGCACAAAGTCCTGTGATACAGACCAGAAACATGGTTCTCTCCTCCATAATTATAGCCCAGGAAAAGGAGGGTAGGAAGGAAAGGCGATGGAACAGACCAGCAAACAAACGATGACAACACAGCACAGCACGTGCGAGGAAGGAGGTCTGCACACAGGGAGCAAATGCCCCTGCATTCTTTCAAATACCTCTCCAGCACCTATGGGATGCCAAGTGGCGCTCTAGGTGGTAAGAATCACATGGCAACTAGTGCTGAGCACCTGAACCTTATATCTGGGGGAGGAGAGGAATGATAAACAAGAAAATAAATAAGTACATAATGTAATTGCAGGCAGAGATGATACTGAGGACTGAGGGTTAAGAAGGAGCTGACCCAGAGGATGAAAATGGGTTGGGAAGACCACAGGTGCAAAGATGGCTTGGGAACTGTGGTTGGGTGGGGGCAGGTGAAGGAGGGGAGGCACAGACAGTAGACCAGCCTCTGGGCTGGGTCCTGAACCTGAAGGGCCTCCTGTGTCGATCTCCAGTTGGAACTTTTTTATTTTTTTTTGAGACGGAGTCTCGCTCTGTCGCCCAGGCTGGAGGGCAGTGGCACAATCTTGGCTCACTGCAAGCTCCGCCTCCTGGCTTCACACCATTCTCCTGCCTCAGCCTCCCAAGTAGCTGAGACTACAGGCACCCACCACCACACCCAGCTAATATTTTGTATTTTTAGTAGAGACGGTGTTTCACCGTGTTAGCCAAGATGGTCTCGATCTCCTGACCTTGTGATCTGCCCGCCTCAGCCTCCCAACATGCTGGGATTACAGGCGTGACAGTTGGAACTTTAAGAAGAGAACAATGAAATGTCATGAAAGGGTTTTAAGCAGGGAAGAGAAATTATCAATTTCATTGTTTTCAAAAGTCGCTGTGCTTGCAGAGAGTGACCAAGAAGTTGAAGGAGTCCCATGAGAAGGGATACAGCCTGAGCCAAGGCACGGCCAAAGGGAGGAGGAGGAACAGAACACAGGACTGGCTGTGTGTGGTGAAGAGGAGGTGGTGTCAAGGGGGACTTGCACATTTCTAGCTCAGCTTTCCTAGAAGGATAATGCTGCCATCCACCGAATCATAGAACCTAGAAGCTGGGGGACAAGAGGAGGCAGAGAGAGTATGGTAACAGGCTCTGTGGGCCTGTTGAGGTGGAGAAGTCTGCAAGCTGCTGAAGAAACGGGTCTGGCTCTGGGGACTCGCAGCTGATTGGACATGAGGGTTAGAGAGACTAGGAAGACCCCCAAGTGCCAAGGGAAGGGGGCAGAAGGACAGGGAGGTGGCTAGCAGCAGGTGTCAGGTCACTGTCTAAGGGAGAAACTGCTCCACAGTTGGGTCAACTGCTCAAAGAGCAAACATCTGTGTATCTGCCCTCTGCATTCTTGACCAGGCCCAGAGACCCAACCTAAGCTTTGAGAAGGGAGGTAGGAAAGGAGGGAGGGAGGGAGGGAAGGAAGGGAGGGAGGGAGGGAGGAAGAGAGGGAGGGAGAGAGGGAGGAAGAGAGGGATAGAGGGAGGGAGAGAGGGAGGGAGGAATAAGGGAAGGAAAAAAGGGAGAGGAGAAGGGAGGATGGGATGGAAGAAGGGAGGGAGAAAGGGAGGAAGAGAGGAAGGAAGGAAAGGAAGGAGGGAGGGAGAGGAAGGAAGTGAGGGAGGGAGGAAGGAAGGGTGAGCCACATATAAACAGCATAAAGACAACAGTTTTCTGTGAGGGGATGGCAGCCACAGGAAATGGCCCTGTTTCTTTCTCACCCTCTTTCCTGTTTCCTGTCCTGGAAAATCATCCCAGTGATTCCCCTCTTGGTTTTCCACATGACTAAACTCCACGGGGCTTGAATGATCAGACCTCAGGCTGCCAGGCTTCCTGTCCCCAGTTCCTCCGGCTCCCGCAGAGCCCACAGGGACCTGCAGATCTGAGTGCCCTGCCCACCCCCGCCCGCCTTCCTTCCCCCACCACGCCTGGGAGGGCCCTCACTGGGGAGGTGGCCGAGAGCGGGTCTGGCCTGGGGTGTTCAGATGCTCACAGCATGGAAAAGTCCATCTGGCTGCTGGCCTGCTTGGCGTGGGTTCTCCCGACAGGTGAGTGTCTGCTACTCTCTCTGGCCCATGCTCGGGACAGAATAGATGCTGAAAGCATCTTAGGTACAGTCTCCCCTGGAAGGCAGGAAGCAGGTGTGCAGAGCCTCCAGGCCTGTGGAGGAGGAAGAGCTGCGCTTGGGGCCTGTGGTGCCAGAAGCCAGAAGTTCAAATCAGTGCTGTGTCTTGGATTTCAGGTGACTTGAGACAGGCACTCCATGTCTCTGGCTTCAGGGTGGCTGCCTATATAAAGGCTACTTGCCCCACCCATTGCTGCGAGCATCCAGAGGACAATAGGCCAGGTACAGAGAGGACATCACAGGCTCTGAACAAGCTTCTTGTGCTGCTGTCACCCAAGTGCCGTGTGTTTTGATGGGCACAGCCTGAGGAAGAAGGGCGGGGAGTGCATGGGCGTTTGGGGACAGTGCTGATGCATGGGAGGGGGTGATTTCATGTGGGGGATATAGTGAGGGATAGAGGCCCTCCCAGCAGGAATCCCAGTGGGTGAGTGGGAACACTGTGGCAGGTTTAAGCAACAATGTCATCAGTCACTTAGCTCGGTGACTTGGTATCCTGGGAACAGTGTTTCAAAAGGCACAGGGACCATCTGCATCAGAATCCCTGGGGTTAGGAGAGGGCATTTGCTAAAATGCAGGTTCTTTGGCTCCACCCCAGACCTGCAGAATCAGAGTATCAGGCAGCAAGTCCTAGGAATCTGCATTTTCACCACCTTCTTGGGTGATTCTGACACTCGATGCATTTGAGGGCACCTGGGATTAATGGCAAAGGCAATCCTCAGAGCACCTCTCTCCAGATCCCAGTCCTTACCCCATCCCCATCCTAGGACTCAGCATCCATGCCACTGTATGCTCGGCCATCACAGGCCACACACTGACATCATGGTGTCCTGAGCTGTTAGTCAACATTCCCTGTATGGGGTCCTGGCTCCATAACTGGATGATAAACTCCCACACCTTAGACCCCTTTGCCCTCCCATCTGGCGTGTACTCAGACTGGAGTCCAGCTCGGGGCTGGTTTGGGCAGTAACAGCAAACCTCTGCACAGCTGTCACCACATGCTGGGCACTTTAGTAACTCACATAAGGCTGAAAACCCTATGAGAAAGGAACTCTGTTTGTTTGTTTGTTTCTCTTTGGAGACAGAGTCCCACTCTGTCACCCAGGCTGGAGTGCAGTGGCGCAATCTCAGCTCACTGTAAACTCTGCCTCCCAAGTTCAAGTGATTCTTGTGCCTCAGCCTCCCAAGTAGCTGGGATTACAAGTGTGTGCCACCACGCCCAGCTAATTTTTTAAATTTTTAGTAGAGACAGAATTTTGCCACGTTGTCCAGCCTGGTCTCGAACTCCTGACCTCAAGTGATCAGCCCGCCTTGGCCTCCCAAAGTGCTGAGATTACAGGTGTGAGCCACCATGCCCGGCAGAGAAAGGAACTCTTCCCTATGAAACATTCTCTTTTCACAGATGAAGAACATGGGGCCCAGAGGGGCTCAACAAGTGGCAGGGGTGGAGCTGGGATTTGAACCCAGGTGTGTGGGGCTTTTGGCTGGGCCCCCCCACTACCCCACCCCACACAGCCATGGACCCTTGGTAGGCACTGACAGGGAAGGAGCTATCTTTTCCCAAGTTGACCTAACTTAGCCATCTTTCTGGGATGATTTAGGGTTGGGTCCCACTGAGACAGTGGCCAGACCCAAGTGGTCAATGGGAGAGGGGTTGAGGGTGTGGATGTTGGCAGCAGGGCAGGTCTGAAGCCCACCTCTGCTGTTTGCTGTTTACTGGCTGCATGGCCTTGGGCAGGCTGTCTACCTTTCTTGAGTCCCTGTAAACTGGGGTCCCTGCCACCTTGAAGAGGAGCTGGGGAGATTCATTAGACACTACATCAAAGGCCCCCAGCACAGCTCCTGGCCCTCAGTGGCCGCACGATAAATAATGGCCATGAAACCTTGCCAAAGTCACAGCGTTTCAAGAGAGCCGAGGCTTTGGGGATTTTAGGTTTAGGGTGATTTCTTTTTTTCTCTCCTGTTACGGGTCAGCTGCTATGAATCAGCAAGACACAAAGGATTTAGAGGAAGCATGGGCTGTGGAGTCACATGTTCAAAAACAAACGCCAAACCACACACCTTCTCTGTTGAGATTACTGAGTGCAGCCAAGCCACTCGCGTGAGCCGACTCAGCTGCAGAAAGTCATTTTCTTTACAAACAGCAGCTGCTTCACAGTTAGAACCAGGGTGGTCCAGGCCCCCACTTCCTGACGCTCTTCTGGCTGCTCTTCTTCTGGGAGCCTCTCCTCATGGCTCAGCCAGAAGACATCCAGGCCACGGCCTGGGCAGGAGGCCCGAGGAGCAGGCTCTGCTCCACCACCGTGTGTGCACCAGAGGCTCTGTGAGCAGACGCCTGTGCCAACGCAGGCCCGCCAGTCGTGGTCCCTTCCCTAGCCCAGAACAGCCCCTTGGTGAGAGAAAAGTGGGAAGCATTTGTCCCAGAAAGGCCCCTTCTACTTTCCATGTCCTCCCCTTCATGCAGGAGACCCCCATACTCGACACCCAGTGCCCAGCAGCCCCTAATCTCCCAGGGGCTCCCCACATAGCCTCCCAGGTCCTCCTCCATCTCCCCCCATATCTGCTTTTAGGAAGCTAGAGATGCCAGGGAACGTGGGGCAGGGGGAAGAACACTGGTCTGGGAGCTCCAACCACCCGAGTGACCTTGGACAAGGCCTCAGGTGGTCCTCAAGCCTGTGATAGGCAGATATCACAACCACAACCACTGTCATCTTCAGAACCCCTTGTGCCAGGCCTGTGACAAACAGTTCATTTACTCTTCAGCACAGCCTTGCAAGTGAGGCTCCTGGCCTCTGCAATGGGGATTTGGTGACTGCCGGGGCATCCAGCCTAAATGGGAAGCAGAGGCTTCTGAGTGTGCATCCACCTCTCCCGCACCCTCCTGCAGTGGGCAGGGAGCCTGGGCAAAGCCTGGTGTGGAGAGCTATTTACTTCGCTAGTTCTGAACTGCCGCAGAAAAACAAACCCAAATGGCAAGACAAATAGCAGCGGTCACCCAAAGATGCAGGGGTGCTTATTCGGGACACAGGCAAAGGTCAGGACCGGAGGACATGGGCTGGTGTCACAGCCCAGGAGGAAATGGGAGGGTTTAATGAGCCAGGGCACTTCTCTCCCAGTGGCTGTTGTGAGCAGTTTGCTTGAACTGAGGAAGTCCTATCTGGGGCGGGAAGGGGAGGAGTGAAGGGAGCAGGGATCACTATGGAGGCTGGGCAGGGGGTGGGGGCACCAGCAGAGACAGGCTACATCGGGACTCTGAAGAGCAGCACTCTGGGGTGGGCACAGGCCCCACAGCAGGGTCAGCCTGTGGCCCTGCCTCTCCATCAGCTCAGGTAAGCAGGGCCACACCCACGCCACAGTCAGCCTGCGGCAGAGGCATGGGTTAAAGGGGAAGCCAGATAACCCTGAAGCAGATAGAGACCAGCTGGCCTTTCACTCACTACTCACACCTCACCCCTTCCCGGGAACCTTCAGGGTCTGGTTTGTGCTGACAGTTGGAATTTCTGCTTCCTCTCCCTCCTCTGCTCTCTGATCTCCACCCCATTCTTGCCCTTTCTCTGCTGATAACCTATCTTGACAACTTGCAAGCCCAGAGAAAGATTTGCAGGGAGCAAACCAAGGGGCAGGAGGGGAAGGGCTGAGCTGCAATGAGCCTCAGCTCCACCCACATACCTACAGGTGAGGTCGACAGCCAATGGGAGTGTCTCTCCTTGCCCTCAAAATGCCCTCTCCTGGCCCTCCAGGTGTCACAATGCCGGAAGTGCCACCCCCGGAGCCACACTCCTGGAGCACCCTGTTAGCATGCCCAGGTGCCCTCAAGGAGGGTAGCCCCTCCCAGATTGTTGGGCTCCTCATACTGGCCACTCGTCAGCTGGTAATGTCAGCCATGTGGTGGTGGCAGGGGCACAAAAGATGCCTGAGGGACTCCAGCTCTGAGGGCCACAATGCTGTCCCTCCTGGAGGCGTGGTCTTCCTATGGTGACTGCCCACTTGGTTCCATCCTTCCCTTACCCCCTCAAAATCCGTGTCACATAAAGCCCACCCCAGCAGACCTAATTTTTGTTAAAGTGCCATTCTGTAAGGGCACCCCCTCTGGCCATTATTCCACCACGACTACCACGGGACTCACTTTCCTGTCTGTGACACCCTGGAGAGGGTCTTTAATTCCAGGCATTAGTAAAACATCCACAGAGAGCAAGTGACCCGTGCTCCGCCATGAAACCGACAAGCAGCTCAGCTTTCTCTCTAGTTAACAGAAGCGTGACTACGCCCACAGAAGATCTACACAGAGGTTCCCGTGCAAATTCCTGCTTTGCTTTTTTCCTTACCAAGGAACTGGTGGAGATTTTGGTCAGCTGTGGCAAAACCAAGGTTTCTGTTTCTGACCCTATCCAATTGCAGCTTCTGCTGGTGTAGGCTCCCCAGCTCTGTTTCTGTCTCCCTGGAGCTCTCTGCCTACCCTGGCAACACAGGTGTGGGGCTTTGGGAGAGTAGGTTCGGCATCAGTCAACTGCTCCCTAGTGGGATCATGATTGCAATGATGTGAGAGCTAATGCCCGATGCGGCAGCCCCAATCCTTCCTCCTTTAGATTGGTCACTGCAAGGAGGCATGAAGGGAGCTATGGGGGGAATTTCGCTATGAAAGACCATCAAGGCATGGATGCTACTTTCAGGTCAGTTTTCTGAATACCTAAAAGTCCTTTGATTTATTTTAGCTAGATATTTTTCTTTCTTTTTTTTTTTTTTTTTTTTGAGACGGAGTCTCGCTCTGTCACCCAGGCTGGAGTGCAGTGGCACCATCTCAGCTCACTGCAACCTCCGCCTCCCAGGTTCAAGCGAGTCTCCTGCCTCAGCCTCTCAAGTAGCTGGAACTACAGGCACCCACTGCCATGCCAGGCTAATTTTTTTTTTTTTTTTTTTGTATTTTTAGTAGAGACGGGGTTTCACCATATTGGCCAGGCTGGTCTTGAATTCCTGACCTTGTGATCTGCCCGCCTCAGCCTCCCAAAATGCTGGGATTACAGGCGTGAGCCACCGCGCTTGGCCAGCTAGACATTTTTCTAAAATGCTTTATGTGCTTTCTTGTCATTTTTATCCAAGTATCATTTTCAGACATAGATTTTTAGAATTTAATGTCACCTTAGTAAACATCTAGAGTTATCAACTCATGGATGAGACTACTGACGCCAGAGAGCTATGGCAACTTGCCCAATGTCCCAAAGTCAGCATCAGAGCTAGGGCTGGAGCCCCGGACAGACCCCTGACACCCACTCTGAGGGGCATGCCACCAAAGCAGAATGCCTCTTGCGGCAGTGAACCCCTCCATGGTGCCTCGGGCCGTCTCTGTGTCCACCTGCTACACTCGCCTGCTGCCGTGTTGTGATGGCTCAAAGCCTTCTGGGTTCACTCCTTCTCCAAATAGTCTCTTTGACACTGTACATTTATCATTTCTGCCTAAGCTGTCTTTCCACTATTTTTTACTAAAATTTGCCTCCCTCATTGAATGTCAACTCTCATTTCTTGCTGCTTTCCAAGAGTCTACAAACAGAAACCACATTCTAGCTTTTCAATTTTCATGTCCCTGGGCTGGGAAACTAACCAAATAAGTGTGTTAGAATTGTGCATAAATTAAAAAACAAATAGTGGCTGAGCAATGGCCAGACTGTCAACCTAACGAGGAGGCTATTAATTGCCACTGCAACTGTATCCCCAGCACCCAGCAGAGTCTCTAGCACATGGTAAACTCTCAATAAATACCTATTGAGTGAATACATGAATGAATAAATGAAGAAATTCCAGGTGAGTTAAGGACAAGGATTGGGCAATTATACTTCAGCTGGTCCAACATGCTAAATTGAGCTGCAAATGGTGTAGTGTCCAGGTACCAACATCTTTTTTTTTTTTTGGCGGAGTTTCACTCTTGTTGCCCAGGCTGGAGTACAGTGGGGCAATCTCGGCTCACTGCAGCCTCCGCCTCCCGGGTTCAAGCGGTTCTCCTGCCTCAGCCTCCTGAGTGGCTGGGATTATAGACGTGCACCACTGCGCCCAGCTAATTTTTGTGTTTTTAGTAGAGGCAGGGATTCACCACCAGGCTGGTCTTGAATTCCTGACCTCAGGTGATCCACCTGCCTCGGCCTCCCAAAGTGCTGGGATTACAGGCGTGAGCCGCCACGCCCGGCCCAACATCTTAACCCCCTGTGGCATCACCCTGAGCACTTTCCCACCACCCTCTGTTCACACTCCCTGTGCAGGACTAGTGAGGGAAGGGAACTAACACATATGGAGCATTTGCTGTGTGTGAGGCACTGTGTTCAGTGCTCTACATACGTGGTTTCATTCAATCCTCAATCCTATGTGGAAGGTACTATGTTCGCCATTTTGCAGCAGAGGACCCTGAGACCCGGGATATTATATAACTTGCCCAAAGATCACCCAGTAAGTGAAGGAGCCTAGGACGTGCCAGGCACAGATTGGGTGCTTGATAAAAGTCTGATGTTATATAACTTGCCCAAAGATCACCCAGTAAGTGAAGGAGCCTAGGACGTGCCAGGCACAGATTGGGTGCTTGATAAAAGTCTGATGTTATATAACTTGCCCAAAGATCACCCAGTAAGTGAAGGAGCCTAGGACGTGCCAGGCACAGATTGGGTGCTTGATAAAAGTCTGATGAAGAATGGCCAGAGGTGGAATTGCCACCTAGGTCCAGCTGTGCCAAAGCTAGCATGCTTCCCGCCATACCCTATGGCCCACCATTGAGGGAGGGTATTTTGGACAACAGGAAGAATGTGGGTCTCCTGATGACCCCTGAAGGTTGACAGAGATAAAGCAGAGAGATTAGAGACCCTACAGTAAGGGGCCATGATTCCAGTTCAGGAATCCTCCCTCCCCTGTCTTAGCAGACAGGCATAAGCTGCCAGAGGGAATTGTAAATGTCACAGGATGCTGGGGAGCTTGTATTCTAGCCAAAGCAAGCGCATTTTTTTCCCTGGGCAAATCCTGCTGAGTCTTTCCCACCCTCACCCTGAGTCCTCTGGGCAGCCTTATCCAAAGGTCTCTGTGTAAGCGGGAGTCCAAGTGCCCGCTTCTTTGAATCCCATTCAGCAGGTAAACAGGAAGCACAAATCTCTTCCTAATGGCAGCCAAGATCGTAACCCTTGGTGAAAGACCCTCTGTGTTCCCATTCTGCTCCTAGAGCAAAGCCCACCCAGGGAGGGAGGGGCCCAGACCTGCCATTTGCAGCACACTTCAGGACATTTTCAAAATTGGCTCTTGTCCTTGGGCACTGGAGCATACAGGTAAAGGTAAAAATCCTTTGAACAAAGGAGGCAAAACTACCCAGGGTTAAGCCTTGGCTCTGTGACTTCACCAAGTTGCTGTGGTTCTGCAAACCCCAGTTTCCCCTTCTCTAAGAGGGAGCTAATGATAGCACCTGATGGGGTTGTTGTGCATTTTACTTTTATTTATTTTATTATTATTATTATTTGAGGCAGAGTCTCGCTCTGTTGCCCAGGCTGGAGTACAGTGGTGCAGTCTCAGCTCACTGCAACCTCTGCCTCCTGGGCTCAAGCAATCTCATGCTTCAGCCTCCTGCATAGGGATTACAGGGGACCATCACCATGCCTCACTTATTTTTGTATTTTTAGTAGAGACGGGGTTTTACCATGTTAGCCAGGCTGGTCTGGAACTCCTGACCTCAACTGATCTGCCCACCTTGGCCTCCCAAAGTGCTGGAATTACAGGCATGAGCCACCACGCCCGGCCTCTTGTGCATTTTAAATGAGATGAGGATATCATTGAGAATTATATCCTGACGTACAGATTTAATGCAAACCAAGCAAATTCTCAAAAAGAGTTTACTGCTGTCATTATTGTTGCTGTTGCTGTTAGTTCATAAACTAAAATTTCTATAAAAGGGCAAAGACCAAGGTATAGATATATAGGACCGAATATGAGGGAAAAGGTGGGGAACCATCCAGATTCATTAGAGTGCTGTAGTAATGAAGCACATGACATGCTGTATTGATACAGAGGTGAACAAATTAACCAAGATAAGTAAAGGAAATATGGAAAAAAACCCATGAATCCATGGCAACATGACACATGACAGAGTATTGTTTTTAATGAGATGAGGACTCCGCAGAGCACTGTGTGCTCTGGCCTCATTACGCCTTCATGCCTGGCAACCTCTATGCTGATTGATGTCCACGCCTTGTGGCTTTGCTCTGCTGTTCCCTTTGCCTAGAATGCTACCTCAAGGCTTCGTGCAGTCCCCTCCCTTTCTCAAGGCTCTGCTGAAGTGACATCGCCTCTCTCAAGGGTTCTCCAATCCCTGCCTGCCTAATACACCCCTACTCTAACCACCCCTACCCTCTCCTGTCAGCCTGGACACCCACCCTTCTGTCCTCACATAGCAAATCAATCCAATGTCAGTGACTGAGAGGCAGGTACCATGCTGGGCAACAGCAACACAAATAGAACCAGATAGATGTGGTCCCTGCCCTGCCAGAGCTTCTGAGTGTCTGGACAAGACACACAGTTCAAAGGCAATGCTCATATTGAGGAAGTACCTATGCCAGCTCTGAGGCACAGGGGAGGGAGGCCAGCCCTAGGCTTGGGGCTCAGGGAAGCCCCCTGCTGTAGGAAAGACTCAGTGGAACCCTGAGGATGAAGAGGAGGAGCTGGTGAGTGACATGGCCAGAAGCCATATTCAGACAGAAGGGATATTGTTCATGCCCATCTTTACGGCATCTGGCAGACTGTAGTGTAATTATGTGCCTACAAATCTGTCTCCTTTTCTAAGCTGCAAGCCCCAGCAGGCTGATAAGATATCCTGTCCACCTTTGTCACCACAGCTCGTACCCCAGTGCCTGGCATAAAGTGGGGAAGTGTCCAATACATGTTTGCTGAATTGATGAATGCACGATAGCAAATAATATGTGGGGAATCTGTGCCTGGCTCTGTGATGCCTGCAAGATGCAAGAGGTCAGAGGAGGCTGAGGTCACAGAAAGTGAGAAATAGCAGGGAAACTAAGGCTGGGGCTCAACCTCAAGATTGGAGAGATGCTTTCTGCATCTAGAAGTACTGACTGAACCAGCCAATCCTTCAGACAGGGTTTCTCAAATTTGGAGCAAGGTTCTTTGATGATTAACTGAACAAACAAGCTCTTTCTAGAGATAAAATGTTAGGTCCTCCACTCGGGTTCAAAAATGTAATTACATTTGTCCAGAAAAAAAAAAGGAGATTAGGCTTAAAAGCAGGTTGTATGAAAAAAAGAACTTGTAGTTTTGAGGCAGGAGAATAGTAGAGGGAAGTGAAGGGGCAGGTGAACACAAAGCAAGAGAAGAAGCAGAAGTTGAGCAGCCAAAACAAAAGGGAGATAAGCAAGTAAGAGACCCCATGGCCGGCAAGATCCAGACCAGACCAGTAAAGGTAAGCTTCTCAGAGATGGGCATGTGCACTAGAGAGAAAAAGTATACTTAAAATGACCCTGTATGGTAATTAGCTATTTAAGGTTCATGCATATGGACTGCATCTCATGCATGTACTTAAAATTATGGGATGGAGGCAACGCACAAGCACACAAGGGCCAAAGTAACTAAGCAGTCTATCAATCAAAAGGCAGATGCTGGCTAGAGATTAGGCAGCTCAGGAAGAGAAGAGAAAAAATAAAAGGCCATGAAATGTAACAAACTGGTGCTGATCTCATTTCGTAGAGGTCAGTCACTCTCCCACTCCAAGGGTGTGATACTGTACTTCATACACTCTTGATGCTTTGCTTTGCTATTTCTGTCATGTCCAATTGTTTGTGGCACCAAGAACCTGGAACTGAACCATCCAGTAACACTTTTACCTGATGGCAAGCTGGGCATGAAACACAGTGGGATTTTTTCCAGGCACAGCTCCCACAGCCCAGGGCAGCACTGTGGGACTCACGGCACTGCAGGTCCAGCACACCTAGAGCACACACCTGGAGCCCCCAGGCTCAGGACACTACAATGAAGGAAGAGGACAGTGAGGATGAGGAAGGCCAGGAAAGGGACTGGGATTTTTCCACCAGAAAAGAGAAGGCTCAATGGGTCCAGGATAGTCATGACAAGACCCTGCACGGGGCCATCATGAGAAAGCGATGTGCACACACCAGAGAACAATGGCGGTCCTGTGGGCGGCCGGAGATTTTGGTTCTGTGCAGAAGGAATGTCCCGACCTGTGATTATTCATAGATGGATGGTCCCCATGGAGGATGGTCTGCCAGCGATGGGTTAGGGCTGAGAAGACTCCTGCCCAAGGAGCAAATTGGGCTAAATTACCTCAAAAAGCAAAGAGCACTGGGCTTGGGGTCAGAAAAGTCATATTTCTCCCATCTTCAACCTGTGTGACTCTGAGCCTTCATTTTCTCACCTTTAATAATATCTGCCCTGCCTGTCTCCACTGGGTGCTTTGAGGGTCACATGACATGGTATCTATGAAAGCACTGTGTAAACTGCAAAGCCCTTTGGAACTACAAGAGCTGCCGTATTATTTCCTCTAAAGATCCTTTTGTGAACTGCACCCTGGGGCACCGGCTGGGCAGGCTTAGAAGCCTGCCCTTTCTCCTTGGGAGGCACCACCCCTGGCCTTATCCTCTGAGGCGCGCTCCCCTCTCCCCCAAAGCAGCACACATAGGCAACCACACACACCCTGCAGTTCACCAGCCCTCTGTGAGCTGGAGGCAGAGCTCTGCTTCCAGACCCTGGCTCAACCACACATCCATGGTTCACAAGGTGGGGAATGGGGAAACTGTTCAGAGGTGCTTGCACAGAGCAAGGAGGCAGTGAAACAGCCCACCTCTCTGGTCTCTCAGCTCCCTCCCTGCCCAGGCACTAGGGAAGCCAGTCAGGGCACAGTTCACTTGGGTATACCTGAATTCTAGAGGAATCTCATGCACCAACTCAACGCATTAGCTTCCAAACACACTGCCCCCTCGCAGGGGCTGTTTCCTCTCTGTAAGTGGAAGTGCTGGTGTCCTCGGAGAAGCCCCAAAGTTCCCAGCCTCTAGTGCACTAGAATGCAGGCTGTAGAGTGAGGCGATCCTGAACGCTGGCTTGGCCTCATGCTGGCAGTGTGACTTCAGTTACTCAACTTCTCTGAGCCTCAGTTTATTCACGTGTAACCCGGGGTTAACTGTGTTTATCTGTAGGCTCATTTGTGAGAACTAAAATAGATACTACGGAGAACTTGCTCAACACAGAGGTGCACAGTAAGTGCTTTTATTATTATCACCATCTCGGGGATCTTGGGAGTCTGTTTTAACCACGAGATCCCAGGGTTTTTCCACAGGGCAGGTTTTGATGGGGAAAAACTAAGGGTAAGAATATGGGGTCAAGGGGCCTGCAGGTGAATTAGGAAACGAAGAGGGGAATAGTCCCAGGGAAGAGCCGCGGGAACGCAGGCACTCCCAAGTCGAGGGAGTGCAGGCCCTGGGGGTGCAGGCACCAGGAATTGCCCCTCAAGTCACAAGGTGGGGTTCCGGCTCCCCTGGAAGTGGGGGACGATCCCTGAGTCCTGGGGTTTCCAGGCTAGGGGTTGGGGGAGCGTTTCCTGGGTCGTGGGGTTTCCAGGCCCCGGGTGCGGGCGCCTCGACCCCAGGGCCCCGAGCCTGACGCAGCCCGCCCCGCCCTCAGGCTCGCCAGCGCAGCGCTGGTCCATGCAGGTGCCACCCGAGGTGAGCGCGGAGGCAGGCGACGCGGCAGTGCTGCCCTGCACCTTCACGCACCCGCACCGCCACTACGACGGGCCGCTGACGGCCATCTGGCGCGCGGGCGAGCCCTATGCGGGCCCGCAGGTGTTCCGCTGCGCTGCGGCGCGGGGCAGCGAGCTCTGCCAGACGGCGCTGAGCCTGCACGGCCGCTTCCGGCTGCTGGGCAACCCGCGCCGCAACGACCTCTCGCTGCGCGTCGAGCGCCTCGCCCTGGCTGACGACCGCCGCTACTTCTGCCGCGTCGAGTTCGCCGGCGACGTCCATGACCGCTACGAGAGCCGCCACGGCGTCCGGCTGCACGTGACAGGCGAGGCGGCGTGGGAGCGGGTCCCCGGCCTCCCTTCCCGCCCTCCCGCCTGCCCCGCCCCAAGGGCTACGTGGGTGCCAGGCGCTGTGCTGAGCCAGGAAGGGCAACGAGACCCAGCCCTCTCCTCTACCCCAGGGATCTCACACCTGGGGGTAGTTTAGGACCACCTGGGAGCTTGACACAAATGCAGAATCCAGGTCCCAGGAAGGGCTGAGGTGGGCCCGGGAATAGGCATTGCCGTGACTCTCGTAGAGTGACTGTCCCCAGTGGCTCTCAGACGAAGAGGCGAGAAAGACAAGTGAATGGCAATCCTAAATATGCCAAGAGGTGCAATGTGGTGTGTGCTACCAGCCCGGAAAGACACTCGCAGCCCCTCTACCCAGGGGTGCACAGACAGCCCACCAAGTAGTGCCTAGCACTTTGCCAGACCCTGATATACAAAGATGCCTGAACCAGGGTCCCGTCCCTAGAGCAGTGGCTCTCCACTCTAGCCCCCACCCTGCTCTGCGACAATAATGGCCACTTAGCATTTGCTAGGGAGCCGGGACCTAGTCCAAGCACCCACAAGCATGAATTTGCCAAATCTTTTCAGCAACCTCTTAAGGCAACTGCTATCATGATCCTCACTTTACACATGGAGAAGCAGAAGCAGAGATGATAGAATCTTTCGCCCAAGGCCACATCTGTATTGGGACGGGGGCAGCCTGGCACCCAAGTGCCCATTCCTCCCTTCTGACCAGCCCCCACCCCTCCGGCTCTGGCGTCCAAAGGGCTAAGGGGAGGGGTGCCCTTGTGACAGTCACCCGCCTTCTCCCCTGCAGCCGCGCCGCGGATCGTCAACATCTCGGTGCTGCCCAGTCCGGCTCACGCCTTCCGCGCGCTCTGCACTGCCGAAGGGGAGCCGCCGCCCGCCCTCGCCTGGTCCGGCCCGGCCCTGGGCAACAGCTTGGCAGCCGTGCGGAGCCCGCGTGAGGGTCACGGCCACCTAGTGACCGCCGAACTGCCCGCACTGACCCATGACGGCCGCTACACGTGTACGGCCGCCAACAGCCTGGGCCGCTCCGAGGCCAGCGTCTACCTGTTCCGCTTCCATGGCGCCAGCGGGGCCTCGACGGTCGCCCTCCTGCTCGGCGCTCTCGGCTTCAAGGCGCTGCTGCTGCTCGGGGTCCTGGCCGCCCGCGCTGCCCGCCGCCGCCCAGGTGGGTGCGCCCCAGACACGGGTGGCCGCGAGGGGCCGGGCCGGGGCTCTCTGCTCTTAGATAAGACCACCTGGCTGACCCCCTGGCACTGCCAGAATGTCGGTTTTTTTGCCCTATGCATCGTGGCGCTTTCCTCTCTTTGCATGAAGCCCAGCAGGTGTAACCAGCACGAAAAAATCCCATTTTGCAATAAGGAAGCTGAGGCTCAGAGAGGTTAAGTAACCTGCCTTTTGATAGCAGCACAGAGATATAGAGACCCAGACCCGGTTAACTCTAGAGCCGTCCCTTTGCTACCACCCGGTAAACGATTCCTCTGGAGGGGCTCTGACTACAGACCTTCCTAAATAGCACCGTTCCTGAGGACCTACTATGTGCTGTGTGGGTGCTAGGAATACACTGATGAATATGGCATGGTCCCCTGCCCTGCAGTGCGTGCTGAGCGGTAGACAGATCATTGCAATGTGCTATGAGAAGGGCTCTCCTCAACCCTACCTCTGCAGAAGCCAGAGGAAGGTATGCCTCCCTCTGGTGGGGCATCTGGAGAAGGCTTCACACAAGCCGTGCTGGGAGAGCTAAATAAAAATATGTAAGTAGGCATGAGCTAGGAAAACAAGGAGAAACGCTCTTCCTAGCAGAGATCATGGTGGATTGACTAACAGGGTGTCCTGAGATTGCCACTCCTGCTGTCTCTGATCTGGATCAGAAATCTGCCCTGTGCCCCAGAGAGGGAGGGAGCTTCTTGGAGCCCCTCAGAACCCCCAGGTCCATAGCACTAGGCTCACACTCTAGTGAGATCAGACTTTGTCACAGTGGCCCTGGCTGCTGCTGTGGCCACAATGGCTTTCTTGCCCGTTTCTTGGAACTCATCAAGTGTTTTGTGCTCAGGGTGCTCAGAAGAACGGACTTTTTACTGGATTGCTCCTCAGTCCACCCCTCTCCTCACTAACTCCCCAGCAGGGTTCCATGGCACAGCTTCACACCCTGCTAGTCTGCTGTTTGCTTCAAAAACAGTGGTTTCCTCGAGACCCCTTCCACATGGCATGGGTGGGGGTGGGCGCACAGGCTGCAGACTGCGGTGGAGATTCATGCCTGCTCTCTTGCTGTCCCTCCCACAGAGCATCTGGACACCCCGGACACCCCACCACGGTAAGTGAGCTCCCCGCCTCCACCCTACCCTACCCCACCCACCTAGTCCTCATCACCCAGGGGGTCCAGGCAGGAGAAGGAATAAATGGCAAAGGGCTGGGGCTGGGGTCCTACTTTGACCAGGGGCTGGGCCTTCCTTGCAGCCCACCAAGGCACCCCTCTTGCAGCCTGCCAAGGTCTTCCCTGGACAGACCAAGCCTCGCTGACCTGCTCCTCCCCCACGACTCCAGGCTGTGTTTCTTCCTGTAGTTTCCCCTCCACATTCTTGAACAGGCAGATTCATACAAAAACCACATTGGGGACACTCATCCCCGTTCCCCCCTGGCACTCTGCTGAAGGCTTTGCAAACAAAATCTCTAGAGGTTCTGAGAGCCTAGGTGAGGGGCCCAGAGACCCCTAGGAAATCACTGACTCCTGGGTCATACTCTCCTCTTCTGTGGCATCCACCCATGTGAAGGCTGGTGTTGAAGGAGAAAGAACTCAATTCATAGACCCTGTACAGGCTGGGCCTGATCCTGGCAGAGGGTAGGAGTGGGAGGAGGAGCCTAGGCACTCCCATAACTCCACCCACCTGTGCCCTGAAGGCTGGAGGTGCCACACTGCTGGTGGCCCCACTCATCAGCTGCCTGCCGATCTCTCCACAGTCCCACAACCTGTCCTGTGTCCCTGTTTGCTGATTTACTGTCGCACCAACGCCCCTGAATCTGAAAGCCGACCGTTGTTCAGTCATTTAACAAATACTTATTGAGTACCTACTGCATACCAGGCACTGGTACTAAAGACACAGCAAGATCCCTGACCTCACAGAACTCATATCCTATTGTGGAGAATTTTAATAAATATGGAAACACGCCACCTGACATCGTAAAGTAAGAGCTGTGAAGGAAATGGACACGTGATGCAGCAGATTCCCTGGGGAGGGGGCCCGCTGCTGGGCTGAGGCTGCTTTAGATCAAGTTCTCTTGGAGGACATGACATTGAGGGGACCTGAGGATGGAGGCTGGGGCCTGGGCAGGTAGGAGCGGTGGAGTTCCAGAGAGCAAGCCCCACTAGAGTGTGGACGTAAGACAGGGACAGTAGGGGCAGCCCGGGAGAGGAAAAGGCAAGTAGAAAGACTCAGGTGAGGCCCAGAAAGGAGGCAGGCATTTCTGGAGGGTGGACGGGAGGAAGGCAGGAAAGGCGTGGGGGTTATTGTGGGTGCAATGGGAAGTCACTGAATGGTTTTAAGCGGACGCATGGCTCCATCAGAACAAGCTGGCCCAGGAGACTTGGTTGCAGGCCGTTGGCAAGGCTGAGGCTGGCTTGGCTGTTTGGACAAAGGTGCAGGGGTGGCGGTGGGGAAGTGGGTAGACGGGAGGCAGGGCTTGCCCAAGAGCCCAGTGGGCAGCACACAGTGTGAGAGGGAGCCAGGCTGCCGGGGTTGGGAGCCTGAGCCCTGGGTCCCACTTCCTGAGATAAAGACAAGAGGAGAAGAGAGTGGGGCGGGTGTGAGGGTCATGCGTAGCACAGTGGACATTGAGATTTGAGATTCCCACTGAGATGTCCTAGGGGAAGTCAGGAAAGCAGTTGGGGACCAGGAGGCCAGGCCGGAGATTCCGATTTGTAGGTCAGGGACATGGAGCCAGTCTTGAGGCCTCAGACAGAGATAGCAACTCTATGGTCTGGGCTGCCCTGGCCTTTGGGGGCCCCTCCCTATTCCTGACTCTGCCCAGCCTCCGATGCCATTCATCTCTGAGCCCTGCCGGTTCCAGCCGCACTGCTCCCCAGAATGTCTCCTCTTCTTGGCCCACTGCTGGCATATAGTTTGGGCAGTTGTGGACCTCCCACCTGTTTGGATGATCATTCAACTTTCTCCTGTCCACAGGTCCCAGGCCCAGGAGTCCAATTATGAAAATTTGAGCCAGATGAACCCCCGGAGCCCACCAGCCACCATGTGCTCACCGTGAGGAGTCCCTCAGCCACCAACATCCATTTCAGCACTGTAAAGAACAAAGGCCAGTGCGAGGCTTGGCTGGCACAGCCAGTCCTGGTTCTCGGGCACCTTGGCAGCCCCCAGCTGGGTGGCTCCTCCCCTGCTCAAGGTCAAGACCCTGCTCAAGGAGGCTCATCTGGCCTCCTATGTGGACAACCATTTCGGAGCTCCCTGATATTTTTGCCAGCATTTCGTAAATGTGCATACGTCTGTGTGTGTGTGTGTGTGTGAGAGAGAGAGAGAGAGAGTACACGCATTAGCTTGAGCGTGAAACTTCCAGAAATGTTCCCTTGCCCTTTCTTACCTAGAACACCTGCTATAGTAAAGCAGACAGGAAACTGTTTACAGGGCCTGGAGGCCCAGTCTTGTCCTCCTCTGTCACCGACTTGCTGTGTGGACCTGGGACACTCTCTTCACTTCTCTGGGTCTCAATTCATTTACTGTTGAACACGGACAATCATATTCTTCCCTCCTGGCTGGGAGGACTACAAAGATCTGAGGAAATAATGGATATGAAGGGGCTTTGGAAAGTACAAAGCCATCTTCTCATGAGGGGCATGACAGAACCCTCTTTGCAGAGTGACCTTTGGACGTGCAGTCAGTTCTTGGAGAAGTGTGGCCCCTGCAGCAGTGTCACGGAGAACACAGAGTTCCAGAGAGCAAGCCTGGGGCAGGGGCTGTGCAAACGTGTGGTCAGAGGAACATCAAATCCTGGAAACTTGGTGGCAGGGAGAGGCCTGGGGCCTTTACCCCATGCCCCCTGGGATCTCCACTGTGACTGTCCCACACCCTCTGCCCAACTCTTGCCCCATCAGCTGCCCTGCATTGCCTTGAGCTGGGACCCCTAGGAAATGGAAACCAGGCTCCCCTCTCTCAAGGTATCTGGGAACCACTGTCTCAGGAGCTGAAGCCGGGAGACCTGAGGGGAGGTCTGGCCGGAGAGTCCGTGCGTAAAGCAGCTACAGCTCTGACCTCTCTGACCTGCAGCCTCTCAGGGCGTGCGAAGTCCAAACGCACTGGCAACTTCACCCCCTTTGCCCTAACGCGGGCAGGCTGACTTGGAGGGGTGCTTCCCTATTTACACCTCAGGGTGAATTTGTTGATCACCTTAGCTCCTGTGGTCCTTGGGGCTTAGGGAGAGGAGGGAGGCATGCCTGGGTCCCAGGTAAGCTGGCAAGAGGAAAGGGCCACAGGCTAGGGGAATAACGAGGCCATGAACAAGACATCTCACCCCAGTTACAATGGCTTTTATCCAAAAGACAGGCAATGACAAATGCTGATGAGAAAGTGGAGAAAGAGGAATCCCCATATACTATTGGTGGGAATGTAAATTAGTATAGCCACTATGGAGAACAGTACAGTTTCCTCAAAAAACTAAAAATAGGCTGGGCGTGGTGGCTCATGCCTGTAATCCCAGCACCCTGGGAGGCCGAGGCAGGTGGATCACTTGAGGTCAGGAGTTCGAGACCAGCCTAGCTAACATGGTAAAACTCTGTCTCTACTAAAAATACAAAAATTAGCTGGGCGTGCTGGCACGTGCCTATAGTCCCAGCAACTTGGGAGGCTGAGGCAGAAGTATTGCTTGAACCCAGGAGGCAGAGGTTGCAGTGAGCTGAGATCACCCCACTGTCCTCCAGCCTGGGCAACAGAGAGACTGTCTCCAAAGAAAAAAAAAGAAATAGAACTACCATATGATCCAGTAATCCCACTGCTGGGTATCTGTCAGCAAGGAAATCAGTATATTGAAAAGATACCAGTACTCCCATGTTTACTGCAGCACTATTTGCAATAGCCAAGATATGGAATCAGCCTAAGTGTCCATCCACGAATGAATGAAGAAAATGAACACACAATGAAATATTCAGCCATAAAAAAAAAAAATGAAATCCTGTCGCTTGCAACAACATGGATGGAACTGGCAGCCATTATGTTAAGGGAAATAAGTCAAGCACAGAAAGATAAATATCGCATGTTCGCACTCACATGTGGAAGCTAAAAAAAGTTGAAATTGAACTCATGGAGTAATAGAATAATGGTTACCAGGGGCTGGGAAGGATAGCAGGGAGCGGGCGATAACGTGGGGATACTTACTGAGAACAAAATACTGTTAGAACGAATAAGATCTAGTATTTGCTAGCACAAGAGGGCGACTATAGTTAACAACTTATTGTATATTTTAAAATAACTAAGAGTGGAATTGGAATGTTCTTAACGGTAAGTACTTGAGGTGATGGATACGCCAATCCCTGATTTGATCATTGCACATTGTATGCCTGAATCAAAACATCACATGTACCCTATAAATATATAAATACATATACCCATACTAATTAAAAATGTTTTTTAAAAAAGAGGCAGTGATGCTTTTTCCAGGGAGACGGTCTGAAGGTCAAGGGATCTTCACAAGATCTTCACAAGTTATTATGCAGGCCAGTGGGTTGCAAAGCTCCACTCCTCACCAGAGCCTTCACCAGGGCAAGAGGTGGCTCCTAATTAACCTTGGGATTCATCCAGGAGCCTGTCTGAGCTGTTAAGAGGTCACAGGAGCAGGCTTGTGTACCTCCTTGTATGGGGATGCTTTGGGGCACCTCTATGGAAAGTCCTGCATGACCAGGGAAGAAGTTAAGGACACAGGAGTGGTGTGTATTGGAACATCTGCCTGGTCTTTGAGGCCAGTTTCACAGCCAAGAAAAATTGCAATAGGAATTATTTCTTAAGTATCTGCTTTGTGCTCTATCACCTCAATACCATTACCACATTTGAGATCATTAACATGAATGCAGTATCATTTTACAGTCCGTATTCAGATTTCCACGACTGTCTTCAAAATGTCCTTTTGAAGTTTGTTGTTTCTAAGCAGGAAGCAGTTGACTCCAGGTGATTCTTAAGCTAACGGTTGAGACTGCAGCTCTGGGTGCACCTGGCATTGGCATGATGGTGCAGATGTGTAACGGTGCCAGGTAATCAGCTGGTGCTAGCTGATACATACCCTTCTGCGGTACTTGCATTTTGAAGAGGGCTTCTTGGGACTGGAAGAAGCGCCATTCCTCAGAGAGACATGCCTCTGTTGGCATGGTTTCAGATGCAGTGAGAGGCTGTGGGAAGCATGTTGAGGAGGGTCGGCCAGCTGGCACCCCCTTTAACAACGGCACACAGTGCACAGGCAGCCCCCAGCTTGGCCTCCTGATAAAGCCGCTGCTCCTAGGGTCAGAGGGGAGGGTGGTGAGGGGACAGCACTCGGCCCTCCCCAGACCCTCTGGGCTGCTCTTGGAGCCTGGCACTGTCCCTGTAAGAGGTCTGGGTGGAGCAGAGCTGCCTGTCTTCCCCCACCCACCCTCTCAGAGTACTCAGGCTCTGTCACTGGCAACAAAGACCAGAGACACGAGCGGCAGGCTGAGTCAGCATGGTGTCCTGCGGCACGGAGTCAAGGAGAGAAATGACCCAGAAGACTCGGTGTTTTCAAGATTGGACTTCCTGTTGTAGTGCAGGGCACAGCGTTCCATGAACATGCTCTTCCCAGGGGCTTCTGACAGGCAGGCTGCGGCCTGCAGGCTTTGCTCTGTGGTCAATGCCCACCAGACTTTGAAGACAGCAGTGAGAGGAAGTGGCCGGCAACTACCTGGGTGATCTCCTGGGTCCACCAGGAGCCCAACACACTTTCCCTGCTGCCAACTGAAATTTAAAACTAGATGTAGCTACGTGAGAAGAAACCACCCAGGGGATAATCTATGGTGAAAGTAGGCCCTGCCTTGAGATGGAAATGAGTTGGCTGGAGACACCATGGGCTGAGTTTTCACTTGTACCTCACTGGTCAGACAGGACAAGAGAGCCAGGGTCAGGGTGGGTGCTTGGTCCCCCACCAGTCACAGAAGCCTCAGGCTGGAAGGCTCTTTAGACAAGAGTCAAGCGTCCGGGTTTTGTCCCGGCTCCAGTGCTGGCCACTAAAGTCCAGTCCCACCCCCTCTTCAATAACAGCCCCTCATGTTTCTGGGCCCCCTGTGATCCTCAAAGCCCTGTAAGATCCCAGTGGAGGTCAGGGGCGGTGGCTCATACCTGTATCACTTTGGGAGGCCGAGGTGGGCGGATCACCTGAAGTCAGGAGTTCAAGACCAGCCTGGCCAACAAGGCGAAACCCCGCCTCTACTAGAAATACAAAAACTAGCCAGGCATGGTGGCAGGTGCCTGTAATCCCAGCTACTCGGGAGGGTGAGGCACAAAAATTGCTTGAACCCAGGAGGTGAAGGTTGCAGTGGGCCGAGATCGCGCCACTGCACTCCAGCCTAGGCAACAAGAGCAAAACTCCCTCTCAAAAAAAAAAAAAAAAAAAAAAAAAAGATCTCGGGGGTTCTAAGAGCCCAGCAGGTAAGACTGGAATTATACTCATTTTAAAATGAGGAAAAGCCCCCAGGGAGGAAAGAGATCTTGTTACCAGAAAGGGGTCCCGATCCAGACACTAAGACAGGGTTCTTGGACCTCGAGCAAGAAAGAATTCAGGGTGAGTCCACAGTGCAAAGCAAAATCAAGTTTAAGAAAGTAAAAGAGTAAGAAAATGGCTACTCCATAGGCAGAGCAGCCCCGAGGGCTGCTGGTTGCCCTTTTTTTTGGTTATTTCTTGATTATATGCTAAACAAGGGGTGGCAAAGAAAGACCAAGAGAGAAAAGGGCTGTCTTCAGAAGAGAAGCATTTTCGGAGAAAGATCGTTTCTTTCAGAGGGTCCCCACAAAGATGCCCACTGGTCTGGAGACAGCTAACTTGGCTGCTGCACTAGAAGGAAGTGAGACAACCTGCCTCTAGGCCACTTTCCAACCCTTCAATCTTGTGGTTCCATCTGGTTTAAAAAGCTGCCAAGCTTAGACAAGGGTGAGGGAGACATACCCCACTCCCAGAAAGGCCTGTCCCTAAGGAATCCCAAATTGGTTTAATTCTCAAATGGAATGTGCAGACCCTTCTCCACACCTTGGCCCATTCAAAGTGCATCTTACAAATGTGAGTGAAAAATAACACTAAAGAGAACTCCCTGGGCATCCCACCACTGAAGGTGGATTTCCCCAGCAGACCATGACCAAGCTGGGGTTACACTGCCAGAAGCACCCCCACTCCCACCTCATTTGTGCAATTTTTATGGCCCTGCTCTTACCAAGCTCAAGGCCACATCACAGACCCTCCTGACCTCTCTGAGATCAGCAGGTGGCCTCCTGTCCCTGCCAATTCTGAAATTCTCAAGTTAAAACTTCTCTTTGAAATTAGAGGCCTCGCCCATCGTGGTGAAAGGTCACAAAATAACTATTCTATCCATTACGAAGTTTCTCATATAAAATTTTTCTTATTGTGGTTTAATGTATGAAAAGACTGTCAACCAACTTGCAGGAAACAATGAGACAGGCCCGCCATGTGTAAATTAAATTCGAATCTAGTTTATTTGCAGAATTTTACTTAACCAGTTGTCATTTCTTCCTGTTTCTCACCATTATATAAAAACTTACCCTTTGTACAAGTATGAAAAATGTGGAACAATGAATAAGTAGTGAATATTGCACATTTAATGTCCAAAATAAAGTTGTGGTTTTTAAAGGTCACACTAGATATGTGGGAAGAAAACGAGTTGAACACACTTAAGTATGTGTCTCCACATAAGTGATTTTAAACTATTGAAAGAAAAATAAATTCTATCAGTGCTCAATGAGAGACAGTACATCTGTACATTAAAAAATAAAAGTTATAATCAACAACATTCCTTCGCAATTTCATTATCCCAAAAGAGGATCAGTAGTATAATTATTTTTTTTTCAAGTTATTTTCATCAGGAATCAGGAACCTACCAGAGTGAAGGAAACCTCAAATACAGCTACTCCTGGACACTGATGCCCGAGGCATGCTGTGGAAACCGGACCAAAATGAAGTCTGCGTTAGTAAGTCTAGAACTTTACCCAGCACAACCCAGACACAAATGGAAGATGGTAGAAGGGGATACTTTCTTTTAATCAACACACTTATTTCCCAACATTATATTCTCCATTTTGCTTAATAAGACAAAGTTAACTGATCAGAAAAATGATCAGCTACTATCTCAAAATGAGCTGTACAGTTGGCCCAAAATGAAGAGCAGGCAGTAGTAGAGGATTAAGGGCAAAGTGCCTTGTTGTTAGGCCTGTCATGAAGATGTGGGGTGAGATCTGTCTTGGGCAACAACTGATATTAAGCTGAGGTCTGCAGTCTCAACTTGCCACTAGCTTAATGTGCCTCCCATGGGGCACAGCTACTGAAAGCTGATGCTGCCCAAGCATTTAGGGAGATAATTATGCCACTTGGACCACACTGGTGCGACTCTAACCCCAGGGCTGGGGCCAGAATGAGGTAAAGGAGGCACCACGGGGGTAAACCCAAGGAAGCACTCTCTTGGCACCTGCAAGCAAGCACCAACTTAAATGTATGCCCCAGGTGCCTCATTTGTCTCACCCTAGCCCTGGCCCTGCTAATCCGGGGCACACCCCTTTTAGGATAACACGGACTAATTTGGACACTTTCCCCAAACCGTAGCCCAGTTAGACATGATGGTGGAAAAGGTCTAACTAAAGACATTGCAGGGGAGATGGGCGCGGTGGCTCACGCCTGTAATCCCAGCACTCTGGGAGGCCGGGGCGGGCGGACCACAAGGTCAGGAGTTTGAAACCAGCTTGTCTCAATGGCTGGGTGAAACCCTGTCTCTACTAAAAAATACAAAAATTAGCCGGGCGTGGTGGCATGCACCTGTAGTCCTGGCTCCTTGGGAGGCTGAGGCAGAATAGCTTGAACCCAGGAGGCGGAGGTTGCAGTGAGCCGAGACCATGCCATTGCACTCCAGCCTGGGTGACAGATGAGACTCGTCTCAAAAAAAAAAAAAAAAAAAAGACATTGGGGGATTTAGCTTGGATTTAGCCTAAGAGGTGAGGGGTGGGGTGGAAGTGGTGTTAGACATGTGATGAAAACTGAAAATATCTAAAGGTCTGCCTCAAGGAGGGGCAAGTGAACAGCCCCAGCCTGAACTGCTCTGGACAGAACCACGACCAATAGGCAACGTAGAAACATCTTGGTTCAATAGAAAGCAGAACTACAGAGCCTGCGGATGGCAGCCTAGGCCTGCCCATCACAGGCTGGACCACCAGGCACTGGACAGGGGCAGAGGAGAGGCAGGAGGATCCCTGCAGAGTGAGAGGGGCACTAGATGAACGTGAATGACCCTTCTGACTGTAAAAGTCTACGATTCCAGGACATTTGCTTCCTGCTCCAGAAGAAAGAATTTCAGGAATAAAAACTCAGTGAAAAAGTATATATCACCTTCATTTGAAAGGAACGAGGACATGAACACTCTTGGCTTGTATGACATGTACACACTGATTTTGATGATGAACTGAGAGGAACCAGGAGGCCGTCACTTGGTTGAAAGGAAGTTAGGCTGGTCTATGGGTTTTCATTTTCTGGACTAGGCTTTCCCCAACCTCAAAGAAGTGAGAGACGCAGGCACACAACCCCAGTGGGGCAGAGGCATGCGATGTCTGAGCCAACAAAGGATGGTGAGACTGAGAAATGAGTCACGCCTTGGAGCTGAGGTCCCGAGTGTGCAGGAAGGAGCTTTGGAAACATGTACAGGTGGGTCCCGAATCCACTGCTACTGTCATGCTATGTAGACAGTTGTGTAGACACATCTGGCAGGACCTCCCTCCCTCTATGTCTGGTGTGTTCCAGCATTCTGCCCTTCACTTGTTCTATTAATAGGCAGTGGGACAACATGATTCCGGGATGCAGCCTGCCTCTGCAACCCACCTGTGCACTGCAGCATGGGGAGTGATGGAGAGGGAGAGAGATGTTTTTCATGGCAACCAGAATCCTGCCTCCTCCTGCTCCCAGGAAGCTGTTAGACATCTTTATTTGGTCCCGATGCCACTGTTGGCCACCCTGTGGTGAAGTCTGGAGCCTGCAGCCGTTCGCCCTCCACGCTGCTCAGTCCACAGGGCCTTGGTCTTGCTTGATTCCCGTCTTGATGTGCGGCACCCATCACTGATTCTGAAACCACAGCCCCGTGCTCTCTGGAGGCCAACAATTTTTTCAAGCCAAGGCTCATTACCCCTGCAAGCCAACAGGCGGGCTGGTCTCTCTGCCGCCCTTCTTTCCCAGGAGGCTACAGCAGCATGGCCATGTCTGAACTAGCTCAGTGTCTTTATAGCACGTTCCTAGCCCAGAGTTTCCCATAGACACCTAGGAGTTGAGTCAACCTTCCAAGGTTAAGCAAGAAAGAGTTAAAGAGGAAGCGCTTTCACTGACCATCTCTGATTATTAATGAAGTTCAATGTCAAATAAATTAAATGACATCAGGCATAAAAACCTACAGCAACTTTAACAGCTGAAACACTTTACAAGATAGTGTGATATCCCTATAATTTGGTTTTTAAACAGTTACAACCAAAGATAAATGATTTTATTTTTTATAATTTTTACAGACCAAAAAACATTATACAGATTAATCATAATTTTCTTTAAAATGTGCATACTGTCACTCAAAAATTTCACATCCTAGGATATCAGTAATTATATCCTCCTCAAAGAAAACACAAAATATTTCCAAACAAAAATCGCTGTTGCCAGATCAGACTATTAAATTGTCCACAGCTTCTCAAATTTTCTTATACAGAGAACAAGATGATTAATTTTGAAAACGGAGAGAAGCAAAAATAAGAAAAGCTGAGACAGATCCCTCTGAGACGGACATTTTGTGGCCTGTAAAACTCAAGAGACTAAACAGGGATGTTCTTTATCAGAGCTGCAAAGCGTGTCTTTAAGGCAGAATCGTTCTGTCCAAGTAAAGAAATTCAAAGTAAAGAAAAGCTCCTACCAACTTCCCAATTTTGGGGGAAGCATTCCAAAAGGACATTTGAGGAGAGATTAGCACTCTGTTAACTATATTCCTATACCCCTATAAACATTCTTGGTGGCTGTTTAGACATTTTTAGGTAAATATTCTCAGGCTACAGACTACCCATACACAAAGACATATTAAGCCAGCTATGCAGGCAAAATCCATCTAGAGCTGATAGAATGAGGAACGTGGGAACAGAAGTCAAACTGCTCATTCCCAGGAGAAATAACATGAGCAAGAAGATGGCCACAGAACAAGGCAAAGTTACACACAGGCTTTGGTAATGAATGAACTGTCAACAACAGAAGGCACGTGGCTATGGAAAAAAAGCCAAATTTCAGTAGATCTCCCGACCTGACCCAGTTTCCACAGACAAGTGTTTCAGCAGGTCCATTGGCTTCATCTGAGTTTGAAGTTAAAAAACAAGCAGGGAACAGAGAATCAGGTCTTCAGTCTCCCTCAGTCTCTGTCTCCTGACACTGAGCCTTTCAGATATCGAACATGGTGTCTATCAAAGGGTGCAAACTTAGGTGTCGACAGGGGCAAGTGATGTGAATGAGGCTAGGGTCAGGGCCCGAGGGAATGCACAGACTCTCCCGACTAGAGAGAGGCAGCCCTGTCTGCACTCCTCACCAAGTGGACCAAACAAAACATCTGTGCAAAACATGCTCCTCCCAGACTGCCAGCTTGCCATCCTGATTCAGACAGGCAGCTTCTCCATGAGGATACACGGCTGGATGGAAATTGACTTGTCATCATCTCTACTGCCCACTATAATCACGATCAAGTGGTCGTATTTTACACATGACCCACTTTAACTAACTCGGCATTTTTATCTCCCTTCTGAGAAAAACAATACTTTAAAACTATTGTATTTGTCCACATTTGAGAAATGCAGAAATTTTTCAAAATTGACTTCTTTACTTTGGAGGAACACAAATGGGGTTTAAAAGTAAGGGTACTGAGTGACTTCCAAGGTTGTCAGATCTGGAACATTTACATAAAACAGAGACAGAAGTGGAAACATACAAAGAACTCCATCTGGAGGTCTTGTGAGATGACTGGGACATTCGGCAACTGTGAGTGGCTCTGCACCCAAGTGGAACTTAGTAAGTTTCTCTTGTGGATAAATATAAAAACTTAAAGAGTCCCCAGAAGGTCTTAAGAGCTAAGAAAACACACACACACACACACACACACCCCAAAATTATCTAATATCTAACGCCTCCCAACTTGCATCTCAGTCAACTACACATTGGCCAAACTGAGCTCTACAGTGCAATTGAGCAAAGTTACTTGTGCAACAGCAAAGTTAAATGTAAACATAAACAGCAATGGGTTTTTCAAGAGCCTCAGTGTTAACTATCGTATGTGGTCCAAATAATGCACTTCTGGATACAGACAGTTAACGAGAAGAGCCAAGAAGCTTTTCCCATCTTGAAGGCAATGGCCAGGATGCCTTATAAATTGGGTGGCTTGCAATATTTGATCCTGGTATTCAACATACTGCTTACTTGATGCCATGGATTCAAGAGCATTCAGAGCCTAAAAGACACGGAAGATGAGAGGGTTAACTCCATAGAGGCACATAATGTGACTGCCAGAGGTACAGCACACCCATTATCACTGTGTACTTCAACTGTGAGCCTTGTGGGAAGGAGGCCTACAGAACTGAGGCCAGGAGTCCGGAAGGCAGGCATTGATTAACTTAACCACAACCAGAAGGAGGCCAGCAGCCCAAGCCTCTGTGGCCTTTGCAGCATCCCACACCCAGCCTTCCCTGTTTCTGTTCTGTGCCATTTCCCAACCTTGCCTTACCAAGAGCCACTGCTGTGGCAGGCTGCTCTTGTTGCTGGGCGCCTCACCTGCCACACCGATTTCTAAAGCCTGCCTTGTCCTCGTTCTCCCCAGTCCCACCTGTGGGGTCCTCCCCACCAGATTGTCCACTCCTTCCGTTCTAGGGCGCAACCGGAAATCCCAGGCACCAGCCTCATCTTGCTAAGGTGAAATCTGTTCAATCTGCTGTTGGGTATGTTCCTAGGTTATGAGATAATGTTATATGAAACTGTCTAACGGAAAGGAATTCTAGAGGAACCAGTTGCTAAGTGCTGCCAAGAGTAAGTGAGAAGGTTGTTAAATCAGCCAACAAGCATGAAGTACATAGGTTCCTCCCGAATCCATCTGACAAATGACACAAAATCATGGCAGAAACTGTTTCCATGCCTCTCTTCAGAGGAAGGAAAGAAAAGCATTCTTTGACTCCAGAATTTTGATTATTCCTTTCTTCATAGTAGGAGAAGAGAAGGGGAAGAGACTGTATATGGAGAAAACAAAAAATCAACAATGGCTCTTGATTTTTGGGGTGAGGAGTTTTGTTTTCCAACTTAACAAGCTCATCCACCCCAGGATTCTGACGGTGTTCCCCTCCTCACTGGGGCACATCCCCCACCATGGAGTGCCCCACTCCCTCCTTGTCCCTTTTACAGAAACCACTGCACTAGAAAATATGTATTAAAAGATGGAATGTGCTTGATTCAAAAACCATAAGAGAGGGGATTTTTTTGAGGATGATAAATAAACCAGAATTTTAGAAATTAACTACCAGGAGGGCTGTAGATGGAAGTCTTTGGGCTGAAAATAAACTGAAGGTATCTGGGTACCAAATTAAGAGCTATGTAAACAGAGTTCAATTTAAGAATAGGAATCAACTGGGACAGGCATTCCCATGAATCACAGTGTCCCTCTGTCTCTCTCCCTCTCTTTTCCTTCTTTAAATTTAGTCCCCCAAACAGTCTACTTTGACAGTTTGCCTAACGATAATCATTTTCTAAAAAGACAACTTTCTTCAAATCTGAAAATCCTGATGACAAGTATGTATGGGACATACAGGGAGTCATCACTTTAAGTCCAAAGAAATGAAGGCAAAGAGGCCAGGCCTGGGCAGCCCAGGGCCCCAGCTAAAGCAAGAAACTGATGCTGCAGGTACTGGTGGCCACAGGAGACGTAGTCTTCTCAAATACACCCTGCATCTCACTGACTTCACAACCTGCCCTCAGGATATTCATCTGCCCACTGGGATGTTTCATGTAAGACAATAGGGGATTCAAACAGCAGCTGTCTAGGCAATGAGTGACAACTATCAGCTATTTTATAAGCCCAGATCCCTGTGGAGAACCTGCTAATCTGCTAATTATTCTGTCTGATCCTTGCTCTTAATAACCAAGATCTGACATTGCATGTGGCTGGCTTAGACATGACAAAGTTGCCCCAGCAGAGGAGCTAAGGTGTTCAAGCTCTGAGCACTTACAGAGACAGCCCTGCAGAGCAGGGAATGGGAGAGGCCTGGAGCCAGACTGGCCAGTGCGACTTCCAGCCCCAACACTTACTAGGTGTGTAATTTGGGACAAATTACTTAGCCTTTCTCTCTCTCTCTCTCTTTCCTCATCCAAAAAACCAGGATAATAATAGTTCCCAGCTGGATGCAGTGGCTCATGCCTGTAATACCAACACTTGGGAGGCTGAGGCTAAGAGGAACGCTTGAAGCCAGGAGTTTGAGACCAACCTCAGCAACAAAGCGAGACCCAGTCTCTACAAAAAAAATTTTTAATTAGCCAGGAGTGGCAATGCATGCCTGTAGTCCTAACTACTTGGGAGGCTGAGGTGGGAGGATTGCTTGAGCACAGGAGTTCAAGGCTGCAGTGAGATATGATCACACCATTGCACTCCTGCCTGGGCAACAGAATAAAACCCTGTCTTAAAAAATAAAGTCGTTTCTGTGCTATAGCATTGCTATGAGGATTAAATGAGTTAAAGCTTTAACTCACTAATATTGGTCGAGTTAAAACTTATAATAGTACCTGGCACAGAGGGAGTACTCACGAATGCTGATCATCATTTTTTACTGTGCACCTTTGTACCTGGCCAGCATGTCCATAGGTTATAGGAATGTGGCCTTCCATGTTTTTAGAAGAAGCTATAATTTCTAGCTACCATTCTGTCCATGTTAGGTTATTCTAGCATCAGCCAACAATAGTCAACCTTCAGACTCACAAAACAGGAACTACTTTCTCGGTTCCAAGCTAAAGCTCAGCTAATTTCCATCCATCCCAACTGTAGCCACATCTTCTGTGCGAGATCCCAGTCCCCAGCTCCAGCCCCTGCCCCAGCCCAAGCATGTGGTAGATAAGTGCATATTCACACTTATCAGAACCAAATTTAATGCTAGACAGACTTTTCGTTTGGCCTTACTTTTCTACAATGACAGTAGCAGCGATCTAGACAACTGCCTACAAAAATTTGGAGGTTGGCACATGAAACCATTTTCCCGTAAGTAGGGCACATGAAAGGGAACACTGTGCTACCACCACAGAGCATCATGTCATGACGCGCACAGGCTACGGCTGCCACCTCCCTGCCTTCTAGGGAAGATGTGCAGGCAAACTTCTAACCCTTCATTGTATATACTGACCTGCTGAGCTTTGGGGGTCAGATGTAATTCAGAGCCAGGCCTCAAACGGATCTGATCTTCCATAGGAACCTGAACTGAAAGGAAGGCAGCCATGCTTCGGGCAACCACTCGGAACCTTAGGCATTAGGGAGAGGTCAGAAGAAGTAAATGGCTATTAAAGTAAGCATTTTGAAATAAACACCATATTTTCTATGACATAAAAAGATGAACACATTTCCAGATCTACTGTGTTGTTCACCTTCTCAGGAAAATCTTAAATATGATCAAGAAGAAGTTTTATCCATTATCACCATCCAAACAATATATGTATAATTCAGATTCAAGAATGAAAGTGTTGGCAAAGATGTGGAGTAACTGGAACCCTTGCACATTGCTGGTGGGAATGTAAATGGTGCAGGCACTAGGGAAAAGAGTTTGGCAGTTCCTCAACAAGTGAAGCATAGAGTTACCATAGGACCCAGCAATTCTGCTCCTAGGTATACACAAAAAACTAAAAACAGATGTTCTAACAAAAACTGGTATACAAATGCTCATAGCAGCATTATCTGCAATAGCCAAAAGGTTGAAACAATCCAAATGTCCATCAGCTAATGAATGGATAAACAAAATGTGGAATACAAAGGAATATTATTCAGCCATAAAAACAAACGAAGTATGGATACATGCTACAACATAAATGAACCTTGAAAACTTTATGTTAAGTGAAAAAAGTCCAACATAAGGGGCCACACATTATATGATTCCATTTATATGAAATGTCCAAAATAGGATTCAATACATAAAGTCATAATGTCAATTAGTGGTTACTAGAGACACGGGGATTAAAGGGAATGGAGGTGACTACTTAATGAGTGTAGGGCTTCCTTTTGGAGTGATGAAAATGTTCTGAAGCTAGATTGTGGTGATGGCTACAACAACATTGTCAATGTTCTAAATGTCACTGAATTGTGCATATAAAAATGGTTACCATGGAAAGTTTTAAGTTATGTGTATTTTATCACAATTAAAAAGAATAAAAGACGCAAGCCAAATTTAAGTAAAACAAAATCTCGCAGTCCTGCTATCTTCCACCGCAAACAAAAAAACATGACGTTAACTGGTTTGGAATGAGTGAGTCCCAAAGTTACAACATCACAATGGGCTATTCCACAAGAATGCTGACATCATCAAGTTTGCAAACTCTTTTCAACACTGACAAGGGCTTGAAAAGGAAACCATGATGTAAGTAAGTATTATGAGAGAAAACAGGAGCTAATGGCAAATTCTTCCATGCCTTGGGATTTTTTGCAACAAAAATCCAGACTTGCTTCTCATTACTTATCCTTCTTACCAACAGGCCTTTTATTCATTTTTTCTGTTTTTTTGAGACAGAGTCTTGCTCTGTTGGCCAGGCTGGAGTGCAATGGTGTGATCTCGGCTGACTGCAACCTCTGCCTCCTGGGTTTAAGCAATTCTCCTGCCTCAGCCTCCTGAGTAGCTGGGACTACAGGTGCTTGCCACCACACCCAGCTAATTTTTATATTTGTGTTTATTTATTTATTTATTTATTTATTTTTAGACAGGGTCTGACTCTGTCACCTAGGCTGGAGTGCAGTGGCATAATTTCAGCTCACTGAAACCTCTGTCTCCCGGGTTCAAGCGATTCTCCCACCTCAGCCTCCAGAGTAGCTGGGACTACAGGCATGTATCACCATGCCCGGCTAATTTCTGTATTTTTTGGTAGAAACGGGGTTTCACCATGTTGGCCAGGCTGGTCTCGAACTCCTGACCTCAAGTGATCTGCCTGCCTTGGCCTCCCAAAGTGCTGGGATTACAAGTGTGAGCCACCGCGCCTGGCCACCAACAGATCTTAACCCAGCTTGACGACTTTACAGTTCACTAGACTGAGTCCCTCACAGGTTCTGGATTTCCCTGAACGCCTCAAGTGCCCAGCTGACTTGGCTTTTAAACTATGCTCGCATACCGTCCATGACTAGCTCAAAACCAAAAAGAAATCAGTAGTGCAGTTAGGTTACAAAGTCCAAACACAACAGGAGATACTATTAAAAATACTGTTTGAATTGAAAATTTTTTTTAAAGGTAAGAAAAAATAAAAATGCTTTTTAGAATGTAAAGATGTAATCAGGCTCTGTTTTTTTTTTCTTTTTTTTTTTCCATTAATCTTTCTGGAGAACCTAGATCCTAAGTCGAAAAACCTACTGAAGTATATCACAACCTGTAAGTAGGTACAGATGTCTGAGGCCTATTTAGAACAACAGTGTTAGAAAGGCGCTTCCTTACCTGTTAGACAAAGGCGACTTCCGGCCAAACCCAATTGCCCCCAGGATCCCAGAGCTGAGTCTCTCCTCAGCCACGAGGTTCTGCCTGCTCTGAACCAAGAGCAGAATTCGAATGACAGATTCTGTCAGGACGGAGTCATTCTGCTCTGTCTGAATGAGGGAGAGCTGAAGGACTTGGTGCCACCACAAAAACAGCTTTGCCTCTTCCTCCACGGAGCTAGGGGAGGCACCGGAGGAAAATAAAATTAGAAGTAAATTTTTCCCACTCCCATTTAACTGCAAGTCCACATCAGAGTTTGAAGGATAGGAGACATTCAGTACTTCAAAAGCACAGGCTAACGGCTGATGTTAATAGAGCCATGGGATTGTAACCACCGCCATCTGTGGAACACCTACTACACGCCACTGTGATGAACTTCGTGTTCTTCCACTTCATCCTCATGACAGCCCTATCAGGTAGGGATTACTATCTCCACTTAACTGGTAAGGAAACTGATGCTTGGTGTTTCAAAGTGCCAGTTTTAGGAAACAAAAAATCTGCTCAGAAGATTAGCCTATTAATTAAGAATCTTTCCAAAACAACTGTCACCATACCTTAAAACCTTATTTTTTATGCACCTCTTGGTTCTGTGTACTTAAAGCTAGACTTAAGCTCTAAATTCCAAGTTAACCAAATACAGCAAGTTTGATGTAACAGCCTGAGGGCCAACGTACCTTGGGTACACCTGTTCCAGCCACTTGCTTAAGATGAGCAGCACTTTCATTTCATTCCTTAAAGTCTGTTCGCTGTTTAAACACTGAAGCAAGTAGACGTAAAGAGTCAAGTAACTGCCCAAGGTGAGGCACTCCTGCAGGAACTCTTCCATGGTGAGCTCGGGAACCTGAAGGGATACCAGAATGGGTCCCCATCCTGAATTCTGATTGAGAGGGCCTAAGAACATGAAGAAGAGACATCAAGATATAGGCAAGAATCCAATTACTTGACAACTCTAGCAAATATTTTCACTTTAAGCTTCATGATTTTTTTTTTTGACATAGCAACCTATGAGATAATAAGCTTCATGTCAAGACAACCTTTCTTACAGTGACCTTGGAGGCTACAAAAGTCAAATATACCTCAGGGCTCAGACTGGATAGCCCTCAGGCCAGATGCCTGTCCCCAGCGTAGCCACCAGAAAGGTTTAAGAAATCAGAATTCAGGGCTGCATACGTATAAATCACCTTTCTATCACATTATGATCCTTAAAACCACATGTAGACACTGCCTGTCCTGGTCAGTTAAGAATTTTAACTTTAATACCCTTTTTAAGAACATATGAACACTTATGCTTTCCGACGGGAAACTGTTATCACTCAATCTGTGAGTAGTTTTACTTATCAAAGCTTAGTTTAACTCATGTATTGAAACTGTTTGATTTTTAGTAACACACATGAGTTTGGAATAGCAGTGTTATCCTAATGGTTCTCCACTCTTTGGGGGAGCGAGGGTGGGGTGGCATGGTGACATGCACACCACCTCCATGGGTGGGCATGTGCTGTTCATGGGTGGTCAGGACAGGGCAGATGGCAGGTTGTGGGCACTTCCTGGATCCTTGCTCCGATACCCTCCTTCTCACTACTGCTTCTCTCCCACTGACTGCAGTGTGATGTGTTATCTGGATATCAGAGTTGAGAAGTGCTGTTCTCAGCAATTCTTAATCAGACTAAGCCGCTTCCAGAGTCTGACAGTTTAGAGGTAGAAAGTAAAACAGATTTTTAAAAAGGAGGGGTGACAATGAATGAGCCCTTCATAATGCTTTAAAAGGTCTGATAAGCAGCAATTTTAAAAACTTCTATGAAAACTCCTTTTACCAAAAGTGACAAAAACAGGGAAAATTAACCTCATGGACTATGATTATATAGATCCTGGTATATAGCATTTGTTCTGAGGACTATGACTTGGCCTGTGACACAACACAATTTGCATATCATAACAGGTTGGTCTGACCCTCCAAAACTAACGTGAAGTGGATTAGAGCTTTTCTCCCTTGAAATGTGATTGTACCAACAGACATGGCCACAGGTTCTCATGCTAACTGCAGATCTTTATGAAAAATACGTATATTCAGAAACATCCACAACATTTGTAGAGCAGAAAATTAGAATGGCAAATCCCTCACTGGGAAGAGTCTGGAAACATATCTGCTGATGACAATGCTTTCATCTTTCTGGAAAAGACCAATACAATGGAGCGTAAGATGACCTCCTCTTACTTTCTTTGAAGTAGGCAGTGATGCAGGCTTCTGTAGTCTCAGCCATGTGGCGGACGGACGCCAGGCTCTGGCAGGCTGCTGTTAAAAGGGGCAGCACCACCAGCCCATGCATTTTTTGGCCAATCCAGGTCCGGATACTGCCCCGAAGGAACTCTGCTGTTGGAATAGTCGCGTTGTTCATCATCATCAGGACTTCCATAAAGAGGCTGCTGAGGGCCATGTGGCGGGTCTGGCTGTCCATGTCTGAAAGGAATATAGACACACTCAAGAATGGCTGCCAGAAAGGTACTATCCATGTGATCAGGAGAATAACAGTGCTTCAATCTTAGCTGTTCTCCAGGCAGATTTTACAGTGCTAGTAGCTGACTGCAAGGGACTGGAAGGAAGGCTCTGGATGGTGTTAAGTTTGTACAGGTAGTATGCGGCACACGGTTACTAAGAGTAAAAGCAGGAACTACTGTGAGTTCCCTGGGTACAGCAGCATAGCAGAGCAATACTTAATAAATAGACAAATCTGAAGCTGGTGTGAAAGAGTAACTTATCAGAACATGCCTAGTCAGTCTTTATTTTCCAACCTTTGCTCATGGAAAACCAAATACGTAGATCTCACCAGTCATTCAGTAAACCAAGTAGCAAAAGTACCCACTGTCACTGCCACCGCTGTCAATATTCTAGGGTGATTTACACACATTAAAGGTTATTACTTAAAACTAAATATAAATGTAAGGAAAAACCTTTGTAAAGTGTCCTAACAGCAGCTCTTTTATTTCTTTGTTTTTTAAATAAGGAAAGTAAACCAACTGGTAATTTTTCAAAAAAAATTGGAGGTAAAGAGAGAGGAATTCAAGAAAAAGAACGAATTCATTTTACAAGAGAACTGCAAATCTTCACATTCAAAAACAGAAAATATATTTTACTGAGAGTTAAATGGAATAATTTTTGCCAACTCTTCTAGCTCTCCTCAAGCTGTAGCTTTCACACCACAAGGATTCAGTATTTATGTCAATAGGAAGGGTAAAAAGTTGAGAGATCTTACTCATCGCATCTATCAAAACAAATTCATCTACTTATGCAGGGTTAAATAAACCCTCACTTAATCTTTCTGTACGACCTACTTACTATCAAGCAAGGACTTAAAAAACAAGTTTGAGAGAGATAGTAACAGTATATCTGTCTATTTCTTCATGTATTTCTATGGGTACAAATATTCTTGGAAATAAAGGCTCATCTCTGAATTTCAACGGAATAGCAATTTAAATTTTATCTCTTAATTATGACTAATAGGAATAGATTACTACAACAGACCCTAGTCTCTCCCATTCCTGTTCATATCAACAGGGCTCTCAAATCTTTTCCTAAATACCATATCTGATCCTATCACTCTTCCGATGAAGATCTTTCCAGAACACCCTTCTCTCCTTTCCCTGGCCAGCTATTATTCAACCTTCCTGGTTCAATCATATCTGACCAACTCTAGAACAGTTTCTCCAGCATTGCTTGCTGATAGTTTTTTTCCATAAGATTTATTGAATGTGGCTGACTTGCCAGGCTGATGCTAAAATTTTAGATATTATCTCACTCAATACTTACAATATCTACATGAAACAGGTATGACCATTAACAACATTTAGCACCGTTTCATGTTTATTGGTGATCAGTATATTTTCTTTTGCAGAATGTCGTTTCAAGGGTCTTGTCCATTTTTTTCTACTAAGTTGTCTTTTTCTTCCTTGTTTTATCTGGTATGACAATCTTAGTCATTCACAGTTATTATAATTAATTACTGATGTAGCTGGGTCTAAATCTACTGTCTTCCTATATGTATCCTATTTGTCCCTCCTATTCTACATTTCTTTTTCTCTCTTTTGCTTCTTTTAGATCATTATTCTACTTTTTCCCTGTTTTAGCTTGAAAACTAAATCCTCTCTTAAAATTCTGACAGTGGTTATCCTATAAATGAAAACATGCATTCCTGATTTTTTGAAGTCTAATGTTAATTGGTTCCCAGATGATGTAATGGCTTTGGAACATTCTAACTTCATTTCTCCACTGTTGCCATAGCCCAACAAACCATTTCTATTATTATTGTCTTATACAGTCAGATTTCATTTAGATTTACCCACACATTTACCAGTTTCATTGTTCTTCATTCTTAGTTTCTTCCTATTTATTTTCTCTTTATTATTTCCTCCCCTCTACTGTCTTTGACTGTAATTTTGCCGTCTTTTTAAATAACTGTTTAATGCTTATCTTTTTAATTTTCACCTTTTAAAAAAGTCTATGATGAGCACTTAAGGCCCTGAAAGTAAGTGATACGGTTTGGATCTGTGTCCCCACCAAATCTCATGTTGAACCGTAGTCCCCAATGTTGGAGCAGAGTTTAGTGTGAGGTGGCTGAATATGGGGGTAGGTCCTTCATGAATGGTTTAGCACCATCCTCTTGGTGCTGTTCTCATACTAGAGTTCTCAGAGATGTCGTAGTTTAAAAGTGTGCAACATCTCCCCCCTTGCTCATTCTCTCTCTTGCTCCTTCTCTGGCCATGTGGAGTGTTACTCTCACTCTGCGTTCTGCCGTGATTGTAAGCTTCCTTAGGCCTCTCCAGAGGCCGAGCAGATGGCAGCACCATGCTTCCTGTACAGCCTCCAGAACCATAAGCCAATTAAACCTGTTTTCCTTATAAATCACCCAGTGTTGGGTTTTTCTTTATAGCAGTGTGAGAACAGGCTAAAATAATAAGTCCCATGTTAGCTGCATCCCACAAATTTTGATGCACTGTATTTTATTATTCAGTTGTAAGTATTTTAAATTTCTATTATGATTATTCCTTTGGCCATCAGTTATTTAAAAGTTTGCTTCTTAATTTCCACAGTGTTTTTCCCTCTAGTTCTATTTAGTTACTGATTTTTTTTTCTTTGTCATGCAACTTCGGGGCAGAAATACACAGAGATGAACATCTGGCTTTTACAAAGTTTTCTGCCTTACAGATCTATTTATCTGATATTAATATAGCTATGCCAGCTTTCTATTTTAATATTTGCCTGACATAATCATCTTGTGGAAAGCTTTCTATATCCTTAGGCTTTTGATGTATTTCTTATCAACAGCTTAAAGCTAGATGTTTTTGGTTATTAACCTACCTTAACAATCTTTGTCTTTTAACTTAAGCATTAGTCCCTTTACCAATACATTTGAATTTTATCATCTTATTTTGGTTATTTTTCTCACTTTCTCCATGCTTCCTTTCTTGCCTTCTTTGGACTGAACATACTTTGGACATTCCTTTTTATCTCCCTCTACTGACTTGGAAATTGTACATTTTAATTTCTATTCTTTTGGTTAATTTCTTAAAATTGTTAATATTCATACTTTAATCAAGGTATAAAGTTAATCTCTTGACCACTAAACAGCAGTAGAACCTTAGAACACTTTTAACTCAACCTCCTTCCTAGCATGCTTTAGTATTTTCTTTAGTGACACCTACTGGGACAAACACTCTCAGGGCTCAATGAAAGTATGGTTCTTTACCTCGTCTTCATCATTAAAGGGTGGCTTTTCTTAGTTTACAATTCTAGGTTATGAGTCATTTTCTCATAGCACATTGAAGTTGTTATCCCACTGTCTTACAGATTCTTTTATTGATACTGAGAAGTCAGCTGTCAGTCTAAATGTTGCTCCTTGGTAGGTAATCTGCCTTTCCTTCCTGGATGTAAAGGGTTTTGTTTTGTTTTGTTTTTTAATTTTGCCACTGGTACTTCTGCAGGTTCACTATAGTGTATACAGGTTTGAATTTCTTTCCATATATCCTACTTGGGATTTGCTGGGTTTACTGAATTTGAGGATTGCTGTCTTCATCAGCCCTGAAAATTTTCAGCCTTGCTATCTCTTCAGATATTGCTTCTCCCCAGTTAAGTATCTCCTCTCCTTCTGGAATTCTACTTGGATAATAGGATGTATATTAAACCTTCTCAGCCTATCCTCTATGCCTTTTAACCTCACTTTCGTATTCTTTTTATTTTAGAGATGGGGTCTCACTATTTTGCCCAGACTGGAGTGCAGTGGCTATTCAGACACAATCATTGCACACTGTGGCCTCGAACTCCTGGCCATCAGCAATCCTCCTGCCTCCGCCTCCATGCCCAGCTCACTTTTACGTTCCTTCTCTGTTCCTCTGTGCTGCAATCTGAGTATTTTCTTCAGTTTTGTTTTCCAGTTTACCAATTTTCTCTTCGGATGGGTTTAATCTGTTGAACTTATCCATTAACTTTATTATAATCTTTATATTTTTCATTTCTAAATTATATAAATCTCTCAAATCTGCATATTTCTACAATCCCTTGCTTCTTACTGATATCTTCAATCCTCTCTTATTTCAGCATATAATAAAAATAACTTTTTTGCTTACTGTACTAATTATTCCACTATCTTCAATCTTTTCATTTCTGACGCTGCTGTTGTTTTCTATTACTTTGCTCATGGTACCTTGTTTCCTGTGTTTTGTGACTTTTTTTACTGTGAGTTTCTTGGAACTTTGAGGCATGAGTTAAAGATGCGTTTCTCCAAACAGGAGCTATGGTTGCTTTTTGCCAGATGCTGGTGGCACCGCCAACCCAGAACTACTCTAAATTCTTAGATTGAGGTTGTTGTTATTACTGCTGTTTCTACCAATCTAGGTAGTCTGAATTCTTGCTTCAAAACCACATGAGGGTCAGCTTGTTATCAATTCTCAAAACAGATATCTCTTTTCCTGCATAAACATTTAACCTAACAACGAGGCCAAAACAGGTAACTGTCTTTGCCTTCCTCTCACAAGAGGAGGTTTACTTCTAGCTTATCTTTACAGTAAAAATGTCACCCTGTGGATTATGCATCGGATTTCCTTTTAGGCTCCCATCTTAGGCAGGCCCTGGGCTTTACCACCTCCCCCTAATATCCAAACATATTCAGCAAAACTCTTCAGGGTGACAGCAGCCTCAGAACTCCACCTACCTTTATGGGTTTCTCCTTTCACTTAGGTTCTGGCCTCTGAGGTTCCCTTACCTTTTTGCCACTCCACTAATAAATTTAATTTCCAGTTTCTTAAAAATATTTCATCCAGCACCCAGTTATCTTCAGCAGGAGAGGCAGGCAGTATGTCTAGTCCACCAAACTGCTGGGAGCAGAAGGTTCTCCAGACACAGTTTCTTGACAAGTCTACAGGTGATTCTGAAGTGCCCTCCCAGTTAAAAGCCAAAATCCCTAGAAATGCCGCTCACTGAAAGGTCTCTGATATCTCCTAATCATTAGATCCCATTGTCCAGCTTAAAGGTCAGTCTCGCCCACCACCCAACAGCATCTGCCAGTGTCAATCCTTCCCCACTGCTGAGTCCCTGGTGTCCAAACACCTCTCTGACCATTGCTTCTCTGGAAAGAGGAGTGCCAGTGTCCTGAACATCCTCCTGATCTCACAGTGCCTTACGCACAGCAGGAATGCATTGACTGAATGAATACAGGACTTCCGACTGGTCACTTACCGGGCGGGTTAAAGACAATGATATCGTCTAAGAGCTTAGACATTTCCTGTTCTAGGACTGCTAAGGTGATTTTTCCATTTTGTTCCAGGGTGCTGAGGAATTGAACCATCTGATGAGTAAAAGCTTGGCATTTTGGAACTGCATCCTGACCAAAAAAAAAAAAAAAAATCATTCAAATGAATCCAAGCAAGGAGTGTTAACTGCATATTTCCTGGGAGCATGGCACTGCAATGAATGCTTGGGTAGGGAGTAGAGGGGACAGAACAGGAAGCCACATGAAGACTTAGTCCCACGTGGCCCAAGGGGCCTAGTGAAAGGCAAATCTATGGTAACACTTTGACCAGGGCCCATGTTTTCCCAAATTGTGGCAGAATACTCTTCCTTTTTTACTACAAGAATAACAACATTAACCAAACACTAACTACTTGCCAGAAACTTTTCCAAAAACTTTTATGTTCATTATCGAATTCAATCCTCAAAACACCACTTTGAGACAAGGTACTATTTCTTTTTTTTTTTTTTTGAGATGGAGTCTCACTCTGTTGCCCAGGCTGGAGTGCAGTGGTGCGATCTCGGCTCACTGCAACCTCCTCCTCCTGGGTTCAAGCGATTCTCCTACCTCAGTCTCCCGAGTAGCTGGGAATACAGGCACCTGCCACCATTCCCCGGCTAATTTTTGTATTTTTAGTAGAGATGGGCTTTCACCATGTTGGCCAGGCTGGTCTCGAACTCCTGACCTCAGGTGATCCGCCCACCTTGGCCTCCTAAAGTGCTGGGATTACAGGCGTGAGCCACCGCACCCAGCCTTTGCAAGGTACTATTTCTAATCAGATGAGAAAACTGAGGGACTTGCCCTGTCAAGCCTAAGTTCATATTACCAACCTCCCTTCCTCCCTGCTATTCTGCTGCCAATGACATTCAGATCATGAAACCAGCAGCTTGCTGGCAGCCCTCAATCCTTTTGACCTTTCATCGACATGTGACATTGCTAGTAAGTAAAAGTTCACCCAAAGGGAGAACTCAACCCAAAAGATCTACAAGGCCAAAAGATGAGTATATGATAATACACATCCTCCGACTTCCTCTGCTGAGCACTTCCTAGCTTCGACTGTCCTTTGTAGCACTTATGCTGCTACCAATCTCCAGGAACAGTCTCTGCCTTTTAAACTACCTCTCAACTTACAAGATGCTTCTGGCTGTCAGTAGGAATAGAAAGGCCCGCAGACACTTTTAGGAGCTTCATGATTAATTCAGCATAAGATTCTTTTGCCAGGATGATGGACGGCGGGTAATGGCTGCTGAAATAACTTAGCACACTCTGGTACGACACAATATCCACAAGATGCCATGAAAGTGAGCTTGTCTGTCCAAGGAGACTAAGTAAAGGTGAATCCTAAAAATAAAACACATATTCCTTTAGTTCCAGAGCCCCAATTTTTCCAGAAATATGTGTTGCTAACTAGTCTGTGGAATAACTACTAAGATGGCCTATGGTAAGCACAGAACAGTTATGATATCAAGTAAGTATCTACTCGAGTTAGGAGTACTAGTGAAAGCAATAACCAAACTTTTGGCAAAAACACATTCATATTAAGATGTATTGAGTATCTGGAACCCAGGTTCTTTTCTTTCAAAAGAACTCCCTGTTCTGGTGGGACATGCCAAAATTGACTTCAAGAAGCATACAAGAGATTGAAGTAGATATTAATGAGATACAAAATAAAGTTGATTAATACATTCTAACTCAGTGTGGTTCTTTGCATAATTTAGAATCAGATAATGAGCTATCCAAGAAAATCAGGCATCTGGTTAAAGGTACATCTCATATGCCAAGCATCTGTTCACACTGATAGGGGCACTGGAAAAACAAATGAAAAACTACGACCTAGTAGAAAGCAAAGATCTAAGCAGCCTTGCCGAATTTTTGCCATAAGCTTCCCAAACTTACTGTTTGGTCTACCAGTTGAACTTCCTTTGCCAATAAAATCATCATGAAAAGGAGGCAGACAATCATGCTGCGGGTTTCTGGGTGGGGACTGGAATTCCAGGCATCAGAGAGCACACTAACCCAGTTGACTTCACAGAGTACAGACCCCAAAAATAAGAAACAGCTCTTGGGGCTTCCTCGTTCCACCTAAAAGAAAATGAATTAAAATCATTCTGTTGCCTTGTGCTATCTATGTATCTGGAAAATGTATGTAAATTGTTTCATAATTATGTTTTTAAAAAACACTTTTTCCCCAGATTATATCACTTAGAATCCCACCTCCTAGAGATTTAGACTTAATATTTGTAATATCTTTCCTTCCACAGTGTATGTGTGTATATTTTAGTTTGTCTGTTCAGATTTCAGCATTTATTCCAATCATTCTTAATAAGCGAGGAATGACCTTCCCTAACCCCAACCTGGGTGGAGAATCGCTGCCACAGTAAGTCACTGGAGCTGCAGGGAGTGTATCAGAATCCTCAGGTGTGCCAGGACAGGGCAAAGTTGAAATTTACTAGTCAGTAGTTCCCAAACTTAAGTGTGCATCAGAACTAAATGGAAGGTATATTAAAACAGACTGCTGGGCCTACCCCTAGAGCTTTTAATTTTGCAGGTATGGGTTGGGAGCCAGAATGTGTAAGTTCCCAGGTAATGCTGATGCTGCTGTCCCAGGGACCACACTACTTTGAGATCCACTACACTAGTGTATATTATTTATATTGCCTTTTTCCTTTTTCCTTTTTTTTTTTTTTTGAGATGGAGTTTCACTCTTGTTACCCAGATTGGAACGCAATGGCACGATCTTGGCTCAACGCAACCTCCGCCTCCTGGCTTCAAGCAATTCTCCTGTCTCAGCCTCCTGAGTAGCTGGGATTACAGGTGCCTGCCACCATGCCCAGCTAATTTTTTATTTTATTATTTTATTGCTTATTTTTTATTTTATTTTTAGTAGAGTCCGGGTTTCTCCATGTTGGTCAGGCTGGTCTTGAACCCCCAGCCTCAGGTGATCTGTCCACCTCAGCCTCCCAAAGTGCTGGGATTACAGGCGTGAGCCACCGCGCCCGGCCTATATTCCCTTTTTAATGTAATGCTGTATTATAACAATGTCTCCGTATTATTAGTCTTTACAATTTTTGATGACTGCATGTTTAAATTCTATTTAAAATATGAGAGGCCGGGTGCAGTGGCTCACACCTGTAATCCCAGCACTTTGGGAGGCCAAGGCAGGTGGATCACAAGATCAGGAGATTGAGACCATCCTGGCTAACATGGTGAAACCTCATCTCTACTAAAAATATAAAAAATTAGCTGGGCATGGTGGTGGGCACCTGTAGTCCCAGCTACTTGGGAGGCTGAGGCAGGAGAATGGCGAGAACCTGGAAGGAGGAGCTTGCAGTGAGCCAAGATCGTGCCACTGCACTCCAGCCTGGGTGACAGAGCAAGACTCCGTCTCAAAAAAAAAAAAAAAATTAGAGAATGAGGAACAGATGTACTATAAAGTATATAAGAAACCTCAAAGATCTCTTACAAGCTATTTAAATACTTCTAATTTGTTTAAAATAAAACATGGCTACTCATGAATTTTTCCTTTCAAAATGAAGATTAAAAGCTCTAGTCTATTTATAAAATCATGATCAATGGAATTTGGTGATGATTCATTTCTTGTCATTACTGTTATTATATTATGCTAACTACTAATTCTCTTCCTTTTAGAAAATGATTCTTCATTGTCCATTATAATCTGTTCTCTATCCTCATCCTCAACCCCACCAAAAAAATATAGTTTATTATGCCAACAAGACACAAAGAATTAAAAGATCCCCAGCTTCTGGGGTGGTCAGGGTCATCTGCCATTAGAATAAAACTCCTAGAGACAGAGTCTACAGCATCCCTTAACAGGCTGTGCTACTATCTAATCTGTCTTATAGTTAAGGTCATCCTTTTTAAAACTCCATCTTATAGTTCTTTAAACCACCTTTCTCTAGTATGTTCATAATGGTGATAAATATTTACTTAATGCCCGTCTCATATACTAAATCTAGCTATAAAATCATTCTTAAGCCTGGGATTTCTCTAGAACAACTGCCCTCAGCTTTTCTTGCATTTCAGCTACTGAGTGGCTGACAAGAGCAGCACAGATGGGGTTCCATTAAGGGCACTAAAAAAGTTAAGTATATTTTGCTAACCTTCATAAATAACTGTAGATCTGTATCAAAGCACTTAAGGTGTCTCAACAATAAATGTGACAGTAAGAGTAAACACTAACTGATGAGACTATGAACAAATGAACTGAAACTACCATAAAAACCTAAGACAAGAGTGTAATTAAAAAAAAAAAAAAGAAGAAAAACAACAACAGCTCCAAATGCCTGACTAGTATGTAAGTTACACTACACTCTCTGTTTTCTGGTTTTGTAACCATTGCTTCTACTGCAAAGACTCGCATGCACTCTCTTTTTTTAAGTCATTTCAGGTCTGCACACGATTATGATGCATCATCGGTTGTCACAATGCATTTTATCTCCTATAATCAAATTATTCACTTGCATAACTGCTAAAAGAAACTAATAGCTTCAGTACCAATTTACATTTGCTTTAATAGGACATTTAACGATAAGCAGTTGTTGACACAAACTGTAATGACACAAACACATCAATAACAACCAAGATTAAGCATAACGGAGGCATTAAACTACGTACTCACACGTGACAAAGTCTAGGGGATGACTGACATATTATAGATAAAATCTTTCTCTGGGTTTTAAAAATGGTCCTGTAGATGTTTTAACACGATAAAATGACTTCCACAAGACACTGTTTTCCACAGGCACCACCGAGGCAACACAGAATGTATTCATGGTCCACGCTAGCACACACTGCCACTATGCCTAACAACCACAGTGACCAGGCTGCTCCCTAGAAGCCAGATCTCTCTAGGCTGCGATGCCGGGAATGAAGGGCTTACTTTGAAGAAGGCCTCCATGAGCATCTGGTCAGGGTGCAGGTCCTTCCATGGCAGTTTCCGGTACGTGCTATGGAAAGCGTACAGAATGAACTCTGGCATTTTGGGTGCTGTACATGCTTCACAATAATGCATCAGGTGCAACCAAAGGGCTCCTGCATCACCTGGCAACAGCTTATCTAGAATGTGAAAAGAAAATAGAGCTGAAGACCTTTGGTTTACCTTAAAAAAAAAAAAAAAAAGCAAATTTGAACTAAAAGTCTAAAATCTAAGGTTCTCATGATTGACCCAATTTCAAAGATTTTCATGTAGGGAGAGTGGTTAAGGGGACTACTGGCAGATTAGTAATAAAGAATGGTACTTTAATTACCCACTCGGGTAACTGGAATGAGCAGATGCTGTGTGGGAAATAATCAGCTTTTCTTTAAAATTTCTAAACGTATGGCTTTTTAACTGAAATACACTCCTACAGCTTGTTGCCCTCAGTATGTATTCAGTTTTACACATTTAGTGCTTCATTCATTTGGCACTCAGGAGAAATCCAAAATCCCTCAAAAGGAAATGTTCCATTTTTTAAAAGAAGGCATACAAATAGCCAATAGGTGCATGAAGAAATGCTCAGCATCACTGATCATTAGAGAAATGCAAACTAAAACCACAACAATGTATCAGTGCACAGCTGTTAGGATAGCTGTTATCGAAAAGATGAACGATAACAAGTGTTAGAGAGGATCTGGAGAGAAAGAAACTCTTAAACACTGTTGGGGGGAGTGTAAATTAGTACAACCATTATGGAAAAAGGCATGGAGGTTCGTCAAAAAACTAAAAATAGACTACCATATGATCCAGTAATCTCACTTCTGGGTATATATCCAAAAGAAAGGAAATCGATAGGGAGAAGGGATAACCACACTCCCATGTTCACTGCAGCATTATTCACAATAGCCAAGATATGGAAACAACCTAAGTGTCCTTCAAAAGATGAATGGATTTTTCTAAATGTGGTGTATATACACAATGGAATACCAGTCTGCCTTAGAAGAGGAGGAAATCCTGTCATTTGCAACAACATGAATGAATCTGGAGAACTCATGCTAAGTGAAGAAAACGAGGCACAGAAAGACAAATGCCACATGCTCTTACTCATATGTGGAATCTAGTAAGTTGAACTCATTGAAGTAGAGAATAGAATGACAGTTACCAGAGGCTGTGGGGTGTCAGGGGAAAAGGGAGGGAATGAGGAGTTGCTGATCAAAAGGGCACAAAGTTTCAGAGGGCAGGAGGAATAGGTTTCAGGATCTATTGTACAGCAGGGTGACTACCGTCCACAACAATGCATTACGTATTTCGAAATCAGAAGAGAACCAACTTTAAATGTCTCATCATAAACAATGAAAGGTAAGCAAGGTGATGGATATCTTAATTATCTTGATTTAATCATGCCACACTGTAAATCACACTGTACCCATCAATGTATATAATTATGATTTGTTAATCAAAAATAACATTAATTTTTTAATTTTAGAAACGGTGGAAATGTTCCAAATGACTAAAACTTAATTAACCCTTGGTGCAATGAAACTAGTCCATTAACTGTCATTCATGTAAGTCATTCTAAAATAAATCTCACGCTTTTCTGAGACCTGGATTATTACTCAATATTATCCTCACAAGTATCAATTCCATTAATGCCTTCAAGGGCTAATGACTATATAAGGGACATTTAGTCTAAAACAAGTGGTTTCAGACTTTCTGGTTCCATGCTAATGGAATGCAGTCAAAGAAGAGAGAGCCACACACAGTAAGAACAGAAACCTGATGGTTTCTCAACACAAATCTTTTAAAAAATGGCCAACGAGGCTGTGTGCAGTGGCTCACGCTTGCAATCCCGGCACTTTGGGAGGCCGAGGCAGGCAGATCACTTTAGGTCAGGAGTTCGAGACTAACCTGGCCAACATGGTGAAACTCTGTCTCTACCAAAAATACAAAAATTAGCCAGGTGTGGTGGCAGGCACCTGTAATCCCAGCTACTCGGGAGGCTGAGGTGGGAGAACTGCTTGAACCAGGGAGGCAGAGGTTGCAGTGAGCCAAGATCGCACCACCGCACTCCAACCTGGGCAACAGAGTGAGACTCCTTGTCCAAAAAAAAAGCCAATGAGCATCAACACATTGTACCAGACAACTCTCATTTCTAACATGCTTGTACCCTCAATTCCACAACCCGGCATGGAACAGGAATGCACATTTTTAACAACCTTTAAGACAGAGGTTAATGATAGCATTCGTTTAAATATGGATAAAAGACAGTTTTGTTTAGATAAAGTTGGGTAAGTATGTAGAAGATATCCAGAAGGATGTCTTAGGATAGACTGAGCTGATAGTTCCAGCCAAGACACAAATTCTGTGACGTCAGATAAATTCTTTTCATTTTCAGGTCCCCACTTTTCTCATCCATAGAAGGAGCTAGTGGATCAGATAACCTCACTAAAAAGCTGCAATACTTCTTCATCCTACCTTGCAAAGCTCTCCTGTTTCCTTTCTTTGAACCCAGCTACCAAGTCTTGATGTCTGTGAACCCTTCTGTCCTATGCCACTTTCTTATTTTATTCATATACAGGGGCAAGAGAGCCTTGGGGTGCTTTCCCCTATACTAAGAAATTAAATATGGCTGGGCATGGTGGCTCATGCCTGTAATCCCAGCACTTTGGGAGGCCAAGGCAGGCGGATCACAAGGTCAGGAGTTCAAAACCAGCCTGGCCAATATGGTGAAACCACGTCTCTACTAAAAATACAAAAATCAGCCGGGTGTGGTGGCGGGCGCCTGTAGTCCCAGCTACTCGGGAGACTGAGGCAGGAGAATCGCCTGAACCCAGGAGGCAGAGGTTGCAGTGAGCCAAGATCCTGCCACTGCACTCCAGCCTGGGCAACAGAGTGAGACTCAGTCTCAAAGGAAAAAAAAAAAAAGAAATTAAATATATAGCCTTTATGATTATAATTTGGTGCTCAAATCTTTTTCTCAGTAATCAATATATTCTGGATGGTAAAAAGCAGCTAGAAGTCTGCCTTTCAAAAAAATAATTGAGTACTACTAGGATTTCATGTGTTACTCATTGAACCACTATTTATCAAACACACACTGAGAATATGGCATTACCCTAGTTTTGTAGGGAGCAAAAAGAAGCAAAGAATAACATTTCTGTTATTCTATGAAGAGTTTACACCTCTTCAAGGTAAGATAAGATATATAAAAGATAAATCAGAAATACAAATAAGGTACAGCCAGACAAAATGAAATGAGCTATCCAGCCATGAAAAGGCATAAAGAGACTTCAATGTCTATTACTAAGTGAAAGAAGTTAATCTGAAAATGCTATGATTCCAACCATAGGACATTCTAGAGAAGGTAACACTATGGAGATAGTAAAAGGATCAGGGGTTGAGGGGAGGGAGAGATGAACAGGCAGAGCGCAGAGGATTTTTAAGGCAGTGAAACTGCTCTGTATGATACCACAATGGTGGGCACATGTTATTTGTCATTTGTCAAAACCCACCGAATGTGTTTACCAAGAGAGAACACTAATGTAAATCATGGACTTTCATTGATAATGATGCCTTAATGTAGGTTCATCAATTATAACAAATGTATCACCCTGGTGTGGAATGTCCAGAGTGGGGAAGGCTTGTGCATGTGTGGGGGCAGAAGGTATAAAGGAATTCTTGTACTTTCCACTTAATTTTGCTGTAAACCTAAAACTGCTCTAAAAAATAAAGTCCGTTAAACAAAAAATAAAATCTATTACAAAAAAAAAACAAAACTGGATGACATATGCTTAACTGTATGTATTAGCTCATTTTCACACTGCTGATAAAGACATATCCAAGACTGGGTAATTTACAAAGAAAAAGAGGTTTAACAGACTCACAGTTCCATGTGGCTGGGGAGGCCTCACAATCATGGTGGAAGATGAAAGGCATGTCTTACATGGCAGCAGGCAAGAGAGAGAATGAGAGCCAAGCAATACGGGAAACCCCTTATCAAACCACCAGATCTCATGAGACTCATTCACCACCAGGAGAACAGTATGAGGGAAACCGCCCCCATGATTCAATTATCTTCCACTGGCTCCCTCCCACAACACATGGGAATCATGGTAGCTACAATTCAAGATGACATTTGGGTGGGGACACTGCCAAACCATATCACTCTATAACTAAATGCCACACAAACACATGGCAGCCACAGGGGCACTAGGTGTATTCAGTGGAAGAAAACACCATGGGCCAGAAGCAAAGAGGAAGCCAGAGTGTTAAACAGATGCTGAAACCAGCCAACCGAGGACTATTTGCCTGCTGAGTTTTAACAGCACAAGAGGACAGAACATGAGGTTTTCTAAGGACTATATTCTTACTGAAAGGGTAGAATGGGGCAAAAGAGGAAACTTCTCTGCCTTACCCTAGATTGTGAGTCAGGAGAGATCAAAAAGTTTACTGTGAGAATTGAGGCCAGCCCGCAAGTGAGTTTGGGGTTTCATTTCATGTAACTGGTAGCACGGGAAACCCCAAACCAAGAAGTTAAGTAGTTCCAATTGACAACAAATGTAGATCCTCTCTGGAGGACTTACACACCCTCAGCCTAGGCCTTATGAGATTCCCATCAGTCTCTCTAAATATGGGCTCACAATACAAAATTTAAAAACACACAAGGAAACATGCCTCCAAGAACAAGAATCCAAAGGAAAATTAAACAGCAGCATAAGACAACCCCCAACAGGAATTTCAGATAATAGAATTAATGTACATACATCATAAAGTAAGCATGTTTAAACAAATTCTAAGGAAATAAAAAATAGAATTTTAAATGAAAGAAAAGATACTACCAAAAAGGATCAGGGTACATTTGAAAAACAAACAAATAGATCTAGAAATGGAAAAAATAATCACTTCAATGAAAAATTCAATTGATATATTTTAAGCAGATGAGACAGAGCTGGAGAGAGACTAAAGAAATGGAAGGAAGACCTCTAGAAATTACCCATAATAAAGCAAAAAAAGACAGAAAATATGAAAAAGAGGTTAAGAGTTAGGGAGGACAGGAAGAAACTCAACATGCAGGACAGGCAATATTGGAAGAGAGAAAGACTGCAAATTTACCATAACTGAGAAACTCAGAGCAACCTAACAAAAAAAGGTAAGAAGTTACACACCTAAAGGCCGGGCGTGGTGGCTCACACCTGTAATCCTAGCACTTTGGGAGGCCGAGGCGGGCAGATAGCCTGAGCTCAGGAGTTTGAGACCAGCCTGGGCAACATGGTGAAACCCCGTCTCTACTAAAACTACAAAAAAATTAGCCAGGTGTGGCGGCATGCGCTTGTAGTCCCAGCTACTCGGGAGGCTGAGGCAGGAGAATTGCTTGAATCTGGGAGGCAGAGGCTGCAGTGAGCCCAGATCACACCACTGCACTCCAGCCTGGGCGACAGAGCAAGACTCCATCTCCAAAAGAAAAAAAAAAAAAAAGTTACACACTTAACACTAAATAATTGTATCAGCGACTTTTCTTCAGTCACAAATAACTGCCTATTAAATAAAAATTAAATAGAGGAAAGTAGAAGAAAAAGACTGACTGACTTAGGGAAAAATGAAAACTAAGCAGAGACAGCCTGACATCTTCCTACCTTTAAAACTCTCATGCAGTGAGTCAATACAGTCAGTGAACAGCTGCACAATGCTTGAGGCCACCACAGTATCACTCTCTAGCCAGGGGTAATGCCGCTGTTGGCTGCTTTAAAGAAAAGAAGCACACACTTAGGAATGCAACCGTGATTAAAATACTGTTAAGTCCCAGTGTCTAGGGCTGGCCTAAGTCCTGGAAGCCTGTCCATTATGTAGGCCTGACACACATTTAGAATACTTAAAAGGCTGTAAATAACTGCAGGCGAATTGTAGCTTGTAACACCAGCCATATAATTTTCTTTCATCTCCTTCATACCCTTTATTCCAATGCAATTAGATTTCAAAAATGTGCTATCTAAATAACCCTTAAATTAACATCTTTTTACATCAAATTTAGACCCTTGGACATCTTGGTTACATTTCAAATGCCGTAGAAAAACACCCTAAGTCAGCTTCAACAGTTTTCTCTACTCAAAGCATTAAAAAAAAAAAATCAAATTCACATAACAAAGAGATGGCCAAATATTAACAAATAGAAAATGAGCAAATAAAATTTTTTTTTTTTTGAGAGAGAGAGTCTTTCTCTGCCACCCAGGCTACAGTGTAGTGGCACGATCTTGGCTCACTGCAACCTTCACCTCCAGGGTTCAAGCAACTCTTCTGCATCAGCCTCCCGAGCAACTGGGGTTGCAGGCACCGACCACCACATCCAGCTAATTTTTGTATTTTTAGCAGAGACAGGGTTTCACCATATTGGCCAGGTTTGTCTTGAAGTCCTGACCTCAAGTGATCCACCTGCCTTGGCCTCCCAAAGTACTGGGTTTACAGGCATGAGCCACCACGCCTGGCCCAGAGAAATTCTTTATATGAAAAATTTAATTGGCTGGGCACGGGAGCTCATGCCTGTAATCCCAGCACTTTGGGAGGCAGAAGTGGGCAGACTGCTTGAGGTCAGGAGTTCAAGACCAGCCTGGCCAACATAGCAAAACACTGTCTCTACTAAAAATACAAAAAAAATAAAAATTAAAATTGAAAAATAGCTGGACGTGGTAGCATGCATTTGTAATTCCAGCTACTCAGGGGGCTGAGGCAGGAGAATCGCTTGAACCTGGGAGGCAGAGGTTGCAGTGAGCCAAGATCACGTCACTGCACTCCAGCCTGAGCAACAGAGTGAGACTCTGTCTTAAAAAAAATTTTTTTTTATTTTCTGAATCTGGTCTAGAAAACTCAATATCCAAATAGGTTCCGTTAATTCTTACTGGAAATAAACAAGCAGCCAGCACTATGGTAAGCAGTCTATATGTACACAGTCACTATAAAATCCTGAAGCTTGCAGATTATTCAGATAGCCCTCTAGCAAAAGCAAACATTCAGAACCTTTTATACTTTCCTTAAGTGGCTCGTAAAGCATCATGGGTTAATGCAAAGAGTCTAGAAACAGAAGTCTAAGACCTGAGTTCTAGTCGCAGCTTCAGCACTAACCAACCAGCTATGAGACTTGAGTTTGACATTCATGTTCTCTGAGTCTCAGAATCAAATTCAAGTTTTTGAAAACAACTCCTATAATGTGATGTTTACCACTGTCGTAATTTTTATAAAACCCTGACAAGTTCAACTAGCTTCTGCTTGTATACTTTCAGGGAAAAAAAAGACTCAGAAGGCAACTCACTGAATTTGGACAGCTCTATACCTCTAAGTATTTCAAATGCTTGTGAAATAATGCTTTAATTGAAGAGTCCTAGATTTAAAGGTAATTCCCACCCAATAATTTTATAGCCAACTTAGTTCCAAAACACAACTGATGTAGTAGAGAAAAATCAGTCTCATAAAACCCTCAAGCGAACAGCATCATTTTTTCTGAAATTAAACACTAAAGTTTATTCAACCTCTTATTGTGGAAAACTGGAAATGAGTGTCCAGTTTTGTTCCAAAATTATTATCAAGATAATATCTCTGATGATCCAGACTAGCAATTCCATAAATAGAAAATGTCTTAAGTTTTGAAAAGAAGCCTTTTCTAAATTTAAATATGGCCTTACACTAAAAAATTAAATCTGTGAACTCATCACTTCTACCAAATACCATTTAGAATTTTAAGTCTACAAACGTCAAAGGAATTTGAATATCTAAAAAACTGTTTACCTTTCGTTGTCCTCTAAAACCAGGATCCATGGCTTAAAGAGCTGAATGATTACTGAATGTAGGGATTTCAGCACTAAAAAGTTTTAGAGACAAAACAAAGGTCATCATTTGTCATTTGTCAATATCACTGCTCACATTATATAGAAAAATCTACCTCTTATTATCTGTAGCTTCATAAACCTATGTTAATGTATAAACAACATGCTTAGTGTAACTATGTATGTTTACGTTTTCATTGGCTACACTGGAATTTCTCTGAATTGAAGAATTTGTATTACAATACAATATCATGGATAATTTTATAACACACTTTTAAAAAAGATAAATGTATAAGATTTAGAACCCCATCTTAGTAAGACAAATGACAGAAAGGGTTGGAAACTGAAACCTCTCTGTACCCCAACCTGCAAAGGAGGGGCAGAGACAAGCTATAGCAAGCACCCTACATTCACTATGTAATGAATATATCCATTCATATATTGTGACATATATGACACATATATGGGCTCATGCCTGTTCTATATATTTCTACTTTCTCTCCTTGACACTCAATATAAATCTCTTAATGTGCCTATTTAAATCTCTCTTAATGGAAAGTCCAAACACCTAGCTCCACATCGCATGAGAAGTATATTACCTGTTTTCCTGCTGGCAGTTGGGTCTTGGGCCAAACAGGTCATTTCTAAGTCAATCAGCCTTTTCACAAGGTAGCCCAAGAATGTCTTCACATCAGCCATATAAGGACTCCATTTTGAGAATAAACCAAAGCTTTTAAAGTCCATCTTGGATAACCGAAGCTTATAAAAAAAGTCTGAAAGCCACTGTATAGTCTCCATTACCTGGAAGAGACAACTAGTCAAAAAATGCTTACTAAATATGTATTTTAGTAAAGTGTTATGATACACTGTGATGGGGGTGTATATAGTAGGTCTTTGACTTTATAAGAGAGTGGCAAAAATATAAAGCATATGAGAAATAAATCAATGGTTTTTTGTTTTTGTTTTTGTTTTGAGGTAGAGTCTTGCTCTGTCGCCTAGGCTGGAGTGCAGTGGCACGATCTTGGCTCATCGCAACCTCCGCTTCCTGGGTTCAAGCGATTCTCCTACCTCAGCCTCCTGAGTAGCTGGGACTACAGGCGTGCACCACCATGCCCAGCTCATTTTTGTATTCTTTAGTAGAGACAGGGTTTCACCATGTTGCCCAGGCTGGTCTCGAATCCCTGACCTCAAGTGATCCGCCCACCTTGGCCTCCCAAAGTGCTGGGGTTACAGGCATGAGCCACCGCGCCAGGCCATCAGTGGGTTTCAAACCTTTTCTAAATCAGTGGAACCATTATTTCAAATAAATTCTCATGCAAATGCATATCAAACAGAAAGGATAAAACCCAGAGCTCCATGGGACACTGCATCATAGAAACCCGACCAGAGGTCTCAGGGTGGAGTCCGATGGGCTAGGGTGGGCAGGAAAGATCTACAGGGGAGTGCCTGCCCTTGTCTTGGATACATGGGCAAGAATTAGACTCAGGGGAATGGGGTGAGCCATCTGGAAAAAGGGGACACGAGGGAACCAAAGCACTTAACACAAAGAAAAACACATGGCTCTTAAAGATAATGCACAAGTTTTCCAACTGCTTAAAAAATGAATAGCAAGGGAAATAAAAAGAAATGCACAAACACGTCAGAGACCAAAGGCTACACACCTGCTTGTCTGACAAGAGAGCATCAGAAGAGCTGGGAAGCACGGCGCCCTCGGTGGACGCTGCCCCCTGCTGGCAGCTGGGGGCGCAGCAGCCCAGGGCTCTCAGAGTGGCCTTCCAACACTCGGGGCTCAGAAGCTGCTCCGCGGAGCCTGCCAGCAGGGACAGGAAGAGCAAGTCAGTGGCTTTCCCGAAAGGAATATTTTAACTTGTAACAAAGAATATGAGCACCTTATAAAGGAATAAAAATAAAGCCAAAATCCAAAACAAACTCACAGGGATATCTGGGGTGAGGAGGCCCAAGTAAAGAGAACCTAAGAGAAGAACTGGCCACCTGCACATTTGGTTTTCCTGGTTCCTGGTAACCCTGCTGGGAGTGAGCGCTGCTGAAGCTGGTGGAGCTACACTCAGAGGGGTGGGAGACCTGACCCTCCGACCCTGACTGGGGAATGGTGGCAGTGCCTCTCCTGGCTGGGGGACCACAGCTATCTATGAGTGTGACAGAAACAACAGTCACAGGACAACGGAAACCACATGATGAAGGCAACTCAGGGCCTGGGCTCTCCAGAAGGAGTCTCCTACCGGCCCCCCAATTCCCCGAAACCAAGACCCAGAGGCAGCATGGAAACGCTGGACAAGTCCAGCAGCCCATATTCTGAACTAGTCCCAACTCTGCTACTTAATAACTTCCCATCCCACAGGACAGGAATAATATCTCCTAAAGTACTTTCCACCCAGAGCGAACATGAGAATCAACTAAAATAACAGGTTCATGGAGCAGGTCTGAGGAGAACGATGGTGAGGCCAGTTACAATATGTCCAGTGTGAGGTACCTGGGGACAGTGCCAGTCTGTGTCCAATGGCCACTGGGGTCTGGATCTTAGGACAGCGCCCCAAAATTAAGCTATCACTGGAAATCACACATGCCTAGAAGGTGGCAGTGACATCAGGGAAAACAACGGGCTCACCCAGAGGGAATGAATGCAGTAGAAGAGCAAAGGATGCTCCCAAGGGAACATCAACATGGTAGCCAAGGAGGAGAAAGAAACCAGGAGGCTGAAGCTCATGACATCTGAGAGGTATCATATTGTTATTCTTAAGTCTGAATTACTTTTCTTGGTAAGAACAAATTTCTAGCTAAATTCCAGTCAATAGTGGTCTAATATAAATGGTTTACAATCTCTTTAAAAGATTTCAGGGAAAAATCCACAACACACACTATTTGAAACTTTAAAAGCTTAGAGAAAAAATTAGCTATGCACATATTCATTGGCATTTGTACAAATGTATTTCCCTTCCACCATTCTCCACCCACCCTGCAACCTGCCTCTGTGGGAAACAATTAAAGCTTGAAGTGCTTTCAAAATGAGAGGCTGCACATTTCAAGGTCCTTTGGGCAACCCGATACACTGGATCATTAACTTATCCATTAAACTATTTCTATGATGTAACACAAAAATTTGGTATAAAGCAAAATTTCATTTGCTATTATATCTATAAACCGTATGAAGTTTGCATTAAAAAGTAAATACTATCTCATTTATCAAATTTTAATAAAATTACTGCCTAGCGAAACTCCAAAAATAAAAAAGCCTACCCTATTTATTTCTCCTCTAAACTCTAAAATTGCTATAGAAAATTGTAAGAAGGGGGAACAGAAGTGGCAGGAATGTGGAGATTGTAATGCTGCTCTTTCCCTTGGTAAATATAAATAAAGTCTATCATTACATATGGATAAAATTAATTTGCAAAAAACAAGAGTAAAAGACTTAGAAAGGAAAAACTCCCAAAATGTTTGGAACTACAGAGAAACAAACTGTCATATTAAACATATCATAAGGCACAACCTCCTTGCTTTGCCAGATCTGTCGTCTGCAGAGTAAGCCAGTCCTTTCCCACCCCACTTCAAGACAGCTGAAAAGTCAAGACAAAGAAGTACCTGCATGACTGTGGACTCCACCAAACTGGAGGTGCTGCCTTGCCCAATTAGAGCCCATTCTCAAATTTAGAACAATAACTGGCCATATTTACAGTAACAACTTTTTGGGCCTTGTTCATCAAGCCCTTTAGATGACAATTAGTGATTCTAAACTCCTATACTGGTATTACTTTCATATCTTTGAATAACATCTGTAAGATGAAAAATGTGATATTAAATATTCACTAAGATCTAGTTAGTTACAATTAAATGAAGACACTTACTTTGCATAAGCAGCCTGAGAATGTCACTGTACTGGTCAGGAAACTGGTAGAGAAGAAGATAAGTCCAGTGCTTACAGAAAAGATTAAATGGCATCAAAATATCCTCATCTGGTTCAAGGCCCCAGGCAGTAAGTGCCAAGTGAATGGACTCCAGAAGCCTGGTACGATCAGACAGAGGAGGTTTAGTGGCGCTTAACCATTGTTTAAGATCGAACTAAAAAGAAAAAGAAACAAAAAGCCGTTTTATTTGCACTAGAAAAATAGTTTAAGAGGAGAGAGGTCTGTGTAAATTTAGTTTAAAAGCCAAAAATTACCCAGCATTTTATAAAAATTGAAATTAAAATGTATAAACAAGTACATAAAAGATTCAACCTGAGGAAGCTAATTGTAAAATAAATAAATAAATAATAAAAAGAGAAGTACATAAAAGAATATAAGAAGTTCACTAATTGGGTCGGGTGCGGTGGCTCACACCTGTAATCCCGGCACTTTGGGAGGCCAAGGCAGGCTGATCACCTGAGGTCGGGAGTTCAAGACCAGCCTGACCAACATGGAGAAATCCGGTCTCTACTAAAAATACAAAATTAGCCAGGCATGGTGGCATATGCCTGTAATCCCGGCTACTCAGGAGGCTGAGACAGGAGAATAGCTTGAACCCAGGAGGCGGAGGTTGCAGTGAGCCGAGATCACGCCATTGCACTCCAGCCTGGGCAACAAGAGCGAAACTGCGTCTCACAACAAAAAAAAAAAAAAAAAAAGTAGTTCACTAATTGGTGCCATTATGCATCTATTTCTGTGTTACTATCTAGAATCTCAGAGGCAGAGTTTTCTAAGCTCTGTGTGCTTTTCTTGCAATTTAAAAATTTTACTGATGATTCATTATTGGCTTATAATTTTATACTGTTCCTCAGAGTCTCATACATTTCTGTCTTATAATAAGTTTCCTCTCCAAGAACTGGATCAGAACTTCGTAGCTCTCCTTCACTGGCGACAGTGCCACAAATAAGCAGCCACTTTATGGAACTGTCTCAATTTAACAGCCATGTTTCTGGTCTGCATCAGTTACCTGTCTCAGTTAATAAAATTCAGACTGTTGATATTCCCTTCCAAAATCCCAAACTATAAAACATGTTCTCCTCCATTATAGGCTGAGATCAATCTGTAGGCCCTAAAATTGTCAAGGTTGTCTTTTTTTTTTTTTTTTTCACAACAGGTCTCACTCCATCACCCAGGTTGGAGTGCAGTGGTGCAATCACAGCTCACTGCAGCCTCAACCTCCAGGGCTTAAGCAATTCTCCCACCTCAGCCTCTGAAGTAGCTGGGAGTACCACTAGCCTGGTGTTTTTTTTTTTTTTTTTTTTTTTTTTTGTACAGACAGGGTTTCTGTGTTGGCCAGACTGGTCTCAAATTCCTACGCTCAAGCAATCTTCATGCCTTGGCCTCCAAAAGTGCTGGGATTACACATAGGAGCCACTGCACCCGACCAAAACTGCCAAGGTTTTGATTCATAGATGTAACAGAAATACAAGTGAAGGCAAAGTAGCTAAGACTCTGAAATTCTCAACTGCTTAAGTAAACTCATTACCTTGGTCTAACAGAGTTAATATTCTAATGTTATATACTAAGATATTAATATAAAATATAATATTAATATAAAATAAAATATTAAAGTTAATATTCAGAATGAGATCAAAGGCAATTTGCTTAGATCCAGCTTATTCTAAATATGAGAGAGACTAACAAAACCTTTGTCAAACACAATTTAGGCATAAATTCAGGATAAATTTTAAAAAAGGATGTACTAAACTACTATTATGAATATTTTCAAAACTGTATTAAGTTTTTAAAAAGGGGTGGGAATTAGGTCCTTTTTACACTAAGTGGAATAAGACTACCCTATACAACAGGGATCCCCAAGCCCCACCTCCTGTCAGATCACCCATGGCATTAGAGTCTCATAGAAGTGCGAACCCTATTGTGACCTGTGCATGTGAAGGATATAGGTTGCATGCTCCATCTAATGCCTGATGATCTGAGGTGGAACAGTTTCATCCCAAAACCATCCCCTCTACTCCAGTCCATGGAAAAACTGTATTCCATAAAACCGGTCCCTGGTGCCAAAAAGGTTGGAGACCACTGCTATACAAGACAACCAATGCCCCACCCCCTAAGAAGCAGCTGTGGGGTCAGACTGCTTGAAGCTCATGCAAACTGTGAAAAAGGCCTCTCAGCCTCTGCTGTACCTGGAAACAAAACTGCAGAGGTCCTTTTATTTCTGTAGAGGAGGAAGCAACAATCATTCCTACGTTTCAACAATATGGTGAGGATGGAATTACATCTTACCTTGGTTAGCAGCATGAAAATCATATCACTGTTGTCCTCACTTAGAAACTTCACCACTTGCTCATACAGCTGTATGAACTCTGCAGGTGCAGCATTGGGAGTGAAGAAAGGAGACAGCAGGGAGCAGAGCCTGCTGTTCTTCAGAATGGTTTCAAGTACTTTTCTGCACTCTGATTTAATGCCACTGATAAATACCTTGGAAAAATAAAAAGGAAAAATGTCACCAGATTCTTCCCTCACAACCTTTATTTAAGCAAGCAAATTTTTAAGGGGCACCAAATAAGGTGAATAGAATTTTTTTCTAAACAAAAGTCTGAAACAATCAAAAGACAGCTAAAATCAACATAGATAAGCCTATTGCTTCCAATGGAAGTAATATTAGAAATTCTGAAGAATCCATAAATCTGATTTGGACAAGTCACACAGAAAATGCTGAGTTAGTCCGGGTGCAGTTGCTCACGCTTGTAATCCCAACACTTTGGGAGGCCGAGGCAGGCGGATCACCTGAGGTCAGGAGCTCAAGACCAGCCTGGCCAACGTGGTGAAACCCCGTCTCTACTAAAAATACAAAAATTAGCTGGGCGTGGTGGTGGGCACCTGTAATCCCAGCTACTTAGGAGGCTGAGACAGGAGAATTGCTTGAACCCGGGAGGCAGTGGTTGCAGTAAGCTGACATCACACCATTGCACTCCAGCCTGGGCGACAGAGCAAGATGCCGTCTCAATAAAGAAAAAAAAAATGATAAGTTAACTATACTACAAGACTTTTAAGACATTAAAATATTGGGGTACTTTGAATCCACAAACATGCAATGTCCCCACCATGATTACTACAGTACCCAACATGGTGCTGCATTACGTCAGAAAACAAAACTTCCAGGTTATAGATTTTACTGAGAGTTATATTTAATACCTGTCAAAAACTAACTTCCATAATAATATATAATCAAGATGACGTCATCTTGTTTTAACTTGGTTCTAATATTTAAAAGTACAGAATATAAGCAAAAATTGAAACAATTTCACCGGCAGGAAGGCTTTCATATGGTTGACCACAGGCGGAAATAATAAAAGAACAAGACTGATAGGCTTGAATATATTAAAATTTTAACTTCTATAAGGCAAAAATATCATAAAATTAAAGGAAAAAAATGACAAACTGGAAAAATGTTTTTTTAACACATTCCAGATGCCAGGTTAATAGTGTGAGGAGCTCTTTCAAAGCAATCGGAAAACAAGAATCTCCAACAGAAAGTGTACAAAGGACCACAATCACCAATTCACAAAAGTATATATAAATGGCCAATAAACATATGAAAAGGCATATAACTTAACAAGTACTTAAAGAAGTACAAATTAAAATAATAATGAAATACCACTCCCTTATCAGATTAGCAAAACTTAAAAGAATGAGAGTTCCTAATGTTGGTTATGGTATGAAGAATAACAAACTCAAACACTGCAATGATAGCATAAGTAGGTGCAAAATTCCCAGGGAAGGCAGAGTGACTATGTCAAGCATGATGTAAAACATCAAATATACAATGTGTATCAAATTCCTTTGACACAGCAATCATACCTCTAAGAAATTATCCTAAAGAAAATAGTCCAACAAGTTCACAAAGACATACAAGAATATTTACCTCAGCCTGATTGCAGCAAAACAATCTACCTAAATATCCATCCATCAAACACTAGCTCAACACACTGTAATAAATCTGTATCATGGAGCACTATACAGACATGCAATGTCATGATATAGGTCTGTATTTATTAACATGAAATAATGTCTAAAAGATGTGTTTAAATGAAAAAGGAGGTTACAAAATAGCATGAGCCCATTTTAAGTGCCTATCCATATCTATATATCTCTATATATGTAGAAATATGTTTACATATACATATACACAAATAGACACACATATACAAGACAAACTATAATGAAATGTTAGCTATGTAGTCAGTATTTCTAGGTAGTTAGGATTATAAGAAAGTTTTCTTCTTCATACTTTCTATGCTGTCTGCATTGCTTATAATAAGCATACATTAATTTTTTTTTTGAGACAGAGTTTTGCTCTTGTTGCCCAGGCTGGAGTGCAATAGCATGATTTCCGCTCACCGCAACCTCTGCCTCCCAGTTTCAAGTAATTCTCCTGCCTCAGTCTCCCAAGTAGCTGGGATTATAGGCACGCACCACCACACCCAGCTAATTTTGTATTTATAGTAGAGGCAGGGTTTCTTCATGTTGGTCAGGCTGGTCTTGAACTCCCAACCTCAGATGATCTGCCCACCTCAGCCTCCCAAAGTGCTGGGATTACAAGTGTGAGCCACCCCACCGGACCAGCACACATTAATTTTATGATCAGGATAAAAAACTTCCTACAAAAAAATCAATGATGATACCTGTTCAGCATTACTTCCTTGTAAGCATCCAATAAGTAAGTACTCATTCAGTTGAATTTGGGTGAGAGTACATGGTTAACTAGTGTTTACATATTTCAAACAAGAGGTTTTCCTTTCTTTTATGAAACATTTCATAAATCTGTATGATTACCCTTACCCTTATTAAATATCTATCTATGTCACTGTAAGCCAAATAAATAAATAAACAAACAAATAAATGTTGACCAAGACTAGCAACCGGGACACAGCAGTGGGGAGGTGGAGCAAGCACTGAGTGTTGTCAGAAGCCCTGGGATCCAGTCTCAGCTCCACACTCACCAGCTGAATTCTTTAGGCCAGTCACTTAATCTTCTAGAACCTAGTTTTCTCATCTTTAAGAAGGGAATCTCAATCACACAGATTCCCCATGAGGATTAAACAAACTGGGAAGTATTTTTATAAACAATGAAGAGATTTAGTACTGTTATTGTTAAGAACACCAAGGATATATGACAAGTTCTGATGTCTCCCTAGACTTTCAAATATGAATAATCTCCCTTGTATGAGAAGCAAAATTCTATACCAACAATTCTAATCATATTTTGAGAAGCCTACAACTCCAAGAGGCTTCTGACTTGGGTAAGACTCTGAACCTGTAATATAAGTCTGAAGTCAATGCTGACTATATCCAAAGAAGACAGACACCGCAGAGACTCATTATCTGATCAAGGCAAAAGGTACAGATAGCCTTACCTGTCCCAAGATCTCAATACATGAAGTAAAGAACTGCCTTGTTGGGGGATGACGCTGCGTCTCATCGCTGACGTAATCCACAATAGTAAAGAAAAGGCTAATGCCAACTTTCTGAATCCCAGGTGTAGGCTGCAACTTGTAGGCATTCACTAAGGCCCTGTGGGAAAATGTGGGTAAGACTGCAGTCTACAGTAAAAGATTCCATACTCACAAGGCCTTCTTTGATACCCTACAATTTCTCAGGCAATATTCTTAAGAATCCTCAGAGCACCCATGAAAATGTCACTTTAGAAATATTTCATGGAGTAAATATATGTATCTTCCAATTTTACTGACAACTGATTTTCTTTTTTTTTTTCTTTTTGGGGTGGGGGAGACAGAGTCTCACTCTGTCACCCAGACTGGAGTGCAATGGTGTGATCTCGGCTCACCACAACCTTCGCCTCCCGAGTTCAAGTGATTCTCCTGCCTCAGCCTCCTGAGTAGCTGGGATTACAGGCACACGCTACCACACCTGGCTAATTTTTGTATTTTTCTTTTATTTATTTTATTTTATTTATTTATTTATTTTTTGACGGAGTCTCACTCTGTCACCCAGGCTGGAGTGCAATGGCGCAATCTCAGCTCACTGCAACCTCCACTTCCAGGGTTCAAGCGATTCTAACACCTCAGCCTCCCAAGGAACTGGGATTACAGGCAGCTGCCATAATGCCCAGCTAATTTTTTTGTATTTTTGTAGAGACGGGGTTTCACCATGTTGGCCAGGCTGGTCTTGAACTCCTGACCTCAGGTGATCTGCCCGCCTCGGCCTCCCAAAGTGCTGGGATTGCAGGCATGAGCCACCGCACCTGGCCAATTTTTGTATTTTTAATAGAGATGGGGTTTCACCACGTTGGTCAGGCTTATGTCAAACTCCTGACCTCAAGTGATCCGCCCACCTTGGCCTCCCAAAGTGCTGGGATTACAGGCGTGAGCCACTGCATCTGGCCGATTTTCAATACTTAGTAATAATTTCATAGTCTCCTAGGGGAAAAAAATCAGCTATAAGAACTAATTAACATTCTCATCCTTATTAAAAATGTTCATATTTTGCATGTAATTCATAATTTGTTATTTAACTTTTTGTATTCTTTATATAATTTTTTTAAACACAAAACCCTGATTTCTCTACATTTTAAAATCCAAAACACTGACTAAAGTTGAGATAAAGATTTCTGTGTAGAATAAGATCCTAGAATAAAGATAGCCCTTCCAATTCTCACACCTTTTTGTGTCCCTTTCCCAGTAAAAGAAACATCAACCTCTTGTTTGCCTGGTCTCCTCCTTCCCAGGAGCCCCAGCCCAACACACAAAAGGACTCGATGCTCCCCTCCATACACCATCCTACTCTACTGAGGGGATCAGCTGTTGGAACTGGAATGTGGAGTCAGTCACCTTAAAGTAAAGGCAGAGTCAACCCCCACCTCCCAAGTCATGTCATGGTGGCTTTGGAAAGAAAGAGGACAGTGAGAGAAAGCCACAATGAAAGCCAAAAGAAAACGATGGTCAAATGCAAGTTCACAACCACACTTGAGAGTCCTAATTCCCCTAAATAATTGTGCTATGAACTTTGTTCAGTCATCTGAGTTGACAAGGATAAGTTCCTGGGTAAATGTGACTTTGATATAACACATAAGCACTAAATCTCTCCACAACTGAATTTCAATGCACTATATCATCTCACAATTCAGGGGTCAGCAAACTTTTTCTATATAGGGCCAGATAGTTAATATTTTCTGCTTTATATCTCTGTTACAACCACTCAATCCTTCTGCTGCAGCATAAAAGCCATAGAAATTATAAATAAATGGGGATGGCTGTGTTGCAATAAAACTTTATTTATAAAAATAAGTAGCAGGCCAGATTTGACTCAAAGGCCGTAGTTTGCTGATGTCTGTACTAAATTAACCTGTGGGTGCTGCAGGGGTGGTGGTGGTATAGTAGCATGTATGATTACTATTCATGATAACAAAACAGTATTTCAAATTATAATGCCTGCAAAACTTACGTGATCAAGTTTTCTGCATGTACAGCAGCTTCCACAATATTAAGTGATGGTGGTTTAGCAGCTTCTGCTTGCAACTGCTTCACTTCCTTCCGTAAAACATGAAGCTGTTGGCTTATGGCTTCATTCTTATGCATGCCTTCAAACTAACAAAAATTAAAGTTATCAAAAGACATTTCCCCCCATGTGTCAGGTTTCCCATGAAGACTCAAACTGAAATAAAATTATTGTCTTATAAAAATACCAAAATTTGTATCTCTTTATATGACTGCCTTATAAACTGGTAAGATCTTGAATTAATTTATCAATAGTTCAAAGCCTTTTGTAGGATACTATTTCACTTATGTTTCAACTCCTGAAATCCTCATCAAAAACACATCCCATGTCTTCCACCACTGAGGCTTTTCTTGAAGCACAGGAAGCCCCTCCACTGCTGATCATGGCTCCCCAGCCGTAGCCCTTCTGTGTGCTCTCAATCCAACATACAAAACACTCAACTCCAAACACTCAGGCTGCGTACACATGTGTGCCCAGCATTAAAAAAAGATGACACAGATGCTGCTCACAAATGTCGTTTTGAAAGGAAGAAAATATATATAATCATAAAACAAACAACAAAATAAGATAAAATATGGGGAAATGCCCAAACCAACTCCATGCCAAGGAAAGAGCAATTGGCTAATTCCTAAATTCACCAATTTAGGTTCCTAGAAGCTGGTCTTTGATAAAATTTTTATTGGTTTTCAGTAAAGGTGGAAAAACAAGGAGAATTTATTGAGCTTCTTTAAAAAAAAACTAAATTTTTTTCAACTCAAAAGATTATCCTTTTTTAAGATTAGCCTTTCTTATTTGAGAAGCCATCAACAAACCCTTTCTCTGACTGATAGTGACATACATAACTGGTTTGTTTATGCAATTTTAATGTCATTTTTTGGATGTGGATAGAGGCAGAAGAAAAGAGAAGACATCCTGGGCCCAGATTGCAACACAAACACAGAACTGACATGACAGCTGTGGGGGATATGGGACAGAGATACAGGAAGGAGGAGCCTGGCCAGGGTTGCAGAGTGCAGTAAAATCAGACTGGGGAGCTGAGAGAGCCCTCTTGGAGAGGCTTTGAAATGCAGGCCGGGGAGTCTGGACTTACAGGTACAGCTGAAGAGACCATAACATTTAGAAGGCAAGAGTTCTAAACTCTACATTCTCCTCCTGTCTTCCCCAAACACATGGGTGAGCAGTAAGGTCTACATTTTTTCCTTACATGCACCTGCCCAAACCCAGTCTTCAGCCATCACTGCAATGATTAAAGATATCCTTTATAAATAATGTAAATAATTCACAAACTTATTACCTGAGGCTCTTATGTCACTTATGAGGCCCAGGGTTATTATCATAAATTCTGTATAAAAGTTCCTGAAGGGCGGCCAGGCATGGTGGCTCACACCTGTAATCCCAGCACTTTGGGAGGCCGAGGTGCGCGGATCACTTGAGGTCAGGAGTTCGAGACATGCCTGGCCAACGTGGTGAAACCCCGTCTCTACTAAAAATACAAAAATTAACTGGGTGTGGTGGCAGGCACCTGTAATCCTGGCTACTCAGGAGGCTGAGGCAGGAGAATTGCTTGAACCTAGGAGGCAGAGGTTCCAGTGAGCTGAGATCATGCCACTGCACTCCAACCTGGGCGACAGCGTGAGACTCCGTCTCAAAAAAAAAAAAAAAAAAAAAGTTCCTGAAGGGCAATGGTCCTTCCTATTTGTTTTACTTACCCAGAACCCCAGCACAGCATAACTCTGACAATACACTGAGCAACTATTTTTTATGACTGTGATAATAATAACTTTCTTGTATAAAACTCATTAATGTATTAAAAATCTTTACAAAACTTCTTTAAAAAAGAAAAAAGCTCTGTGACATCAAAATGCACAAAAGTGAATATTCTAGAACATATAATGTTAACAATAATTAACTTTTACTATTGGAGAAATGAAAGATTAAAAAAGAAATTACTTGCATTTAATTAGATAATAAATCAATACAAGTATCTGAATTAAATTTGAAATCTTTCAAATAACAGACCAATGTTTAATATCCTAAAATGTGATTAGGAGTATCTGCAGTCAGCCTTTTTGTTCAATACATCACCAAATACAGTTAGACCGGGACTATGCGTGTCACAGAATCCCCTGGCTGGCCTGGAGAGACAGGAGCCAAACAGGAAAAGAGAGAATCTGAGATAAGGAAGGAAGACACAGAATGAAGGGAGGTGGAAAGGCAAAGGATCCAGAGACCACTTGACTGGAAAAATGCAGACAGGACTAAAACTACTCTGTAATCCAAACTTTACAACTGCCATTCCATGTTGTAGAAACTACTAAAATAAAACCAGGTGGTTTAGGCAAGTTTAGACCCTCTCACAAAAAACATCCCCAAATTATTATTATTTTCTAGTCTACTTATTTTTGTTTATTGTTCCCACTACTGTTGAAAGTTTTCTTTTTTTACTGCAATGAAGGTGAGAGCAATGGAATGTCTATCAGTTCATAATTACAAGAAGTAGTAGACAATAGAACAAAGTAGCATGGTGGAAGCCCCTCCACTTGAGTCATTTTAAGTGGACACAGAAATTTAAAAGTTTCCTTGTCTAAATTTAAAAGTTGGACAAAGCATGTCCTTCAGCCAGTTTTTACAATAATGTGAGGCCCTCAGTGGGTCTTTTCCATCGTTCATTTCTTGGAATTAACAAATTTTTCACATGATAATAAATCAATCCTGGGGTCAGCAAGCATACCCACAATACCAAAGTACATCAAAAGGAACCCAATTATAAATCACCCCATTTCCCCAGGGAACATCACTGAATTGTTAGAGCCTTCTACTGGGAAGAGAGAACACAGAAAGAAGCATGTCTCACTTCCCATAAAATATATTTGCCTTTGTATACCCCAAACAAGCTATCCATAGCTCAGACGCTTGCAGATAGCTGGAAATTTCCAGGACATTCTTTCCCAGAAAAAATCTATTAAGGAATAAAATATTTTCATGATATAATTTGAACTCTTTATAAAGGAGTCATTCAAAATTATATTTAAAATCTGAAGTCATTTCCCATAAAGCTAATTTTTAAAAACTGATCTAATCTAGAATGTTAAGATCACAAATTCTCTAATCACTGAAAAAAGAAGGCAATACTATTATACAGACTCAGAGAGAAAATGAAATGGTACCTATATTCATTTACATGAGATTTAACTGTCATGATCAGCTTGCTCAGAATCACACTGCAAGTATTCAGAAGCTGCAGCTGAAACAGCTGAAGCAAAACGACCTGGCAATATTGAATGGGAAAAGTAGGGGTCTTGAATTTAGACATATGCAGGCTTGAATCCTGATGGAGCTACTCACTAGCTATGTGACTTTGGCAAGTCTCACAGTGTCTCTGAACCTGTTTCTCTGAACTCATCCTCATTCTGTGAAGATTAAGTTGGATAAACTAGGCACAGTGCCTCACATCTGTAATCCCAGCACTTTGGGAGGCCAAGGTGGGTGGTTCACTTGAGGTCAGGAGGTCAAGACCAGCCTGGCCAACATGATTAAACTCCATCTCTACTAAAAATACAAAAATTAGCTGGGCATGGTGTTGTGACCCTGTAGTCCCAGCTCCTCAGAGAGAATCATTTGAACCTGGGAGGTGGAGGTTGCAGTGAGCCAAGATCGCACCACTGCACTCCAGCCTGGGCGACAGAGTGAGACTCTGTCTAAAAAAAAAAAAAAAGTTAAGTTGGATAATGAAAGCAAAGCACCTAGCATAATACCAGGGACATGAGAGTGCCCCAAGCAAGTGACAAAAAGTACTGTGAACATGGCTGGGAAAGACAGTGCAACCATCCTTACTGCTTCCCAAGACTGAATATTTGGGAGACATTTACACTAGAGTAAAAATATACAGTAAGCAGTGTATAGTATTTAAGTTGAGTATTTAAGTATGGAAAGTATTAAGTTGTTTAAAAGCAAAGGTAAGCACAATCAAGGAATGAACTGTTAATTTTTAATAAGAAAAAGTTCCAATTTCCATGATGTCTGTCATGGCCAAACAATATCCACAAAATTCCCCAAAGTAGTTAAAATCAGGGAACTTACTTATGAAGGGCATAAATCTAGAGCTGTTCATTCCTTCAAACACATCCATTTTGCAGCACTGACTGTATGAGGCACTGATGATACAAACATGAATAAGACAAAGTCCCTGACCTTGTGTAACTCAAAATCTAGTAACAGCATAGAACTAATCATAACACAAAATAAGTTGTAACACAGCCTAATGAGTGGTGTGTTACAAATAAGGATGCTTCCTTTCAGCAGAGGTGTACTAAAAAAATTAAAACAGGCCAGGCATGGTGGCTTACACCTGTAATCCTAGCACTTTGGGAGGCCGAGATGGGTGGATCACCTGAGGTCAGCAGTTCAAGACCAGCCTGGCCAACATGGTGAAACCTCATCGCTACTAAAAATACAAAAATTAGCTGGGCACGGTGGCACCTGCCTGTAATCCCGGCTACTCAGGAGGCTGAGGCAGGAGAATTGTTTGAACCCAGGAGGCGGAGGATGCAGTGAGTGCCACTGCACTCTAGCATGGGTGACAAGAGCAAAACTCTGCCTCAAAATAATAATAATAATAATAATAATATTAAAAACAAATAAAGATGGAAACCTTATTCCCAAAGAGTTCAGTCTGGCAGGACAAAACAGCAAGTGACTGCAACAGCATTTAGGCACAAGCTGCAATGAGGGAAAGAACATCTCAATTCGACTGCAAGAGTCCGCAAAGACTTCAAAAGAGGTTTGGCCTGAACTAAATACTGAAGGCTGAGCAAGAAAGAGGTCAGAAATGGGTGGGAGGAGAACAAAAGCAGCATATGCGAAGAACAAAGGTATTAATGTGTATGTTGTGTTTAGAAAAATGCAGAAAGTCTAAATGGCTGAAAAGTAAAATGTCTGTGAAGTGGGAGAGAGGATAAATGATGCTGCTAGAAAAAGATCAATAACAGATTATGAAGGGCGCTAAGGGTCATATTCCTTTTGATACTGCCAAGTAAATATGGGTTTTTAGCCTGAAAATGTGATCAGATCTATGTTTCAAAAGATGAGTAATGAGAGAATGGAAAACAGACTAGGCAGGGAGAGAGATATGGACAGGAAATCTAATTAATGCAACAGGTCAAGGGAGAAGCGAGGTGTGCATACCATGGAGAAATGGCAACAGAAACACAGAGAAGGGAATGTCACGGGCTTCAGAAAGCCATTTCAGAGGCAGAACCAATATGGAAGCAACTTTGGAAAATACAGGAATGAAGTAGGGTAGGGTAACTGGAAGTGATGATATTGATGCCTAAGTTTCCAGCTTGGGAGACCAGCTATGTGAAATTATAGGAAGAAGAGATTTGGAAGGTAAAGGTGAGATTAATTTGGGAATATGGAGTTTGAGGTATTTGTGGAACATTCAGGTAGAATGAGGCAGGTGGAAATCTAGATTTGGAACTCAAGAGAGAATTCTGGACTAGAGAAACAGAACAGGATTATCAACATATGAGTAAATAGCTCTTTTGTTCGTTTTGAACTATTCTGAGATCTATTGGAGTTATACACTCTCCAGAAAAAAAAATTTATGCACACTTTCAGGAACTTCACCAATTCTCTAAAGACCATTCACAGACCCCAGATTAAGAACTCCAGCACAGACAGTAGGCAAAAGAAGATGATGTCATATGAAGAAGAGAATCAGGATAACTAGCAATTTAAGGGTTTGAGTTGAGGAGGAAGAAACCCTGGAAACTGAGAAGTGCTTAGAGATTCAGAGGGAAAAGATGTGACTACATAAAGTTCAATATCACAACAGAAAGATGTTAAAAGGAATCAAAACTACTGAACATAGCCATGAGGTGGTCACTGGACACATCTATATAGAGGGCTACAGTTTTATGTATAAAAATAACACAACCTACCTTTTGCAGGACATACTCTCTCCCAATGACAGTTTCATGATGAGTCATAAACACTGAGAACTCACCCTCTCTATCCTCCATTAACACCTCTTTTTCCAAAACTAAAGTCATCCATAACCAATATTATCCATTTGGGTATTGGATGGCTTCATATTTAAGTACAATCTTTGGCCAAAAATCTGAGCAAAACGAACAACTTGCATAGATAATTCCCCAACTTCATAGCAGGTAGAGTTTCAGCTTTCCTCTATCTTGCCCTTTGCCATTAATGTGTAACAAAACATATTTTTATCTTCAAGTCCTAGAAGTATCAACCAGCAAATACCGCCTGGGATAGCCTCAACTAGCAACAACAGTACTATATAACTTTCAAGATTATTTAAGTCTCCGCCTATAAAAGTTGTTCACTGTCCATGTTTTTAATTGCCCTGGCAAATCTGCGTTATCAGGCAAAACACTGGCTGCAGTCGATACTATTATTGATACTGAACTTCTAGGAGCCATCAGTGAGGGATCTCAAGCTTGTGGAACTTCCCAAGTGGGACTAAAAGTCAGGGCACTAAGCAAACGAGTGAGGCCAGCAGAAAAGTAAAACCTGCTTTAAGAAAACTTAAATATTTCTAATGAGGTTAGGGCCACAAAATACAGCTATTTTTTCAAATTCTTTACGCTTCTGCAACATCTCCTTTTTTCCCTCTCTCCTTCATTACTTTTCCCCCTTCTTTCTTCAAGCTATATTAGCAATTACCAATTTTTCTTTTTTTTTCTTGAGACAGGGTCTCACTCTGTTGCCCAGGCTGGAGTGCGGTGGCACAGTCACAGCTCACTGCAGCCTGGACCTCCTGCGGTTAAGTGATCCTCCTGCTTCAGCCACCCAAGTAGCTTGGACCACAGGCGTGCGCCACCATGCCCGGCTTATTTTTGTATAATATTTTTTGTAAAGACAGAGTTTCTCCATGTTGCCCAGGCTGCTGAACTCCTGAGCTCAAGCAATCTGCCCACCTCAACCTCCCAAAGTGCTAGGATTACAGGAGTGACCCACCACGCTCAGCCCAACTTTTCTTTAAAGAAAAGAAAGCACAAGAACTTTGGTATGTTTGTAAAAACATCTAAGCCATGTTCACATCAGTCCTTATCATAAATCATCTTTTCTCTGACCTCCCTCCAATCAAAATTACCTAGAAGACATTTTAGAAAAGGTGTTTCTTTTTATTTCAGAATTAACAAAGCAAAAGATTATGTTTAAAATCTCAATTCAAGGGTTCAGACAAATAATATAATACTATGATCCCTTTTTCTGTAAAGGAAAAGAGACAAGTCACAGGTAGGCTTAGAGCTTCAGCTCCCTGGCCTGCCTGGTGGTATTTTCCACTGCAAGGCCCAGAGAGTTAACAGGAGGTCAGGGCAAGAGACCTGTTCTTTAGCTGAGGCAGTAAATATTTACAGTTCTTCACAGAGCAAGCCATCAGCCAGAACTGGAAAAACATTTCTTTATAGTTATCTCACTTGTCACTTATAAAAATGCATTTTAGAATTCTCTTCTCTATATAAAATTAACAGTCTGGCAAAGATATGTAGTTTTAAAATATGGAAAAACACAAATTGGTGAAGACACCCCTTTTTTTATTAAAACCGGATACATTTTCAGTTTTTTCCTCACTAACTCGAACTCCACCCAAAATTGGCAAACTTTTCTCCCAGTTTTATTACTTCAGCAAGCGATCTTTTCTTAAATATTTCTACCTTGGTCTTACTATAACAGCATTAGTAACTGGGAAAAAAATACACCAAAAGAAAACCAACTGTATAAAGCACCTGGCCAAAGATAACTCAATGTTTAAGAGTCGCACATATTTACAATAACATACGGGAAAATAAGTTGGACTCATCCTAACTTTTAGGTCAAATTTCTGAACTTTAGACAAATACAACTATGTTGAAAAATCAGAGACACATTTTGAAAGTAATGAAAAATACAATACATATAAAAGATTATTTCAGAGAAGACATTTTGTAGAAAAGAGTCTCCCAAGGAAATTGATGGAGACATTGGAATAGTTACAATGAAAATTAGCAAAAAAAGAAGGGAAATTTCTGAAAGACAAACAAGAGGGAGTAAAATAAATTTTCTCCAATTTCCAAAAGCTAACAAAAAAGAATCATTTGTGTGTAGACAGATTTAGACAATAGGCAGTGCTAATCTCCAAGCATTTCTCTTTCAGCTTAAGGAATACTGACTTCACTCGAAGGAGGAATACAGTGCGGTGATTAATGAACACAGGCTGGCCGGGTGCGGTGGCTCAGGCCTGCAATACCAGCACTTTGGGAGTCCGAGACAGGCAGATTGCTTGAGCCCACTAGTTTGAGAGCAGCCTGGGCAACATGGCAAAATCCCATCTCTACTACAAAACCCCATCTCTACTTTAAAAAGAGCACTGGCTCTGGAGCCGGACTGCCTGGGCCTTTCTGGCTGTGCCACTTACGGGCTGTGGCACTTCAGGTGAGCAACTTAATTAACTTCTCTGTGACTCTACTTCCTTACCTGAGAAATGAAGATAATATGATAAAGGCCACCTTGCAGAGTTGTTGTGAGGATAAAATAACTTATTTAAAGTGTTTAGACAGGGCCTGGCATAAAGTAAATGCTATGGCACACTAGCTTCAGCGAAGCTTCCATTGTGAAGTGCATACCATATTGCAGATCCAAATTCTGCCTATATTCCAGTGCAAGAAGGTAACTCTGAGAGGCAGTTCAAGTTTCAGTCACATTGTTGCATGTCTCTCCTCTGCCTGTCAGCAAGTTCCACCCAACTAATCTGCTTCCCATATATCCTTCCCACGTTCATCTTCAGGGGCTCCCTGCCATGTGCAGCAGACAGCCAGAGTTCCCAATGATGGTGCACACCAAGCTTTCCAATGTGAATTCCCACCAACACCCCCAAAACACTTGGAACGGGCTGACCTAGCCACCGACCCCTAAATGACATCATGGCCACTCCATTTCCAAATTCCTTCTAACTGTATCATCACCAAAGTCTTTTAATCAATTGAGACCGGACGCGGTGGCTCACGCCTGTAATGCCAGCACTTTGGGAGGCCGAGGCGGGTGGATCACCAGGTCAGGAGTTCAAGACCAGCCTAACCAACATGGTGAAATCCCATCTCTACTAAAAACACAGAAATTAGCCGGGCGTGGTGGCAGGTGCCTGTAATCCCAGCTACTCGGGAGGCTGGGGCAGGAGAATCACTTGAACCCGGGAGGTGGAGGTTGCAGTGAGCCAAGATCGCGCCACTGCACTCCAGCCTGGGGACTCCGTTTCAAAAAACAAACAAACAAAAAAAGGAATCAGTTGAAGCCCTCTCTCTAGGAATCTTCTCAATGATTCTGATTTTTTTTTAATTCCTATTTGAATATCTGTCTTATAGGACTCATCTGGTACCTACAAAAATGTGTGATTAGCTCTATGAGTGTTTTCATGCCCTGCAAAACTAGTAAATGTTTGGGACACAGACAGTGTGCTATATATGTCTTTCAATCTTTCTCATTGATAAGCCAACATTACGGACTCAATTAAAATTCTCTCAGTTCTGAAGAAATTTAAACACTTACCTGAACCGTGACAACTGCGGCTCCTTGGCATTTCTTACCGCTGCTGCCTCTGCACTCCAAATGTAGTGTGGTCTGTTCTTCACGATTCACATACTGCTTTGGCATTGTGTCTAACAGCTCACCATCCAGAGCAACCTGCTGAGATTCCCGAAGAGCTGCGGTTCTGAAAAACATCATCAGGAGGTAAAAGAAAGTCTTAGGAAAGGTTATATGATAGGTGATAAAGGCTTCCAGTTACCCACAGCCAGCATTATAGTGCAGCAAAAGACACATAAACCATAGTAACAGAGGACCAAAGGTTGTGAGCCAAGACTTACCCAAATCATCCCCCAGCAGAGAGGCTAAAGAGAAAGCTAAGAAATGAAAGAAAAGCCTATAGAGAAGTGAGACAACTTGATAGCCACAAACAAAGCTCCATTTAGAATCCATGTTATACCAACAGACCCTACAAGAACAACTGAGAATTCTATCCTAACTTCATCACCCTCAAGGGGTGCCTTAATTATAAGTACCAATGACTTCTTAGGTATTAGCAACTCAAAACGAAATGTCAAAGACCAAGAAAGCTAATCGCATACATGGGGTGTCAAAACTGGTCTAACGGTATGTATCATTACATTAATGGGCAGGTGCTTATATGTGCACTCAACACACACGCAACAAATGCCTGGACCAAAAACAGACAAGGAAAAAAATACTGATAAGAAATTGATTCATGGCCTGGCGTGGTGGCTCACGCCTGTAATCCCAGCACTTTGGGAGGCCGAGGCGGGTGGATCACGAGGTCAGGAGATCGAAACCATCCTGGCTAACACAGTGAAACCCCATCTCTACTAAAAATACAAAAAATTAGCCAGGCGTGGTAGTGGGCGCCTATAGTCCCAGCTACTCGGGAGGCTGAGGCAGGAGAATGGCGTGAACTCGGGAGGCTGAGTTTGCAGTGAGCCGAGATCATGCCACTGCACCACTCCAGCCTGGGCGACACAGCAAGACTCTGTCTCAAAAAAAAAAAAAAAAAAGGAAATTGATTCACATAGGATTTGTAAAAGTAAGGCTCGCTTACTGTTAATGAAACAGACTTACTCCACGTACGCTCCTTCTCACAAGATCTCAAGTTAGATCAAAACCTTAAATGGTTGATCATATTGTATCCACCTTGTGAACTCAAAACAATGACTTTTCCACACTTCAATCAATATTTATGTCAATTTCTTAAAGAATATGGAGAAGTAGAGAGTACAGCAATGAGAAAAGAAAGGAACTCTTACTTCACACCTTTCCAACATCATCTTTCCAATATCAGAAGATCTCTTCATGAGAAGCATACGAAAATCTTAGCTGGCACTGCTGATGCTCAGAAATGCCACCACAGGAAATGTGAAATTGATAGTTGGTGAGAGTACCACATAATTTCGATGTGAAATTATAAGACTTGTCACAACTTGGTTAACCAAGTGAACCGTCTGGGCCAGGTTGGTCAAACTATCCTCATTGTAAAAATGCTGACAAGGAAGCCACTCCAGGTAGCAAATTATCCAGGCTGTCAAAGCCACCAACATGGGAACATGATCCGTGAGGCTGCATGGTCTTACCTGGCCTGCTGTTGCAACAGATTCAGGTCTGTGCACACCAGCTGGGTGGCGTCCTTCTGACTCAATAGCACAGCAGAGGAAATAACTGGCACAGGAGGCTTCGTCGGGTGCAGAGCAAGGGGAGGCTGGGGAGCCTCATGCTTCCGCAAGTTACTTAAAACCCTTTCTTTAGCTGAAAGAAAATTAAGTCATATATACTGAGCAATCAGGTGAATTAGCAGGAGAACAGAAGCATGTGGTACAATTCAGTAGAATTCCTATCCTCAAAAAATTTATAGTCTTACGATAGTTGAAGAGTTAAAGCTCATGATCTTAAATTATTACCCTAGACAGGCCTTGCATGACATGCTAACAAGTTTGGACTTGATATTAGTGTAAAGCTACTATCTAGTGCCTTACGCTAATATCACGTGGATCTAGTGAACACCTCTATGCAAGCTTGAATCAGATGGTAGCTATCATCTGAATAATGGTTTAGGTAAATGGAGTAGGTCTGGAGGCAGGTCACCCAGTTAAGGTTTTAATGCCATCATCCAGAATTCAGAGGAATAGAAGAAAAAGGAATAAGCGTTATGGAATATAGCCGAGTCAAAAATCTGAAATCAGGTCAAGGTTTGAACAGGAGGACTGGATGCAGTAAGAGATAAAATGAATGAAGACATATGCATAAGCTCCTTCAGCACTTCTATTTATGCAGTCATATAGTCCATCAGTCATTTATTCATTCACTCAACAAATGATTTATGGAGTCCAAATAAGCAATCCTGTGCCACACACACACACACACACACACACACACACAAAGGTGAATCTCTACCATGCAACTTTGCCCTAGATTACACATGATCTCATACTGTTTAATCAAATTCAAATGTTTGATACTTCTAGACTTAGTACAGAGCTGAATACACAGTAGATATCCAATAGATTCCTATCTTCCCTCCCTCTCCCTTCACCACACTATACACATACCACACAGCAGGTGGGGACTGAATAACATGAAGAAAAATGCTGCTACCTACCCAATTCTTTTCAATAGCAAGAAACAGAGGAAGGCAGTGGTCAAGGGAATTTCAAGTCAGTAAGTCAAGTCAACAAGTACTTAAGGGACTACAGTGAATTTCCGATTACATTCCAGATGTAACATTCCATTTTCTATTCTTGTTGAGAAAAATTAAAGAAAAATTAATAGCCATGACTTTACTTGGCATAAGGAGACTTGTATTGTTTGTACCCCAAACAGATGGAATTCAACATTTCAAATAGGTCAAGTACAGCACTATCCCTTATAGTTAGTGTTTTTCCACTAGAACTAACTACTCTTTGCACAGATGTAACCAAGTTAGGTATTCACCACTGGATAAGACTTGTTACTATTTATGTTAAAGTTCCTTTCAAGCAACATAAGAGGCCATGATGCTAAAGGAAAACTGGGGGCTCTTTCAAACCCAATATAAGTTACCATAAAAGAAAAACCAAGGTATTTTAAAAACAAACAAACAAAAAATCTAAATTCATATTTAACAGTAATCACCACTCTGGACCACAACTGACAAAAATATTGAAGCCAATAAAACAAATTTAGTTTAAGAAAAAGAAATTGCTATCACAAGGGTGCTAGTGAAATTTTTCCTACAACCAATCATAACCACAAATTAAATCATTTGATATAATCATCAACTAATCTCTTATATCTGAGAAAAACCTGAAACTCACTATTTAGAAGTATAGGCCCTAATTTTGTTTAGAAGTACAAGGTATCACCAGACACAAGAGGTAGAATAATGAGTGGTGAACAGCAGGTCTCTGGAGTCAGACGGCTCTGCCCAATAACCAGCTATGTGGCCCATGCAGGCAGGTCACCTAACAGCTTACAAATTGGGTTTCTTATCTGCTCAATAGGGATAACCTAACAACATAGGGTTTTTGTGAGGACTGAGTTAATGCATATAAAGCACTGAGACAGTGCTCGGAACAAACGAAGGGCTTCATAAATTACTAGCTTAACTCCAGCGAAAACAATTCGTATTTTAGGGCAGTGTTCAGGCAACATAGAAACACTATGAATGGAAGGGCATGAACGGAAATCATTTAATAGTTCCCAGATCTGTTCATATATTTCTTCTTCTTAACAAACTTTCAGGAATAGAAAAATGAGAATCTACGTTGTTGGCTTGAGGGCAATTTTCATCCCTTTCTCTATATACCTTTCTATATCATTTAATATTTAAAATTAATATATATCTTTTATAATCAGAAAAAAAATTATTGTTTCAAGAAAAAGTGCAGGGAGAGGAAATGTTGGAGGGAAAAATTTTAGAGCCTTAGAAGAAACCAGCCAGCACCATTTTACAGATGAATGGCGTGAAGTCCAGAGAAGTTCTTATTTGTCTCTCTTCATACAACTAACGCGTTTTGGTTAGTGGCAAGCTGGAATAAGAAGGTATTCTGCATTTCTCTGAATCACCTCAGTGTCTTCTTACACTATATATTGTAATAAATATTTTGGTCAACAATTGAATTTACAATGATATGTCCTATATTTTTGAAATATAGTCAGTAATTAAAATTAATAGGTTACCCCAAATATCAGCAACTTTATAGGTTAAATGGGCTTTTGTGGCCTGATAGAAAACTAACTGGTAATTTATACCACTGTTTCTCTAGAAAAATGTACTGGGAGAAACAAGTAACTTAGAAACTTCAGGAATCTGATTCATTTGTATGGTAAGGGTTCTAGGTACAAAGGAAAAGAGTTTATAAAAGAAAAAGACAGACTTCTGATTTTCAAAACTGCAAAGTAATTACATTTACAGTTGCAATTTACACCATTGTGTAAGTCAACTGAAATCTCTTTTTAAAGCACCAGAGGAAAAATGAACACTGGGGGAATAAAGTATGTCAGCCTCAACCCTCAATGGCTCTGATTCAATCATTCATTCACTCATTCGAAGGGGCAGGTGCTCCCAGGACCCACCCAGCAAAGGATCAGTGAAGTCCAGCTGCACGGACAAACTGCAGGGTGTGGAATGGGACTCAAGCTTGGCCTGTGTCCACAGACCAACAGTCTCCTGAAACTCATGATAGATGCGCTCCATGTTCAAATACTCCATCCACAGATCCTGAAACAGAACGACAGTACTTTAACTCTGACAGACAAGTCATAGATTCACATATAAAACTATGTATTTAACTATAAAGTGAACCAGTAAGTTTCAACACGAAGTGGTCTACTCCAAGTCCTCCACCATTAGGATAAATTGCCATTAAAATGACCACTCTAACAATCCCTGCAGTAGCTGTAAAACTTTTTTGATTGTGTATCATGATTAGAAAAAATTTTAACAGCCCTATATGTATATTTGTAAATTATATACATACACTATAAAGCTAATACATTATGTATACTATAAGACATAGGTAAAAAATAGCAAATGTTAAAGAGGTAAAAAATAAAATGTTAAAAAATAATCAAATCTGAATTAGATCAAGACACTAAATCCAACTATCAATTTACAGTAAATACAGGGGACAGAAAAACATGTTAAACTACACCGTGAAGATACAATTAGCAAAATCCATACTGTGGGGAGCCTCTATGGACAAACTACTCAGTTTCTTCAACAAATAAATTGCAAGGAAAAGTAAAGGGATAAGGGGAGGACTTGTAGATTAAACAGACTTATAAGACATATCAACCAATCACAACATGTGGATCCTGATTTAAACTATGAAAATAAATAAAAAAAAAACTTTTATGACATTTATGAGAAAGGTGGAAACTTGAACATTGACTAAATATTTGATATAAAAAATTATTTCTAATATGTTTAGGTATGCTATTGGGTTATGTCATTTTTTTATCCCTATCTTTTAAAATCTTCATGCATCAAGTGCTCTCTGGGATTACCTCCAAGATAAAATGGAAGAGGAAGTGGATGGGCTATAGATGAAACTAGACACATGGCATATGTGGGGAGGGGGAGAAGAGCATGCCCATTATACTGCTCTCCCTATTTTCCTATAAAATGGAATTTTTTCATAATAACAGGTGTCAAATAAGTAAATAAATAAAATGAGAAAACAATAAATATAGTAGCTCTAGTAACCTCTCCCTACACTCCCATGGGCTGTCTTGCATATTCTGAATTATATATATTTCACTTTGGTGATCACTACACTTTAGAATGGGGGACTGCCTTTAACAACAACAACAAAAAGTCAAATTATCAATGAACTTTAAATAGTAATAGCAAGTGAGCAAACAGGGACTATGGGTTTGTGGACCGTGATTTTTTTTGGATTTTAAGTGTTCTAAAGGCCCAAGGATCCCTCTAAACCAAAAAATGTCCTTGGCTTCTCAATAAGCATACTGCTGTGAAGTCCCAACTCATTATTTCCAAACCAACCTCACAGTCCAAGGCATTCCAGACTCAGAGGAGGAGCTCCAATGTAATCCTGATCACAATCCTGAATTCTACATGCAGCTGAGTGTTCAATGTGCTGGGCTAGATCCTCCTATTGCATACATGCTCCTTTAAATAGGGTCACTCTGTCACTTTCTCTGCCTTTATGCCAAGTAACTGTTAACAGAGGCTAATGAATAGAGCAACTACTAGGAATTAATGATAGGTAAGCAGAGACATCTTATAAACCATAAAAATACAAAACAACCCTGAGCTTGAATTACAGATCAAGAAATTATACATCAAGCACCAAGCAAGGGCTGACTTAAAAAGAAAAAGAGAGAGAAAGCAAGCAATTAATTCTGTTGATGCTGAGGAACCAGGATAAATCTCAGAGAACCAAGAAAGCTATGGCTAATTTTTAAAAACACTGACCAAGTACCTACCATGTACAAAGCCTTGGATATGGATGAGGGGTGTCAAGCATAAAAAGATGAGGATGGAACTGAACTCAAAGGATGTCAGGACACCATGGTCTCATGTGTATTTTTCTTGTTTCTCTGGCCCTATACTCTCAGTCTTATTTCTCTGTGCGTTAAATGCTGTTATCTCTCAATGTTCCATCTTCAGTCCTCTTCTTAATCTACATATTCTCTTACCACTAAATCCACATATCCGACTTTGCCTCATTCCTGAATTCTAGATATATACCTCCCCTTCTGACCAACTCCTTGATAGAGAGCTCTCGTTGAAGCCCCTCAGGCACCCCCTCTTCCAGGGTTTATCTCTGGGGGACAAAGTCAGAAATTTGGAAGTCTTTGGGTATCTGATTCTTCCTCGATATATTTTTAATTCATCCATTTGTTTAATAACTGCTGCTATTTCAATAGTTCTCCAAACAAAGACTTCAAAATACAAGCCAAATTATTTAGAAAAGTATACATGGCCCTTAGGGATTTCATTCCTACTCATCTCTCTGGTTTCATCTGCCCCGCCTCAGGTGCTATGCCCTACCCTGCACCTTTCTGAACATGCCCATCCCTTTCTCACCTGCTATATGTCGCTGCACATACTGGTCTTTCTGCCCATTAACATCCTCTCTGCCACTCCCTAACACCATGCCTTTCCTTTCCATCTGCCCAACTCCCATTTGTCCTTCATGGCTCAGCTCAAAGGTCACCACTCCAGGCCCAATCCAAATCAGGGGCTATTCCCCTATGTTTCCATAGTACCCTGTGCATTCCACTCTCGTAATTTTTTTTTTTTTTTAAGACAGGGTCTCTCTCTCTGTTGCCCAGGCTGGAGTGCAGTGGTGCAATCTCAGCTCACTGCAACCTCTACCTCCCAGGTTCAAGCGATTCTCCTGCCTCAGCCTCCTGAGTCGATGGGATTACAGGCGCCCACCACCATGCCCGGCTAATTTTTGTATTTTTTAGTAGAGATGGGGTTTTGCCATGTTGGCCAGGCTGGTCTTGAACTCCTGGCCTCAGGTGATCTACCCACCTCGGCCTCCCAAAGTGTTGGGATTACAGGCGTGGGCCATGCACCTGGCCCATAATCTTGATCACAAAATGTAATAACTGTTTGTTTAGTCTCCTGTTGGCCAATAAGCTCTTAGGAGGCAGGGAATGTATCAGATTTCTTTTTGTATCTTCGGTACCTGGCACTTAGAAGACACTCAGTAAATACACACAGAAGGCAAGGAAAGCAAGAAGAAAGAAGGCAAGGAATGAAGGAAAGAAAACAAGAAAAAGACACCTACTGGAGATAAAATATACACATGATGTGAAAGTAGGAGGGTTTAAGGATCCAAATGAAAGTGTTTCAACTCTTAGAGTTTCCTAAATCCCATCCTGGTGCTGGGGTCAATACTCAAAAGACTGCAGCCCTAGAAAAAAAAGAACTAGAATAGAAGAGAATTATCTTCCCCACTTTTTCCCTGTCCCCAAGATGGCTAGAAAAGCTTAGAGAAAACTGACATCACAAGTTTTGGCCTGAAAAAGGGTCACAGACATCTTTGAGTGCCTGGGGGAGAACAGCTTAGGACATACGAAGACTGAAATCAAGTGGTTCCAGAAGAGCAATCAGAACTGTGACAATGACAAGTAAGCACCTCCAAGCCAAACAAAGGTGAGCTCCTGATCTCCTCCATGCAACCAACCTCCCACATCACATATGGATCCCTACAAATTCTTACAAATTCTTACACTGCATGTAAGAATGGGAGTAGAGATAATTGCTTAAAGGTATTCAGCTACTAACAACTTCCAATTAAAAAAAATATACAGTCAGAGGAAGGTTATGTTTATGAGGTCGTAAAAAGCCCTAGAACAAGCTTCAAGCCTTCAGGTAGAAGGCACGGTGGGGCTGGAGATTCAAAAGGGAGTATTCCCTCCATATAATCACTTAGATACTGACAAAACCATAGAAACAATGACCATCTGAGTGACTACCCATTTTCTTATCAATAAATTGTTTTATTATGAATATGACCAGTTCAAATTACATTCAGATATGCTAAAAAAAAAAAAAAAAAAAGGAGGGCTATAATTTCACCTGCTGATTCTGCATCACTTTTGCTAGCCTGTGAATATCATAATGCTTTGGTAGAGAAGGGATATAGGTATCTCCTTTTTGAAAATTCTCATCTTCTAGCCATAATATATATACATTGAAGAGCCTAAAAGATAAAAACATAATTATACGAAACATAAAAAGATGAGCATACAAACAAAGCTTCTTACATCTCTAGGAACACTGGCACCCCTACATAAGAGTAAAGAAAGCCCATAATACAGAAAATGTGGCCAACAACCACCACGGCTCCCAGAGAACTCCTGGTCCAGCAGGGGAGGCACGTCACAGATTATTCAAATATGATGCGATAATTGCTAAAACAAAAGGTATGAAGAAGGGGCTCTGACAACAATTCTTAAAGTAGATTTAAATACAGTACACAGAAAAAAATAACTGGAAAAGATGATTTTTACCACAGACCTGGGATCTGAATCTGGAGCTTTTCTTTCCTAGGCAATTCAGTCAGTTATTTTTGCTTAGAAAAGCAAAAATAATACATTCAAATAAAAACATTTTCAGAGAAAATATTAAGAGCTATTTTAAACTTATGCATTGTAGGAATTTTCCAGCTTTAGGCTCAAGAACCATCTCCCACCTCAGAGAATCGCAAATAAATATCACAGCATGTGTGTACGCCCCTCTCATCAAGAAGGAATAAAATCAAATCAGACTTAAAAAAATAAAAGTTCTGGCTGGGCGCAGTGGCTCATGCCTATAATTCCAGTACTTTGGAAGGCCAAGGCGGGCGGATCACAAGGTCAGGAGTTCGAGATAAGCCTGACCAACATGGTGAAAGCTTGTCTCTACTAAAAATACAAAAATGAGCCGGGTGTGGTGGTGCACACCTGTAATCCCAGCTACTCAGGAGGCTGAGGCAGGAGAATCACTTGAACCCGGAAGGCAGAGGTTGCAGTGAGCCAAGATTGTGCCACTGCACTTCAGCCTGGGTGACAGAGCAAGACTCTGCCTCAAAAAAAAAAAAAAATTCCAATTTTCCAGTAAAAACCTTTTAAAAATACAATACTTCCTTCATTTTTATTTTGCTTTTGTTTTTACCAGCAGTGCTAGAAAAATAGTCGGCAAATACACAAATTACTGGGTAGGGGACTGGGAGATGGTCTGGCCTGACTTTACTCAATAAAGTGGAAAATTACCTCCTTTACCTCTGCAACAGCCAGTCCAGGAAGACAGACAAGGACAGGGCTTTGGGGTTCTTACAGGGAAGAGGTTGCTAAGTAGTTCTCTCCTCCAGCTTCTGGCTCAGTGAAATAGATGGCCACTTTATGAACACATACCAGGAGGGGGATATAACAGAGGCAGAAAGGAATATCAAAGACTCTCTTGGCTTATCTAAAATATTCACAGAGAAAGCCGTCCACTGGTTAAGGCTGGTTAAAAATAAGTTCTCCTTCAACAAGCAACATAAGGGAAGAAATCATTCTGGAGGCTGACAGAGAGTCGTAAAAGGTTGAGGGCAAATAAACCTAAGGCCTCAGTGCTAGATGAAATGGGGACCTCACCTAGCTATTGTGTATTGAGGATTAATTCTTAAGAGCCATTTTTATTAAGTCTTATTTGTAAGACTAGTATTTGATTTATATCAAACTTATAAATGAAAGGGGAAGGAATAGTGTGAAAGGAATCCAAACCTACTTCAGAGTTCTTAACCTTTTAGAGGAGGCAAATATTGTACCCTGATTTTATAGGGCACATATTTTTGGGAGATTACTAGACCCCTCATCTCAGGTGGATCCCTGAATCCCGTGAAGGATCTATGAACCACACTTAAAGAGCCCTGCCCTGGTCATTTGTTTCTTTTGAAGAGCTATTCTAAGCTACGTGTGGTGGCACACACCTGTAGTCTCAACTGCTCAGGAGGATCACGTGAGCCCAGGAGTTTGGGGCTGAGGTGCACTATGATCGTCTCACTATAATCGTGCCTATGAATAGCCACTGCATTCCAGCCTGGGCAACATAGTGAGACACTCCTTCTTAAAAAAAGAACTATTCTAGCAAGGTTTTTTTGTAACAGAGTCTCACTCTGTTGCCCAGGCTGGAGTACAGTGGCATGATTATGGCTCATTGCAGCCTTGACCTCCTGGGCTTAAGGGATCCTCCCACCTCAGCCTCCCAAGTAGCTGGGACCACAGGTGCACGCCACCAGGCTTGGCTAATTTTTTTTTTATTTTTTGTAGAGATAGGGTCTCACTATGTTGCCCAGGCTGTCTAGCAGGCTTTAATAGTTGTTTACCTGCTATGATAAAATTTGGCTTATTTCTATTTTTACGTAAAGAAGTAGAAGAGGATTTATCGCTCAGACTACAGGCACTCGACACAAGTACATCCAAACTGTTGATTCAGTTCTCTTGAGGAACATAAAAGAGAAACATTTCAAGATGCAAATCTATATCAAAGCCACCTTCCATATTCAATCTAACCGTGTTAAGAGAATAACATCTAGCAGTTTGTAACACAGTTAACTGCTCCAGCATAGTACCTGTGCTGCAAACAACAATGTAGGTGGCTAAATAACCATACTCACCTCACCAGCTCCTTGTGCAGTTCTGGTGAAGTCAGGTAACCAGGGGTGCCAGAGTGGCTCTCTGGCAGCCCTTCACTGCCCTCTGCTGGAACACGGAGGGCCTTGCTTGCAGCATGGTGGAAGTCAGCCACCTCGGTCAAACGTCTCTTCATTTCTTTCAACAAATTGATATGAGCAGGACTTTGAAAAAACCTTCTTCCAATACAACCATCTATGGGTAACCTTAAAAAACACAAGCACAGATCTATAACCTTTCAACACAAGATGTACTTTCTGTATGGCATAAAATAGCAGTTAATTAGCAAGGCAATTTACTGTGATTGTGGATATACACCATTAAATTAACACCTATTATTTCTACCTCAAAGATTATTTTGATGGTCCAACAAGATGGTGTATATGAAAGTAGTTTTAAAAAGTGTGAAATGCTACACAAATTTAAGACATCACTACTTAGAGGTACAGCATAAAGATGGTTTCTATTCTTGAAGAACTTGCAATCTGGCAAAAACTAAAACAGAAGCGACTAAGAATCTATCTATCTATCTATCTATCTATACACACACACACACACACACACACACACACACATATATATATATATATACATTTTTTTTTTGAGACAGAGTCTCGCTCTGTCACCCAGGCTGGAGTGCAGTGGCATAATCACTGCTCACTGCAACCTCCACCTCCTGGCGACTCTCCTGACTCTCCTGCCTCAGCCTCCCAAGTAGCTGGGATTACAAGCATGCGCCACTGCGCTGGGTTGTTTTTTTTTTTTTTTAGACAGACTCTTGCTCTGTCACCCAGGCTGGAGTGCACTGGCGTGATCACAGCTCACTGCAAGCTCCGCCTCCTGGGTTCACACCATTCTCCTGCCTCAGCCTCCTAAGTAGCTGGGACTGCAGGCACCCGCCACCACGCCTGGCTAATTTTTTTGTATTTTTTTTTTTAGTAGAGACGGGGTTTCACCATGTTAGCCAGGATGGTCTTGATCTCCTGATCTCATGATCCACCCGCCTCGGCCTCCCAAAGTGCTGGGATTACAGGCGTGAGCCACCGCGCCTGGCCGTGCTGGGCCAAGTTTTCTATTTTTAGTAGAGACAGAGTTTCACCATGTTGGCCAGGCTTGTCTCGAACTCTTGACCTCAAGTGATCCTCCCTCCTTGGCCTCCCAAAGTGCTGGGATTACAGGTGTGAGCCACCATGCCCAGCCAGTATCTATATATTTCAAATGAGTAAGTTAAGGGAATGAGGAATTGAGGCAGGAGCTAGAGAGCAATGGTTCGTAATAGTGGATGGCTCTGGCTGGGTGGAGTATCTTCATATGAATCCCATGAAAATGCTGAATATTCCCAAGTACAACCTACAGGTGACAGACAAAGCCTGGCCTTTGTTCACACGCGCACCACTCATCACAAGGTCCCCTCCTACAAGCCCCATGACGGTCACACAGGCAGCCTCAGTTTAAGGCAGTTGCTCTCCCTTTGCATCTCCAGAAGTTCTGTGTGAAACCTTGCCCAATCCCAGGGTGTTGTCTTTACTACACTGGTCATGGAAGATGGTAAAGAGAAGCTGCCACAAGACACCAGCAACTCAATAAAGATCCAGTCTAATAAATGTCAAACATAGAGACAGAGAAAGAGTCCTCACCAGAGATCACCAAAGAATGATTCCAACTCACACTCCACAGTCTAAGAACACATAGAATGAGAGCAGTGCAAAGGCAGAAATGGACTCACAGAAACCTACAATACTGGGCAGCATACCCATACTGTGGTCCCGGACGGTGAAGATACAGAAGGAAGAACTTCTGCCAAATGAGTGGCAGGAGGGGGTGATCAGAAGGTGTGACCAGAGCCTGGTGGGCCCAGCGATAAATCAGCAGCCTCTGGAGGGATGGCACGATGGGGAGCTTCAGCTGGGTCTGGGCTTTCTACAAAAAAGAAAGGGCTTTGAGTAGCCACAAAATGAACATAAATGCAAACGGTTAACTCTTTCTAAGTGATCCAACTGAAACACCAAACATTCTGTTTTCAATTCAATAATATATTTTTTAAAAGTCACATAAAACTCACTTCTCCAATCCACTAGTTAACATTTTAACCTCCTTGGTAGCAAGACATGTAGGGCAGCTTTTTATTCTGTCAAAACACTTCACAGACCCCAAAATGGGTATGGGTCTTAAGAGTCATCTAGTCTAACCTCATTTTCATTTCTGAAATTCCTTGGCGAATACAACGTTATAGTGCAAGGGAATAGAAAGATATGAAAACCAAAAGTAAAGCCGGGGACAGTGGCTCACACCTGTAATCCCAGCACTTTGGGAGGCCAAAGCAGGTGGATCACTTCAGGTCAAGAGTTCAAGACCAGCCTGGCCAACACGGCAAAACCTTGTCTCTACTAAAAATAGAAAAATTAGCTGGGTGTGGTGGTGCACTCCTGTAATCCCAGCTACTCGGGAGGCTGAGGCATGAGAATTGCTTGAACCCGGAAGGTGGAGGTTGCAGTGAGCTGAGATTGTGCCATTGTAAAATTCCAGCCCGGGCGACAGGGCAAGACTCTGTCTCAAAAAAAAAAAAAAGAAAAAGAAAAAAAGAAAATGTCACTATGTGACTGTCAAACTTTATCAATCTTTTGAAAATTCAGATTTCAAAAGGACATTCGAGAATGCTGAATTCTTTGAGAGGCTCTGAAACCCAAAAGCAAATTCTTTAACAGGCTCTGAAACCCAAAAGCAAAATCTATACTAAAATAGAAGGTCTTTAAAGCCTTATTCCAGTCTTTCCCACATATTAGTAAGCCTAAGAATCAGCTAGGAGTTTCAAAAAATAACCTCCTTGTCCCACTCGAGACTCAGAGACTCCAAATCCCAGAAGATGAGGTCTAGGAATCTGCTTTTTAACAAGTTCTCCAGGGAATTCTGATGTACGTGGGATGCAATGACAACACCCGTCACATGTGCAATGATCCAGCCTTCAAATACTAGGCTGAGACTCTTGTTAAACAAACCTTGAGAAGCAAGTACTCTTCAATTACACAGTTTTAAGTATTGGTTTGGTTGTTGAGCTTTCCAAACATTCACAACAAAATAAAACACAAAAGCTCAAAAGCTACGGGTGAATCCATCAGCATCAAAGTGTAAGCCACCTTCTACCACTCAAATGCAGAACTGCTATTTGTACCTTCAGAGCTTGGTCAGGGGTGAAAGCAGAGTTTATCACCAATTCCCCTTCAATAACTCTCCGGAGCTGGGAGTCCTCTTCAAAGATGGATTCCATGTTGAGCACTGTCCAGGCAAACCAGACCTATAATGACACCAGATAAAGGGGAGGGGAAGGAGGAGCTCGCCCCACTGACGAAATACATCCTGATATTCCACAATTTAAATCTCTTCCTATCTCAAGCTCAATCAGCAAATATTTGCAGTTTCTAAAATTAACACCTTTTTATACCTACCTATATCCTTGTCGCAGATATAAATTTAAATAAAATAGATCATTGGAAAATGTTACATTCCTTTGGAAAGGCTACTTTAGTACAAGATGTTCATTAACTCCATATTTACCAGGCAAGATCTGTGTGCAAGAGAGACAGGAAAGAGGACCAGACAGGGGCTCTGTCTTTAAGAAGTCTTCCATCTACTGGAGTAGACAAGACTAATATATAAGTAAGCAAAATGTGAAGTTGAGCAGTGACGAGGACTGAGTCAAGGTAAAGTGCTATATCAGAGAAGGTTCTATGTAGATGTCAGAGGGAAAGGCATGCTGGTAAGAGAATCCGCTAGGCAGAGACAAAAAGAGGAAAAGCCCGGGATGTGTCTAGGTAACAGCAAGGAGTTTGTTCCAGCTCAATCCATGAGAGGTGGGAAGAAGAGCAAGAAGTAAGACAAATAAGAGGTTGAAGAACATTACTACTGATTTAAGAGATGAAACAGACATAATTTTATACACAAAGTCTAAGAGGTGGTAATGATAAAAATAATGCTGCTGCTGATGATAATAATAACAATGGCCAACACTCAGTGAGCACTGGTTATGTGCGAAGCACTGTTCTAAATGCTTTACATATAGGTGCCATCATTATTCCCATTTGACAATTGAGAAAACTGAGGACAGATAGGTAGGCAAGCTGCCCAAGGCACAGAGCTAACAAACGGCAGAAACCAGATTGAAACCCAGACTGTCTGGTTCCAGTGACCACTCTAAACCTCTCTGCAGTGCTGCTGGGCAGTCTCTGCAGTCCGGCTGGCTGCGGTATGATCAAGAGCTGTCTACTCCTGAGACAGTCCTTAATTCCACTGAACCTCAGTTACAGCTAGACACAGTAGTGTGCCTGTAGTCCCCAAATACTAGGGAGGCTGGGAGCAGGAGAATCACTTAACAACAGGAGATTGAGACCAGCCTGGGCAACAAAGTGAGGCCCTGTATCCAAAAATGTTTTTTAATTTAAAAAAAAAAAAAAAGAAACAACTCAGGCAGGGCGCGGTGGCTCACACCTGTAATCCCAGCACTTTGGGAGGCCGAGGTGGGCGGATCACCTGAGGTGAGGAGTTCGAGACCAGCCTGACCAACATGGAGAAACCCTGACTCTACTAAAAATACAAGGTTAGCTGGGCGTGGTGGCGCATGCCTGTAATCCCAGCTACTCGGGAGGCTGTGGCAGGGGAATAGCTTGAACCCGGGAGGCAGAGGTTGCAGTGAGCTGAGATCGCGCCATTGCACTCCAGCCTGGGCAACAAGAGCAAAACTCCATCTCAAAAAAAATAAAAATAAAAATAAAAAACTCAGTTAACTCCTCTGTAAAACAGGAATGGCAACAGCACAACCTCACCAAAGGGCTACTGTAAAGATTAAATGAAAAAGTATACTTACACTAGAATAAGTGCTAAATAAAAGTTAGTTTAGACAATTAGTAATTTCTTTGTAAGGATGATCATGAGATTAAAGTTCACAAAGATAACAAATGATCCTCTCAGTGAGTTTCCTACCTGAGTGGGCGTGGCCAAGCCCTCCACAAAGGAAGGAGTGATGTTGCCTGCCACAATCCAGCTTACCAAAGATGAGAGCAGACTCCGGTCACAGTGGTAACCCAAGGCATTCTACACCGGGAGATGTGGAGCAGAGAGAGGAGGTTTTAAGGAAAATCTTATCAATGACCTTTACAAGAGTATCAGCAACTGTCTTACTACAATACAAGATTCTGATAAGACAGAGATTTCAAGGATGAGTCCACCAGCAGCAATAGTCCAAGGCAGAGCATTACAGCCAAATGTAACAAGCGGGACTCTTCCTGGGCTGTCCTTTCCAACTTCCCTAGGGTCTACGCTAGTGGACTACGATTATCGGGATAAGGTACCATTAAGGCAAAGCTTAAAGAAGGTAATGGCCACAGAGTAGAACTGAAAACTGTACTTGGGGGAATCTTTTTAGAAAGCTACTTTATCTAGCCAATCACTGAAAGATAAATTCTCTAACAGGTTAATTACCTTATGTTGTTGGTAGAGTAATTTCTGTATGCAGTCTTCCTGCATCAGCTGAAAAGCTGCTTTACACAAGTGGTCCATGAGGAAGAGGATAGGTTGTTCTCGGTACCAGAGATGCTGGCTTATGAGAGCCTGAACCCAGAACTCCAACACAGCAACGGGGCCCACTTCATTGGGCTGAGTGCTTACAGATATGTGTGCCTGTGGAGAAAAGGCTCATGTGATGGGAAAGATAACAACCAGCCTCTCATTTTTTAAATAGCAACAAAATGCTATCTACCTCCACTACAAATCCCAAATCTATTGCCTTTCTTGGCCAAAAGCACACTAAGCCAAGTGATCTGAAATGACTAAAACCTAAGTGTGCTAACGCTAGAGGTCTTGGTTGGGAAGACAGGCGGGAGTGTGCTTAGGGGCTTGCAAGGCCCTCACCTGGATCATGCTGTTGAGAAGCTTCACGTTGTCCCCATGGCTGGCTCCTGTCAGGTGCTGTGCCACCTTGTGGGTGACCTGTTGTGTGACACCCTGAGGGACACCGCTGTCCAAGTGTAGGAACAAGAGGAGATGCGATAAAAACCTGCCAAGCACACAGGAGGACGCACTTTACCTTCCGATCAGAACTCAACAGAATTTTCCCTAATTACTTATGAGGAAACAGAAAATTCCTAAATTGGTCCCATTTTTCGACCAAAGCACTATTTAAGAAGGGATTCTAGAAGAATAAAGTTTTCACATTTAACATGGGTTAAAAGGAATTCTATCTACCCACAGAGGTATTAAGAACAGATCCACGACACACAAACACATGCAAGTTAAACAGCATTAGAGGAAAAACACCCAAAGGCACCACTCTCCCCTCCTCACTCCCCAACTCCATGAATAAAGGCAGAGATGTTTCCAAACCATTCAGTTTCCAAACTTGCCTCATACCCAGGGTGCTGATTCTTAAAAAGGGGTTGAAGGGTTAGGTGAGTAGTTCCCAGGACCTAACCCATTTCTACTAAAGTAACATCTCCGGGGGAGAAACCTGGGAATCCATATTTAATAAGCTCTTTTGGGCAAATTGGAGACATACTGCTTGAAAAGACACATAACAGGAAAACTGTAATGCTCCCCTTGTGCCTTTGGATGTACTTCATGTCCCCACTGTACAGGGTTCCTCCATATGGGGTGAGGCCTCACCTCCCCTTTCATCACTGTTCATGAGGCCCCAGCCAGATGCTTTACTCTTGCCTCCCTAGACAGGTTGTTCTCTTCCCACCTTCCTAGCATCTTATCTGTTTGCAACACTGCACTATGTGCACTGTAAACAATTTAAAACAATCTTTTCTATTGTTACAATGGCAAACCATTTGCTGCTTAATATCAGAAGCACGATTCCCAGAATCTCAGGGAAACAACTGCTCCTTCATATACTATTAAGCTTTAATAAGCAATTCAAAGTTATAATAAATGAAAAGGAAAAATATCTTTCATGGTAATAAAACTGGAGTCATTATTAGAATCACTGTTCATCAACCTGCATTCTAAACTGGGGTGCAGAATATTTTTGCCCCATAATACGCTGTTGAAATAGCATTCCCTTTATTTTACTTAAGAAACCAGAAGACACAATCATTTGTACTTGCTGGACTGTTTAAGAGTGTCTCCTGCCATAGATGGAACACACTTACTGCTCATTCTTCAGAAGGTAATACTGGCAAGGGTAAAATAAAGGCAGAATCTTATCCAGGACATGAACCACTGTTCTCAAATGTCTTGACTGGACCAGAATTCCCAATAGTGGGATGCCTTCTGCACAGAACTTCTCAATGCTATGGAAAAAGAGAAAGGCACTGAATACACAAGGGAGCTGGTTCATAAAATTCTGTTCTTCCAATGAGTTATGAGCCTTCAATACCTTGGGTTATCTCAGGTCTCCAACACATGTTTTATACCCAATCTTCACACAGAAATACTAAACCCAGAATTCTAGAATTGCAAAGAAACTTAAAAGTTAATCTTTATTTTCATTGTATGGATGAGGAAGGTGAAGTATCATGCCCAAATTCACATAATTTCCTAGAGTAAGGTCAAAATGAGAACGCCAGTTTGCAAATTTCTAATCCAGAGTGCTCTCTACTACCATATTTTATTTCTCAAAAAGAGCTTCTCCTAAGAGCCGTAGGGACTCTCCTTGTCTGGATATTCCCACAAGGTATCACAGCAAAGAGGAGACTCAAAAGTGACCTCAATCTGTCAGTACAGGTTGACTATCCCTTAACTGAAATGCTTGAGACCAAGTATTTTAGATTTTGGAACACTCGTATCATACTTAAAAGCTGAGCATCCCTAATCCAAAAGTCCCAAATCCAAAATGCCCCAATGAACATTTCCTTTGAGTGCAATGTCAGAACTCAAAGTTTCAGATTTTGGAGCATTTCAAAGTTTAGATTTTCAGATTAGGGATACTCAACCTGCATAAACTGCAAAATTCTGCTAAAACCAATTTGGCATAAAAGTTTTATTCTCTGCCTCACTTCAAAGAATCTATCCTTAAAAAATAATCTCAAATACGGAAAAAAATATAAAATATGATCCATATAAAGAGGCGCTTTTCAGGTTTATTTTTAACTCTAAAACTGAGAGGTTGAAAATGACTTAAGGCAATTTTAGAAAAATCCTTTCAATTGGAAATATTATTGTATCATTTTAAAATAATACACATGATGACCAAAGGCAATGTGGAAAAACACTTCTGCTATAAAGATACTAGGGAATAAGACATAAAATTTTATACTCATGATCATAACTACTAGTAAAGAAAAGTTATTTGTGGAGGCGAATACAGGGACAATGTCACAACAAAAGAGTCATTGTACAAGAGTGGCAGAAGTGAGTGGCTTTTTCTCCACTTTCCTAATTCTGCAGTTTGGTTATACTGCTTTAATTCTGGGGGAGAAAATCATTTCAAAAAATAAAGTAATTGTGCAAAGGTTATGCCACAAGGAAGCTACTTACAATTGTAAAGTGAAAAACTAAGGATATAAAATTATACATACATCTTTAAAAAGATCAAAGGAAAAATGATGGATGAAAATAAACAGAAAAAAAATCAATGATTTTATGATGGGAAATATTCTGGGTGATTTTCTGACTTCTCTACAATGTCTGTAATATTATATTCACAAACAACTTATGTCCCTGCCTACTCCACCCATACCTAAGATTGTTTTAAGTTACTTCTATATTCCAGTACACCTAATCCCAAATGCCCACCATGGAGTTTTACACTAGAGATCAGCCCTGAGAGGAAATGCTCATTCTCACTCTCACTCCCATTCAGGATTCAGTGATCAGCACAAATCAAAAGTTATCTCTAGAGAGAGCCCACAGCAGTATCAGTGAATAAAGGGCTATGGTCCCAGAATGGATACAAGAAATTCGAGAAATCATAAAACACTTAAGTTCAGATAACTGCACTCAAGAGAATCACGTCAGACACTGTTCTAGGCATGTTACATGTGTGGTTTTTTTTTTTTTTTTGAGACAGAGTCTCGCTCTGTCGCCCAGGCTGGAGTGCAGTGGCGCAATCTCGGCTCACTGCAAGCTCCGCCTCCCAGGTTCACGCCATTCTCCTGCCTCAGCCTCCCGAGTAGCTGGGACTACAGGCGCCCGCCACCACGCCCGGCTAATTTTTTGTATTTTTAGTAGAGACGGGGTTTCACCGTGTTAGCCAGGATGGTCTCGATCTCCTGACCTCGTGATCCGCCCGCCTCGGCCTCCCAAAGTGCTGGGATTACAGGCGTGAGCCACTGCACCCGGCCTACATGTGCTCTGACTCACTTAAGCCTCATAAAGTAAGTTTGGTGTTATTAGTACTCCCATTTTAGAGATGGGAAACCTGAAGTACAGGAAGCCGTTAATAACACTAGAGCTACTGGAAACAATATAAAGAGTATGTTCCTAAGGACCCTTATCAGGTCTCCTCTTTTCTAAATCAATTCTACCTTCTTTTACTTAGCTTTCAAATCTCTCCATAATTTGGCCCAACCAAACACCTGATCACCTCCATTCTCCAACATGAATCACAGGCGTCAGTGAGAAGTGTTTCCTCATCATTTCCCTTCCTCTCCCCTTACCCACTCAGACACCTGAGGCTCCTTTCCACATTCATTCAACCCACCAGCATTTGTTGAATACCTACTAAGTATAAGATCTAGAGATACACAATTGAACAGGACAATGTCCCTACCTTCATAGAGCAAACAGTCAATGAGGAGCAGGGGAGATTACAATGACAATAAAACACAGTGAGTGTGCTGTTCAGAATGTACAGGGGCTGCAGGTGGCAGGAGATGGCCCTTGAAGTAACTGTGGGCACTAAGTAACTGTAAGAGGAACACAACATCACTCTGCTCATCAGCCTAGGATGTTGTCTTAGTCCATGTTGCACTGCTATAAAGGAATACCTGAGACTGGGCAATTAATAAAGAAAAAAAGGCTTATTTGAGTCATAATTCTGCCGGCTGGAAGACTGGGCATCTGGTGAGAGCCTCAGGCTGCGTCCACACATGGCAGAAGGCCAACGGGAGCTGGCAGGTTCAGAGATCACATGGTGAGACAGGAAGTGAGGAGGAGGCGGGGTGCCAGGCTCTTCTTAACAACCAATTCTCATGGGAACTAAGAGACAAGAACTCATTCATTACTGAGAGGATGGCACTAAGACATTCATGAGGGATCAGCCCACATGACCCAAACACCTCCCATTAGGTTCCATCTCCAACACTGGGGATCAAATGTCAACATGAGGTTTAGGGGGACAAACATCCAAACTGCGACAGATGTCTTGTCTAATTTAAGACTCCTTTCCAAAAGTCAGCTCTTCCATGAAGGTATCCCACCATACTGATCTCTCCTTCCTTTACATTCTTTCTGCTCAGCTTCTAAGTAGTTCTCAATCCAGGGTGTACATTAGAGATACTTAGAGAACTGGCCCCCAGCCCACTTAGGCCAGGATTCTCACCCTTTTCCCTGCACTGGGATTTTTAAAAGGCTCCAAAAGTGAATCTAAAGAACAGCAGAAGTTGAGAACCACTGCTTTCCACACATCATCCAGCCTGCAATTATATTCTATAGTACTGCCGATTTATTTATGCCTATCATCTCAACAAAACTGTCAACAACCCAAGGAAAGCTATCAAACAATTCTTTATCTCTCCTACTTCATAGCACAACGCTGAAGACTACAGCTGATTGCAACTGGTATCCCACTGAAATTACACTTACTGTGGAACAAGATGTTGAAATGAGGATGCTAAAAAGTGTTACAGTGAGTCTAAAACATAAGAATCAGAAAGCAGAGGTCAAAGAGTGTGAAGACAAATAAATAGACTAGAAAAAAATTAATGCATAAGAAAAGAATCTTTAAAGAGAAGGATGTTTAATCAACTGAGAAGTCATTCATGCATTCAATTATTTACTGCACCAGATATAGTCTTCATCACTAGTGATAAAATGGTAACACAAGACAAATGCCATTCCTGGGCACTTCTCTCATAGAAGTTATATATAACTGAATCTCTGAGAAAATTGAACAGATTAACTATGATATAGTGTGATAAATGCTCCAGTAGAAGACATACAGACAGCTATGGGCTCATATCAGAGAGGCATCTGACCTAGTCAGGCATTTCATTCTTCTAGACAGTTAAGGGGACCTCTAGTTAAGAAAACCAAACACCACATGTTCTCACTCATAGGTGGAAATTGAACAATGAGAACACCTGGACATAGAGCAGGGAACATCACACACCAGGGCCTGTCATGGGGTGGGGGGCTGGGTGAGGGATAGCATTAGGAGAAATACCTAATGTAAATGATGAGTTAATGACTGCAGCAAACCAACATGGCACATGTATATGTATGTAGCAAACCTGCACGTTGTGCACATGTACCCTAGAACTTAAAGTAAAATTTAAAAAAAAAAAAAAAAAAGCCTGAGTTGGGCTACGATCAATTTTTCAAAAATTTTACTACAGGTGATCAATTATTTTTATTTGATCACAATTCTGAGGAAGACAGTACGAATCTACTGCTGACACGAACATTCCACTCCAGGAGACAAGCAGAACTCTCTTCATAAAGTAACATTTAGGTGACTTGCTTGTACAAATCTGAAGTATGTGAATTTGGGCAGCATCTCCCCTTGATAAGCTGTTAATCAAGGATTATTATTTGGCCCAATTGCTCCGCAATAGGTTTGACAGAGGCCTCAGAACTTGGGATATGAAACATAAAATTCTAGAACTATCTGCAAGGTTCAGTAACCCTAGTGGTTCAGCCCAACACTGTACCTGTGGCCCACAGCTGTCATAGATAAGGCTAGATAACAGCCAATGGGCATGCCCGCTTTCACAGCCTTCAAGAGAGGATGAAACGTGGGTGACTCTGTCATGTCAGGCACAGTGACGGAGAAGGGAACAGCTGGACAATTCGGCTGTATTCCATAATCGTTTTTGTGCAGTTTTAGCCTCAAGATTAAATTCCAGGCCCATTGGTTAAATGAGGTCTCGGGTGTCTCTCCATATCGAACAATACTGGCCAAATATGAAACCTAAAACAATTATTTATTTTGAGCCACATTAGTCACACACAAATTAAATCAGTAAGCTCATACACTCATCTCCTTTTGTGACCAACAATGCCCTCAACGCAGAGGAATATTCTACTTGCTGGTCTCCAATTAATGTTCACTGCACTACATCAAAGCAATTTTTCACTCGCAACTTGCGCTTACTTGCTAGTCACTTTGTGAACCTGATCTTAGCTCATGTAAAAGAAAAGTGACATAAAAGTTGATACTCAATGAATAGTGTGCCGATAAATAAGTTTAACCATCAGGACGGAGGTCTCATATATAGCGCTTGTCAATTTTGGTGGTGTAAAAATTCCCACCATGGTCAATTTTAAGCTACCAATGGTTTAATAACCTGGCTTGCAAAGTTTCTAAAAATTTAAGTCAGTTCTCCAGAGCCAGTACAACCAAGCTCTAACACACCACTGCAGTTCAATTCAAATTCTGTAATATTAGAATAGTTATATACAGGCTATTTCTTAAAGAAGAATCTTTATCAAACCATAGAAGTCAATTATAACATCTTAAATTGCTAGAAATGTTCTTAGGATACCTAATGGTCAATAGTATAAGTCTATCATCTTTATTTCTAAATGTCTTGGGAAGATAAAGATTCATGTTTCCAAATCAGAAGAGAAGGAAATACCTGCTTCATACTTTCAGAGAGAATCCCAGCATATGGCTTCTGTGCAAGGTACTTCTGATAAGCTTCAAGAACCATTAAAGCCACTTCAGCATGGACTGCTTGATCCAGATGAAGGGTAGCCTTTTAAAGAGAAAAATAATCACAAACATACAACCTTGGTTTTGTTTTGTTTTTGTACCTTTGAATCAAAACATTAGGCAGAATAGTAACAAAGGATCTTCGATGTAGAAGCTAAATGTTCCAAAAATCACATCCCACACAGTCAAACTATAAAATGACAATGGGCAAAAAACTGTCAAGGGCAATAACACTGTACCTAGATAGGTTTGAACCTGACTTAACCCCTACTCCAGCCAAAAAAGGTTATCTTTGAATGTCATCCCCCATTCCACCCAAGAATCTCTACAAACACTTCGGGTCAAGGGCAACGCCACAAACCAGGAAGATGCTTAATTAAACAGAAAAATATTTAATGAACTGTCTAGGCGTGGTGGTTCATGCCTGTAATCCCAGCACTTTGGGAAGCCAAGACAGACAGATAACTTGAGGTCAGGAGTTTGAAACCAGCCTGGCCAACATGGTGAAACCTTGTCTCTACTAAAAATACAAAATTAGCCAAGTACGGTGGTGCACGCCTGTAGTTCCAGCTACTTGGAAGCCTGAAGCAGCAGAATTGATTGAACCCAGGAGGCAGAGGTTGCAGTGAGCCAAATCGTGCCACTGCACTCCAGCCTGGGTGACAGAGTGAGATTCTGACTCAAAAAAAAAAAAAAAAGAGAAAGATATTTAATAAATTATGTCTACATTCCCTTTTCCTGTTCTATCATTAGTTACAATAAATAAGACACTCAGCAACACAGGTAAAATATTCCTTCTGATGCCTGAAGTTGCCTATCAAATTTCCTACACTATCTTCCTTTGCAGCCTGGAAAAATACATTCCTTAAACCTTTCAGAAAGATGACTTTCCTAACTCTTAACAAAGGCATAAGGAGACTCTCACGCAGCTCTTCAAGAGGAGAGCCTAGGTGATTCTGTTCACAAGCCAGAGAATGTGAAGGTGGAAAACAGCCCCCTGTAGCTCTTGCCTACGAGCATGTCAATGAGAGAGGGCCCAGATGAATCTATGGGCAGTCCCAAGTGGTCAAGGACACCTCAGCAGAAAAGCTCCCGGGCTTCAGTTTCCTCATCTGCACAACAGGTATCATGCTGTCCAGGACTAAATGACTTGCTCAGAACAAAACCTGTCAGACAGGTGTAAAGGGCTGAGTTTGCCACCATTTTCCCTTTTAAATGTTAATCTTCTTATGGAAGAGCTAACAAATAAGGCCTATGGTAAAGAGGCAGAGAAGGTCTTTTAACAGTGAAAATCACTTGAAATGTATCTCTGAAGATATATGCTACATAGCAAACCCTTAATAATAACCACACCACTGAGTACGTAATGTGTGGCAAGAATCATCCTAAACATCTTGTGTTTCCTCATTTGTTTAACCTTTACAACAACTCTATGCGCAGTGGCACGCGCCTGTAATCCCAGCTACTCGGCAGAAGGCTCTCTTAAGCCCAGGAGTTCAAGGCCAGCCTGGGCAGCATATTGAGACTCCATCTCAAAACAAAACAAAAAACAACCCTGTGAGACATTGAGGTATACTCGTTAATATGAATGTTTACAAATAAGCAACTAAGGCCCAAAGAGTTTAGGAAACTTGCTCAGAGTCACACAGCCAGAAGGTGGCAGAACTGGGATCAGAACCCAGGGAGGCTGGCTTAGAGCTCAGACTCTTAACCAATGCATAGTGTTTCAGAAAACAACCCTGACAATGACATGCAAGACAAATTACAGGAGAAAAAGGAATGAGAGGCAGAAGAGGCAATTAGGAGAAACTAAAGTAACTAGCCAGAGACAAAACAACAGATACAGCCAGGCACGGTGGCTCATGCCTGTAATTCCAGCACTTTGGGAAGCCGAGGCAAGGTGGATCACTTGAGGTCAGGAGTTCGAGACCAGCCTGGCCAACATGGCAAAACCCTGTCTCTACTAAAAAATACAAAAATTAGTCAGGTGTGGTGGCATGCACCTGTAATCCTAGCTACTTAGGAGGCTGATGCAGGAGAATTGCTTGAACCTGGGAGGAGGAGGTTGCAGTGAGCCAAGATAGTGCCACCGCACTCCAGCCTGGGTGACAGGGCAAGACTCTGTCTCAAACAAAAAAAATAAAAAATAAAAACAGATACATGGGAATAAGGAAAAAGGGAAGAATTTTCAATGTGGAACAATTTATCCTCATTTAATAGTTGCTCATTCTGCAAAAGAGAATTAAACAGAAAATCCTAAACTCTGACACAGCTACAAAGAATTTGTAGACCTTGCAAATGGTACTCAGAAATGTTAGTGTTTTGACAAAATCCTTCTTTGAAACAGATGCATGTACAACCTCCAGTCTCCAGGGAATGGTTTGAACACATACCTGTTTAGCAAATCCCCAATTCAGTCCTTCAAGAATAACACAGGCCAGTTTATTCTTCACCACTGTCAGGTTGTAATTCAATAACCAATCCCGAATCACCGCTATCTCAGATGCAGAAGGTTGCCAAAGATACAAAGGCAGTTCTTTAAACAAGTATAGAGAAACCTTATTAAAAAGAAAACAATAATCATTAAATAAAGACTTAGAAACAATGCTATATTACTACAATATTATATTATTAAACTGCTTGTAAAAAAATTTCTCCAAAAGGAACTGGAGTTTTTGTTTAATTTTTAGACAAGTGAAATGGAAATCACGGACAACCAAATCAAGTGGGTATTAAAATTGATGATACATCAAAAGCACATTTCATAATCCTTTGTAAAGATCAATCTTTTTAAATATTCAAATTGGTATGCTTCAGTTTAGGTAAACCACCACACTAATGCACATTTTTAAAGTCATGATAAATCGGGGGACGGCTATTCACTTTGCAAAAGAATTTAGCACTTTAAGTAATTATTCATTCTATGGCATTTAGAAAGATACTCTATTGGCTTCCAAGCCATCCAGGCCGGGGGTGGGGTGAGTGGGAGGGTGGTAAGATGAAACAAGATCAACAAAGAGACCAAGAGTTGATAGCTATTGTTAAAACTTGATGATAGGCCATTATACCATACTATTCTCATTACTTTTATATGTATTTGAAATAATCCACAATAAAAAATTTTTAAATCCTATTTACAGAAAGTCTACAGCACTACTTTTAAAATAACACATCCAAGTGTGCAAATTAAGATAAATCTGGGCCAGGCATGATGGCTCATGCCTGTAATCCCAGCACTTTGGGGGGCCCAGGTGGACAGATCACCTGAGGTCAGGAGTTTGAGACCAGCCTGGCCAACATGGTGAAACCTCGTCTCTACTAAAAATTAGCCAGGCATGGTGGCACGCGCCTGTAATCCCAACTACTCAGGAGGCAGGAGAATCGCTTGAACCCATTGGCGGAGGTTGCAGTGAGCTGAGATTGAACCACTGCACTCCAGCCTGGGTGACAGGGCAAGACTCTGTCTTGGGAGAAAAAAAAAAAAGAAGCCAAAAACAAGAAAAACACTTGAGAAAAATGTCATGAGCTCAAACTGAAAGAATCATATGATCCACTGTACATTTCTCTGGAATTCATCCACTAATCACTCAAGAAGGAGCAACAGAAAACTTCCTACTGTATTGAACTGTATATGAAAAGCTTTTTATCTCAATATAATCATCTTGCAGTAGCATACAATGTTTTTCTTTTCTTTTTTTTTTTTTTTGAGACAGAGTCTCTATCTGTAGCCCAGGCTGGAGTGCAGTGGCGTGATCTCAGCTCACTGCAAGCTCCGCCTCCCAGGTTCATGCCATTCTCCTGCCTCAGCCTCCTGAGTAGCTGGGACTACAGGTGCCCGCCACCACACCCGGCTAATTTGTTTTTTTTTCCATTTTTAGTAGAGACGGGATTTCACCGTGTTAGCCAGGATGGTCTCGATCTCCTGACCTCGTGATCCACCCGCCTCGGCCTCCCGAAGTGCTGGGATTACAGGCGTAAGCCACTGTGCCCAGCCAACACTGTTTTTCTTAAAAGGAAAATGACCATGTACTGCCACTATGGAAAACAGTATGATGGCTCCTCAAAAGACTAAAAATAGAATTATGACATGATCCAGCAATTCTACTTCTCACATGCCCAAAAGAAGTGAAAGCAAGGCCCGAAAGAGATATTGGTACATCCGCATTCACAGAAACATTATTCACAATAGTCAAAAGGCAGAAGCAACCCAAGTCCCCATCAATGACTGAATGGATAAACAAAAAGTTATACACACACACACACACACACACACACACACACACACACACGCACCAAGGAATTATTATACAGGCTTAAAAATGAAGTAAATGCTGACACATGCTACAACATGGATGAACCTTGAGGATATCATGCTAGCTGAAATAAACCAGTCACAAAGACCATATATTACATAGTTCCATTAATATGAAATGTCTGAAATAGGCAAAAATCTAGAGACAGACATTAGATTAGGGCTTAGGGCCCTAATCTATGAAAGGTGCTTAGGACCCCAACCTAAGAAAGCTTCTTAGAGCTGAAGGAGATAGAAGAGTAAGAGTGATAGCTGGGCCAGGCACGGTGGCTCATGCCTGTAATCCCAGCACTTTGGGAGACCGAGGTGGGTGGATCACCTGAGGTTAGGAGTTCAAGACCAGCCTGACCAACACAGTGAAACCTCGTCTCTATTAAAAATACAAAAAAATTAGCTGGGCATGGTGGCGGGCGCCTGTAATCCCAGCTACTTGGGAGGCTGAGATAGGAGAATCACTTGAACCTGGGAGGCAGAGGTTGTAGGGAGGCAGAGGTTGCAGTGAGCCGAGATTGAGCCACTGCACTCCAGCCTGGGTAACAAGAGCAAAACTCCATCTCAAAAAAAAAAAAAGTGATAGCTGAAGTCTAAGGGTTTTTGAGGTGATGAAAATGCTCTAAAATTGACTGTGTTGAGAGTTGCACATATCTGTGAATAGACTAAAAACCACTGACGTATATACTTTAAATAGGTAAATTGTATGGTATGTGAATTACATCTCAAGAAAACTTTTGAAAAACTACATGAAGATTGCAAAAGGGATTGTGACAAATGACAGAAACAAATTAAATGTGTCCTCCTCAACTTAAGTTACTACATACTATTTATTTTGCTTTTGGCTGACTTTAAATAGGACCTTCTTTGTCAGTTGTTTATTCCAAGTATAAAATATAAAAACTATGAAAGCCAAACAAATTATGAAATAAAAATTGTTAATTAACTATAGGTCATAAGTAAAGTAAAAATATGTTATTGAACGAGGTGGACAAGTCAACCTTGAGATTTGAGAGAAACAATCACATCTTTTTATAAGCAGCAGCTAATCCCAAGTTGGTGTGGTGAGTGACACAGAGGCTGGCACAGTAAATGTTAGTTCCTTTTATCCTGTTTATACCCCTAGTGACAAGATCATTCCCAAGAACCTTCCTATTTTTGCCAATGTTCCATTACTCCAAGATTTGAAAAAACAAAAACAAACAAAATCAGTGCTCTTACCATTCCAACCTGGTCAATGGTCTCTTGAACTCTATCCAGAAGGACGGAAATTATCTCAGGGTGAACAGCTGTGATAGTCCCTAAAAGCTCTCGACCAACCTTTGAAAAAGTCTCTCTGGTAGACAAGGTGACATAAGATACCTAAATGGGGGGAAGGGGGAAGAAGATGGCACTTTTAATATCAATTAGCAGTCAAAACACACTTATATCATTTTTTCAAGCAAAGCAGAAAGAATCTTACATTGAGCCTTAATTGACACTATGTTCCAAAAAATGTTAAAACTTCATACAGGCAACTGTCTACTCTGAGGCCGAAAGGTGCAGGGAGAGGAATATAAGAGAATGGCAACTTCTTATAACAATGACTTCAAGTGTGGATTCAAAAAGTATATCCCAAAGTCTGTCGGTAACAATAAAATGGTTCCTGCAGTTTCAAAACTTTTCTAAATCTGAGGAAATCACTACAATGATGAAAATCAGAATGCATTTCATGGAAATGCCTAGCTTCCCCTACAGAATAAGAACCCTAACTACAAGACCTTCTAAAACATTGTTTACCAACTCCTTTTGAATTATGTCTTCCAAAGTGTATGTTACAATCCATTAATGCCAATGGTATTTTTTAACACAATGGAATATACAGAAAAATAACAGAATAAAATAAAATAGAAAAATGTAATAGTGTATCACAGGTAGATTAAGTATTGCTTCAATTGTACATACACACACAGGATCAGAATGTAATATAGAATGTAATTTTTATTGTGACTCCTGGTCAAAACACTGGAAACTTTACTCAAGAGCATAAATATTACTTTAGCAACAGATCTTGAGAATGTCACTTAATGTCTGTGAAAATATGTCTTCTCTCCCCAAGTTTTTCAGATCATGAAGACAGTCTGAATTCCAGATCCATCGAGATCTTAACTTTATGCATGGTTATGAAGTACCAGTATAGGAACAGCTGAATCAAGTATTTGATCCTGGAAAGAACATCCAGGTTTGTCATTCTCAAACTGGATTATTAGGGGAAGATAATAAAACCCAAATAATCATCTTCAAACATAATTTTACTTGAGCACACTAGAATACTTTGGAGGAGATATTTTGTATGCAGATAAACAGATAAATGACAGCTTAAAGTGTAAAATGTGCAAGGCTTTTTAAATATACAAAAAACTCCAATGAACATTTTGGTAACCACTTTGGGCTAGTCCCTAGATGCTCAGGGGTCCAAATTTCACTCCCCTCCACCTTCACGGATGGCTCAGTGAAAAGATGAAGAATGCAAGGATCTCCTCCCAGCCTGTAATTTCATATTATAGATGAGGAAAATGAAGCCTGGGGTAATAAGTTATCTTTTTTGATGTGAGATGGCCAATTAATAGCAGAGTTAAAACTCAGGTATCCTAACTCCAGGTTCAATATTCTTCCCACCATCTCATTTAAACTGGCTGGGAAGCTAGGTTTCTGCTACTAGCCAGAGTGGAAGAGTTTAGTTGAAGGGGTGGGGGCGAGGGAAACATACATCATAAAAACTGTGTCAGGCTGTGTCACATTGTCTCTCCCTTACTGAAACTGGTGCAACAAATTTCAAAAGATAATAAGTACTGGGGAATGGATATAATTCACATTTTCAATAATCCCTGTAGCAAAATAATGTTCCACTGATTCTCTATCCCTTCTCTGAAGTGTAGACAGTAGCTAAATAAGTCACAATTTGTAAAAGCAATCCCCCAAAAAATCAACAGATGGACAATCCAAAAGAAAACATTTTTAGCTGATTTATAAAACTTCATATTCTAACCTCATATATCTCCAGAACAATAATTTTTATGAAGTCTTCGTCCACATTGGTTCTTCTGGCCTGAGCCATCTGAGCAAAGGTAGTCAGAAGGCAAATCTCTTCTGAGCTATTCATAGAAGAAAGACACTTCTCAAAGTTGGTAAAATGTTCTGGGTCTGCAAGTTCATATCAAGAAAATTAGAGTGGGGAAAGAATAAATTTATATCTTTTAATCACTCTTCCAGAGAAAAAGATTTAGGAATATTTAAAGATACAAAAGGTCTTTCTTTGTTCCAAAATAGATTTCTACAGGCATCAGGAATAAGGCTGGACCAGATGGCCTCTGAAATTCCAACAAACTCTAAATATAATGTAGCCTCACAGAAAACATTTAACATCTCTTAGCTTCAGTACCCACATCTGTCTCAAAAGGTTACTTAATAAGAAGGTTAAATAGCATGTCACTGGTGACGTGCTTAGTTAACTGCAAAGCACTGCTGCTGTCACCAGGCAGTCACCTTCAAAGGCAGTACTGCCAACTTCAAAGGCACACTTGAAGCTACTTGGTAACTGTCAGACAAACAAAGACCTGACTAATGAAAACTGCTAATACTAGCAACTACTTGGCACAAATAGGGCATTCCAAAAAAAAGAGATTTGCTTATGAAGAAAAACTGGGGGCAAGAAATTAGTTATAACCGTAAATGAAATACTAATGAATGTCATAAACGATATAATAAATGTGATATGTTTTGCCTATATCACAAAGGATGTTGTAAAAGCAATACTAAATTCTGCCATTAGGAAGCAATATTCACAAATATACATGACAGTAAACTACATGCAAAGTTCTACAGCAGAAAGGAAAAAAAGCCCATTTTAAAAATATATGTGCTTGGCCGGGCGCTGTGGCTCACACCTGTAATCCCAGCACTTTCAGAGGCCAAAGATGGGCAGATCACTTGAAGTCAGGAGTTTGAGGCCAGCCTGGCCAACATGGTGAAGCCTCGTCTCTACTAAAAATACAAAAATTAGCTGGGCGTGGTGGCACACGCCTGTAGTCCCAGCTACTCGGGAGACTGACGCAGGAGAATCACTTGAACCTGGGAGGCGGAGGTTGCAGTGAGCCAAGATCACACCACTGTACTCCCACCTGGGCAACAGAGCAAGACTCCATTTCAAAAAAATAATAATAATAAAATTAAATTAAATATATACATATATATATATATCCTTGATGGAACTTTTCACAGTAAGAAGGCAACAAGCCAATAATTCTTTTCATATTTACACATTTGAGAAACCAAGGTAGATAGCTCACCAAATTTCCTGCATTTTCAAAATAACTCTGGGACATTTACCAAACCAATTTTCATTTTCCATCTCCAAATTGGATTTATAGTGGAAATTATTACACAAAGTATTCCCAGAATAATGAAAATTGGCATGATCATTCTAACGTATATTGTGAAAGGATATTTAAAAAGAAAAAAAAGAATTATCATTCAAACTTACAATGTTTAAGGTACAAATCAAGGAAAAGGCCTTATATTTTAAATAACTCTATAGAAAAAACAATGGGAAAGTGAAATAACTTTCTAATTAGCTTTTAAAATATTAACTATAAGGACAAACACATTTCTACAGTTATTTATCATCAGATTTGCTTATGGCTACACTTTACTAGTAGTCAGAATGTTGATTAGACTAGAAATAAACAAAAAGAAGCCAAATTAAAACAGACTGGTTTTTAACAATCATTGCTAAGAAATCTGCTAGTTAGAAAATGTTAAAACTAGTTAAAATTTGTTCCCTGGAAACTGATTTCAAGCTCACCCTACTCCTATTACCACAGATAAATAAGAACTGGTTATAAAGAATAAGCACTTCTGGCATTTACTAAATATAAAAAGTGAGGAAGGGAAAAGATGTTAGAAAGCCTTATTCTTCCACAAACAATAAAAATCAAGCCTCCTAACAAAATTGATATATAAAAGATTAAGCAAAGGAGAAGATGAAAAAACAGCAAATTAGAGCAGGAGGATCAAATTTTGCAAAGACTCCACTCTCAAAGCTAGAACATAGTAGGCAGATGAAACTTCTCTACTGTGCCACTAACTCCTGTGTCAGGTGATACAGGCCCTAAGGGAGATAAAGATAAAAGTGCCGTGGAAGCCTGGAGTCCAGACAGAAAACTCCAGCAGCAGGATCCAAAGCTCTAGGGCAAGGCAAGGCTGGTACTGCCACTTCAGGGTCTGGAATCACATCCACTACAGAGCTGAGCTGTTTGACATCGGCTCCATCTGCCACATGCTAACACAGAGCCTGGCAGATAGTAAGTCCGCAATGAAGGGAGATGACACTACAAAGGAGACCTACCCAGGACTCAGGTATACAAAGTAGTGCTGCTGACCATCCCAGGCACTTCCAAAGGAAATGTCTGCTTCTGTATTAGCTATTTCAACCACAGAAATAGCCGCCAGAGGACAGACAATGGCTGTGAGACCTCTCACCTAGCTCACTCGTAAGCCCAGGTCCAACCACGGCAATGGTCTAATAGAAGCACTGCCCCCAGGACAGTGGAGAAGCACTTTACAAAGAATAATAATATAAGGAATCCAGAGCTACCACTAAGAAGATAGAAAGAAAAACAGAAAGGGACAAAAGAGGACGCATGCAGAGCCCCATAAAAGAAAAAAACAGAAACAGAAGAATAAAGACATCAAGAGAGACAGAAATGGAGGCTGAGTACGGTGGCTCACGCCTATTATCCCAGCGTTTTGGGAGGCCAAGGCAGGTGGATCACTTGAGGTCAGGAGTTCAAGACCAGCCTGGCCAACAATGTGAAACCCTGTCTCTACTAGAATATAAAAATTAGCTGGGCATGGTGGTGCACACCTGTAATCCCAGCTACTCAGGAGGCTGAGCTAGGAGAATCACTTGAGCCCGGGAGATGGAAGTTGCAGGGAGCTGAAGTTGCACCACTGCACTCCAGCCGGGGCAATGCTCATTCTCAAAAAAAAAAAAGAAATGGAAATAAAAAAATAAATCATGAATGTCTGCAGAAACTACTTTGCAAACAGTAGAGGCCCAATAATTTTTAAAGTATATGATTTTCTTTTAAGTGATACAGACATTTAAAAATTTGGAAAACAGCCTTTACTTCCTGCTGTGAAGGAAAAAACACTTGGAAAACAGAATTATCTTTGGTGTTTTTTTTTAGTCTTGTATTTCAGTAAATTGTCTATCTTTTTTAACGTATAGGGTAGTTTTTTAAAATCACTACAACATACATCTAATTAAATGGTGTTTTTCATTTCGAACATTATAATTTTGTTATAAGTAAATATCCTGGCCAGGCACGGTGGCTCACGCCTGTAATCACAGCACTTGGGAGGCCGAAGCAGGCAGATCACCTGAGGTCAGGAGTTCAAGACCAGCCTGGGCAACATGATGAAACCATGTCTCTACTAAAAATACAAAAAATAGCCAGGCGTGATAGCGTGGACCTGTAAGCCCAGCTACTCAGGAGGCTGAGGCACTAGAATCACTTGAACCCAGGAGGTGGAGGTTGCAGTCAGCCAAGAGCACACCACTCCACTCCAACCTGGGTGATAGAGTGAGACCCTGTCTCAAAAAAAATAAAAAATAAAAATAAATAAATATCCTGTAGTTTAGAGGTGGTATGACGCAAAAACTTAAGTTTTCACCAAAATTAATTTTTAAAGTACACCTGTCTACATCTTTAGTTCATAAAAACAATACAACTTTAAAAAAACAGCAATAAAAGAAAGATATTAAAATGGCTGGGCACAAAGCCTTAACAAATTTCTAGACAATTAATACATATCTGTTAATACAACTGTCAACTAGAATAATTTCACACACACATGCAAAAAAGTGCTTCCTAAAAGTTAGAATATTGTGTGTATTGGTATACTGTTTGGGACTAATCAAATTTTGATTTCAGATATGCTAGTTGCTATTTAATACATCAAAACTGTGAAGCAGTCTCCTGAATTTCAAAATCATTACACATGAGTATGTAGAGTAAAACATTTTCTCTTAGTCCTTCTAAAAGTAAAAATTAAGCCCTGAAGAGAAGCACAAAAAGATAGGGAGAGCTGGACGCCGACTGCTCGGCGGGGCTGTACCTTGGAGCTGCTGCTTGCACTGGGCGGGCTGCAGGGAGGAGGAGAGCTGCTGCAGGTTCTCGCTCTCCACCTGGTGCATGAGGTAGAAGAGCTTCCACAGCATTTGCACAGACAGAGTCCCAAAGGGCATCTCGGACATAAACAGCCAAATGCCAAGTCTGCATGTAAGCAGGAATCATTTTATTTATTAATCAGCTTCATTACACTAAGAAAGTAGACAAACCATTGGCTCTCAAGGAAAAAAAGATTCTTAAATCACACTATGATTTTTCTAATATGCTTTAGTCATAAACACCTCAAGGATGGCTAAGAATAACAGCAAATACAAACCACCCAGTCTGTGCCAGGGACTGTTCTAACCACAACAATGTGTGCATGTGTGTGTGTATACATGTATGTACAATATCAACTCAAACCATCCTCACAAAAACCAAGACAATAATTATGGATATGGCCGGGCGTGGTGGCTCACGCCTGTAATCCCAACACTTTAGGAGGCCGAGGCAGGTGGATCACTTGAGGTCAGGAGTTCGAGACCAGCCTGACCAACATGGTGAAACCCCATCTTTACTAAAAATACAAAATTAGCCAAGCGTGGTGGCGCATGCCTGTAATTCCAGCTACTTGGGAGGCTGAGGCAGGAGAATCACTTGAACCCAGGAGGTAGAGATTGCAGTAAGCCAAGATCGCACCATTGTACTCCAGCCTGGGCAACACGAGTGAAACTCCAACTCAAAAATAATAAGTATTATTATTACGGATATTAGCACCAATGCACACAGGCTACTAAGGCGCACACAGGTACTAAGGCACACACAGTAGTGGGTGGCAGAGAGGCCAGCTGTGGATGTGTGTGTCTGAGCACACACACAGGTACACGTGTGCCCACAGACACATGTGCAGTGGGTGGGAGGAAAATCGAAATCCATCCAGTACTCCTCTCTGAACACTGAACAAAGTTCAAATTCCTCAGCCCACATTCAAAGGCTTCCACAGTATGGCTCTGAATCATATTTCCAACCACAGCCCTCTCTGTCCTCCTTCAGTTACCACTGCATTCCAGCAAGCCTGGAGAGACCCCACACCTCCAGGCTGGCTCCTTCCATGGGTCAAGCCCTCCTTGGACTTCCTCCTCTGCACTATTACAGAACTCCATCCATACCTGACTTTGCCATCATCATACATTCTGCCAGTGATCCCCACACTGTAGTGGCAGAAAAACCACCTGGAGACTTTCTGGAAAATGCAGATTCCCAAGCCTCACCTATAGAGACCATGATTTTGTAGGTCACAGCTGGGGCACAAGAATTTACACCTTTATAGTCACCCTTGGTGACTCAGACTCAAGTGATTCTTAAAACACAACATGAGAAACCCCTCATGGTACTGTAATTTACATATGACATACTAACCTAACAGCAATTTGAGAGCAGAAACCATGTCTTGTTCATTTTTATATAAACCAGTTTATAACTAGAACCTTGTATTTTAATTATCTGCTACTTAAACCAGTATCTCAAAAACAATCAGCACTCAATAGATGCTTATTAAAATTGTATGTAAATGTTATCACAACTAAAAAAAAACACTTGTATCAGGATGGTGGCCATGCCCCAAGTCAGAATCTGCTAAGGAATGGCTGGATGCGGTGGCTCACGCCTGTAATCCCAACACTTTGGGAGGCTGAGGCGGGCAAATCACTTGAGGTCAGGAGTTCGAGACCAGCTTGGCCAATATAGTGAAACCCCATCTCTACTAAAAATATAAAAATTAGCCGGGCACGGTGGTGTGCGCCTATAGTCTCAGCTACTCGGGAGGCTGAGGCAGGAGAATCACTTGAACCTGGGAGGCGGAGGTTACAGTGATGGTGTCACTGAACTCCATCTTGGACAACAGAGTGAGACTCCATTTCAAAAAAAAAAAAAAAAAAAGGAAATCTGCAAAGGAATGTACAGCAACTTACCTGTTATTAAATTAAAAAAAAAAAAACTTAAAAAAATACGAGGCACTCAAAGCTGTTGCCGTATTTGAGAAACAACTACTACAAATCATCCAATTACAAATTATCTAATTACAAATAAACCAAATTTAAGAAAAAAATGAATAGTGCATGCCTAATCCACATCTATGAACCTAAACAGGCAACTGGTAGTTCAAACCCACACTTACCTGGACTCTGGAAAAGCCAGCTAGACTTCTGAACAAGAGATTAAGAAACTTCTCTAAGGTCAGTTGGGCCAGGTTTCTATCTTATTAGTTAATTATCCTAACACTTCACATGGGACCTGATGCTGTTTTATACCCCAAAACAAAGAAGGGAAATTGTAGAGGACTTAAAAGTAATATCACAAACAGGGTGTATTTCAGGCTATAAAATTCCCTATATGGCAGACATTCAGGAAGTCTGGCATATATATACATATATATACACACACACACACACACACACACACACACACACACACACACATATGTATACACACACATACACGTATATATTTATATAGGTATTTATATATATATACACATATATATAGATATACACATATATATACACACACACATATATATACACACACACATATATATACACACACACACATATATATATATTTTGAGACAGAGTCTTGCTCTGCTGCTGAGGCTGGAGTACAGTGGCGCGATCTCAGCTCACCGCAACCTCCACTTCCGGGGTTCAAGCGATTCTTCTGCCTCAGCCTCCCGAGTAGCTGGGATTACAGGTGCCTGCCACCACGCCCAGCTAATTTTTGTATTTTTAGTAGAGACAGGTTTTCACCATGTTGGCCAGGCTGGTCTTGAACTCCTGACCTCAGGTGATCCGCCCACCTCAGCCTACCAAAGTGCTGGGATTACAGGCATGAGCCACCACGCCCAGCCCTGGTTTATATTTTTGTTGTCTGTCTTTTAGTATAGTTCAGTTTTGTTTTAGGTTGAAGGGATAGCTATTGCCAGAAATTTCCATTTGAGTGCCGAATAAATTTAAATTTCATGGCTTTAAATATCTGGTTCTCATATAATTTGTTTCCTAAAATAAACTTAAGAACAATAGCTGTCAACATTTTAAAACAATTATCTTTGTGAAATTATATACACAATGTTACAGCAAGGGTTCACAGCTCAATATATAAGCTCTAGTAAGTAACTAGGATGAGAGCTTTGCCTCTCCACTAAGCAAGCACAAGAACAAGTAACAGATCAGAGAAGGAAGACTCCTCCCATGCACCAGGCCAGCGTCAGTGGACAGGTGCTACTGCACTGATGCCCTGACACAGTCCTGAACAGGATTTGGTGCATCTCATGAGACCACCAAATTTATGGTATAAGTATAACAGGAGTAATCTAAAGATAAGGCCGGGTGAAGTGGCTCATGTCTGTAATCACAGCACTTTAGGAGGCTGAGCCGGGCAGATCACTTGAGGTCAGGAGTTCAAGACCAACCTGGCCAACATGGTGAAACCCCGTCTCTACTACAAACCCAAAAAATTAGCCGGGCATGATGGCAAGCGCCTGTAATCCCAGCTACTTGGAAGGCTGAGGTGGAAGAGTTGCTTGAACCCAGGACACAGAGGTTGCAGTGAGCCAAGATCATGCTACTACACTCCAGCCTGGGCAACAAAGTGAGACTCCATCTCAAAAAAAAAAAAAAAAAGATAAATTTCTATACCCAAGTTCTATTTAAGTTAGACTCAATGCCTTCACAGTGTCTAAAAGTGGTTAACACTTAGCTAAGACCTCCTGATCTTTCTCTAAGTCTCTAGATTATTCTATTCCCCAGATGAAACCACACAAGAAAAACCCCCACTTACATTTGAAAAGTCCTTTATGGTTTAAAATGTATTTCCTCATATTACCACAATTCACCCTCATCACACATCCATGAGGTTAATGGAACAGTAGTATCATTATCACCATCTCCGTTTTAGAAATGAAAAAAGTGAGACCACAAATATTAAGCGACTTTCCCAGGGTAACAGTAAATGGCAGACCAAGACTCAAACTTACTATACAACACAGAATAAATCAGGGGCTAAGGCTAAGAGTTACATGGCAAGAGGGAGTGTAGGCAGCTAGCTCAGGAGAGGGCCAAAGCAGGGGAGAGCCAGTAGTTCATAAGCACAGCTGGGTGGGGGTGGAGGCAGCCCCGCATCTCCTAGCGGAGGGCATAATCCTGCAGCAGAGCCCACTCCTCAACTTGGCCAGTGGCTCAGGGAAGGGAGCACGGGATGTGCAGCTATGCCCTTGCCTATGCCTCAAACAGGTCCTAGGCTGTAAGCAGTGGCACAGTCAGCATGATCCAAAGACAGCATTTACAAAGCTAAGACAGGGAACCAAGATCCATGACATTCCCAGACCTTAAAACCCTTACCGGAAGGCAAATTGAACAATAAAATCAGCAAATCATTTGCACCACATGCTGCACACCTACTGCGTCTCACTGCAGGCACTGCAGTGGGTATGTGATAGATAGAATCTATCCTTGTTTTCCCCTGCTCAAGGCTGCCCCAAAAGTTCAGGGTGGCAAAAAACTGAGACACCAGAATAGTGTTATCTTAAAACAGAAAGAAATTGAGAGAGAGAGAGAGACCATTTCAGTCAACAGGTGGGTACTACAGATAAGGAAACCAAGGCCCAAGAATTTGCCCTCAATAAGAAATAGATGAAATACACTAAGAAACTATTATAAAAGACCTACTTAAGTGGCTTTCACCGAATGGTTCTTACTAGTGAGGAAGTTACTTCTCACTAAATATCATCATATGTCTTACTTACCTTTTGGCCTTCAGCACATGTAGGACAGCCCTCAAAAACAGTTCATCAAATTCAACCTGTAGTTTCTCCATAGAGTAGGGCTGTTGGGCCAATCCTGAGCCTTGGTTATGGCTCACATACTGTGCCCAATGGTCACTTACATAACCAAGAGTCATCCTGAGCATGAGGAAAGATAATACAGTACTTTTCATTAGCTCAATATCTGCACCTTTATATTACATTTCCAACATTCATTTATTCAACACATATTTATTGAGCACCTACTATCCACCTACTATTGTCCAGGTTCTGAAACTAATGAAATGGGGAAAATAAAATCCTACCTTCATGGAGCTTACATTTAGTGAAGGGCAAAGAGACAACAAATAAAATAAAGTCATATACAGTCTGTCACATGGTTGTAAGTGACACTGAGAAAGATAAAGCCAGAGAAAGGAATAAAGTATGTCTGGAGGTGGAGGGGTGGGCAGGATAAGGAGGTGGGTTGGGAGCACGAAAGGGCTTACTAAAGAGGGACATTTGATAATGTCTGGAAAACAGTGAGGAATCACATAAGTCTCTATGAGAAGAGTGTCCACGTAGAAGAAACAGCCAATGCAAAAGCGCCGAGGGGTGTCAGGTATGTTTAGGAACAGCAAGGAGGCCAATGTGCTGAGAGGTAGACTGGCTGGAGATGAAATCAGAAAAGTGGCAGGAAACCAGATCGTGAGGGGCCCTGCAGGCCACTGTGAGGACGTCGGCTTTTTCCCTGAGTGCAGTGGGGAGCACAGTAGGGTCCTGGGCAGACAGTGAATGGGCTGACTCACAATTCATAAGGAACACTGGCTGTTTAAGAATACACTGAGGTGGGGAAAGGGCAGAAGCGGGTGGTGGGCAAAGTCAGAAGCAGGAAGATAAGTCAGGAGGTTTAGGAATGAAATGGGGTGCTAGCAGTGAAGGCGGTAAGAAGCAGCTAGATTCTGGAAGGAGCATGTTTCATTGATTCAAAAGGATGCATGTCTTTCACACTAGTATCCCTGCAATTAGAACGTCAGAATCCATGTTAATATTAATGATGTGATGCCATAATTTGGCAGCATTTTCCCTATGTTAGTGGCATATAAAATGTATCTTAAAAAATAATTGGTGGCATTTTAGATTTGATAAAAGATGGTATTTTGATGGTGGAGATGATAAAATTTGCAGTTAGATTGAATGTGGGGTATAAAAGAAAGAAAAGCCACAGGTGGCACCAGGTGTTTTGGCCTGAGAAACTAGAATAGAGTTGCTACTTAATGAAACTGGGAGTAGTAGTTTGGGAAGGGGGGAGAGTGAGTTCATTTTGAGAACACTACGTTACAATGTTAATGAGTCATCCAAGTGGAGGTGCTCGGTTGGTAGTTGAATATACAATGTGTTTATGAGAGAGGTATGGACTGGAAATATAACTCTGAGAATTGTAACAGTGTTTAGATATTTAAAGATGAATGAATGACATCTCAAAAAGCAAGTGTAGATAAAGAGAAGAGAGGTCCAGGGACTGAGCCCTGAGACACTCTAACATTAAGAAGCCTGGAAGTGAGAATGAAACAACCAAGGAGGCAGAAAAGGGACTGTCAGTGAAATGGTGGAGAAATCAGGAGAATGTGGTATCCTGGAAGCCAAGGAAAGAAAATGTTTTAAGGATAAAATGATCAACTAACTACGAGAAAGGCTGCTATGTAAGCTGCGTGAGAGATGCCAAGTAGGATGAAGAGACCCAGAACTGGCCACTGGATCTGGAGCACAAGGTTCATTAGAGATCTTCATCTGTAGGAGCTGTTTGGGTAGCGGTGGGAGGAAAAGCAAGTTCAAGTGAGGATGGAGGAATAAAATGGGAACTAATAGACGATCTGAAGGCAAGCCCTTATGGGAAATTGTTCTGCAATTAGAAGGTATGAGAAGAATCTGCACTAGATACAAAAAGTAAGCAGATGGAAAGAAAAACAAAGAAAGAATAATCATAATACACTACAGCTGTTATTTACACAATAATGTAAACAGTGATCTTAAAACAGTAATGATACCAACGTCCTTCCTATAGAGTTACTGAGAGAATAAAATAAGAAATCACAGTCCTGGCATACAGTAAGCACGCAATCCTACATCATGTAAGTGAGCTTATGGACAAATTTTATTTATGGTCTTATTTATTAAGAAAAATCAGAAAAAGAACGTCTGGATGGACTTCTGTTAATAACAGGTAGATGGGCTTTTAGCTTTTAACAAATTTATCTCCAAGTCACCAGCCATCCTCCCTCCCACTGTCTCATTCTCCTAACTCTATACTCAAGGCTTTCTCTAGACCTCAGGAGGGACCCCCAGGCCGGGCACAGTAGCTCATGGCTGTAATCCCAGAACTTTGGGAGGCCAAGGCAGGCAGATCACTTGAGGTCAGGAGTTGGAGACCAGCCTAGCCAACATGGTGAAACCCCATCTCTACTAAAAATACAAAAAGTTAGCTGGGCGTGGTGGCACACACCAATAGTCCCAGCTATTCGGGAGGCTGAGGTGGGAGAATGGCTTTAACCTGGGAGGCAGAGGTTGCAGTGAGCCGAGATCGCACCACTGCACTCCAGCCCGGGTGACAGAGTGAGACCCTGTCTCAAAAAAAAAGAAGGGACCCCCACCCTTTTAGGGCATCCTATAATCACTTGACTGATTTATAAAGCTAATGGATACATATCTAAAATAAATGAATTAGGCCAGGCACGGTGGCTCACACCTGTAATCCCAGCACTTTGGGAAGCCGAGGCAGATGGATCACTTGAGTCCAGGAGTTTGAAACCAGCCTGGGCAATGTGGTGAAACCCCGTCTCCACTAAAAATACAAAAATTAGCCAGGTGTGGTGGTGCGCACCTGTAATCCCAGCTACTCAGGAGGCTGAGGCACAAGAATTGCTTGAACCCAGGAGGCGTGGGCTGCAGTGAGACGAGATCGTGCCCACTGTACTCCAGCCTGGGCAAAAGAGCGAGACTCATCTCAAAAAAATAAAAAAATAAAATAAATGAATTAAAAGTAATTTTGTTTTGGAAGCGAAAGGAGGGAGAGAAGTTTTGTAGTTTTATGGAGTTTCTTTTGGGTGGGGAAGGAAGTTGAATAACAGCATACGTATATGCTATAAGAAATGATCCAGTAAAGACAATTAAAATTAATAAAGCAGAAAAAAGAGTATAAAATTAATTCAAAGAAAAGCAGTACATATTCTCTAAATTTATTAAGACAGCTGAAGCAGTAAGAGCCTGTATTTTCCTAGATGCCTTCTCTCTCACCCAGACTTCAACCCAGCAACAGCTTTGGGGATCTCAACTCCAAGAACAATCATCTAGCAAGCCAGTTAAATTTGAGATAATTAACGAAATACTCTAACTGGAAGCAATTATGAAATTCCCATCTTATAGATGGTGAAGAAAAAAATCTTAACTATTACGAGAAATAAGACCTGAGGTTTACAACTAAAACGTCCATCATCCCAATTATGCAGTATCTGTGTCTGACCAGGGTGAAAGGAACAGAGAAGGGTAGAGCAACAGCAGTATTACCTGATCATATAACCAATTCGCTTCACAAACTGCCTATAGCGTGCTCTATTAAAGGTTTCTAACCCCACAGCCAGAAGTTCCACTAGTGAGTTGGCAAAGGCAAAAATTTTCATCATCTCTTGAGGTCTTGTTGTTTCAGGTAAATAATCACCTAGAAGTTAATCAGATAAAAGAAAAAAATCATAGTTACTATGAAAAAACATGAACGGATACATCTGTATAAATATTTTAATGAGGACTCAAAGCCAAGGTGGAGAAGAACTGACAGTCTCATTACTCTGGCTCCCATATCAACATGAAATGGGAAAAAACTTGAGACAATGTGCCAAATTAAAAACAATTTATTTAAGTTGGGAATGTGCAAGCTAGCTAGCTTTCTCACATTTAAGCACCAAGTGGGAAATTACAAGCACAAGAGGAGCCTAGAACAGCTAGGCACAAGAAACCCGAGTTGGAGCCTACACAAGAAGTAAGACTCGGGCCAGGCACGGTGGCTCACGCCTGTAATCCCAGCACTTTGGGAGGCGGAGACGGGCGGATCACGAAGTCAGGAGATGGAGACCATCCTGGCTAACACGGTGAAACCCCGTCTCTACTAAAAATACAAAAAATTAGCCGGGCGTGGTGGCGGGCGCCTGTAGTCCCAGCTACTCGGGAGGCTGAGGCAGGAGAATGGCGTGAACCTGGGAGGCAGAGCTTGCAGTGAGCCGAGATCGCGCCACTGCACTCAGGCCTGGGCGACACAGCAAGACTCCATCTCAAAAAAAAAAAGAAGACTCAATGCAGAGTTCCTGTGTTTACACTTGCCACTACCACATTTTACACTTAAGAGAAATGAGTCTACCTTTTGCTTTAAACCCAAGAAGATGCTGAAAGAGTTCATGAAAGGGGAACTGTGCTAAAATGGTAACCAAATCATCTTCATTAAGGAGAATCCAACTGGTCTCAGGGTCTTCATCCTAAGGGAAAAGACAAAAAATCATGTCAGCAGATTTGATCAGATCACACTATGATCTAGCGTTACAGGAGCTAAATTATCACAGGTCTCAATGGTATACATGTGATATCCTCATGAGTCTTCATGGACCTTTTCTCCAGGACAGCAATTTATAGTATCAGTTCCACAGACAGTTACACAGTAAATCCCCTGAAATTCCAAGCACAATTTTATATGTATCTGGGTCACAGCAAGTGATTGAAACTGCTCTCATTAAATGTCCATCCCAAAGAAAATAGAAAAAAAGAAATCCTCTAGAGTGAGGACCTTATAGGGATCAGTGCTTTGATAACATCAATTAAAGAACCACAGATGGGCCGGGCGCGGTGGCTCATGCCTATAATCCCAGCACTTTGGAAGGCCGAGGCGGGCAGATCACCTGAGGTCAGGAGTCCAAGAGCAGCCTGGGCAACATGGTGAAACCCCATCTCTACTAAAAATACAAAAATTAGCCAGATGTGGTGGCATGCACCTGTAATCCCAACAACTTAGGAGGCCAAGGCATGAGAATTATTTGAACCTGGGAGTCGGAGGTTGCAGTGAGCCGAGATCACACCATTGCACTCCAGGCTGGGTGACAGAACGAGACTCCATCTCAAAAAAAACAAGAACCATAGATGAGAGTTCAAAGTTATGTTAGCTGCAATTCTCTTCTCCCAAAATCAAGATCTATGTAGTATGCAACAGACTTAAGACGAAGCAATTGACATTTGCTATAGGTGACTAAAGTTCTGTTGTCAATTACTGCTGCCAAAAGCAGTATAAAAATAACAGTGGTCATACACAAAGATTACATAGGGGAAATCTTTGCGGTCTTTTCGTTTGACACAGAGCACTAAAGTCACCTTAGAAACCAAGTTGATTCATGTCCCTTAGGACATGACCATTAAAAAGGACGCTACCATTAAAAAGGGAAGGAAGTAAAAAGATCCTGAGAACCTGAAGAATATATCACCTCAATTTCAACAAGGGACTAAGGCAAAATCATTCATAATTTCCTTAAGCCACTCAATTTTTACACTCTTATTATGTATCTAAAATGGCTAACAAGCATTTCAGAAACTCTACTTAAGGCAGTAGTTCTCAACTTAGCTATTCTCAACTCAAAGGTACATTTAACCCCCAGGGAGGCTTTTAACTATTTGGATGTCTGGGTGTGGGCCTGGGCAAGGTTTGCAAGTTGCCCAGGTGATTCTAGTATATAGCTAGTAACAAGAAACCAATGATGTGGATAATTCAGAGTGCCTTCCTCCCTACAGCCTTTTCTGAGGTAATGGCACTCCCAACTTTCTCATCTACTCCTCAAGTTCTTGAATTCACTGAATATTTAGGGAGTGCTAAACAGGAGCCAGGCACCAATGCAGGGTGAGATAATTAATCAAATATTTTGACTGGAAGTATTTATAACGCCTAATCATTACATGTAATTATAACGCTCCTTAATCATTATCTGTCTGGGATTAAATGCAGGAAACCTACCAGAAAAAAAGACTTCTCCCCCAAGAAAGACCACTCTAAAAAAAACATATTGCTCCACTACAATCTTTAAAAGACCAATCTGTACTGGCTCCTAAGAAGCTTGCTTCAGAATGACTCCTCAGTTTCTAGCAAAAATGCCTGCACATCCACGTCATTTACCACCACCTGACCACCTCCTCCTGCAAGTCTCAGGAAGAGAAAAACGACTGTGAAGGGGGCTCCCTACTTCTGAATGAGCACTCTGGGAAATACACAGACACGATCCAACAGCTGCCACGGCTGTCATTCTGAGAACTGTTGGCTGGACACTTTCATCTCCTTTTAAGAGAGGGATTATAATAAATCGGTCACTGGACATTCTAGACAAGAACACCAAATCAAGATTCAGACCAAAATAAAGGACTAGAACTGATAATTAGCTGGAGAACAGAACTGCTTACAAATCTAATCACAATGACTATAGTAGAAAGGAAAATTAACAAGGGTGATCTCGAGAAGCTGGATTTTGATCATTAAATTCTCACCAAAAATGGAAAACCATCTTCTACCTTTCAAATGAGAATTTCTGGATAAGAAGTTTATGAGTTAAGGGAAAACTTTGCTAAGCTCCAGCTCTTTATTTCTCAGATTCATATCATCTGTAGGTGAGGCTCCAACCCCAGCAACTTGTTACTATATAAAAAAACTCCTAATATACATCTTATGTAATATGACTTTAATTTCCAGGTGCCAAATTCTCCCAGCTGAACAGAATGATATTCTAGAGAAGGGGTGCAGCACAGCACACTGGCTCAAAGCATAGGCTCTGGAGGCTCCACATTTAATGACCCTATGGTTTAAGAGAAGATACTTCACACCCCTGCACCTCAGTTTCCTCATCTATAAAATAGGAATCATAAGTCTTTACCTCATGGAGTTGCTGAGAGAATTAAATGAGATACTATGTGAAAAGTGCTTAGAACAATACTTGGTGCATAAGAAGAGTTCACAATGATTCATCAAAATAATGCAGATATGACAAGTTACCTCTTCTCCTCCTTCGTCTACTAGCGTCCAAGTCCCAGACCCAGGCCCTGAGGAGGATGGCTTCCGCTCGCTGGGCTTCATGTGGCACATAAACTCAGCTCGATTTCTAAAGGACAAGAATAATCACTCCCATCACTTAGATGTAGGCTACGTGAGTGCATTGTGGATTCTCTACTCACCCTGAAGAAGAGCCACACATCATCCCAATCTTCCAATGGTTTAAATTAGTGAATAAGAACTGGCCAAAAACCAAGGCTAATAAAACTGCACTAATTTTGGTGGAGAATGCAACCATTCTGAATTAGTAATGATGAATAATTGCAGAAAAGCAGCTACACTAGCACAGCTCCCTGCATGATGCAGGACCTCAATACATATGCTGCGGACCTTAACTCAAACCAGGCTCACAAAGTCTTGCCAGGGAAACTATTTTAGCAACTATGAGTTACTGAATAAAAAAGGGTAATGGAGGCTGGGCGTGGTGGCTCACGCCTGTAATCACAGCACTTTGGGAGGCTGATGGGGGTGGATCATGAGGTCAAGAGATCGAGACCATCCTGGCCGACATGGTGAAACCCCGTCTCTACTAAAAATACAAAAATTAGTTGGGTGTGGTGGCACATGCCTGCAGTCCCAGCTACTCAGGAGGCCGAGGCAGGAGAATCTCTTGAACCCAGGAGGCAGAGGTTGCAGTGAGCTGAGATCGTTCCACTGCACTCCAGCCTAGCGAAAGAGAGAGACTCCCTCTCAAAAAAAAAGAAAAAAGGTAATGGAGAGGCTTGTTTAGGGCCAAAACATAGATATAAATGCAAAAACACTTGTGAGTCAAATCATTATCTACCACGTGCAGGAGCAGGCCCTTGTATCCAAGGCAGTAAGGGAGAGGAACCATCAAATCTAAACTCCTCATTTAATTTCAAGGACTTCTATAATCCAACCCACCCGAGTTCTTCACCTCTATTACCAGCTCCCGCACACACCTTTGCTTCAGCCACACTGATCTACCTGTGCTCCGTACAGCTATCCTAACCTGTGTTGGGGCCTTTGCTCACACTGTTCTCCCACCTACATGTTCTCCATTGTCCCGTTCTCCTACTGAAATCTAATCCATTCTTTTTTTTTTTCTTTCAGTTGGAATTTCGCTCTATCACGCAGGCTGGAGTGCAGTGACACGATCTCAGCTCACTGCAACCTCCGCCTCCCAGGTTCAAATGATTCTCCTGCCTCAGCCTCCCAAGTAGCTGGGATTATAGGTGATTACACCACCATGCCCGGCTAATTTTTGTATTTTTAGTAGAGACGGAGTTTCACCGTGTTGGCCAGGCTGGTCTCAAACTCCTGCCCTCAGGTGATCCACCTGCCTCGGCCTCCCAAAGTACTGGGATTACAGGTGTGAGCCACCATGCCCAGTCCAATCCATTCTTCAAACACAGCTCAGTTACCATGAAACACTCTGACTACTCCACTCAACTCTTTATTCTCTTCATTTCTATTGCATAGCTTCGCAATTTAGCACTTAAATCTCTCTGTGCTATTTCTCTTCTGGCATTAAATCTCTTCTTCCAAGAAACAGATCACCTTTTTTGTCTGTAGCACCTTTCACAATAGTATATATGACCCACTAAAAGGGGGAACCCATAAAAATGGTTGCTTATATATAAGCAGTTGAAGGGTCACTTTGAAACAAGTATCAAACCCAAAGAAAATCTGCAATGTTAAATTCTAGAATGCCAACACTTCCCTTAGCTGTTCTTCTTTGGATCTAGGCAGTTTCAGGAGCCAATCCTTTAGAAGAAAGAAGCATTTCAATCTCTACTTCACAAAGCTCTTGCACACTTACTTGACAGGAGACATCAGCAGGGCAAGGGATTGCATAAAATGAAAGACCCCTGATGGGTTATGCAACACTTTGATCTGAAATCAGAAAAGCAAAAAGCATACTGTAGAAAACAAATAACCCAAGTGTCCATAATCTTGGTTCACAAGCATTCTGACCAAAGTTGCTGTTAAGAGAACAAAGCTGAAACTGGTACCTAATACACAAGAGTAAAGCACAGCCCATGGGTTACCTGGTGGCACTGAGTCAGCTGTACTCAAAGAGCAGAGGTAACTGAGCAGTTTCCACCAATTATCTGTAACAACATGGGATGAAGGACACTACTGCTACTTTAATCCAAAGAGAGACAAAACAAAAACAAAAAAAATCCTCCTTCTACCTAATAAGATTCAGACTTCTTGCCACCAGAAGTGCTAAAGAAAAGGAGGTGTGGAGAAGCTGAATTTGGCAAACATTTTGGCTCCTGCAAATTCTAAGTGGTTGCTATGAGTAACAAAATGACCCAAAGGCAACAGCAGAGAGGAGAATCTAAAAACCACATAGTCAACTCCTAAGTATACAAGAGTTGATCACATAGACCTGAGATCTCTGCTAATATTAAAGAACTTTGAGATGTGGTGGCTTCTGTTTGACCTGTACCAACTGTGGTGTAAGACAGATTGACTTAGGAAGCTGTATTGAGTACCACGGGAAAAAAGTCCTGGTGAGCCTTTCTACACAGGAATTGTGTAGAATTAAATGCGACTGAAACTACCCAGCCAGACTACAAGCAGACTTAGTACAGTCTGTACTATCAATTATGGGTAGCCCAACAAGTTTCAGTCTAAGAACTTTTATAAATGTATACTGGATATATTTTAAGAATTTTATTTTAAATATTACTCTTTTTTAAATAGTCCTTTTTTTTTCAGCAATTTCTTCAGGAATAATGTCTAATAAAACCTCTCCCCCAACCCCTCAGAATGAGTTGATGATTCATCATACCTGGATAAAAGGAACAGCCCATTTACTAACACCAGCGGGGCATCGAAGAATATGGTTTAGAAGGAAGAGGTGATCTCCAGGACAGCCAACTCTTTGTAGCACGGATACCTGAACAATAAAGGTCATATGATCTCACTATTTTTAATAAAAGAAATAATTTATCTAGGGGTCTAGTAAAGTCATTTATCCAGTGCTTCAATACATGCAATCTTTCAAAAGAGTAACCAGACACAAGATATACTATTCACTGATGAGTTTCTACGAGGCCTACAAATCTATGAGTACTATGATAACATCATAAGCAGATTCTCTACAAATCTAGCTTTTTCTTCTTTGGCAAATAACAAATCACTAATTTCCTGGCCACAAGTGAATAGATATAAGTCAAGTAGTTTAATCTATTCTTAGTTTGTAATGGTTTCTTAAATCCAAATAAGTATGCTTGAAACATTATCCTTCATTTAAGAACTCTAGTACAAACCTAAAAAGAGCAACCAAGGCAGCCCCACTGAAAACATAACCAATAAATAAATAGCCCTCTTCCCATAACACACTCAACATCTTTCCTAAGTTTTCCAAATCCTTTTACCTTTCTTCTTTCTCTTAAAAGAAACATTTTTAAGCATGACATTAAATATCACGACAAAAAGAATGACATATAGAAAATTTTTGATCGATACTTTATCTAAAATGCACAAGACCAGAAGTATTTCAGACTTCAGATTTTTTCGGATTTTGGAATATTTGCATAAACATAATAAGATATCTTGGTGATATGGTTTGGATGTGTTCCCACCCAAATCTCAACTTGAATTCTATCATCCAGAATAAGATAGAATTCTTCTTCTCCATTGTGGGAGAGACCCAGTGGGAGGTAACTGAATCATGGGGGCCGGTCTTTCCCATGCTATTCTCATGATAGTGAATAAGTCTCACGAGATCTGATGGGTTTATCAGGGGTTTCTGCTCTTGCTTCTTCCTCATTCTCTCTTGCCACCACCATGTACGAAGTGCCTTTTGCCCTCCACCATGATTCTGAGACCTCCTCAGCCATATGGAACTGTAAGTCAAACTAAACCTCCTTTTCTTCCCAGTCTCAGGTATGTCTTTATCAGCAGCATGAAAAAGGACTAATACATTTGGGGCTGAAACATAAGTCTGAACACAATATTCATTTGTAATTCTGTACCTGAGACAAAGTTTCTATTAAGTACTTAGGTGTGGAATTTTCCACTTGTGGCATCGTATCAGCACTCAAAAAGTTTGGAATTTTGGATCATTTCAGATTTCTGAATTAGGAATCCTCAACCTGTACCTATATTCTGAATATACATCTAGTCTTCAATTTCGCATACTTCCTGCATTTCCATTTCTTTCAAAGCTGAAGTCCAGAGTTCATTTAGCATAATCTTTACTAGAGAGAAACATACTTTGTGCTCAATAATGCACTAGATAAATAACTTACTACCATGTATCATGATCAAAGAAAAGTCATTAATAAACTCATCAAATAAATTAGCTGAAAAAGTTGAAGACCAAATGTAATGATATAACAGATAATTCCTAAATTATGAAAGAAATAAAACAAAGACTACTGTGTCTATCTCTGTCCCCTTACCAATTTCTGCAGCCAGAGAAGAATATCATCATGAAACTGAGTATCTTCATTAACTCTCCTGGTGAACATGAATAAGACACTAATGCATTCCTTTAGTTGACACAGATCAGAGGGAATGCTTTCTGTCTGCTTAGACGCTGTAAATGAAAGATATTAAATGAGTCTCTCATAAATGGTGTTTTTGGGGGAATTTTTAGTGTCTTCACTTAAACCAATAACAACAAAAACCTTTAAAATATTTAGTGCAGATAAAAGGAGAAAAGTTACATCAAAATACTTAAATTTTTATAAACAGACAAGTCAAAAATGTGTTTAACTTTGAAGTATTTCAAAATAATGGAAAAATCAACCTCATCATAATTTTTTTTTTTTTTTTGACACAGCCTCCACTCTGTCACCCAGGCTGGAATGCAGTGGCGCAATCTTGACTCACTGCAACCTCCGCTTCCTGCGTTCATGCCATTCTCCTGCCTCAGCCTCTTGAGTAGCTGGGATTACTGGTGCCTGCCACTACACCCAGCTAGTTTTTGTATTTTTAGTAGAGAAGGAGTTTCACCATATTGGCCAGGCTGATCTTGAACTCCTGACCTCAAGTGATCCACCCACCTCAGCTTCCCAAATTGCTGGGATTACAGGTGTGAGCCACCACACCCGGCCATAATCCACTATTTTTTATTTGAAAATCAGTACATCTCTGACCTACCCCCAGTTAATTGATTAGTTAAGAAAATGGGGGAGGGGGAATTTTACTTTAAAGTACCCTAATACATCCCCCAGAAATAAAAATTGCATAATTCAACAAGCATACTTAATATTCATGTCATAAAGACTAATTTCTTAAAATCCAAAATAAGATGAAAAATTCAGAACATTATTAATCCTCTGTTGGAAAATTAAACAAAACAGCCCTACAAACAAAGCAGCCCAAACAAACCACAAGAGATAAAGGGTGAAGAAGTATTCCGATGATTACTTTTATAATCAAAAACTATATTTGGACTCAACTTGGTAACAAGCACATTAACTAGGACAGCAAAGGACATTAATGATAGATAGTGAGCTTTTTGGCATCCTAGAGAAGCAGAGAAAGACAGCCACGGAGAAAGGAGACCTGGCAATGCTCCCAAGAAATGTCATTAAGGCAGATCTCAATCCTACAGTGGGGGAGGCCTGGTAAAACTGCAAGCACAAATGGTACCTTGTAAGACCAATTACTATACAGTCAATTCAACCAGGCTATACCCCTCAATTTTTTTTTACTTCAAAACACAAGAAAGAGAGCTTCATTACTTACATACCTCGGCCTTGCTGGTGAATTGCTGAAGATCTCAGAACAGCTGAACTACTGAGCAATGCATAGATGTAAGACTCCACTTGCAATCTTGAGAGCACAGAAGTATAAGAATGAAGGGCCAGGGTCTGGTGGAGGTGCTCAGATTTGGCATCGAATAGCTTCTTTAGCTCCACCAGTGCATTTTCATTCATTTCTACTCTTTGGTAGCGATGATAGCTGAAAACTTTCACTTGATCTGCACAGATACCCTACCAGAGGACAAAAAGGTACAATATGAAACCAGTTACTCTTTCCATTTGAAGTAAGCAGGCAGCAAGTATAAGGTACACAGGCTTCAGTACCATCTTCAAAGAGCTTATAATCATGGTGAGGAGACATATTACTGTGTAGAGAACATTACCAGCAAATATATGATCAGGTGCAAAGGAACAGAAGGCCAATCACAAATACATCGCAAATTCAGAGAAGGGAAGAGTAACTCTAGTAGTCAGCAGTGGGCCAGGCGCGGTGGCTGATGCTTGTAATCCCACCACTTTGGGAGGCCGAGGCAGGTGGATCACGAAGTCAGGAGTTTGAGACCAGCCTGGCCAACACAGTGAAATGCTGTCTCTAACTAAAAATATAAAAATTAGCTGGGCATGGTGGTGGGCGCCTATAATCCCAGCTACTCGGGAGGCTGAAGCAGGAGAATTGCCTGAACCCGGGAGGTAGAGGTTGCAGTGGGCCAAGATTACGCCACTGCACTCCAGCCTGGGCGACAGAGCTAGACTCCATCTAAAAAAAAAGTAGTAGTCAGCAGTGAAAGCTGCAAGAAAATAATAGAACTTGTCCCTAAGACTTTCATGATTGATGATCTTACCTTCTATTTTATGAATATGAAGCCAATGTGATATCTCCAAAACTTCAAGGTATCTCAAAACATCTCTGGATCTACCCTCATCATTCTTCATAGTTCTACTCAAGAGAATACACACTCCACCAGCTGTGTTCTTGATTCTATCCTCTCTTCTTCAATACAGTATTTCCAAATATTTCCCTCCTTACTATGTACAGAGATATACAGGTCTGCCAATGAATGAGGATTAGGGATAGGGGAATGACATGTTTCTCCCCAATATCCCCTCCAGCTTCCCTTCACTGCCAAACTTGTCAAGAGTAACCTCTTCTTCCTTGCCATCTCTCCTAAGCCACTATGAAATGGCTTATGATCACTTTGGCCTCCATAGGGTTGCATCTAATGGTCTTCTCCATCCCCTCTCAAACTTGAGAGGACGTCTCCCCCTTCCTTTGGGGGCTCTGTGTTACACATCAGGGACTCTCCATTGCTTATAGTTAAGAAGGTGAGTTTCACTCTCATTTTGTCCACTGGCATCATCCTGGAGCTAGGAATCAGTTACTACCTTCAGATTCCTCATCCCCACTCAATGGGGAAGACCATTGGATGCAACCCCATGGAGGCCAAAGTGATCATAACACCTTCAGTTTCCTCATCCCTTCTCAACCTTGACACTCTCTTCCCATTGGATGTTGGTAGCATTATGCCCAAGGTCACAAACTAATGACCCATGGGCTGAATTTCAGCTGGAGACATGATTTGCTTGGCCTACACTGTCTGTATGTGTCTGATTAGTTGCTAACATTTGCAAATTAGGATTCCTCACACTAAAATCTAGATTTCTAGTTTTTCTTGTAAAATCATAAGATGTGGCAATGCTGAACCATCACAACCTCACAGCAACCATCATCTAGAACTTGAGAACGGCTGTCCCATCTAAACCAGGCATGGGCTGGCCCAGTGACCATTGTCCCACTCAGCCTGCTTCACTCCTCCAGCTTATACACCTGGCTCCTGCAGGCATTTGACTTTGTGATCCCTGCACTCTATTACTCTAGGCTGAGGCAGGGTCAGAGTGGGTGTAAGGCACAGACTCCAGACCTGGACAACATCCCAGGAATAGCAGCTCCGCTGCAAATTCCCCAGGCTTCTGATCAAAATACCTGTACAGACATTTGTTCCTCCTTAAACTGCCACAGCCGACTTTTAGCATTTTGGCAATCAGATGTCAGAGTAAGCAGCTCAGCTTCAGCCAGCAGCAGTTGCTTCCTACATCGTGAGTAGTTCAAAAGCAACTCATAAAATTCATGCCTGTCTTGATGAGCCATGCTGTCAAATTCTTCTAAATATGACTCAACATTTTCCAGCCATGAACCAGGCTCCAAGATTTTTAGCTGTTCTTTAGTAAATGGTACTAGTTCCAGTTGAGACGGGAGTTCTGGGTAGAGTCGCTCACTGCGAAGCAAGGGTTTCACTGCCACCAAAGCTGGTGCTTCTCCAGCAATTTCAGCTGGCAACTGGGGATACAGTTTCTTCACTCTAGGTGTCTGAAAACCATGTTTGGCTGGGCAAGAACTCTGCAAGCCAACATTCTGTGGCACCTCTGAAGAACAAACCAGGCCTTGTTTGTCTTCTTTACTATTCTGAGTTTCTCTGACTTGTATATTTTCCATTGCTGGCTGAGTATAAGAAAAATTAGATTGGGGTGCACTTTCTGAAAGTCCACCTTGTACCGACATATTTTCCTCTACCTCTGTGAAGTTCTTGGGGGTTTCTACTTTAGTTCCAACATTGTCTCCAGGGTGGACCTTTGGAGTGACTGCACTGTCCCCCACACAGGGTCTGGCCTCTCCCCCTTCCTTTGGGGGCTCTGTGTTACACGTCAGGGACTCTTCATTGCTTATAGTTAAGGAGGTGAGTGGTACATCAAACATTTCACTCTCATTTTGTCCACTGGCATCATCCTGGAGCTGGGAATCAGTTACCACCTTCAGATGGTCTCCTTTGAATTCACAGGCTAGAGAAGGGATTTCCTGCTCTCTGGAGGTTTTTGGAAGGGAGACTTCACTGGACTCTTCCCTCTGAGGAGTTTCATACTTCTTCTTTTCCTAAAAACAACATACATAATGTGAAATAATTTATCACAATAATTAATGCTTTCAGCAGGAGGAATTTTAAAGTTGCACATAAAATCTAAATTTCATCATGTAACAAATGAAACCTAAATTCACTTTATCAGTGTTTTTGAACAGATATGAACAAATATGAAACAGAAATGTGTTTCATATTTCGTATTATCCAATATTGAGCGTGTTAAATTTGGAGATTCACTAGTCTGATCCTAATAGAAAAAGACATCACAGTAAGCAGCAAATTCTGATTCAAAAAATAGAAGGGGAAAGTTAATTAGATTGTACACCATTTTGCCAGGGGTTAAGTTAAATAGATCAGTCTCTACGGATCTTCAGCCACAATAGGTTTGTCTTCACCTTGACAAATTCACTCAAAACTCAGGGAGAAAAGGACGGAACAACTTGAGCAACATAACAATTGTAGTACTGGAATAAAATAAATATCCAGGAGCCCATACTGACATAATTACCTGAATGAATAAATACATAAATAAAATGAGTGAGAAGCGACAATTCTTCCATACAGGAAAATTCCAATGAATAGAATTAACAGAAGGAATGAGAAAAACAGAACACTTACCACAAGAACACCATGGTAACTGCCACAGGTAAGATCTACCCATGGATGCTAAAGTGAGTAAGTGAAGAGTTTAAGGGAAACAGAGTATCTGCATAGTCTCAAAGTATCTCCTCCCAAATATTTAATAACAACGAACAGGAAAATAGTAAGTTTCAGTGGAGAATCCTGGAAGATAATGCCTTAACCAAATGATCAAAGTTACATCACCAGTAATACTGACATCAGATAACCCAATAGGATATTCCCAGTAATGAGTAACCTCAATCTAATCATGAGAAAACATCAGACAAAAACCCAAACTAAGGGACAGTCTACAAAATAACTGAAGGAATGTGGTCATGAAAGACAAGACTGAGAAACTGGAAGAGACTGGAGAGAACTACAGTGATCTGACAACTAAGTGTATTGCGGGACCTGGATTAGAAAAAGGACATTAATGGAAAAACTGGTGAAGTTCAAATAAGTTCTACATCCTACTATTGTACCAACATTAATTCTTTAGGGTGTTTTATTTATTTATTTTTTTTTTTTTGAGACGGAATCTTGCTCTGTTGCGCAGGCTGGAGTGCAGTCACGCAATCTCGGCTCACTGCAACCTCCGCCTCCTGGGTTCAAGCAATTCTCCTGCCTCAGCCTCCCAAGTAGCTGGGACTACAGGCACCTGACTAATTTTTTGTATTTTTAGTAGAGACGGGGTTTCACCGTGTTAGCCAAACTCCTGACCTCGTGATCCGTCCGCCTCAGCCTCCCAAAGTGCTGGGATTAACAGGCGTGAGCCACCGCGCCTGGCCAATTCCTTAGTTTTAATCATTGTTCCATGCCATAGAATGTACGGTTATATAAGATGACGACACAAGAGGATGAAGGGTGAAGAGTACATGGGAAGTCTCTGTATTATATTTGCAACTTTTCACTAAGTACAAAATTATCTCTATCATCATAAAAAAGCTGTTCACTAAAAAATAAGTTATGGTTTCAAAAAAACCTTCAGGCATTAATACGCAAACTAGATAACAGGAAGTTAGGCTGAATAAAGAAGAAAAAATTATTTAAATAACATTTAAATAAAGTTGTTTCATTCAAACAGACTAAAAACCTCATTGAAATCACTCAAATACTTACTTTCTTGAAGAAATTTTAAGGCAGGCAAACATGAGTTATACAAGCTCTTGGTTATTTTGGATTATTCTGCTCTGAATGTCCAGCAGACTAATAGCCAAAAAAGTAGGGCCTTTATATATTAAAAAGAAAAAAAAGATGAATATTTTTGACATGGAATTTGAGGTCAGCTTGTTGAAATGAACCTGACTGCCAAACATTTACAAATGGTAATGATTCAAGAAGTAATATGACCCTCCAAATTACTTCACTCCCCACTGTGAACTGTGGACATCAGATCCAGAAGTCAGTCACCCAATGCATACCTCATACAAACTACTTTGTTAAACTGCCTAAAATCACAAATAATAGAAAAACATTATATGAGTGTTAATAAAACAAAAAAGCAAGCCCAAACTATGCTGCAATGATGTTTAGCAAACTTGCTGTAATAAACAGGGTTCTTAGACTGAGAAATCAGAAAGAAAAATTAAGAGGGAAAATGGTTACTACGGCAAGAGAAATGTTAGTGGACACATCAGGGACTCTTCATCGCTTACGGTTAAGGAGGTGAGTGGTACATCAAACATTTCACTCTCATTTTGTTCACTGGCATCATCTTCAAACATCATCCTTAAAAATACATATGATTCGCTTGGCCTATACTGTGTGTGCATGTGTGTGTATGTGTCTGATTTGTTGCTAACATTTGCAAATTAGGATTTCTCACACAAAAATCCAGATTTCTAGTTTTTCTTGGAAAATCATAAGATGTGGCAATGCTAAACCATCACAACCTCACAGCAACCATCAACTAGAACTCGAGAGTGGCTGTCCCCTCTAAACCAGGCACGGGCTGACCCAGTGACCACTGTCCCACTCAGCCTGCTTCACTCCTCCAGGTTATACACCTGGCTCCTGCAGGCATTTGACTTTGTGACCCCTGTACTCTACTAGTCTAGGCTGAGGCAGGGTCAGTATGGCAGAGGCCAAATTTTAGTGAGTTGACAATCAGAAAATGAAATTAGTAAAACAATTTCATTTATAATAGCATAAAAAGAACAAACTAGGGATAAATTGAGAGAAAGAAGCATAATACTTGTACTCTGAAACTTACAAAACATTACTGAAAGAAATTAAATGCAACTTAATTTATTTAAATGGAAAGACAATCTATGTCTTTCGCAATATTGTTAAGATGACAATATTCCTCAAATGGACCTACAAACTCTACACAATGCCTTGCAAAATCCTAGCTACCTTTTTTTGCAGAAGTTGATAAACTGATACTTAAATTGCATACAGAAATGCAAGTGACCCACAACAGACAGAAAATCTTGAAAAAGAACAAAGTTGGAGAACTCGCACTTGGCAATTCCAAAATCTACTACAAAGTACAGTAATAAAGACAGTATAGTGTTGGCACATGGACAAATAGATCAAAGGAACAAAACTGAGAATCCAGAAATAAAACCTTACATATATGGCAAATTGATTTTGACAAGAATGCCAAAACAATTCAATGGGGAAATTTGAACAAATGGTGCTACAACAACTGGATATCCTCATATGAAAGAATAAATTGGACCCTTACCTTATATCATATACAAAAATTAATGCAAAAAGGATCATACACCTAATGTGAGAGCTAAAACTTTTAAACTGTTAGAAGAAAACAAAAAAATCTTTATAAACTTGGGTAGGCAAAGCCTTCTTACATATGGCACCAAAAGCACAAGCAACAAAATAAAAAGATCAATTGGACTTCATCAAAATTAAAAACTTTGGTGCTGCAAGTACCATCAAGCTCACACCTGGTCTGGCACCAGTTGATCAATAAACTGGTTCATCTGATCTTGTGGCCCCAACCCAGGAACTGACTCAGTGCAAGAAAACAGCTCCAACTCCCTGTGATTTCATCTCTGACCAATCAGCATTCCTGGCTCACTGGCTTCCCCCAACCCACCAAGTTATCCTTAAAAACTCTGCTCTCTGAATGCTGGGGAGACTGATTTGAGTAATAATAAAATTCCAGTCTCTCACACAGCTTGTTCTGTGTCAATTACTCTTTCTCTATTGCAGTTCCCCTGTCTCGATGAATCGGCTCTGTCTAGGCAGCGGGCAAGGTGAACCCCTTGGGCAGTTACAAAATTAGCCAGGCATGGTGGCTGGCACATGTAATCCCAGCTACTCGCGAGGCTGAGGCAGGAGAATTGCTTGAACCCGGGAGGCGGAGGTTGCAGTGAGCCGAGATCTGGCCACTGCATTCCAGCCTGGGTGACAGAGTCAGACTCCATCTCACAAAATACATAAATAGGGGCCGGGCCAGGCATGGGCGGCTCACACCTGTAATCCCAGCACTTTGGAAGGCTGAGGCAGGTGGATTACGAGGTCAGGAGATTGAGACCATCCTGGCCAACATGGTGAAACCCCGTCTCTACTAAAAATACAGAAAACTAGCCAGGCGTGGTGGCAGGCACCTGCAGTCCCAGCTACTCAGGAAGGTGAGACAGGAGAATCACTTGAACCTGGGAGGCGGAGGTTGCAGTGAGCCAAGATCGCACCACTGCACTCCAGTCTGGGGTGGGGGCGGGGTGGCAACAGAGCGAGACTGTCTCTAAATAAATAAATAAATAAATAAATAAATAAATAAATAGGCCTGGGTGCAGTGGCTCATGCCTGTAATACCAGCACTTTGCGAGGCTGAGGTGGGTGGATCACCTGAGGTGAGGAGTTCAAGACCAGCCTGACCAACATGGTGAAGCCCCATCTTTACTAAATACAAAAAATTAGCCGGGCATGGTGGCAGGTGCCTGTAATCCCAGCTACTTGGGAAGCTGAAGCAAGAGAATCACTTGAATCTGGGAGGCAGAGTTTGCAGTGAGCTGAGATTGTGCCACTGCACTCTAGCCTGGGCAACAAGAGCAACTGCCTTTACCTACTTCAGTTAAAAATAAATAAAGGTCAGGTGCAGTGGCTCACACGTGTAATCCCAGCACTTTGGGAGGCAGGAGGATCCCTTGAGCCCAAGAGTTTGAGACCAGCCTGGGCAACACAGGGAGATCCCATCTTTATCTTTATAAAAATAAATAAATAAAGACACAGAAGGAAGACATAATGTATATATAATAATCATTACAGATCACAAAGTAAAATTCAGACAACTCTATGTGTATCAATTCCATGTGTATCAAGTAACATAATTTAAGCCAAAGGTATTTCCTTTTTTAAAAAAAAATCAGAGACAAGGTCTCACTGTGTTGCCCAACCTAGAGTGCACTGGCTATTTGCAGGCACAATCACAGCATACTGCAGACCTGAACTCCTGTGCTCAAATGGTCCTCCTGCCTAGCCTCCCTAGTAGTTGAAAGTACAGACTGGTGTCATCATGCCAACAAAAGATATTTCTTACAACTAAAAATGCCAGGCATATTAAGAAAAATCTATTTCTTTATTTTTGATCTCCACATAAGTTACATACAGATTAAAAAACGATTTTAAAGTCATTCAAATGGAGAAACAATAATGAGTAAATTTTACAAAAAGAGTTGATAAATAGAGAAAAACATGCTTAACTATACATTACAGTAAATATGCTCTGGAGTGTGGGTATATGGGGAAAAAAACCTAAAGAAAAATACAACAAACCATTACCAACAGTTATTTCCAGGAGATGGAATTCTGGGCATTTCATTTCTGGGTTGTACACTGTGAGAGTGTGTGTATGTGTACACTCATACACACTTTAAGCAATGAGGAATCAGAAAGTAATCATTTAAAACTAAAGTTTTTTTTAAGTTTTGGGAAATAAATGGGAAGTTTCTATTCATCACTTGAAAAAAACATGTAAAGATGTAGAATAGGCTTGGATTCACATGTCCAAGGCTACTCCACATTGCTACATGTTTATTTCAAAATTAACATATGTAAAACCAAACTCCTGATTTTCCCCCCTAAAACCTGTTCCACCCACAGCTTTCTCCTTCTCAGGGTCTTCCTTGACTGTTTTCTCTCACATCCCACATCCAAACCTCAGCAAACCCTCTTGGCTCTCAGACTTCAAACACTCCTCACCACCTTCTCTCTGACAATCCTGGCCCAAGCCACCATCACCTCTTGCCTGGGTGACTGCAATAGTCTCAGATGGTCTCTGCTTCTACCCTTGCCCCCTTACAGTCTATTCTCCAAAAAGCAGTCACAGTGATTCTTTAAAGCACAAGTGGAATCATGTCACTCCTCTGCTCAAAACCCTGTGTTGATTCCATATGTCACTCAGAGTAAAAGCTCACGCAAGGCCCAACATGACCAGGCTATGCTACTTTTCTGACTTCATCTCCTACTGTTCTCCCCTCACTCACTCTGCACTAACCACACTGCCTCCTTGCAGTTCCAAGGACAGGTCTGGCATGCCACCGCCAGACAGCCTTTTCCTGGCTAGTCCCTCTGCCTGAAACACTTCTCCCCCAATATCCACATAGTGAACTCTCTCTTCCCTTTCATGTCTTTACTTAAATGTCACCCTCAATAAGAACTAGCCAGGCTGGGCATGGTGGCTCAAGCCTGTAATCCCAGCACTTTGGGAGGCCAAGGTAGGCGGATCACCTGAGGTCAGGAGTTCGAGACCAGCCTGGCCAACATGGCAAAACCTCTACTAAAAGTAAAAAAACATTAGCCAGGTGTGGTGGTGGGTGCCTGTAATCCCAGCTACTCAGGAGGCTAAGGCAGGAGAATTGCTTGAACCTGGGAGGCAAAGGTTGCAGTCAGCCAAGATCGCGCCACTGCACTCCAGCCTGGGCGACAACAGTGAGACTCTGTCCCAAAAAAAAAAAAAAAAAACTATCCAGACCACCCATCCTAACCTCTCACCAGTACTCCTCAACTCTTCAACCTGTTCTTTTTCTTTTTTCCATAGCGCTTATAAAGCATGATATATTTTCTTCTTCATGGGTTTTTGTTTGTTTAGCTTGCTTGTTTTTTGTCTTCTCCCTCTTGAATGTTAAGCTCCACTAAGGCCAGGTTCTTTGGGGTTTTTTCTCTTTTACATCCCAAGTGCCTAGAATAGTTTTCGGAACATAATGGGTGATCAATGAGTGTTTGTTTAATAAATGAATGGCTTTTAGGAGGCACGAAAGAAGCTAAATAATACTATGCAGCATCCCCCAACTTCAAACCAATAACCACTCCTGATAGAAAGGAACTAGAGGTGGAAATCAATCATTTAGGCATGGCACAAGGGGGATGGAGATTCAAAGGTTTTTCCTGTGACCTTCTGGGACACATCTTTCTGTCCTTAGCAATTACCAGATGTTCTCACTATTAATAAGTTGTTGGCATTCAGAATTTAATATTAACTGTCAAAGAAAACACTATAAAATGCACTGCTCCTGCAGAGTAAGTCCAAATCTAAGAATCTACTGTACTTATAAATTATCAAGATCAATGAAGTCAGGGTGCTCAGAGTTGGGGGATTTTATAGCAGAGAATGACACTAAAGAAATGAAAACATTATTAGGTCTCTCTCTTAGGCATCAGGTGATAAGCACCACATACCTAACCACAACCTAGCAGCCGAGGTTAGCTATCAGATGATTAACATTGAGGAATGTAGGTCAGCTGCTGGGTGAAATCCAGAAGCCACTCAAACTGTCTAAAGGCAACAGCACATGACACTATCCACTTCCTGAACTGAGACTTTGAACCAGTTTGTGGTTCCCTAAATAGCTGCCAAATTATACTATAGATGGTAAAGGTTTCATTAATATAGGACTTTATAACTATAATCGAACTATAACCAGCACTAAGAAGTGCATCAATTGACTCTAAAAAAAATTACTTTCTAGATTGTTTTATTCTAAAAGAATTAACTTTCTAGATTGACAAAGATAGGGGCCTTGCTGGTATCATGGACTTTTTTCATCCGTTTTCTCATACTAGTCAGAGGAAATTCACTAGAGTAAATTCCTCTGAGTGACAAAGCTTGGAAATATTCTTCATTACTGGCATTTATTTCATCATTCGACGAACATTATCAAGTGACAAAGAGGCTACGAAGGGTACTGAGAACAAGACAGGTCCCTCCCTCAGTGAGTTCAAAATCTAAGGGAGAAGAGAAATGTTGACAAAGTAACCACAAATGAGATGAGTGGCACAGAGGGGAGCAGAGTGCTATTGGAGAGGCAGTGACACCAGGAAGATGAGAAAAAGCTTCTCTGACGAAGTACTGTTTAGCTGACACCTCACAAATGAGTAGCTGGCTAGGTAAAAAGGGATAGGAAGGGGTGTCAGAGGAAACAACATGGGCAAAGGCCCTGAAGCAGGAAAGAATATAAAGGTTAAGAATCAAAAGAGAACTTTGGGAGGCCGAGATGGGTGGATCATCCGAGGCCAGGAGTTTGAGAAGAGCCTGGCCAACGTGGTGAAACTCCGTCTCTACTAAAAATACAAAAATTAGCCCAGCATGGTGGCAGGCACCATAATCTGAGCTACTCAGGAGGCTGAAGCTGGAGAATCGCTTGAACCAAGAGACAGAGGTTGCAGTGAGCCAAGATCACACCACTTCACTCCAGCCTGGGTGACAGAGTGAGACTCGGTCTCAAAAAGAAAAAGAAAAGAAAAGAGAGAAAGTTGGGATTGGTGGTAGAACTGAGGCTGAGGAGGAAGACAGAGGCAAGATCATACAGAGCCCTTAGTCCATGCTTTGGACTCTAGCCTCTGAGTGATGGGAAACCTTTGAAAGGTTTTGAGGAGAGTAACATGATCAGTTTTGTTTTGAAAAATATATATCCAGCTCAGTTTAGAGAATGGGCAGCAAGAATGAACGTAAAGAGGCCAGTTTAGAAGAAATCCTCCTTGGAGGAGGGTTGTACTAGTTAGGATGGAGAGGAAATGCACAGAATCAAAAGAATATTTAGAAAATGCAATTGGCAAGACTTAGTGAATGATCAGATTTGGAGGGTGAGCAAAAGTAGATGTCAAGGATTTTTGGTTTGCCCAAATGCCTCTGAAATAAAGGCCTCTTCATAAACTTTAACAAAAAAAAATTAATGTATGTTTGTATAGGAAAGTTGCCTAAGATGGATAAAAAATATAATCAATTGGTTTTTCATGATGGATCTAAAAGCTTAAGATTTTTAACTTTTTAATTTAGAAATTGTTTTAAACAAAATAAATTAAGAGGGAATCCCCTTAACAGACTTTTTAAAGCATCTGTAACATTCTATCTATGGAAAGACAAAAGACATACAGATACATGAAATAACTATTAAGTTCCTGGATTGAGAGTCAGGATTTCTGGCTTTAACCTGAGTTCTCTCACGAACTGCATGACACTGAGCAATATTTAATCCCCGGAGGCTTTAGTTTCATCAATATCTTGGGGGAAAAAAACTAGAGATTAAGACTTAAGATTCTGCTCTCATAGACAACTAACATTTATGTGTTATGCACTACTGCATTATAGGTTCAGGAATTTTTTTTTTTCTTCACTGGATAGGTATGTTTTCTTTTTTTTCCTGTAGTCTCATCGTTAAGTAGGTTTAGGGATCTTATGCATAGCTGGCCAATGGCTTTTTTCTTCCTCCTGGGCCTGGATAGTTCTTTACCAACCCAATACAATGCAAAAGCATTTCTTTTAAAAATATTTCTGAGCCGGGTGTGGTGGCTCATGCCTGTAATCCCAGCACTGTGGGAGGCCGAGGTGGGCAGATCACCTGGGGTCTGGAGTTCGAGACCAGCCTGACCAACATGGTGAAACCTCATCTCCACTAACAATACAAAAATTACCCAGCCTGTAATCCCAGCTACTCGGGAGGCTGAGGCAGGAGAATTGCTTGAAGCCAGGTGGCAGACGTTGTGGTGAGCAGAGATCGCGCCACTGCACTCCAGCCTGGGCAACAAAAGCGAAACTCTGTCTCAAAATAAATAAATAAAATTCCTGAAATTTGGTACCAAAATGACTTTCTCACCAGAATAACTCCTCACAGACCTGGATACACCAATGTGTCTAACTCCACTACAGCCGTTTAAAAAGTCATATCAAGAAAACGTGGTAAATACTCAGCATGGAATACTATGCAGCCATAAAAAAGAACAAAATCGTGTCCCCTGCAGCAACATGGATGCAGTTAGAGGTAATTATCCTAAGCAAATTAATGCAGAAACAGAAAATCAAATACCACGTTCTCACTTATAAGTGGGAGCTAAACATTAAGTACACATGGACACAAAGAAGGGAATAATAGACACCAGGGCCTACTTGAGGGCAGAAGGTGGGAAGAAGGGAAGGATAAAAAAACCACCTGTCAAGCACTATACTCATTACCTGGGTGACAAAATAATCTGCACACTAAACCACCAAGGTGTGCATTTGCCCATGTAGTAAACCTCCACTTGTACCCTCTAAACCTAAAATAAAAGTTGGAAAGAAAAAAAAAGAGCATCATAATGAAAGAAATCCACATAAGTCATCTACAGTCTACTAAGTATGGTACCTATGAACACTACCCTCCTGTTAAAACCTTGTTCCCATGAGAAAATCGGATTACAGTATCATGCTTAAATTACACCTGCTTTGGAACATCACCCACTTCTGGGGAAAAAAATGTCCTGTACTTGTAATACCATCCTCCTTATTTCCCAAATGTAAACTCTGTTTCAGGTAAGCCAAAATTATGAGGTCTGGCCATGCGGGAGCAGCATTTAATCTGTTCATCTTAGAAAATATATATAAATAGGGTGGGCGCGGTGGCTCACGCCTGTAATCCGGGCACTTTGGGAGGCCAAGATGGGCGGATCACCTGAGGTCAGGAGTTTGAGGCCAGCCTGACCAACAAGGAGAAACCCCGTCTCTACTAAAAATACAAAATTAGCCGTGTGTGGTGGCGCATGCCTGTAATCCCAGTTACTCGGGAGGCTGAGGCAGGAGAGTCGCTTGAACCCGGGAGGCGGAGGTTGCGGTGAGCCGAGATTGCACTCCGCCGAGATTGCACTCCAGCCTGGACGACAGAGCGAGACTCCATATCAAAACAAAAACAAAAACAAAACAAAACATAGGCTGGGCGCGGTGGCTCACGCCTGTAATCTCAGCACTTTGGGAGGCCGAGGCGGGCGGATCACGAGGTCAGGAGATCGAGACCATCCTGGCTAACACGGTGAAACCCCGTCTCTACTAAAAATACAAAAAATTAGCCGGGCGTGGTGGCAGGCGCCTGTAGTCCCAGCTACTCGGGAGGGAGGCTGAGGCAGGAGAATGGCGTGAACCTGGGAGGCGGAGCTTGCAGTGAGCCGAGATCGCGCCACTGCACTCCGGCCTGGGCGACAGAGCAAGACTCTGTCTCAAAAAAAAAAAAAAAAATACATATACATATATATACACACACACATATGTATATATGTACGTATATATGTATATATGTGTACATATGTATATATGTGTATATATGTACTATAATAAAATGAAAATCCAGACTGCACTTATAAACAAATCAACTTAAAATCACTCTAATACCACATGTAGTCTAATACAGGAAACTCAGAAAATTCAAACACTTCCCTACTGTGTGAGTCCCGCCCTGGGTTAATTTCTAGCCATTCATGCCCCTTATAAACAATCAAGACAATAAGAAATAAACAGAGGCAGCACTACTATCATCTTGAACTTTCAAAGTGATCAGAAATGGCACAGCACTAGTCTACTTATAAAGTTCTGCCAAAGGTACCTTCTCCGCGTGGAGGAGGGGAACATTCCCTCTTTATGCATGGCAGGGACTAAAAATGTTCTAGGATATAAAAGAGTAAAGAGAGAGTCAACGATGGGGCTGGAAAGAGAAAAATTATTTCACGGCAGGAAACCAGACCCAGGTGAGGAAAGCCAAGAGAGCAGAAAAGGAAGAGGCCAGTGAAGTCACAGGAGGGAGAAGGAAAAATGGGGTCCTGACAGAGTGTGGCAGGGGGATATGGAGAAGGAATGGAGGAGAAGGGCCGGTGTCAACGGGTGGTGGGATCAAATATTGGAAGGTGGAGGCGGAAGATGCAGAGGGCTCAGGGAACGGGAGTAGAATTGGCTGGGGAGGCCGAAGAGAGGAGCAAGGAGACACAGCACACTGCCAGAGCCTCGGGAGGGTGGGGGAGATCCTCACCTTTGTTTTAGTCCGGCTGGCCTTGGCCTTGGCCCGGCGCTGGGGCTTCACCGCCTCGGCCATAGACCCTTCCGCGGCGCCGTCACCGTTTGTTTTTGTCAAACCCCTGCGCTTCAAGCAACCTGCCCGGTTCTGGCCTCCGGACTGTCACATGATCGAATCTCCGCCACTCCCGGAGAAGAGGCGGTGAGTCGGCGCCTCTACGGGCCGCAACGTAGGACAAACCACTCCAGGACGCATTTGCACTGGAGGAAGGCAGGCCCGCCCCCTTCCCGGAGCCCAGGCCCCACCCCTAGCCCTGGCTCCACCCGGCGCGCAGGTGTCTTGGGTTGCGCTGGACAAGGGCAGCGACCCAGGCTGACCCACCTCCTCCGTCTCCCGGCTCTGCGGAACCTCACTCAGTGCGGATCCCGGGCGCGCTCGCACACCTCACCCGCGTCGGCTTGAAGAAATCCGGAAAGTGGGTTTGCCATTCTTTTTTTTCATCTTCAGATAAACCAGATCCAGTCGGTTAGCCTAAATCCGCACTGCGCGCAAGGAAGAAACCCTGACGCCCATCGGGGTGTGCACTTCGGCGTCCTCTTTTGTAAAGGGGAATGATCACACCTGCCTTTTCGGATGTCATGAGAATTTAATGGGCTCTCCCAGAAAGGTGCCTGGTAGCGGCAGGCATGTCGGTACATGGTAGTTATTAATTATCATTACTGTACAAATTCCCAGACTGGAAAAAAGACATGTGCTCCTAAAAGGACAGGCAAACAGGTAACAAGATAAATAAGATCCGTAAAAGTATTCTTAGTATACATTTTACAGTGTGCTTCATTTGAAATTTCCAGATGTGAAAAACTTGTCCACATCTTCCCTTCCCAGCTCTAGGATTTCTGTGATTTGCTTGTATCCTTATTGTTAGTGTCTGTCAATCCTCCCAGAATGTAAGATCCTCAAAGGCAGGGTTCTTAATTTTGTTGCCTGATGTATCCAAGGGTCTTTAGAACACTGCACGTAGTAGCACATAGTAGATACTAAATAAATATTTCGTGAATCACACAAATGAGTATGAGTTTTGTCTGGCGGTGGGGTAAGATCGTTGAAATGGAGTGGGCCAGGCGCAGTGGCTCACGCCTGTAATCCCAGCACTCTGGGAGGCCGAGGCGGGTGGATCACCTGAGGTCAGGAGTTCAAGACCAGCCTGGGCAACATGGTGAAACCCCAACTCTACTAAAAATACAAAAAAGTCGCCGGGCATGGTGGTGGACGCCTGTAATTCCAGCTACTCGGGAGGCTGAGGCAGGAGAATTGAACCTGGGAGGCGGAGGTTGCAGTGAGCCGAGATCGCACCATTGCCCTCCAGCCTGGGCAACAAGAGCGAAACTCCCATCTCAAAAAAAAGAAAAGAAAAGAAAAAGAAGAAAAGGAAATGGAGTGTATGGGAGGGAGGAAAAAGACCATCCACCCACCTGTAGCATACCCTAGAATAAAAAATCCAGCAATATGGCATGAAAAATGGAAAAGACTTCAGAGATGCAGTTTGCTTGTTTGTGATGATATTTTAATTGAGTATATAATACAATTTCGTGTATTTTGTTCCCAAATCCTCAACAACAAAAATTATTAAGCTACTCAGAATATACATGTACTTTGTATGTCCTGGTGTGTGTGTGTGTGTGTGTGTGTGTGTGTGTGTGTGCATGTATATAAAGTTATCACCTGCAAAGAGTTGGCCAATATAAACAAAATCTTTATACCACCATTACTATCCATAACTTTTGCTGATATTTCTCCCAGTCTGGAATACCCTTGCTCTCTGACCTCTCCCAGTTTAAGTCATTTATGACATTTAAAGTTCTCTATGTGCTACCCACTACTTGGTCAGCAAAACACAACTGACCCTACTCTCAATTTGCATGTTTTACAGTTTAGTTGGGAAGCAGACACAATGCATAGATACATTGTGATACGTGTATCATCGCCTAACTGGTAAAAGAGGCATACATTGGAAAGACTGAATGAAGGGATGACACCAGGGCAGGGGTGAGTTCCACACAAAAAAGAGGTTAATCAGGGAGGATGGGAGAAAGAGGAGAAGGAGGAAAGAAATGAAGGTTCTTTAAAAAGCACCTCAGCCTGGCACAGTGGTTCACACCTATAATCCTAGCATTTTGGGAGACCGAGGCAGGCGGATTGCCTGAGTTCAGGAGTTCGAGACCAGCCTGGGCAACACAGTAAAACCCCATCTCTACTAAAATACAAAAAATTAGCCAGGCCTGGCAGCGTGCGCCTGTAGTCCCAGCTACTTGTCCCAGCTACTTGGGAGGCCAAGGCAGGAGAATTGCTTGAACCCAGGAGGTGGAGGCTGCAGTGAGCCAAGATCGTGCCACTGCACTCCAGCCTGGGTGACAGAGCAAGGCTCCGTCTCCAAAAAAAAAAAAAAAGCAACTCAAAACCACAGCCTCCTAGGACTGCATAAGGTACTTCTGCTGCATTTATGTGGCTTACTGCACTTCTCAAGATGGTGAATGTGAGTATGATGTATGATGACTGGAGAGGCCAGAGAGAGCCAGATTGCTCTGTATAAGCAGAGATTTAGAGAATTTAGAGAGGAAGGAAGAACAATATATAAGGGGAGGTGGAAACGAAGTCACCTGGCAGAGGGCTAACTACTAAGGAGACCTACATTTTCCATCACGAAGTTATCTGTCGTTGGATTAATTTCAGAAAGTGAGGCCAACAGCCAGACAATTCAAGTTCAGTAGAATCCAAACAAAAGGTAAAGCAACAATCAGTTAGGTAATGATATAATTTGAACCGAGAAGGTGGTTTTGAAACTACTCCTTTTGAAGGATATAGACTTGAAGTCTCTGTTGCCACAGCAACAATTTTAAAAGGGACAATGGGAGCAGGGGCTCAGAAAAGTTCCCGAACATATGCAGTCAAGGATTTCATGTCCCAGCCAGACAACTGACTGATAAGCAACCTGAGTTCCCAGGGCTGCTAAACCCAACCTGTGAGACAGTAGCTTGAAAAAGTAAACAGGCCGGCAGTGGTGGTTCACACCTGTTATCCCAGCACTTTGGGAGGCAGAGCAGCGCAGATCACTTGAGGTCAGGAGACCAGCCTGGCCAACATGGTGAAACCCCATCTCTACTTAAAAAAATACCAAAATTAGCGTAGCGTCATGGCATACACCTGGAATTCCAGCTACTTGGGAGGCTGAGGCAGGAGAATCGCTTGAACCCAGGAGGCGGAGGTTGCAGTGAACCAAGATGGCGCCACTGCACTCCAGCCTGGGCAACAGAGCGAGACTCCATCTCAAAAAAAAAAAAAAAGTAAACCAATTCCTGGAAGTAAAGTATCATCTCAGGAAAGTCAAATACAAAGCAGATAAAGTAATTTAAGCTGACAGCATAATCCTTTTGTGTTAAATTAGGAATAAACTGTATCTTTTTGTATTTAAAGTGCTTGTACTGGTTACGATAATTTGGCAAATTAAAGGATATAGACCTTATGATTCCAAATTAAAATATGTATTTTACTACCTGATTTTAGATTACATATATTTTAGTTAAAAATAAGATAATTTTATACGGCTTACATAATCATGGAATATCTCTGAGAAATTAAGATCTATCATATTTATAAACTGAATTTGTGGCTGGGTGCAGTGGCTCATGCCTGTAATCCCAACACTTTGGGAAGCCAAGGCGGGCAGATCACGAGGTCAAGAGATCGAGACCATCCTGGCCAACATGGTGAAACCCCGTCTCTACTAAAAATACAAAAATTGGCTGGGTGCACACCTGTAGTCACAGCTACCCGGGAGGCTGAGGCGGGAGAATCGCTTGAATCTAGGAGGCGGAGGCTGCAGTGAGCCGAGATCATGCCACTGCACTCCAGCCTGGCAACAGAGTGAGACTCCGTCTCAAAAAAAAAAAAAAAAAAAAAAATTTGTTAGACCTTAGTAGGATGGTTTAAGTAGTTAGAATGGTTGGTTGGTCAGTTCAGGCAACATTAAAAAAATTAATATTTTGAATTTAATACTGTAGTATAAAACATTTGAAGGAATTTAAGTGATGATGGGACCAATTGTTTAAGGGACTTTGGTCTGTTGAATGTGAGTGGATGAATTGTTAAGGTTCCCCCTTGAACATGACTATGAAACTCTATTAGATTTATAAAAATAATGTTGAGGTATGTATAAAGATAACTTGAAGACTTAACAAAAACTGGGCCGGGCATGGTGGCTCACGCCTATAATCCCAGCACTTTGGGAGGCCGACGTGGGTGGCTCACCTGAGGACAGGAGTTCGAGACCAGTCTGCCCAACATGGTAAAACCCTGTCCCTACTAAAAATACAGAAATTAGCCGGGCATGTAATCCCGTACTACTTGTAATTACAAGTACCTGCCTGTAATCCCAGCTACTCAGGAGGCTGGGACACAAGAACCACTTGAACCTGGGAAGCGGAGGTTGCAGTGAGCTGAGATTGCACCACTGCACTCCAGCCTGGGCAACAGAGCAAGACCCTGTCTCAAAAAAAAAAAAAAAAAAAAAAGGTCGAGCATGGGGGCTTACGCCCATAATCTCAACACTTTGGGAGGTCGAGGTAGGTGTATCACGAGGTCAGGAGATGGAGACCATCCTGGCCAACATGGTAAAATCCCGTCTCTACTAAAAATACAAAAATTAGCCCAGTGTGGTGGCGTGCACCTGTAATCCCAGCTACTCAGGACGCTGAGGCAGGAGAATCGCTTGAATCCGGGAGGCGGAGGTTGCAGTGAGCCGAGATTGCGCCACTGCACTCCAGCCTGTGAGACTCTGTCTCAAAAAAAAAAAAAGACTTAACAAAAACTAAATTTTAGAATGTGTATGGGTTTAATAAATTAAGATTAATTTTTAAATAATTTAAAATACTAATTTCAGCTAGCAAAATAACAACAAATGTCTTCTCTATGCATAAGTACTATTTGCAGAGATTCTAAGAAATTCATCTTGACAGCAAGCAGTGTTCATCACTGGCATAATAATCAGAGAAGGGTTTGCTACTCTGGGCTGTAATAATTATCACCAACATTTCCTGAGCTCTTACTCTCTGCTGGGCCCTGTTCTGAGTACTTTTCATGTGTTAACTCATTTGATTCTTCCAACAACCCCGCGATGTTGAGGATTTCATTGCTTTCATTTTATAAAAAGAGAATTAAGACTCAGAGAGATTGAATTATTTGCCTAAGGTCACACAGCTTATGTAAGTGGTGGAGCTGGGATTTGAACGAAGGCAGTTATACAATATAAACAGACTTTGAAGAGGAAGCCAGGTTTACTGTCTCCATGTTTGCAATATTTAATACTTATACACTGGGGCCAAGATGACTATCAGAAATATTTCATTTAAAAGATACTGTATTAATCATAATAGTCACAGTGTTGACTGCTGGATGTCAAGGTTATATTTTTTTCTTCAAAAATTTCTATAATAGTTTTAAATTATAATATTTCTTTTGGTTGTTGTTGTTGTTGTTTTTATTTTATTTTATTTTTGAGACAGAGTCTCACTGCAATGCCCAGGCTGGAGTGCAATGGCATGATCTTGATCTTGGCTCACTGCAACTCCCCCTTCCCAGGTTCAAGCGATTCTCCTGCCTCAGCCTCCTGAGTAGCTGGGACTACAAGCATGCACCACCACACCCAGCTAATTTTTGTATTAAATTATATTTCTAAATGCAACTGCAAACAATATAGAAGTACCTATGATAGTAAGTTAATACTCCTTTCCCCAGAGTTAACATTAACAGTTCAGTATACATCCTTAAAGACTTTGCTCTACTCACATACAAAATCACACTCTTAAATACTCCATGCCTATGTGTAGATTGCGACCTTTTAATTAATGAATCCTAGCGCTATTTCCTTGTAAAAACAGATACCTCTACCTCATTTTTCCTTCAATTAATAAAATATTTCATAAACTTATTTAAACTTATTTAAAACTTATTTAAACAGACTTTTGATGGCCATTGTGTTGTTTTCAATGTTTCACTATTAAAACCAGTGCTGGTGGGCGCAGTGGCTCATGCCTGTAATCCTAGCACTTTGGGAGGCCAAGGACGGTGGATCATGAGGTCAGGAGATGGAGACCATCCTGACTAACACGGTGAAACCCCGTCTCTACTAAAAATACAAAAATATAGCCGGGCGTGGTGGTACGCACCTGTAGTCCCAGCTACTCGGGAGGCTGTGACGGAAGAATTGCTTGAACCCAGGAGGTGGAGGTTGCAGTGAGCCAAGATCACGCCACTGCATTCCAGCCTGTGCGACAGAGACTCCATCTCAAAAAAAAAAAACACACCCACACAAAAAAAATCAGTGCTTATACATGACCACTCATATATTTTTATGCATGTTTATTTCTGTAAAATCAATTCCTAGATGTACAATTTTGATCATAGAGGCATTCTCATTTTTAATTTTGATAAATATTTACCAGATTTCCTCCTAATAGGCTGTATTAATTTTCACTGCGGCTTTAAGAATTTAAAATACTTTTTAATCTCATGATTAAAATCCTGGTCAATTAAAAACAAGAACAAGGCGGCCAGGGGTGGTGGGTCACCCCTGTAATCCCAGCACTTTGGGAGGTTGAGGCTGGTGGATCACCTGAGGTCAGGAGTTCGAGACCAGCGTGACCAACATGGAGAAACCCTATCCCTACTAAAAATACAAAATTAGGCAGACATGATGGCACATGCCTGTAATCCCAGCTACTCGGGAGGCTGAGGCAGGAGAATCACTTGAACCCGGGAGGCAGAGGTTGTGGTGACCCGAGATCGAGCCATTGCACTCCAGCCTGGGTGACAAGAGTGAAACTGTTCATCTCAAAAAAAAAAAAAAAAAACCAGCATTCATAAAAAGACTGTAACTCATATATTATGTTATGGCATTCCATAACATAATATGACTATGATGCATAAGTCAGCCAGCATCTGGAAAAGAGTAAAAGCAAGGTTCAGTGAAAGCTGCTGAACTCTAGAAGGTACGCTGGGTTGACCTTTCTTAAATCTCCTTCCAAAATTCCATTCCAGAGTCTCTGTTGCCATCTGGTGGCAATGCCTGCTTGGTGAAACCTCTTACATATGATTTCCGAGAAGTCATTCATGATACAGATAGTTACTTTCTGTACATCATAACAGCACAAGGCGTTATTTCATCATTCTTCATTACTAAATGCATTTTTTAAAATTGCGAAAGAATCAGGTTGCTTCTACATTATTTCAGTTTCTTGAGACAATTAGCTCCCAGAGCAAGTACGTACCAAAAATGTACAACCTATGTTTTTCTAACAAACTGTCTTCCATAGGTGGGCTCTTTTCCATTAACAGACTTTTGCTTCCATAGGCAGCAAAGCATATAAACTTTGTCCTTTTTTTCCTCTTATAATCTCCAAACATTAAATGAGTCATACAAGTACAGTTGACCCTTCAACACTGCAGGAGTTAGGGTCACTAATCCTCCACACAGTTGAAATCTGCATATAAATTTTGACTCCTCCAAAATTTTATTTTATTTTATTTTATTTTACTTTATTTTATTTTTGAGATGGATTTTCACTCTTGTTGGCCAGGCAATCTCGTGCAATGGCACGATCTCGGCTCACTGCAACCTCCCCGCTTCCCGGGTTCAAGCGATTCTCCTGTCTCAGCCTCCTAAGTAGCTGGGATTACAGGCATGTGCCACCACGCCCGGCTAATTTTTTTTTTTTTTTTTTTTTTTTTTTTTTTTTTTTTGAGGGGGAGTCTCGCTCTGTCACCCAGGCTGGAGTGCAGTGGTGCCATCTCGGCTCACTGCAAGCTCCGCCTCCCGGGTTCACGCCATTCTCCTGCCTCAGCCTTCTGAGTAGCTGGGACTACAGGCACCTGCTACCACACCCGGCTAATTTTTTTTTTTTTTTTTTAATGGAGACGGGGTTTCACTGCGTTAGCCAGGATGGTCTTTATCTCCTGACCTCATGATCCACCCGCCTCGGCCTCCCAAAGTGCTGGGATTACAGGCGTGAGCTACCGCGCCCAGCCCTAATTTTGTATTTTTAATAGAGACAGGGTTTCATCACGTTGGTCGGCTGGTCTTGAACTCCTGACCTCAGGTGATCCACCCGCCTTAGCCTCCCAAAGTGTTGGGATTACAGATGAGAACCAGATATTTAAGGCCATGAAATTTAAATGTATTTGGCACTTAAATGGAAATTTCTGGCAATAGCTGTCCCTTCAACCTAAAACAAAACTATACTAAAAGACAGACAACAAAAATATAAGCCAGGGCTGGGCGCGGTGGCTCACGCCTGTAATCTCAGCACTTTGGGAGGCTGAGGCAGGTGGATCACCTGAGGTCAGGAGTTCGAGACCAGCCTGGCCAATATGGTGAAACCCCATCTCTACTAAAAATACAAAAATTAGCCGGGCATGGTGGCAGGTGCCTGTAATCCCAGCTACTCGGGAGGCTAAGGCAGGAGAATCGCTTGAACCCCAGAGGTGGAGGTTGCAGTGAGCTCAGATCACGCCAAAAAGAATTCTAGCCCCTCTCATCTTGACTTGGTGGCTAGTGCCCTTTTATTTGTTTTATGAGAACAATTTAGCCTTTTGGGAAGGGCTGTTATATAAACTATCACTAAATTCCTTCCCAAAGCTAGTTTGGCCTATGCCCAGGAATGAACAAGGACAGTTTAGAGGTTAGAAGCAAGATAGGGTCAGTTAGGTCTGATATCTTTCACTGTCATAATCTTCTCAGTTAATATTTTTGCAAAGGCGGTCTCAGTCAGGGTGAAATGAAATGGTGATAACATCTGTGCTGCACCATAAAAAAGAACGAGATCATGTCCCTTCTGGGAACATGGATGGAGCTGGAGGCCATTATCTTTAGCAAACTAATGCAGGAACAGAAATCCAAATACCACATGTTCTCCCTTATAAGTGGGAGCTTAGTGATGAGAATACATGGACACAAAGAGGAGAACAGACACTGGGATCTGTTTGAGGGTGGAGGGTGGAAGAAGGGAGAGGATCAGAAAAGATAACTATTGGGGCCATGCGCGGTGGCTCACACCTGTAATCCCAGCACTTTGGGAGGTTGAGGGCTGGAGGATTGTTTAAGCCCAGAAGTCCAAGACCAGCCTGGGCAACATGACGAAACCCCGTCTCTAAAAAAACACAAAAATTAGCCAGGAGTAGTGGCACATGCCTATAGTCCCAGCTACTCAGGATGCTGAGGTGGGAGGATCACTTGAGCCTGTGAGGTGGAGGTTCGGTGAACCGAGATCATGCCACTGCACCCCAGCCTAGGCAACAGAACAAGACTCTGTCTCAAAAAATAACTATTGGATACTAAGCTTAGTACCTGGGTGATGAAATAATCTGTACAACAAACCCCTGTGATACCAGTTACCAATATTGAAATGCTTCATTCTCTTTCACCCATTCATGAGAAATAATTATTTCTCCCTTGAACCTCACAGGTCTTTGTAAATGCCTCTATTACCACATTGCATTTCAATTATGTTCATATGTAATGCAAGCCATTAGAATGCCAAACCCTTGTGGTTCAGTCTTGATGTGATGTCATGATTAAAGAGGCACAGGCAGACCAAAAAAAAAAAAAAAAAAAAAACTATGCTGCAGAATCACAGTTACTGAGGCCTCACTCGTGGTGAATTTGGGTGAAACAGGTGGAAGAGCTCATGCAACATTACTAACACTTGAAAGATATGGGGCAAAGGTAATTCTAAGGACTATCAAGTAGGTTGGTTTTTATCAACTGCTGTTGACACACTGCAGAAAATCACAAGCTTGGGTCACTTAGGGAATAGTGGGAAAGCCAGAAAGCCCTTATGGCATCATTTAAAGAGATGCATTTTGCAAAATTATAAAGATAACGTGAATATAAAAAGAAATGATGTTACTTCCAAATTACTTTATCTTTCTTCAGATCCCCTGAGTCACGGGTCAGGAGGGCACATCAGTAATCCTTCCTGCAGTGGAAATGGTACATTCTGGTTTCTTTGTTGTTGTTGTTTATAGAGACGGCATCTCACTATGTTGCCCAGGCTGGTCTCAAACTCCTGGGCTCAAGGGATCCTCCCACCTCAGCCTCACAAGTAGCTGGGACTGCAGGTGCATATGACTGCACTGCGTAGAAACGGTACATTCTGGATCAGGCCTAAGCAAATCCAGGGAGCACAAGTATGTTGCCCCAAAAGGTGATGCAGACTCATCAATTACCCTTCTCTGTTGTATCTGTGCCTCTCCCTCACCTCATACCTATGGCCTCAGAGAAGGCATTCTTCAACCCAGTTGATGGAGAAAAACTCAGGCCTGGTCAAGAATAGGTCAGCTCTATATGTTAATTGTTGCTCTGTACCCGTGTGGACTGCTGCCACATGACAGTCCACTCAGGAGGGACTGTGGAAAACAGCAGCGAAGAGGAATACGCTCAAAGCACAGGAGTCAAGCAGTCCAGCTGCTCATCAGCTTGCTGTGAAGGGAGACATAGCCCACAGTAAATAATATACATAGATTCCTGGGCTGTGGCACGTGACCTGACTGATTGGCAAGGGAGGAAATAGAAGACTGAAGACAGGCTGGGCATGGTGGCTCACGCCTGTAATCCCAGCACTTTGGGAGGCTGAGGCAGGAAGATAGGTCAGGAGCTCGAGACCACCCTGGCCAACATGGTAAAACCCTGTCTCTACTAAAAATACAAAAATTAGCCAGGCATGGTGGTGGGCACCTGTAATCCCAGCTGCTCAGGAAGCTGAGGCAGGAGAATCGCTTGAACCCAGGAGACAGAGGCTGCAGTGAGCCGAGACCACACCACTGCACTCCAGCCTGAGCGACACAGGGACACTCTGAATCTAAAACAAATAAAATAAAAATAAATAGAAGACTGAAGACAAAGAGGCCTAGAGAAGAAGCAGGCAAGTGGCCTCTGGAATTAGGCAACAAAATGTGCAACTCTTTGTGTCTCATACCAAGGCCTATGAGAGAATATCCATCACAAAGCAGGTGCAGAGCAACCAGGTGGCAGGGATGACTCATCCAGTGCAGTAAGCAAGCCTCTGTCCTTGGCCACTCTGGTGCTTCCTCAATGGGCCCATTAACAGAGTAGCCATGGTGGCAGGAATGCAGCTAAGGGGACTTCCCTGCTCACCAACCCCGATGTAGCAACTACCACTGAATACCTGATCCATTAGCCTAGAGACTGAGGCTGAGCTCTAAATATGTTACCAGTCCTCAAGGAAACCAACCATCCACTTGGTGGCAAATTGATCCCATCAAACCCATTCTACCCTGGAAGCATTTCTGTCTACTGGGATTGAGTTCAAGAATGGATTTGCCTTTCCTGCTAGCCTTGCCTCAGCCAGCACCACAATCCAGGAGCTTATACAGTGTGTAATGTAACATTATGGTTTCCACATAACATCATCTTAAACCAGTGTTTCTCAATTTTTTTTCTTTTTTTCTTTTTTTTTTTAAACGGAGTCTTGCGCTGTCTCCCAGGCTGGGGCGCAGTGGTACGATCACATCTCACTACAACCTCTGTCTCTCAGGTTCAAGTGATTCTCCTGCCTCCCCGAGTAGTTGGGATTACAGGCACATGCCACTGGGCATGGCTAATTTTTGTATTTTTAGTAGAGACGGGGTTTCACCATGTTTTGGCCAGGCTGGTCTTGAACTCCTGATCTCAAGTGGATCTGCCTGCCTTGGCCTCCCAAACTGCTGGGATTACAGGCACGAGCCACCTCACCCGGCCTTCAATTTTTTTTTCATTATCACTCCCTTAATATCCTTTTTAGACTTTTTTTTCCTGTCAGCCTATGAAACTTTTCTTTTTTTATTTCTTTCTTTTTTTTTTAACATGCCTTCTGAATTCAAAAACTCCCATGAAATTTTAATACCACAGATATACTGTATTATTCCTCCTCCTCCTCCTCCTCTCTTCTTCTTCTTCTCCCTCTCCCTCTCCCTCTCCCTCTCCCTTCTCCTTCTTCTTCTTCTTCTTCTTCTGGAGACAGACTCTTACTCTGTTGCCAGGGCTACAGTGCAGAGGCACAATCTCGGCTCACTGCAACCTCCACCTCCTGGGTTCAAGCGATTCTCCTGCCTCAGCCTCCCAAGTAGCTGGGATTACAGTCACCTGCCACTATGCCCAGCTAATTTTTTGTATTTTAATAGAGACGGGGTTTCACCATGTTGGCCAGGCTGGACTCGAACCCTTGACCTTGTGATCTGCCCACCTTGGCCTCCCAAAGTGCTGGGATTATAAGCATGAGCCACCGTGCCCAGCTGTATTTCTTTTTATGCAGTATATGTTTATCCATGCTTTATACATAAAAATAGTAAGTTTTGTTTTGTCTATCAATAACCAATTTTCACCCCCTTGGTGGCAATACTGCCCCCACTGAGAATACAAATCTTTTTTTTGCTTTTTTTTTAGACGGAGTCTTGCTCTGTTGCCCAGGCTGGAGTGCAGTGGCGTGATCTCGGCTCACTGCAACCTCTGCCTCCTGGGTTCAAGCGATTCTCCTGCCTCAGCCTCCTGAGTAGCTGGGATTACAGGCACATGCCACTACGCCCAGCTAATTTTTGTATTTTTAGTAGAGATGGAGTTTCACCATGTTGGTCAGACTGGTCTCAAACTCCTGACCTCGTGATCCACCTGCCTCCGCCTCCCAAAGTGCTGGGATTACAGGCATGAGCCACCACATCCGGCTGAGAACGCACATCTTACACTAAGAGATATTTGCTTTACGGCAAAGGTGGTACAACAACAGACAAATGCCCATCGGCTCCCCTTTGTCTACTGTGTACCGCATCACCTAGAAGATGCTGTCCTGATAGATTACTGGAATGTCCTCTTAAAGGTGCAGCAGCTTGAGAATAATACCTTGCAAGGCTGGGATGCTGGCCTTGATGATGAGGTATTGGTGTTTAAATGGCCACAATCTGGTACTGCATGTTATGACTCCAATAGGTAGAAAACACAGTCTGGGAACTGAAGAAAATTATGTATACAGTGGTCCATTTCCAACACAAAGTGCCTTGAATTGGCTTAGATCAGCAAACTACAAAAGAAACAGGATATATGAGGCCTCTGCTTGGATAGCCAACGCCTGCTTGTTGGCCTCCACCTTCCCCACAACTTAGTTGCCCTCACCTGAACCAAAGGAGTTTAGTCTAAGATGAAAGTTTACTAGCCTGCAGAATAGTTCCTTTTGTCTGTTCTTATCAGCCTGCCCAGCTATTTAGGTCATAAGTCAAATACTTGAACAGCGCCTGAGCTAGGATTGCAATGCATTCTGGGCTGCAACAAGATGCAGCAAGACAACCCTAAAAAAATACCTAAAGCCTTTACCCAACAATCAATTGGCAATGTCCAGGAAGATTGTGACCCTGTAATACTCAGCCTTTGAGGAACCGGGGAGGGACCTGTGCACTAGGGGATAAATTGCTTGTTGAAACTGTGCTGGGTGTGCCTGCCTATCAGACACCTGATCTTGCAAGACCATCATTAAAAGTCTCACTTTTGATGTTCTGCATGTCTCTGAGTCCATTCTTTGGGTTTGGATGGGTGAGTTTGTCTCTCACAGAAACCAAGAGGTAAGAGTGGCGTCTGTCACTATGGCTCACACTGACCCACCGGGAATTTGTGCTTCCCATCCCTTCGACTTTAGGCTCTGCCAGACAAAAACTCCTGACTCTAGGAGGTTGGCAGGGGATATCTATACCAGGGGATATAGAAAGGGTTCCATAAAACTATGGCCAATGCCTGGGCTATTGGGGTTCCTCATACCAATAGACCAGCAGGCAAAGAGAGGCATACCAATCCCAACAGGAGTTAGTGATTATCATGAGAAAAAGGGGGCAACGATGAATATATCTGGAAGGCAGGAGTTTCCCTGGGGTGCTTCCTTGTGTTCCCATGCCTGGTAATTAATATAAACTGGCAATTTCAGCAAACAGGGGACAAAAGCCTGATAACCAGGGCTAAGACCACCACCCCAGGGAGGAAGATGCAGATTATCCCACCAGTCAAGCAACCTAGACAAGCAGATGAACTAGCCAAGTTTAAGAGGATTCTAGAATGTCTGTGCATTAGTTCACTAGGGCTGCCATAAAAAAATACCACAGATTGGGTGGTTTAAACAACCAAAATTTATTTTCTTTCTGTTCCAGAGGCTGGAAGTCCAAGAACAAGGTGCAGAGTTGGTTTCCTCTGAGGCCTCTTTCCTGGGCTTGCCACTGGCACATGGCCACTCTCTTGCTGCCTCTTCACGTGCTCATTCCTCTGTAAACATGTACTCCTGCTGTCTCTTCCTCTTCTTTTTTTTTTTTTTTTGTTTGTTTGTTTGTTTGTTTGAGACAGAGTCTCCCTCTGTCACCTAGGCTGGAGTACAGTGGCGCGAACTTGGCTCACTGCAACCTCTGCTTCCGGGGTTCAAGTGATTCACCTGCCTCGGCCTCCTGAGTAGCTGGGATTACAGGTCCCTGCCACCACGCCCGGCTAATTTTTGTATTTTAGTAGAGTTGGGGTTTCACCATGTTGGCCAGGCTGGTCTCAAACTCCTGACCTCAAGTGCTCTGCCAGCCTTGGCGTCCCAAAGTGCTGAGATTACAGGCATGAGCCACCGCATCTGGCCTCTTCCTCTTCTTAGGAGAACACCAGTCACTAGGATTAGGGCCCCACCTCAACGGCCTCCCTTCAATTTAATCACCTCTTTAAAGGCTCTGTCTCCAAACATGGCCACATTCTGAAGTACTGGCTGGCAGCTGGGACTTCAACATATGAATTGTGTGTGAGGGTGGGGTGCATGATTCATCCATAATAGTAGGGGGAGGAAGGAGATGATGAATATCAATTATGGATTTAAGATTATCTGTAAGAACAGGAAATATAGCTGGTCCTGCTAACTGTTTCCTTTGTATGTGTGTGTGTCTGTTTTTGGAAGTTGGGACTTGAAGAAGTAGTGATAGGATGGAGTAAAAAGTGGGGTATGGATGCATCTGAACCATGTGGGGTCAGATGCTGTCAATGCCCCATCCACATCCCTTCAGTACCTCTCAATTCCTTAAACACACAGTTCCAACTGTCAGGAACTGTGTTCCTGCCTAAGGACCCTCTCAGACTGTTCCCACTCTCCAGCGTTGGAGGCAGCCCAGAAGTGCTGGGAAATTAATGCCTCCTAGGAGCATTCTGCAACCAGTGACTGACAGGAGTTGGTGAATAAATACTCCAGCTCCCTTGTGGCTTAGGTGCAATATCTCCTAAGTGTGTGTGTGTTCTTTTTTTTTTTTTTTTTTTCTTGAGACAGAGTCTCACTCTGTTGCCCATGCTGGAGTGCAGTGGCGCGCGATCTTGGCTTACTGCAACCTCCACCTCCCGGGTTCAAGCAATTCTTCTGCCTCAGCCTCCTGAGTAGCTGGGATTACAGGCACGCGCACCATGCCCAGCTAATTTTTTAATTTTTAATAGAGACAGGATTTCACCATGTTGGCCAAGCTTGTCTCGAACTCCTGACCTCAGGTGATCCACCTGCCTCGGCCTCCCAAAGTGCTGGGATTACACCGCACCCAGCCCCAGTTGTGTGTTCTGCACTGTTTCCTGGGAGTCTTCAACAAGAGTAAGCTCCAGCTGCCTGCCATGTAGCTTACTTGATAATGCACACTGTTTTTGCCTTTCTTCCTTTCCCTATCTGGCTTCCCCACTTCCATACTGGCACTTTCTGGAAAAAGTACTTGTACACAAATCCTTATCTCGGGGTCTGCTTCTGATGGAACCCAAATTAATATACCAACAGTCTGTAGAATAGCTCACATTTACTAAATTTAACACATGTACTCGTTTGGCTTCACTCACTTTGCACTCCTTATTTCTCTTTCAAGTGGTTGTTTCTCTAGCTATGTTTTCTTATGGGCCACTAATTCTTTCATAGTCTCTACTATGTGCCAGGTGCTGGAGATACAGCAGGAAAAAGAATAGACAATGGCCCTGCTACCATTGGGGTTCCAGTCTAAAAAGGAAGACAGGCTTTGAACAATTAATTTCAAGGGTGAATCATATCATAACAAGGAAAATGGAGGGGGAGGAGAGATACAGTAGTTGGATCCAACCTAGTCTGAAGGCAGAGATGGTGTCTCGCAGAGGAAGTAACACTGCAATTGACCTCTGAAGGATTAGTACAAAGTAGTTCGGCACCATCTCCATTTGGCTTCCCTGACCAGCGGTTTGTCTTTTTGAAGCCTAACAATCACAAATGTGGCAAGGGATCAAATAAAGCTTGGAAGAGCGATATGGTCAACACAAAAATACGAAACAAATCCCAAATTACCAAGAACCTTTATTTAACCTACCAAACTAAAAGAGCAATAAAATAAAAATATTTTCCATCCACAAAACGGTTTTACATCAACTACACTGACCAATACAGAGAAAAGGGAAATCCCTGAGGAACTGCCAACAATAAATAATATACTTAAAATAGAATGTTCTGAGTGTAAAGGAACATTTCCTGAGCCCGTTCAGTTTGGGGAAATTTGGCCCTTTGCAAAATTCAGTTTCTCAAAAGGATATCCAACTGATGCAAGTTTCCTGTCATGACAAGAAGCTGTCATGTTCAGTAGCACCTTACACGAAAGGTGGGGAAATAGGCCGGGCGCAGTGGCTCACGCCTGTAATCCCAGCACTTTGGGAGGCCGAGGCAGGTGGATCACCTGAGGTCAGGAGTTTGAGACCAGCCTGACCAACATGGTAAAACCCTGTCTTTACTAAAAATACAAAAAATTAGCCAGGTGTGGTGGTGGGTGCCTGTAATCCCAGCTACTCAGGAGGCTGAGGCAGGAGAATCACTTGAACCCGGGAGGCAGAGGTTGCAGTGAGCTGAGATCATGCCGCTGCACTTCAGCCTGGGGGACAGAGAGAGACTCTGTCTCAAAAAAAAGAAAAAAAGATGAGGAAATAATCAATCTTCTTCTGATCAATTTGTCCATAGTTCTGGAAAAGCTACTGCACAGAGCAGGAGAGGAAACTATTTGCTCTCTGTAATACTGAAAAACTGAGAGTGCTATTTTAACTTGTCAATAACTAAAAGGTACCATTTTCTCATAGTGCACAGGTGTTGTACAAAAAGTACATGACCTCCCTGCTGTTTGTGAGTGAAAAAGGAAAACCCAAATATTTGTGAAAGTGTAAGACGGATGCATTTAAAATTCTGGGGTCTAGCAAGGGAAAGATTCTCTGTGAAGACCCAAAATTGAGGACTGGTTTTATAACTCTAAAATTATCTTGAGGAATGGAATCAAAATATGGTATTTCATTGATTCTAAGATGTATTTTTTTCATACTTTAGCATCTTAAATTCAGATGGGCTTGGCCATCAATAGTCTGTCCCAAGTTTATTGGCAACTCCTCGACCCCACCTTCTTAGTGCAACATAAAATAATGGCATGTTTTACAATCAGTGGCTCCTTAAATTAGATTAAACATCATGCTCTGTAGTTCAGCATACACAGGGATCCACATAAAAATAAATCTGACATTTAAACCCTGGTGATTCTCCCAACTGAAAAAGTGCTGGCAAAAATATTTGGCATCTTAAATTTCAGCATGAGCATCACAACTTCAGGAAGGGTTAGAAGAATAGTGATGTGGGTTGGGCTCAGGCTCTAGTTCTGGTTCTGTCCCTCATCAGCTAGGAAAACTGTAAGGAAATTAATTTCACACTTGTAGGCTTTATTTCCTCATCTGTAAAATGAGAAAGTATGATCAGGCGGCTTCTAAGTCTTCCAGCCAAAAAGGAAGGTAATTTTAAATCTTGCACCACTGAGGCTGTGTGTCGCCGTGGAAACTCCACAGCCAGGCTGCCCAAAGCCAAAGGAGCCACTACTGCAGTTGGTGGCTCAGAATCCTCTGCTGCCACCTCTGCTCCTCAAGTGGATGCTCCAAATCCAGAAGTGGATTTCATGCTTCCCATGTTGAAAACCTAATTCATTCATAACCTGAGTAACTGGGAAAGAATAATTCTTCAGAATGGGGCAATTTGTAAACTTCAAAAAACTGCAGAACTCTACTTGCTTATGTTGTCCTAAATGTCTACCATAAATTTTAAATCTCTAAAAAATTATAGCAAGGGTTCACTTCAAAGTCTTCATTGCTGACATAACGTGGCTATAGGTCCTGCTGCTCTGGGTGCCCTTTCCATATCACAGAAGCACTAGCCGGAAAAAGCTCTGGTTTCTGAAAGAAAATAACAAAGAAATTTCCTCTGAATGAAAGGTGCTTGTCAATACTCTCTCCTACCTTGAGAGTATATTCAACAAGAATAAGGGTGCAGGCCAAGGAAAACAAATGGTGAGGAATGGGTATTCCAAGCAATGAGAAATGGAATGTGACGATAACAGCATTGCTTTATGGTAAATAATACATACATTTACATTTTTATACATATTTCAAATTTGAAATTTTTAATCTATCTTTACCTAAACATGTTAGAATTAACAACAGGAATAGCAGCTAAAATCAACAACTACAAAACAAATCACAAATTCCTAACTCTTCTTGTTTAAATTTTTTTTTTTTTTGAGACAGAGTCTTGCTGTGTTACCCAGGCTGGAGTGCAGTGGCGCAATCTCAGCTCACTGCAACCCCCGCCTCCCAAGTTCAAGTGATTCTCCTGCCTCAGCCTCCCAAGTAGCTGGGATTACAGGCACCCGCCACTGTGCCTGGCTAGTTTTTGTATTTTTAGTAGAGATAGGGTTTCACCATGTTGGCCAGGCTGGTCTCAAACTCCTGACCTCAGGTGATCCGCCCGCCTTGGCCTCCCAAAGTGCTAGAATTACAGGCATGAGCCACCGTACCGGGACCCTGTTTAAATTTATTTTCCAAAAGTTCATTCAAACTATTTTAATTGTTGTGATAAGTTGCTTAGTAAGTTATTCACTAAATTAGACTTCCTTCTTTAAAATTTTCTGAAATTCAGTATATGTTGTATACTGAATATGAATGTGTTGTATACTCCCTTTAGTAAAATTTTCTGAAATTGATGTATATGTTGAACCCCAACTCATTGAACTGGCACAGATTCCAGTGAACTCCAGTGAAATGATATAACTCAAGTACATGTGTTGGCACTAGCATCTTGCATTCAAACATCACACTCTTAGACTCTGAGGAACTACAGTTGTTGGGTCAAGTGGTACTATTAAGCTACTAGAATATATTCTTTACCCAAACAAGTAAGAACAGAAAAGAAAAAGGTAAAAAATAAAAAGAAACACTTAGGACTGCCAGTGACCTGCCCATCATCTACACAGTGCTCCAGAGAGCAGGTGCCACATCTGAATTCCAAGTCATTGATTTACCAGGTTTCCACTCTGCCTCTAACTAGGGCCTTGCCCCTTTCCATGAGAAAGAGGGAGGCTTATGAAATGAAGAAGAAATGATGACTGATTGTAAAGACTAGCATCTATTTGTAGATTTGTAGGTCCTAAGTTATATATAGTTAAAGAACAGGGTACTTTATGTCTTCAAGTTCCATATATTTTATAGCAAAGTTGCTTAAATATTAAATATATTAAGCAATTATATTAAGCAATTTAAGGACTTATGTTTAAATATAATAGAAACCAGCTGATTCTTTCCTTTGACTGAGTCTTGCTCTGTCGCCCAGGCTGGAGTGCAGTGGCGCAATCTCAGCTCACTACAACCTCCACCTCCTGGGTTCGAGTGATTCTCCTGCCTCAGGGTCCTAAGTAGCTGGGGCTACAGGTGCCTGCCACCATGGCTGGCTACTTTTTTGTATTTTTTGTTTGTTTGTTTTAGTAGAGATGGGGTTTCACCATGTTGATTAGGCTGGTCTCAAGTGATCCACCTGCCTCAGCCTCCCAAAGTGCTGGGATTACAGGCGTGAGCCACTGTGCCCAGTCATTAGCTGATTATTTTTATGTAATTAGGACAAGTTGGCATCTGTCCTAGATAGCCAGTTGGCTATAAGTCACAAAGTAGGTGTTTTTAGAGGACTGGAGACAAACAATGTTTGATGTGCTCACTTTGGTGGTATAGAACGCTATAGAAAATCACCCTGGAGCACTGTTAAAATCTGTTTAGGTTGATAAATGACAGTATATGTAACCAACACCAAACCAGGAAGGGTGAGAGAGAGGCTGTTGCCTTTCTCTGTTGACTTCTGGCATCCCACCCACCCACTGCCTGCCACTTGGTCTTCTGATACTGTTATCCAGGGCATACAACTAACAAGAAATGCGAAGACGTGTAGTTCAGAAGTGTAGCTCAGTCCACACTGAGATCAGGAATATGTAAGTGGATCAACCCTTTAAAACAGTTTTTAGTCAAAGCAGTAACACATTTTCATTGCAGACAAATTCAAAAACAGGAAGGAAAAATATTACCTATTTAGGAATATATCTCTTCAGACCTTTTCTTAGCTCGTGTGTACCTATATAATTCTTTTACCCCAAGATAAGCCCACTGGGGTAAAAGAATGATACTTTATGAAGAGTTTTTTTTAGTATCGCTACTTTGGCTTCTGAGGCATTTCTTCACATCTGTGAAGAATGATTTTGACTTGGAGAATGTTCCAAGCACCTGAGTGCCTAAGAAAAAGTCACCATGCAGTATATCTTTGCAGCTACAGTTGGCTTAGCAGTGTTCAGTCCTCGTCTAAGAATCCTCATGGTTTGCTTATTCAGAGCAATAATAATCTGCAGGATGACCTCCATGATGACCTTGTGTGTATAATGAGTGTGATATCATTTGCACTTCTTTTTATTTGACTTTTCCTCTTTTAGATGGTGGGAGAGTAAGCTAAAATCTAAATTACTTTAACAGTGAGGATGATGTGTGTTTTGTTGATGAGCACTGCCTTAAATCCAGGTGTGTAATAACTATAAAAGAGCTTAATAAGAGCAGATAAAGAGGGCTGGGCATGGTGGCTCATGCCTGTAATCCCAGCACTTTGGGAGGCTGAGGTGGGCAGATCACTTCAGGTCAGGAGTTCAACATCAGCCTGGCCAACATGGTGAAGCCCTGTTTCTACTGAAAATACAAAAAATATTAGCTGGGTGTGGTGGTGCATGCCTGTAATCCTAGATACTCAAGAGGCTGAGGTGGGAAGATCACTTGAACCCAGGATGTGGAGATTGCAGTGAGCTGAGATCGCACCACTGCACTCCAGCCTGGGTGACACAGCGAGACTCTGCTTCGAAAAAAAAAAGCAGATAAAGAGTTACTGTGGAATAATCAATGAAGGAAAAATAACCTCATTCAAATAGGTATGGAGGGGTCTCCAGTCTGCTTCCAGCTGTGGGATCCACAGAGGTGTCCTGAAGGGACAGCATGCTGGCCAGTGTACCTGCCTCATGCAAGGCCTTGCTAGTTTGTGGTAGTGTTATAAATAAGGTTCAAAGGCTTCAATAGCACAATTACCAGTCTACACATGACTCAATTATGTGAAAAATAAAGGTTCTTACCATTGATTTTACTGATAGAGCAAACTGTAGTCATCAACCAAAGAGTAATTGGGATCATCTGCAAAAGGCAGAACACAGAAAACAACAGTAACATCAATTTTTCATAATAAGATCTCACCCTTTTCAAGCCAGGGCATTTCACTTACAGATTCTGGTGTCTATCCTTTTGTAAAGAGAAAATAGATCTGCCAACAAAAACTATAAATGGTAGTCACGACTCCAAACCAGAGGACATTCTGGAAATCACTATTCTGACTTCTTTGCCCTTTTTCATCCATGCTCAGGTACAGTACCCACAGTAAAATCATCTTTAAAAATGGACAGAAATAGCATCCTACATTACCAAGTGGTAATTCTAAAACAACAAGAAATAAAATACCTTAAATCTTCATATTGTTCAAAGATATAATTTCAGCCACTACAGTTTTTTTTCCATCACTAAATTTTTAGTGAACTGTTAAGTGCAGCATAAACTGTCCTCCTCCCTTATTGATAGGTTTTGGCTCTGTGTCCCCACCCAAATCTCATCTTGAATTGTATCTCCCATAATTTCCACCGTTGTGGGAAGGACCTAGTGGGAGATAATTTGAATCATGGGGGCAGTTTCCCCCACAATGTTGTCCTGGTAGTGAATAAGTCTCACGAGATCTGATGGTTTTATCAGTGGTTTCCGCTTTTGCATCTTCTTCATTTTCTCTTGCCACCACCATGTAAGAAGTGCCTTTCACCTCCCGCCATGATTCTGAGGCTTCCCCAGCCATGTGGAACTGTAAGTCCAATTAAGCCTCTTTTTCTTCCCAGTCTTGGGTATGTCTTTATCAGCAGCATGTAAACAGACTAGTACACTCATTCTCTTGAACATGGATAGGTATATCTTTTCTTTACTCAAATAATAAATATATGTTGAACACCTACTATGTACTCAGAACTGTGTCAGCTGTTGTGAGTAATACAGAAGACAAAGTTGTACCTGACCTTGGGATCTTCTTATTATTCAAGGCATACAACTAATGAGAGCTTGTTTGGAGTAGCTGCAGGGGAATGCAGCTACTCATATACTCTTGACCAAAGACTGGCCCTCCTCTATCAGAAATGATCATCCTCTTTGAGCACGTAGCTTCGGGAGGGATGCACACGGACTGGTGAGGGAGGAAGGGGACACCCGCTTAGCCAGCCGGATGCACCGAATCAACCCTAGCAATCAATGGGCTGACAAATGTTGCAGCCAGACTGCCCTCACATCCCATACAACTAATAAGAAGTGCTAAGATGTGTACTTCTCCCAGAGATATCATAGGCGTTCAAAGAAAGAAAAAGACTACTGTGATTAGTGAAAGGTCTCATTAAAGATAACATTAAGTGACACGTTTCTTGACATCGATGCCTTCTATAAATTGTATTTCTATGTAATCCAAGGGGAACTATATCTCAGTTCTGCTGTTCTCACAGTCCAAGTTGAAATAATCTTTTAGGTAAAATCTGCTTGCAATAAGTTTCTTTTGGTATTTCAGTAACTGAATTATCTTGGATAAGCTATAAAATAGACCACCAATTATCATATTCCACTCTGTGACAAGTAGTATTATAGTAAGATTCTAATATAGGCTCATTCTCTTGGGAATTTGATTCTATTTAATCCTTTCATTCCCTTTATTTCAAAGTTCTAGCTATTTAATTTTAAAGAAAACCCAATATAAGAATTTCGTGGGTTTTTTGGGGTTTTTTTGTTTGTTTGTTTGTTTGTTTGTTGACACAGTTTGACTCTGTCACCAGGCTGGAGTGCAGTGGTGCAATCTTGGCTCACTGCATCCTCCACCTCCCAGGTTCAAACAATTCTTGTGGCTCAGCCTCCTGAGTAGCTGGGATTACAGGCACGCACCACCACACCCAGCTAATTTTTGTATTTTTAGTGGAGACAGGGTTTCACCATGTTGACCAGGCTGGTCTCAAACTCCTGACCTCAAGTGATCTGCCTGCCTTGCAATATAAGAATTTCAAAAGACCTTTTTTAGTGGCATACCTGGTGAGCTTTTAGGAATTGGGAGGGGTCCTCTCCTGTAAGAAATGAAAACCAAAGTATTTTAGATAAGTTCTTGTTATTTTTATAATCTTTTTACTTCTTGCTACAAGCCTATTGTACTCTAATCAGATCTGGTTTCTGCACTGGAGGGTCAAGAAAGCTCACCTAAAGCAAATGATCTGTAGCACTGACCTACGGAAATCTAAGTTGCAGACGTCGTACTATGGCAAGAGGCAGCATGCATAGTGATTAGGAGCACAGAGCCTTATCCCCACAACCCGGACTGGCAGGATTAAAATCTTAGCTGGGTAGGAAAGACTTCCTGAGTGCCTTGAACATCCGCATCCTCATAAGTAAAATAGGAAGTATAAACAGCTCCCACCTCATTGTGGGGATTAAATCAGGTAATTCACACTAACTGTTTTGAACAGTGCCTGACACGCTTAAATACTGATAATGATCATGCAATCCTTCCCAGGCACTCCCCATCTTTACTAAAACTGGAGTGAAAATTCAAAAGCTTAGACTGCAAGCTGACTATGTCAAACAGAAGTTTCTCTTTCCGCAGGATCCTTTACATGAACGGCAGCGAACTTTTTGAGTAAAGGGCCAAGTAGTAAATGATTTAGACTTTGCTGGCCACCTCCCGTCTCTCTTGCAACTCTACTCAACTCTAGTGGCAAAGCAGCCATAGACAAAACCTCAGTGAGTGAGGGTGCTTGTGTGCCCATAAAACTTGATAGAGGAACACTGAAATTTGAAATTCAAATAATTCTCACATGTCACAAAACAGTATTGTCTTGACTTTTTTCCAGCCATTTAAAAATGTAAAGACTATTCTTAACTCACAGGCCCTATAAAAATGGATTTAACTCTCAGGGGCCATAGTTTGCTGACTGGCTGTAAGAAAAGTATAGGATTTCTACAGACTATAAGAAAAGTATAGGATTCATCCATGAATAACAATGATCAAGTTCAAGCATGATATACTCCTCCCTGAACTATGACTATTAAAATCCACTTAATATTTGTCCTAAAAATACTATTTCCAAAAAGCAAGCAGCCTTATTAAGCAGATGCAGTAGTAGATATGTTCCAATTCTAACATGTCTTAGAACATTCATGATAACAATGTTTGTTAAAAGTATTTTTCTTCATATGAAAGGCAGCTGGTTATTACCTTGCCAAGTTAGGCCCTGTAGCCTTTCCTGCTGGGACTGCATTCTTCTGGGAGGAGTAGAAATTCTCATACATGATGGGTGCTAGGAGAGTCACCAAGAAACAGGACATGAAGAGGCAGGCGTCTTTCATCCTTAATGACATCTAACAAGAAAGGCTAATAGAATTGTGTAAATAACACTCCCCACCCCACTGCCCCATTCACCTGGTGGAATCTGTCCAGTTTTGCGTTGATTCACAAAGTATTCAATGTCCCTCTGAATGCTGCACATTTCTAAACTCTTTCGGACTTGTTCGTACATCTAATAAAAAAAGGTCAATTAATAGGTAGAGGTATGTTGAGATCATTGTGACACAGCTCCTTAAAAACATGGGTTTGAGGCGGGGCGCAGTGGCTCATGTCTGTAATCCCAGCATTTTGGGAGGTTGGGGTGGGCGGATCACAAGGTCAGGAGTTCGAGACCAGCCTGGCCAACATAGTGAAACCCCATCTCTGTTTAAAATACAAAAAATTAGCCAGGCATGGTGGCAGGCGCCTGTAATCCCAGCTACTTGGGAAGCTGAGGCAGGAGAATCACTTGAACCCAGGAGGTGGAGATTGCAGTGAGCCAAGATCACACCACTGCACTCCAACCCCAGGCGACAGTGCGAGACTCCGTCTCAAAAAAAAAAACAAAAAAACAAAAAAACATGGGTTTGATAGAGAGCTGACTCTTCCAAATTTTCTTGTTTTCAAAAAAAAAGAACACATTCCAAAGTCCCAGATTCATATTGGAGCTTTTCTCTGATGCACATCTGCTATTAATTTTTTATTTTTTATTTTATTATTTTTTTTTAGACAGAGTCTCGCTCTGTCACCCAGGCTGCAGTGCAGTGCAGTGGTGCAATCTCAGCTCACTGCAACCTCCACCTCCCTGGCTGAAGCAATTCCCCTGCCTCAGCCTCCCAAGTAGCTGGGATTAGAGGCACATGCCACCACGTCTGGCTAATTTTTTTTGCATTTTTAGTAGAGACGGGGTTTCACCATGTTGGCCAGACTGGTCTCGAACTCCTGACCACAGGCAATCCGCCTGCCTTGGCCTCCCAAAGTGCTGGGATTACAGGTGTAAGCCACCGTGCCCAGCCTACATTTACTATTAATTTTTTAAAGATGACAGAAAATGTATCTTTGTGGCAGGACAAAAGCCTTGGCTGAATTTTTTTTCTTTTTTTGAGATGGAGTCTCACTGTGTCGCCGAGGCTGGAGTGCAGTGGCACGATCTTGGCTCACTGCAGCCTCCGCCTCCTGGGTTCAAGCAATTCTCCCACCTCAGCCCCCTGAGTAGCTGGGATTACAGGGGTGCACCACCATGCCCAGCTAATTTTTGCATTTTTAGTAGAGACGGAGTTTCACCATGTTGGCCAGGCTGGTCTCAAACTCCTGACCTCGGGTGATCCACCCGTCTCAGCCTCCCAAAGTTCTGAGATTACAGGAGTGAACCACCGCTCCCAGCCATGAATCTCTTAATGAGAAAATCATGGTGGCAAATGAGCCAGGAGTCAGGTTACATGTTATCTGCATCCTTCTGTCAACTCACTGTATGGCCTTAGGCAAGTCACCTTACTTCACCAAGGGCAAAGTGAACCAATCAATATCTATAGTTCCTTCTACTCTAATGTATCCAACATGCACACGACAATCCTCAGTGGATGCCTCTGACTTACTTCATCACTGGTGACACATTGTTGTGACAGCTGATTCACATGTAACCACAATGCATTCCGGAAGAAGTTTATTCGTTCACATTCTTGAGCCTCAAATGCCTACAGAAAAATAGCTACGTGTACATAGATATGCAAGGAAAAGGACCATTCATTTTGGCTAGCTGTGACTTAAGAAACAGTGTCAACCTTCAGTTATCTGTAAACTTATTGTCCAATTTAGAATGCTTCTCCCCCACCACTGAGGAAACTCATAAACTCATATCACAAAGAATGCAAACAAATCCTAATATCACAGTAACACAAACAGGCTTGGAAATAGTTCTGAGGGTAAAAAGTAATGATGATCCCAGATACCAATGTTCTAACTGAGTTCCTACCGACATTTCCAACTATCTAACATCATCTCCACCTGAGCAGCCTGCCAGAGCCTCAGATTCAAAATGCTGCCCCTCCCACCCTGGAATGAATGAGTTTGACTGGCAAGATGGTCATAATTGTTGATGCTGATTGATGAGTACATGGGAGGCCGTGTACTTGTCTTCTGTCTTTGTGTATGTTTAATTGTTTTTCCTTAAAAAAAGGGTTAAAATAAAAGTCATTGCCTGAGATACAGTATTTTGGATATAAACAAATATCACCTTTAAAAAAATCAAGCTGTTCTATGAAGCAGATGGTATTCTATTCAACAGTGGATGTGATACATCAGTGTATTTTTAAAATATTGAATACCATAGCTATTTTTAACATGAATGAATTTTACATACCATAGCTTTTATATACCACAGCCCCTTTTCCACTCTATGAGGAGAAAAGGATGGGGACAGGTATAGCTATAAGTGGTTCTCATACTTGAATTCACATCAGAATCACTTGGAAGGTTTATTAGCATAGAGATTGCTGAGCTCTACCCCCACAGTTTCTGATTCAATTTCATATCTCATACTACAGGTTTTATTCAAAACCAAAAAATTTTGAATGCCTTTTAAAATTTGCTACATTTTAAAACTTGTTATAAAATAAAACAAAACTTCCAACATATACAAGTGTAGAGAGGTACAGATAGTATGATGAATCCCTATGTACTCATCACCAGCTTAAACATTTATCAACTCACAACCGATTCTATTTTATCTATATCTCTACCAATTACCCTACTCTCTGGAGTATTTTGAAGCAAATGCATTATTTCACCTCTAAATATTTTTATATCTATATAACATAGTATAATAATTTAATAATATTACATTATTGTTGTTATGGAATATTTCACATAGAATCAGAAAGCAGTATAATAAATACCTATATACCAACTACCTAGCTTTGTCAAAAACTTCAGCCATATTTTTTCAGATTCTGTAAAAGCCCCTGTGTGATTTACCCAGTTTCTATCACCTTCCTCCTTCCCCAGATAGCCATTATCCTGAATTGTATCATTCCTATGCAGGGTTTGTTTTGTTTTGTTTTGTTTTTTATGGGGAAGGGGTTGTTTCGTTGTTTGGTTTTGGGGGGTTTTATTTTGTTTTGTTTTGAGACAGGGTCTCACTTTGTCACCCAGGCTGGAGAGCAGTGGTGCGCTCATGGCTCACTGCAGCCTCAAACTCGTGGGCTCAAGCAATTCTCCCGCCTCAGGTTCCCAAGTAGCCTCTACCACCATGCCCGGCTAATTTTTATATTTCTTTGTAGAGACAAAATTTCGCTGTGTTGCCCAGGCTGGTCTTGAACTCCTGGGCTCAAGCAATCCACCCGCATCAGCCTCTGAAAGTGCTGGGATTATAGGTGTGAGCCACCGCACCTGGCCTTTATGCAGGTTTTTACACTATATATGTATCTGTATATGTACATGATATTGCTTTACATGTTTTTAAACCTTATTAAAAAATGGCCTCATTCTAGGCTTTCCCCTAAGAGTGTGGAGTTACAGAAGTAAAGCAGAAAACAGTGTTTTAGGAGAAGCATAATAACCTACAGTATCAGATGGCAAAGAGAGATCAAATAAGATTAGAAACTGCAAAGGCCCACTGGCCCTCATGCCAAGGGATTCTGGTGCCCTCCAAGACAGCAGCTGCAGGGAAGCAAATCCCAGATGCTGCAGGCTGGGGCAGTCAGGACAACATGGACTTGGAGACAGCCCCTTCAAAAAGCGTGGCTGTGAAGAAGGGCGGGGGTAGTAGGGGTCGTAGATAGAAAGTAAGAACTGCTGGTTTTGTTTTTTGCTTTTTGGGTTTTTTTGAGATGGAGTCTAACTCTGTTGCCCAGGCTAGAGTGTAGTGGCATGATCTCAGCTCACTGAAACCTCCACCTCCCGGGCTCAAGTGATTTTCCCACCTCAGCCTCCCAAGTAGCTGGGATTACAGGTGCTTGCCACCACATCCAGCTAATTTTTGTATTTTTAGTAGAGACTGGGTTTCACTATGTTGTCCAGACTGGTCTTGAACTCCTGACCTCAGGTGATCTGCCTGCCTTGGCCTCCCAAAGTGCTGGGATTACAGGCATTAGCAGCCACCATGCCTGGCTGAACTGGTGGGTTTTAAAGCTAGGAGAGAGTTGAGTCTGTGTGCAAGATAACAGAAGTTGACAAGTTCTCCATGCCCAAGAAGGTGGGGAAAGGCAAGCTGGATGAAAAAAGATCTTGAACAAGGAAGGAACAGCCCCTTTTCTGTGCTAACAGGAAAAAAGGAGTGGGGCAGGCGTGTCTGTCAATGATTCTTATACTTGAATTCCCATCAAAATCACTTGGAAGGCTTATTAGCACAGAGATTGCTGGGCTTTACCCCCAGAGTTTCTGATTCGGTAGGTCTGAGGTTGGTCTGAGAACCTGCATTTCTAACAAGTTCCCAGGTGATGCTGATGCTACCAGTCCTAGGACCTCACTTTGAGAACCACTGGAAGAAAATGTGTAGGCAGGATGACAGAAACTTAAGCAAGCTTCCAAGTTATGTTTTTTATTTTCTCTTGGAAATTGTGAGGTCATTTGCTGCAAAAGAAAGGGAGCAGTGGTGAAATTGAAGGTATGAGGAGAGTAAAAAAAAAAAAGAAAACCCTCCAGCCAGGCATGGTGGCTCATGCCTGTAACCCTGGCAACTCAGGAGGCAAAGGTGGAAGGATTGCTTGAGACCCAGGAGCTCAAGACCAGCCTGGGCAACAGAGCAAGTCCCTGTCTCTTTAAAAATAAAATAAATAATAAATAATTAACAAGGCGTGGTGGTGCACGCCTGTAGTCCCATCTACTTCACTTGAGCTCATGGGGTTTCAGGCTGCAGTGAGCTCTGATCATGCCACTGCACTCCAGCCTGGGCGACAGAGTGAGACCCAGACTCAAAACAAAAAGCAAACAAACAAATCTCCAAAGCCTACTCACTTGCTGTTGGCATTCCCTTTAGAGCCTATTGAGGCCGGGCTCTCCAAAGATAATTACTTAATCGACCATTAACTGATTCAGCTATTCTATGCTTGTGCTAACCCAACATTAGACTAAAATTTGAACTGTTGGACAGCATGGTCAGGATGGGGATGAGGCAGACAAGGTTTGGGGAAAACTATTCCAGTTCCTTCCATTCTTCACTTAAATTTCTGATTTCTTTTTTTGTTTGTTTGTTTTCTTGGAGACGGAGTCTTGTTCTGTCGCCCAGGCTGGAGTGCAATGGCACTATCTTGGCTCACTGCAACTTCCGCCTCCCAGGTTCAAGCTATACTCCTGCCTCAGCCTCTAGAATAGCTGGGATTACAGGTGTGCGCCACCACACCCGGCTAATTTTTGTATTTTTAGTAGAGACAGGGTTTCACCATGTTGGCCAGATGGTCTTGAACTCCTGACCTCAGGTGATCCACCCACCTCGGCCTCCCAAAGTGCTGGGATTACAGGCATGGGCCACCGTGCCTGGCCAAATTTCTGATTTCTAATTTGCCCTCAAGCTCTGTAACCCTATGAGAATCCGGGCAGATCATTTCTACAAAAGTAGACTCTCCAGGTTCTGGGCAGAAGACCCACCTCCCGCCCCCTCGTCCTCCCCCAACCCCCGGCCCCACTCCCCCTTCCCTCCCTCCCCTCCCCCTCCTCCCCTCCCCCCCCCGTCCTGAGCAGCTTCCTGTTACACACACCCCCACCCACCCACCCCAGTCCTGAGCAGCTTCCGGTTACGGGTACCTCGCAGGCCTTGATGTGCTCACTCTGCCACTCTTCTCGGACCTTATCCAGGGTGCCGATGTGCAGCATGTATGCTTTGTCTGCAACAGAAGGGAGAGACCTGGGTCAGAAACTAGACAGGAAGGTGGCTCGCAGATACACCCACAGGCTGGTCTCAGATGGCAAAAGAAACTCATCCGAGTTGTGCTGAGCTTACAAGGCCCCCAGGACTCTGAGCACTGGGAGTTATTGCATCTCTCACCCTCATCATATTTGGTGAAGTAGGCAAAGGAGGGTATCACTTTCTTTTTAAACATTGGACCTAACATTGAGAAAGAAAGGTTCTAAGGAAGAAGTGAAAGCTGATAAGAAACCTCAGCCAGGGTTTTGTTTGTGTAATTCCACCTCAGTATTTCCCATCGCTTTTCATTTTCAAAATTGTCTGATGAAGGATGCAGAGAAGAGAACTACCTTGAGCCCTAAAGGGGCACCAAGTTACTTTAGTTTCAAATGTAGAGATTAAGATGTACATAACCACCACAGTCATGAGGGATATTTCCTGCAGGATATTCTGGGAATTAGAAGCTTTTGCAAATGCCTGGTTTGGGTCTTAGATTTCAGTGATAACAAGGCCTTGCAGCTTGGCTGTTTCACAGCAGATAAGAGCTACCGGGGCTGAAATGGTCTTTTAGATAGATGCCCCAATACATCAGAGGAAGCACCTGATTGCAAAGCCGCTACCACATGACTCCACCATCTCACTCCCATGTAAGGCAGCAAGATCTAAGCAGACAGAAGCCAGAAACAGTGGCCTCATAGCCTCCTCCCACCTTCCGGGGTTCTAATATACCCTCCCTTCCTCTCTCCTCTTCTTTCCTTTCCTCCCTCCCTTCCTTACTCTCTCCCTTCCTTCCTCCCTTTTTCCCTTCAGATATCTCACTAATCCTGCTGAATATCCATATATTCTCTCTTTAAGGTATATAAAACTCCCTTTCTCAGGGACACATTTAGGATAACGTAAACCCCACCAGCAACCCTCCCCCATCCGTAGGAACTGCCCCCTCACCTGAGTCCTCTACTGCGGTCTTTGAAGTTGCCAGTTTCACAAAAAGCTGTGAAAACAAACAAACAAACAAAAAAAGAGCAAGCATTGGGAATGCTGGACGAGGCTTCCACAGGCAAAACAGATTGAAAAGCAGTAACTATGAAGAGACCAGGTCTAGTGCAAGTCCTGTGTACATTTCCCTCATGAGCAAATCATTCAACGTGCCCTGCAATCTTATCAATCTTGGAAAATATCCATAAAGCATCTTGCCCAGTGTCTTCCTAAAGACACACCCAGCCCTCTGGTTGCAGAAATCTTGTATCTAGATTTTACAAAGTTAAATTTGTAATCCACCCAAGCAAAAGGCAGCCTGACTACAAAGAATACATGAACTGAGTCTTTAAGAAAAATGACAACAACTGGGAAATCCCTCCAACCTCTTATCACCCCATCTCCCTCCCTCATAGCCATGCTTCTGTCGCTCTTCCCCTAACCCCCAAATATGTGGCAGTGGTTTTTCAGGTTCAGAAGACCCCCAATACATGAAGGAAGATATTTCCAGGGGTTTAGGATACAGGTTCATTTCTTATGAAGATTCATAATTGGCTTTAGCCTGACATAGGTCAGTCTCAGATTTTTCGGGTTGTTAGCCCTCCTGGGTACCTTTTCTTGTTGCTTCGGGTTCACCAGGTTGGCACTCCGGCTGACGGCCTGTTCTGCCTCATCTTTGTCCCGGCATTTCTGCTCATAGTTCTTCTTTGCCTTTGTCATTATGAACAAAGAGAACCAAAACAAATGAACAGAGTGTAACCATGAAATGCAGCCCCCTTGGCCCAGGAAGTCCAGCATGGACAGGGCCGTCTGATTAGTGCTCTGATTGTCACTAAGCCATGGGCTCCCAGAGGGCAGATGCTTTTTCTTATCAGTCTTTGAAAGCTCACTCTCTCTCTCTAGCCCTTTTTCAAATTATGTAATAGTGGCAACCTGATCAAGGAAGTAATAGCTCCTATTTGGCAACATAAAGTACATGAGCTTTAAAAATGGACTGAAACGAAAGATGGAATTTGAAATAGACAAAATTAAGGCCAGGCACCATGGCTCACGCCTGTAATCCCAACACTCTGAGAGGCTTAAGTGGGTGGATTGCTTGAGCCCAGAAGTTCAAGACAAGCCTGGGCAAAATGAATGAAACCCCATCTCTACAAAAAACACAAAACTTAGCTAGGCATGGTGGCACACACCTGTGGTCCCAGCTACTTGGGAGGCTGAGCTGGGAGGGTCGCTTGTGCCCAGGAGTTCAAGGCTGCAGTGAGCTATGATCATGCCACTGCACTCCAGCCTGGGCGAAAGGGTGAGACCCTGTCTCAAAATAACAATAACAACAACAACAACAATTAAAATAGTTACGTAACTCTAAAACGTGTGGTCTAAAATTTATGAAACATTCATAATCCTAAGAATGCCTGTACAAACACTTGGTTATTTGGCACCAACTCACTCTAATTCTAACGAGGCCTCAATATTCACCACAGCATGTGAACAGCCGGCAGGTTACCAATGCCATCATTTATTTTGCTTAAAGATAGTCATGTTCCTTATTTATTTATTTATTGAGACAGAGTCTAGCTTTGTCACACAAGCAGGAGTGCAGTAGTGCAATCTCGGCTCACTGCAGCCTCTGACTCCTGGGTTCAAGCGATTCTCCTGCCTCAGTCTCCCTAGTAGCTGGGACTACAGGCAAGCAAACATCATGCCCCGCTGATTTTTGTGTTTTCAGTAGAGACAGGGTTTCACTATGTTGGCCAGGCTGGTCTCGAACTCCTGACCTCAGGTGATCCACCCGCCTCGGCCTCCCAAAGTGCTGGGATTACAGGCATGAGCCACTGCACCCAGCCAGTGTTCTTTTTTTATTTAAAGAATTCTGTTTTATGTAGTTTAAACGTAGGCCATGGTCTATCGTGTGCTACCATTGCCACCAGTATTATGGAAACAGATCACAAACTATAATCATTAGTGAATCATAAAAATAATTTTCTGTTTCAACTGTGAAAGCAAAGACTTTTTTAAACACCAAAGCTGTTTTATCTTAATTCCAGGAAGTGGGAAGAAAACCAACAAAGCTGTGAATCAGTTAGCTAATAAATAAAAATGATGAGAAAGAATGGTTGACTAAGATAAATAAAGAAAATACGGCACATATACACAATGGAACACTACTCCACTATAAAAATAATGAAATCCTGTCATCAGTGGCAACATGGATAAGCCTGAAGGACATTATGTTAAGTGAAATAAACCCTTTGATCTACTGATTTCCTTTCCTTTGGATAAATACCTGGTAGTGGGACTGTTAGATCATATAGTAAGTCTATTTGTAGTTTTTTGAGAAATCTCCATACTGTTCTCCATAGTGGCTGTACTAGTTTACATTCCCACCAACAGTGTGTAAGAGTTCCTTTTTCTTTAAAGCCTTGTCAGCATTTGTTATTTTTTGTCTTTTTGATAACAGCCATCCTAACTGGGGTGAGATGGTATCTCATTGTGGTTTTAAGTTGTAGTTCTCTGATGATTAGTGATGTTGAGCATTAAAAAATATATTTGTTTGCCATTTGTATGTCTTCTTTTGAGAAATGTCTACTCAGATCCGTTGCCCATTTTTTTAACCAATTGTTTGTTTTTTTTCTTTGCTGTTGAGTTGTTTGAGTTCCTTGTGTATTTTGGATATTAGTCTCTTGTCAGATGAATAATTTGCATATTTTCTCCCATTGTAACCACTGTAAGTGTTCAATTCAGTGGTATTAGATACATTTATAAAGTTACATAACCATCACCACCATCCATCTCCGTAACTCTTTTTATCTTATAAAACTGAAATTCTATGCCCGTTAAACAATAACATCTCAACTTCTTCTTTCCCCAGCCCTTAGCAACCACCATTCTATGTTCTGTCTCCCTTTCATTATTTTTTTTTAATTTAAAAAAATTTTTGTGGGTACATAGTAGGTTTATATACTTATGGGGTATATGAGATGTTTTGATGCAGGCATGCAATGCAAAATAAGCACATCATGGAGAATGGGGCATCCATCCCCTCAAGCATTTATTCTTTGAGTTACAAACAATCCAATTACATTCTTTAAGTTATTTAAAAATATATAATTAAGTGATTATTGACTATAATCACCATATCATGCTATCATCCCCTTCAGTTTTAGAAGATATTTTCACTGGATATGGGGTTATGTGTTAACAGTTCTTTTCTTTCAGCATTTGCGATATGTTGTGCCACTTCCTCATAGTCTCCATGGTTTCTAATAGGAAATCTGCTGTCATTGGTTTTCCCTTTTAGGTTTTCCCTTTTAGTGAAGGTGTCATTTCTCTCTCATTTAGTTTTCAGAAGTTCGATTATATGTCTTGGTATGGATTTCTTTGGGTTTATCTTGGTTACAGTTTAATCAGCCTCTGGGATATATAGATTTATGTCTTTTGCTAAATTTGGAAATTTTTCAGCCATTATTTCTTCAAATAATGACATAAAGCTGGGCTTTTTCAGCCCACCTTCCTTCTCCTCACCTTTTAGTATCACAGAGACATTAGTGTTAGATCTTTTCTTATAGTGCAAAAAGTCCCTGAGGCTCTGTTAATTTTTTTCAGCTTATTTTCTCTCTGTTGTTCATGTCTGGTAATTTATATTATTCTGTCTTCCAGTTAACCAATTCTTTCTTCTGTCTCTTCCATTCTCTTCTTAAGCCCACATATTGGGTTTTCTAAAATTTTGATTATTATATTTTTCAGTTCTAAAATTTCCATTTGGTTCATCTTTATATCTTCTATTTCTTTGCTGAGCTTTTCTATTTCTTTGCCAGTCCTTCCTTTGTTTCTTTCATTTGTTTCAAGTGTGAATCAGGTGTAGTGGCACATGCCTGTAATTCCAGCTACTCAGGAGGCTGAGGTAGGAGAATCACTTGAGCCCAGGAATTCAAGGCCAGCCTGGGCAACATTGTGAGACCCCCCCATCTCAAAAAAAGTGTCTTTGTAATTGCTTGCTGAATATTTTGATAGTGGATGCTGTAAAATCTTCGTCACATAATTCCAACATCTCTGTTATCTAGATCTTGGCAGCTATTGATTGTCTTTCTTTTCATGGAGTTTCGTATCTTTCTGGTATGAAGAGTGATATTTGATTGATTTGGGGGAATTTTTGGTATTATGTTACAAGACTCTGGATTTTATTTAAGGCTTCTGTTTTAGCTAGCTTCCTCAGGACACCACTCCAGCAGGGGAAGGTGAGGCATCATCTCATTACTGTCATGTGAGTGTGAAAGTCCAGGTTTCCCCTCCTTGGTCTCCACTGACACCACAGAGTGTGTGTGACCCAGTTACTACTGGAAAGTGGTTAAAGTTCTCACTCTCCACTAGACCTCCTTAGACACCATCCCAGGAGGGAGAGGGTGTACATCATTATTTCCCGGTGCAGGTGGAAGTCAGGGTTCCCCACATAGCTCCCAATAACACTGTGTAGAGGAGGCTCTGTTACCTCCTGGTGGGAGTGAAAGTCCTGGTCCCCTATTTGTTCTCTGTTGCCACCTTGGCAGGGGAGTTGGGTGCTCTCTACAGCCTGGTGTGGTGGAAGTTTAGACTCTCCACTTGGCCTTTGCTGATGTGTGGAGGTGGGTCCCCAGGTTTTTTACGTGGTGTTTGGCTGCAGTAGAATGGTTATTTTCTAAAGTTTCTGTCCTGCTAGGCTGCCCCTTTTCTGGTCTTTTGGTTAGAGAGAACAGGTTTTTCTTGGAGCTTTTTATTTATTTTTTTTATTTTTTTAATTTTTGGTCTATGACCATTGGCATTTCTGGGATGCCTGCTTCTTTGGCACTCAGTCTGTGATAAATGAGGCAAAAAGAAAGCCCAGGGAACCCTTGTCAGGTTGTTCTTTGAGTCCAAGGTCACTAGCCAGTGTGCCTTCTTCTCTCCCCCTTTCAGAGTTTTTTTTTTTTTTTTTGAGACAGAGTTTCACTCTTGTTGCCCAGGCTGGAGTATGCAATAGTGCGATCTCGGCTCACCGCAACCTCCACCTCCTGGGTTCAAGCGATTCTCCTGCCTCAACTTCCCAAGTAGCTGGGATTACAGGTGCACACCACCACACCCAGCTAATTTTTTTTTTTTTTGTATTTTTAGTAGAGTCGCGGTTTTGCCATGTTGGCCAGGCTGGTCTCGAACTCCTGACCTCAGGTGATCCACCTGCCTCGGCCTCCCGAAGTGCTGGGATTACAGGTGTGAGCCACTATACCCAGCCAGAAAGTTATATTTTGATAAGCCTTTCTCTTTAATTATAAAAAATCTTGCCCCAGATTGTTTAAAATATAAAAGGTCTGGGAAAAATCATCTATCAACTAACACTATTTCTGTATTACACTGACATCATTCCCTATTTATCAATTGTTTTTGAGGGATTTCTGCATCAAGGAGAAAAAGAATGCAGCAGAACAGATTGCATATGCTATCAACACTGGTGACACTTCCCTATTACATCCTACTCGTAGAATATCATGATGATACTTCGGTGTCAAGATGGAGTCATATATGTTCTAATAACAGAGTTTGTTGTATCCAGAGTCAACAGATACATAAAAGCTAGAGAGAGATTTCTAGCAACTTGTCCAATCTCTGTCTTGCCAACATTTTTTAAATAAATTACTTAAAGGAAAAGTTTTTATAATTTTCAGATATCTTAAAACAGAAAGGGATCACTCAATAAAATAGGTAAGCAATCAAGATTCAAAATAGTAACAGGGTAAAATTGCAAATTCTATAAGATAAAGGGTATTGTACACTATATATGTTTTTGTATCTTTGCCTAAAATATTTGAACTGACTTGCTATATTTTCTCGGGTTACCAGAAAGATAACCCTGTTGCATTTCCACTATCTAGTGTCACTTTCAATCTTTCCAAGGCCTTAAAAAAAGAAAAACCTTATACACTGTTGGTGGGAGTATAAATTGGTTCAACCATTGTGGAAAGCAGTATGGAGATTCCTCAAAGAACTAAAAGCAGAACTACCATTTGACCCAGCAATCCCATTACTGGGTATACACCCAGAGGAATATAAAGCATTCTACCCTAAAGACACATGCACGTGAATGTTCATTGCAGCACTGTTCATAATAGCAAAGACACGGAATCAACCTAAATGCCAATCAATGACAGACTGGATAAAGAATATGTGGTACATATACACCATGGAATACTATGCAACCATAAAAAAGAATGAAATCATGTCTTTTGAGGAAACATGGATAGAACTGGAGGCTATCATCCTTAGCAAACTAATGCAGGAACAGAAAACCAAATACCACATGTTCTCACTTATAAGTGGGAGCTAAATGATAAGAACTTATGAATATAAAGAAGGAAATAACAGACACTGGGGTCTAATTGAGAGGGAGGGTGAGAGGAGGGAGAGGAGCAGAAAAGATAACTATTGGGTACTGAACTTAATCTCTGGGTAATGTAATAATATGTACAACAACAACAAAAAAGAAAACCCAAAGCATTTAAGGTTGTTTTCCCTAAAACACTGCACTAATAAATAATAACATTTTTGAAATGTTATTTGAGTAGGAATATGTTCATACACAGCACAGGATTTCAGAAAATGTCACCATTATCCCAAAAAAGACAATAAAATGTGACTCACATCCATGGTTTTCTTGAATTGTAAGCTCTTTTGTTTATGGATAGCATCCATTATGAGCTCTGTCTGTAAAGAGATCATAAACACTCTTAATAAAAACACAAATCATTATTAATAAAAACAGAAATCATTATCAATACCAGCTTATCTTGAGGGTTAAGTGTTCAAAATGATTACCCACATTTCACAATCTTCAGAGAAAAGAGACCAAACAATTTGCCTAAGCTCTTATTCCTAGCTAATAACGGGGCCCATCTTTGAACTTGTGCAGGCAAACACCAAAGCCTGAACTCTCAGACACAGTGGAGACTCACTGATCACCTTAGAGCAGTCTCTTCAGTAAAATCTGGAATCAAGGAACTTTGGTTTCAAAAAGGAATTTTAAAACTTTTGTTAAAGTGCCATTTATATTTTAAAAGAGGTCTTTATTCTATAAGTATACATCAGCACAGTTAAATTCGGTACTTGTAAACATTCATTTCTGCAGCCCATCAGTGACACATCCATGACCATCAGGGTGCCCGGGCAGTATGAAGGAAAAAAGAATTTGTAAGACAACTAAAAGAAGCTGTTCTGTTACTCTTTTATTCCATTTTTTTATTTTTTAAGACAGAGTCTCACTCTGTCACCCAGGCTGGAGTGCAGTGGCATGATCTCAGCTGACTACAACCTCTGCCTCCTGGGTTCAAGCAATTCTCGTGCCTCAGCCTCCAGAGTAGCTGGGATTACAAGCCTGCACCACCACACCTGGCTAATTTTTGCACTTTTAGTAGAGATGGGGTTTCACCTTGTTGGCCAGGCTGGTCTCAAACTCCTGACCTCAGGTGATCCACCCAGCTCGGCCTCCCAAAGTGCTGGGATTACAGGTATGAGCCACCATGCCCAGCCCTGGTACTTTTTTTTTTTTTTTTTTTTTTTTTTTCTGAGACAGAGTTTGCTCTTAATGCCCAGGCTAGAGTGCAGTGGTGCAATCTCAGCTCACTGCAACCTCCGCCTTCTGGTTTCAAGCGAGTCTCCTGCCTCTCAGCCTCCCAAGTCACTGGGATTGCAGGCACCCGCCACCACGCCCAGCTAATTTTTTTGTATTTTGAGTAGAGACAGGGTTTCACCATGTTGGTCAGGCTGGTCTCGAACTGCTGACCTCATGATCCACCCACCTCGGCCTCCCAAAGTGCTGGGATTACAGTCATGAGCCACCGCGCCCGGCCTCCCTGTTACTTTTTATACCCCATCCAAGTGAGGTAAATGCCTCGCTTGGGAGTAAATTCTTTATTGTGGCAGTGCTGTTAATACTTGTTAGCAAAAATAATGGTGTTAATAATAAAGATGTACCTCCCAGACATAATTATAGTAGCTTCCATTTATCAAGCACTTACGCGCTAAGCAGTTTTCATGCATCACAACTATGTGAGTACTATCACTCCCATTTTCCTGATGGTACTGAAGTTGATTAACATACCAAAGTAACACAGTCAGCAAGTAATAGAATTGAAATTTGAACCCAGTAGCCCTGACTCCAGTGCCCTTTTGTTTCTCATTATTACCCAAATTGTCATTATCCTTATGATAGCTCTATAAAACCAAACTGTAAACAACGAAAAGATGCGAAAATTCAAAATGAGCAATGACACTAACGCTGTGCAAAAATGATATAACATTGAAAATAAAATTCAAATGTAGTTCCTTCCAGACAGAGAAAACTTAAGTTTTTGTCTGCTACCATAACACATAAACATTGTTAGAAGAATTTTGAAGATATCCGGAAGGAATATTGGGAATGGTCTCACTTCAAATATGAGCTTTGTGGAGTACATGAAATTCCCTTGGAGGAGCTTCAAAGGAGCCCTCAGAAAACCCAGCAGTCATCTTCCAGCCCATGTGAAAGTCAGGTGCCAGGTGCTGGCCATTCGCCTGCTAATGGCGAAGGCAGCAGAGACATAGAGAATAGACAAGGTTCCAAGAGGAGCCCAGCATGGAAAGACACACGGCAGATCCCTGCCACTGCAGTCAGGAACCTGCGGTTCACATGCATGACTGTGTCCCTCTGCCAGGAGGAGAAGCTGGGTTTATTTATTTAATAATGGTTCCCAATTTTCCCAGGCTACACAGAGCAGATCAGTTAGCAACGTTGGTCTATTCCAAAGTCTTTTCTAGTCTGAATATACATATGGCCACTCTTATAGTTGGGAGCTGCTACTATATTATATTTTGTGGCCCCAGCTAGGCCACCTTACCTGTAAGATCTATATAACACTTGCTTCAAACACCTCTCAGGTGGCTGCAACATTCCACCACCAGCCAACCCTGTTCACCTCCTATCATTCCTGTCTCTGCCTTCAAGGATTCCTGGGCTTTGAAACTTGGTAGGAATCTAGAAAGCATCCATCCACCTCCCTAACTTGACAGGCGTGGACCCTGGGGCCCAAGAGGTGAGACACTTTGCTCAAGGTCACTCGTGAGTTAGTGGCAGAGACATCAGGTCCAGCTCTGTCTGCTACACTACCTGGATTTACGTGTCCTTGTGTCCATATTCACTTATGGGGTGACATTTGTGGTGACCCCAGTGAGCCAAAGGTGCCCTTTCAGAGCTCCTCAGGGCAGTGTCTCTTCTGAGACTCAGACTTTCTGCTCAGACCAAATCCAATGGAAATGTGATTGGGTTTTATTACTGATAACACAAAGGAATGCAGAAACACAACTATCTCTGCCATAGGGTGGGGAAAGGCAAGAGAGGGAGAAAGGAAGAGGAAACTTGCAAGTGACCCCTATAACCCTGAGAGAGACTATTGGAATAGCTGCTTCATGGCCCGTTTTTCTCTCTACTCACACTCAAGCTGTATTCTATTTTTTATTTTTATTTTTTGTTTTTTTGAGACAGAGTCTCACTCTGTTGCCCAGGCTGGAGTGCAGTGGCGTGATCTCTGCCCACCCCCCACCCCGGTTTCAAGCAATTCTCCTGCCTCAGCTTCCCGAGTAACTGGGATTACAGGCATGAGTGACCACACCTGGCTAATTTTCGTATTTTTAGTAGAGACGGGGTTTTGCCATGTTGGCCAGGCTGGTTTCAAACTCCTGACCTCAGGTGATGCGCCCACCTCGGCAAAGTGCTGGGATTAGAGTCGTGAGCCACCTTGCCCAGCCTTAAGCTGTATTCTAAAAACTGGAAGCATCGCCTCTGTAACCACGGAGGTTCCTTTCTTTGGAGACCGCTCTCCACACAGGCAGCACGAAACTCTCCCATGACCATCCCAATCTTAGCTGAGGTGATAAAACCATGTGGGTGCCAGAGTACAGTGTCTGATCATGTGTTGTCATTGTCATGCTACAGACAGTTATGGACTGGGGAAGAAACCTCATGACCCTCAAGTGTCAATACCGCTGAGAATGGCTCCTAAGACCCCTCCCTACCCTGCCAACCCCCTGGGGTGAGTATCTCACTCCTCTATACAGCCTTTCACCCCACTGGTTTTAGCATCAATGTCCTTCTTTTGGGAGGCCTTCCCAAGCCTCCAGATGACATTACGTGTTCCCACTGTGTGTTCAGATAGCGTCTTCCTCCCCCCCATCATGTAAGGCACATCACGCTTTACCATGATTCCTGGGTCACATCCGTCTATCTGGCCCTGCTCTCATGCTTAGTGAGAGAAGGATGACCATGTACGTCTTGGTCACCACCTTCATAAAACATTAGCTGCGAGGGACCATACCATGAACTTCTGGCCAGCCCTTCCAGGACCTGCACCTCTTGTGCCCTCATTTATTAAAAGAAACCAACTGATGGTTTTCCTTAAGTGGAAATGGCTTAATTTCCAAGAAGTGAAAGACCAAAGCGTGTGTCTGACCAGTGAAAAATGAGAAGTTAGCATTGGCACATTTTCTTCCAAAGTTTTATGGTGTAAAAAAAAAAAAAAAAAAAAAAAAAAAAACCTAGCTAAATACGGAAGTGGTAAAACCCAGAGTTCATTTTGACACAAGTAATTACAATTTTATTAATAAAATGTGGACTTCTCAAAGAAAGCTTTGAAGGTATTATCCCACTGCAGATGGCACACAGAATAAAGGGAACTTAGAGGGTGGCAGGGGACTGAGCACAGGTGACTTACACTATTGCTTAACACAGTTCAGAGCAGAGTTCAGTTCTAGCTTAAAATAATTTGGTCTGTGTAGCTTATTAGGATGAGGAAGTTTCAGAAACCTTGCAAAATTAACAAACTCTCCCTGAAAGGACTAGGGCTACCAAGGAGGGCACTTAAAACATGCAAGGAAATGATTCTCCTCTCCTCTGAGGGGAAGTCATGCGTGCCTAGACTCTGGTTGTCTAAGGCATTTTTGATTCTGAAAAATTGTAATTCCCCTAGAGGGGTGAGCAGTCCTGGCTATGTCAGCCAAAAGGGTCTGACCATCCAATGGGTTTAATACACATGCTATTTCTGCTCTGAAAAAAGGCTTCAGGTCAGAGGCACTCCTCAAACCTGATACATCAAGCTTGAGAGAGTATGTCAAAGCACCTGACAGGGTGTTCCCATGTTCATTTCTACCCTTCCTTCCTGGTAAAAGGAACAGCACAAGTACAGGTGTAAGATGGAAGAGGCAGTAGTGTGCTAAAAGCAGCTGGTGAAACAGCAATAGGGGTAAAGCAGGAAGGCTCTTAGGATGCTGCTGCCCACCATAGAGGCCAGTGGCCGCCAGGGAAGCTGGACCTAGACTCCAACCCAGAACCACAGGCAAAGTTGCTGAGACTGAGGTCAAGGTAGAATCAGCCTTAACAGCTGGCTGCTTATCAGATATGCTCATTGCAGACAGCAAGCTCAGGCCCAGGATAAGGAAAGGTTTCCAAAGGGACCCCCGGGCAGGGTGAAAGAGGTCACCAAAAGTCACGCAGAGCTGTGCCGGGAGACCTGGTTAGACATCTTTGGGTGCCAGATAGAGAAGAGCTTGTCTCCCATGTGAGGCCCAGGTTCCAGTCTTGAAAACCAGACACAGAAAAAAATTCTCTAAGGACCCTACATGGCTGCAGGATCAGCCTGAATATCCAGTCTTTCAGGAACAAAATAGAAGAGAACAGAGTTGTGGCTGGTCTAGTCTAACTAACACTTTGATATAAACCTGGACTTCTTTTCTTGATCCCAAATATTTGTCAGTTTTATTAACTCTTGTTCACCCTTGTCTTCTTCCATGTAGTTGGTCAGAGTAAATCTCATGAATGAAAAAGAGCCTATGTATAGCTGCTTTGAAGACAAGAGTACTCGGAGTTCCCAGGGCTTCAGTTTTCCCATTTGTACAGTAGAGTAGTTGGACTACATTATGGTCTTCAGGGGGAGCGGGAGTCTCTTCCACTACTTCTCCCTTCCCCTATTGCCTTGTCCAGGATGAGGAGTGTGGTTTTGGGAGCCGTCCAGCTGGGATGTGCTAGAGTCTATTGAATTCAGAGGGTTCCCCTTTCCATTCATAGTCTGAATAGCGGCAGCAGACCTGAAGAGGAATGCAAGCTGGACCTCTGAATCCTATGTGAACTTTAAAAAAGGACAACTGGCCTGGGGTGTAGAAATGCATATACCCATCTGGACTGAGTCCCCATGTGGGGACTCCAGTAAGTAATTTCTCAGGTCATGATTACATGATGGTGGGAGCTGAGCTGAGGAGTATAATGAACAAACAAGCCTGCGGTTTTCTATAGGAGGAAAGGAAACACCTTAACACGTATGCAAATCCAACCTTTTTTCGTTGTAGTTTTTGCTTTTCCCTGAATTCTTCCATCTTCCTGGCCTCTTCTCTTAAACTCTGTGCAAGCTGAATGTGACATTGTGCCACATTGTCTACTTCTGCAAAAAAGAATTAAAAAAAAAATCAAGGTCTACATATGTCTGAATTAAAATATATAAAATCATACAAAATAAATATGTATATACAAAATACTGGAGTAAGTGGTAAAATCAACATCACTTCATTTGGTCACCAACATGTATTGAACCTCTCCATATGTCCAGCATAGCCCTGGCCACCAGGATCAAAGCTAGAAGATCTTTAGCTTAGCCTCCTACCACTACTGTTACTAACCTAGGGTGCCCAGGACTAGGGAGAAAAGCAGCCAAAGTTCCATTTCATGAAGGTTACATCCTAGGAGACATTACCAAAGCCAGCACAATTTCAAATTTGACTCTTCATTCTCTGTAGATGACCTCTAAGTTTCCTTCCATCTCTAATGTCTCATGAGCCTAAATGTTTATAAGAAAGGTCATATGCCAAAATTTTGGCTACCAATAGTTATCTCTGGGTAGAAAGATTATTGCTGATTTTTCCCCTTATTTTTTAAGATCTATACAAGGAGTATGGCCTGCCTTTGTAAAAGAAAAGAATAAATACTTGTTCTAAGAAAACAAATCAAAGCATGGCATTAAAGCTAAAAAGTCTGACAGATAAAGCTAGAAAGACTGAAAGATGGTCAGATTGATCTAAGAAAAAAATTTAAACTTGTGGGTATCAAAACCTTGAAGAAGGTTAAAAGATACATGACAAACTGGAAACATATTTGCAATTTATATAACAAAGAGCAATTAGCTATATCAAAAGAGCTTCCACAAATCAAAAGAAAAATACATATTCCAGTATTTAAAAACCAGTTAAAGAACATGAAATTCAAAAAAGAGTGGCTAAATGGCCAATAAACATTTGGAAATACACCCAGCCTTAAAACTACTGAAAAAAATGCAAAACTTTAAAATGTAAACCTTTCAGTTGGGCAAAATTTTTAAAGCACAAATATTCTTGATATTGGCAAGCATGGGACAAAACAGCACTGTTGGGGAAAAAAAAAACAGCACAACCTTTCTGGAGGAAATTTGGCATTTTTTAGAAACGAAATTTTTTAAATGTAAAAGAACGAGGCAGATCTATATGAATTGAAACGAAAAGCTGTCTATGATATATTGTTAAGTAAAACAAACTATAGAGAGAGATGTATAGTATAACAGCATAAAAACTCATTCACGTCTATATGCATATGTGCATCTACAATTAAAAAAGAGTTGGCCAGGCGCAGTGGCTCACGCCTGTAATCCCAGCACTTTGGGAGGCTGAGGTGGGTGTATCACGAGGTCAAGTGATTGAGACCATTCTGGCAACATGGTGAAACCCCGTCTCTACTAAAAATACAAAAAATTAGCCGGGCATGGTGGTGGGCACCTGTAGTCCCAGCTACTCAGGAAGCTGAGGCAGGAGAATGGCATGAACCCAAGAGGTGGAGTTTGCAGTGAGCCGAGATTGTGCCACTGCACTTCAGCCTGGCAACAGAGCGAGACTCCATCTCAAAAAAAGAGAGAGAGAGTTGTAAATGCACAGAGAAAGGTCTGGAAATATATACCAAACTACTAGCATGATTTTAAAATGATTGTTTTCATTTTCAAAACAATGTAAAAACATATCTGGCCCCATCCCAGAAATTGTGGACCACTGCCATGGTATAATACTACTTATGTATATGAATAAACACATATATACTATACACATATATGTTTAATTGCATTAAACTGTCTGGAGACAATCACTGAGAAGAAAATTCCAGTGCTTACTATCTTCTTTACAGTTAGTTGTCTCATTTTAATTTTTAAGATAAATATATATATTATTTTAATAAGAAAATAAAACTTATTTTTTTAGAAAAAAAGAAAACAAGTAAAGCCAAAAAAATGATTTAGGGGACCCAGCCTACGCTGAGGTTTGACTTTGGGCCATGCCATACTTGGCCTCACAGTGCATATAAGGAACGTGAAAAGTTACTGTCTCTACTCTGAGAAATGTATTCATTGATGAGTTACGGAGGGAAGAAGACACCTTCTATGTAAAAGTTAATATGAATATTTAGCTAACATTTACAAACGTCTAGAATTACTCAACTAGCTACAGAAACACTTTAAGCAAGCATTAAACATACTATGCTGTGTTAAAATCCTTAGCTTGGAAGGGCCAGGTATTCTGAAAAACAGAAAGCTTTAGAGGCAGGTTCTGAGTAACAGGCCTGAAGAATATTAGAACTGGATAGGACCCCTTGAAAACCAAAGTGCCAGTGCCTCACCCTGGATCGCCCAACTTCTGCTTGTCATCACATTAGAATAATAGGAGCTAAATAAAAATCTGTTGGCTGAATTCCAAGTTGCAGTTATAACCAAAGGCCACAAAGTGGAAATGAGAACTGAGAAATTAAGAAAGGATGCTGAGGGCACTATGACTTATGTCTTCCATTTCCCCTCCAGACTCATATCAATAAATAATAATTTCTCATACCAAGAAAAGCAAAGATGACCAACACAGGAAGAAAATGACTCCTTAGCCTCAAAAAGATGAAGGGAAATAGAACTTCACCCCAACAGAGATGAACTCTGACAACTGTGACATTGGTATTTCCAAAGACTTTCTATTTCCTTTCTAAATTAGCCTTTACCATTCTCAAGAAGTCTGATAAAATTAGAATACCCGATTCAAACCAAGAAAATAAATCCAAACAGGAGGGAACTACCTCCCACTGGGTTCTCCTCTTAAGAGGCTGAAGGAGAGGAGTAAAGAAGGGATCTTTTTTTTTTTTAAACAGTCTTACTCTGTCGCCCACGCTGGGGTGCAGTGGCAAGATCTCTGCTCACTACTACCTCTACTTCCCAGGTTCAAGTGATTCTCGTGCCTCAGCCTCTGGAGTAGCTGGGACTACAGGCACATGCCAACATGCCTGGCTAACTTTTGTATTTTAGTCGAGATGGAGTTTTACCATGTTGGCCAGACTAGTCTTGAACTCCTGACCTCAGGTAACCTGCCCGCCTTGGCCTCCCAAAGCGTTAGGATTACAGGTGTGAGCCACCGCACAGGCCAAAAGGGATCATTTCTAGGACATAGCATCCTGACCCTGGGAAGAAAAGAATAAATAAATAAGAATTCTTAAGGAAGAAACAGGATGTGGTTCTAAAAAGACAGATCTCAATGGCTGAGCGCAGCGTCTCACACCTGTAATCTCAGCACTTTGGGAGGCCAAGGCAGGAAGATCACTTGAGCCCAGGAATTCAAGACCAGTTTGGGCAACATAGTGACACCCCATCTCTATGAGAAGTAAAAAATTAGCCAGACGTAGTGGTGCATGCCTGTGGGCCCAGCTACTCAGAAGGCTGAGCCTGGAGGATCGCTTAACCCTGGGAGTGTGAGGCTGCAGTGAGCTGTGACTGTGCAGCACTCCAGCTTGGGTGACAGAGTGATGCCCTGACTTTAAAAAAAATAAAAATAAACAGATATGAAACTTCCTTAGGCAATCAGCCTGTAAGATCATGAGTTCAGCTGCAAATATTTTGAATTTAAGGTGCCTTTGAAACACCCAAGAAGAAATACTAAGTAGGCAACAGGATGTAAATTCTGGTCCTTAGAGAGTTCTGGACTGAAAATATGGATATGTACATTCTTCATGTAAAAGTGATAGCTGGTGTCAGGGATGAGGATGTTTTTCTAGGCAGACTGAGAAGGGCTAGGACCAAGCTCTGAGGACCCGCAATATGGAAAGGGACAGAGAAGTAGCCAGAGAAGCAGGAAGAATCCAAGGGAGTCAGAGGGATGCAGGTTTCCAGAAGAAAGAAATGCACCACAGTGCTGAATGCTGTTGAAGAGTCAAGCTAGAAGAGGCCCAAAATTGTCCCCTAAACTTAGTGACCCAAAGGGCTGGTGTCCTTGGAGAGAGCAGTTCCAGGTGAGTGGTGGGACTACAGGCAGATTAGAGTAAGAGGTGAGGGAATCATGACAATATTTCCTTCGATGCTTACTGTAATTAACTTTATTCTGGATACAAATGTTTGGTGATCTGGGAGAAATGGCAAGACACTCACAACAGGGTCCCAAAGTCTGAAGCCCTGCAGGGGTGGCTCTGGGAGAAGAAAACCAGACTGAGCATAAGAACATACCAGGGGTTAGGTTGGTAGACAGTCTGGCTGAGGCAGGTGGGGGTGTGGAGGAGCACTTGGATGACAGTGTCTCCGAGTTAGACCTAAGAAGTATAGACGATTCTCTGAGGCAACCATTCTCCCAGCATGGTCCCTGGACCAGAGGCCTCAGCATCACTTGGGAACACGAGAGACATGCAGACTCCCAGGCCCCACTCTAGACTTCCTGAATCAGAAACTCTGGGGATGGGTCTCAGGAATCTGTGTCAATAACAAGCCCTCCAGGTGATTCTGATGCTCATGCAAGTGTGAGAAGCATGGCTCTGAGTAAGGCAAACACACATCATGATGTGCAGGTGTGCAGGTTCTCCAGCTCATTTCGAGCCTGCAGAGCTTTGTCTCACCTTAGGAGTTGCTCTAATTTTTTTTCACCCACTATGAAACTGCTGTTCAAATTAAAACACACCTTTGACGACAGACACAGGGCTTGTCAAGGGCAGTGAATACATTTTTTAAAAAAAAAATCACTTACGCTGCTTGAAGACTTCAAGGGCCCGCTTCAGGGTGCTAAAAAAAACAAGCACATATATAATTTCAGTTCTGGAAATTCTCTGCACAATCTTATTATAATGCCTTTGCATGCTTCTCTCTGCCCATATCTTAACTTAGAAACTACAGACCAATTTTTGCCCATGAGCTAGAGAGACAGCAAAAGACCAAGACTTCTTAAGTCCAGTTTCCTCAATCCCAGGCACAAGAAATTCTTCACTGTTCATTTGGGGAGAGCAACATGCCAAAACTCTTTGTGTTTCATTTTCTCCAATGATAGGATAGGAGTTATGATCCTTTTCTCATAAGAATACCAGTGATTCTTTAAAGTATGGCAAGGAGGCTGAGGCAGGAGAATCACTTGAACTTGTGAGGTGGAGGTTGCAGCAAGCCAAGATTGCACCACTGCACTCCAGCCTGCGCAACAGAGCAAAACTCCATCTCAAAATAAATAAATAAAGTATGGCAATTCAAAATATGAATACAAGGCAACAAAGGAAGGGTTCAAACCTAGTCCTGACTGCCTCCTTTTTCACTCATTTACATTCATTTAGTCAATAATCATATATTTATTGACCATAAACCATGGGCCAGGCATTGTGTCAGATGTTGGTTAATCAGTCCTACAAGACAGACCTTATCCCAGACCTCAGAGTCTAATGGAGGAGACAGACATTAAACAAATCGTATCCATTTTTCTATTGCTGCATGACAAACTTAGCAGCATAAAACAACACACATTTATTATCTCACAGTTCTGTGGATTGCCAGTCTGAATATGGTTTAGCTGGATCCTGTGCTTGGAGCATCACAGGCTGCAATCAAGGTATTGCCCATGCTGCATTCTCATCTGGTGGCTTGACAGAGGAAGAATCTGCTTACTCAAGGTTAGTATTATACTTACCCTCAGCAATAAAATACCTAAGAATGCTTTAACTCCGATTATCCTTCCTAACAAGTTATAAGCTTTTAATGTCCAATATTTTGGCTCCATTTTGTTTTTTAAATCACCCAAGTTGACATTAATACCATTTATTTACAAACTGTTTAGATTTATCCATATGTGCCATATTCTTTGCTCACTATTCCGTCTTGCACCTCAGACCTTTTGTCCTGGATTATTTTCCTTCTTTCTGAAGTATATTTTTTAGAAGTTCCTTCATTGAACATCTGCTCATAGTTAACTCTAATTTTTTGTTGGATAACATCTTTATTTTTCCTTCTTTCTTGAAAAATAATTTCTCCAAGAAAAATAATTTTTCCAGGTTGATAATTATTTCCTCTCAGTATTTTAAAGACATAATTCTGCAGTCTCTGGCTTCATCATTGCTATTGAAAAAATCAGCTGTTGCTCTAATAAATGTTCCTTAGTGGGTAATCACTCTTTCTGGATGCCTTTAGGACTTTTTCATTAACTTGGATCTTACTCAGTTTGACTATTCTTGTGTACTTGTGAATTTCCTTTTAATTTATCATTCTTGGGATTAATTTTGCTTCCTGAATCAGAAGATTAATGGTTCCCATCAATTCTAGAAAATTGTCAAGCTCTGTTGCTTTAAAAATTTCTTCTCATTGTTTCTATTCTCTCTTCTGGAACTCAGCATTGACCTTCTCATCCTATTCTCCATGTCTCTTAATTTTTCTTTACTTTTAACCTCTGATTTTTTTTTCTGTGATGAATTCCAGATAATTTCTTTTCTTTTTTGAAATGTATTTATTTACTTGACAAATAAAAATTGTATATATTTATCATGTACAAAATGATGCTTTGAAATATGTACTTTGTGGAATGGTTCAATAGAGCAAAGTTACATATGTATTACCTCATGTACTTACACTTTTTGTGATGAGAACACTTAAAATCTACTCTCTTAGTGGTTTTCAAGAATATAATACATTATTATTACAGTCATTGTGTTGTACAATAGATCTCCTGAACTTATTCCTCCTAACCGAAATTTTGTATCCTTTGATCAACATTTCCCCAAACCTTGTCCCCAGCCTCTCCTGATTTTTTCATTTCTAATTTTTGAATTCCCTCTTCAATTATAGTTAATGTGTTACTTAATGCATCTCATCTACTGAATTTTTATTTTAAGTATTTTCTATTTTATTTATATAAGTTCTATCTGATTCCCTTTCAAAATTTCTTGAATACCTCTGAAAGTCACCCTACTCATCCTCTTAATTCACTCTTTTATTTTCTTTAAACATACTATACATACTTGTTTTTTAGATCTGTTAGTTCTAGTATCTACAGTCTTTGCATGTCTAATTCTGCTATTTATTGCTTCTGTTGACACCCAGGACCACTCTAAACTAAATTTTTAGCTTAGGATTCTTCAGACCACTCTGATGAAATTTGGTACTTTGGAGCTCCAAATCTGCAAGAGAACTGGCTTATAATTACAGATTCTCAGGAGATGCAACCACTCCCAACATTCATAATCAAGGCTTAGAGAGGTATCTTTCGTTGATATCTTTTTTTTTTTCCTGCAACAGAGTCTCACTCTGTCACCTACGCACCCAACTTCTGCCTCCTGGGTTCAAGCAATTCTCCTGCCTCAGCCTCCCGAGTAGCTGGGATTACAGGTGCCCACCACCACGCCCAGCTAATTTTTGTATTTTTAGTAGAGACAGGGTTTTTCCATGTTGACCAGGCTGGTCTCGAACTCCTGACCTCAAGTGAGCTGCCCGCCTTGGCCTCCCAAAGTGCTGGGATTTCAGGCATGACTTGATATCTTTTACTGAGATTTTTTTTCTCTGGTTTAGCCTTTCATTAAGACATTATTTATCTTTGGGTTTATAGGCTTTCTCTGGGATTTAAGAGATGAAGAAAAGCTTGAATCCAGAGAGCTAAGTGACCACTGAAAGACACCTTTGATTCGTCTTTGGCCTGGAACGATTTTCCTTACTTTCTTGACAGCATAGCCACGTATTTATTTTAAATTATTAAAATATATTTTAAACCAGCATTTTAAGTGTTTTACAATGGGAGGGCTTTCCCAATATCTAGTCTACCATGTTGTGGATATGGAAGACCATGACTCATTTTTCATTCCTTCTCTCAATCTCCCCCATCCTCTCCCTTATAATCAACTCCCCTTTGCCCATTATTTTAGTTCTCCCCCAACCTACACTTCCTTAAGCGAACTCCCTCGGAGGTGCCTTGGCCCTGGTAAATTTCTTGCTCACTGCTACTTTCATGGAGGCTGATCTCATGGAACTGTGGACTGTGCTCACTCAACCTACCCAAGCAGGGTTGGGATTTTGTACACTCACGGTCCCCTACCACAGCAGCATAAGATCATGCATCATTTTATATATATATGTATATATGGCAAATTCTACTATTTTAGAAATTAAAGGCCTTGTGTTTTCCAAGTGGCCCCTTCTTTCAGCTACCTTACTTTTCCCACTCTATTTATCTCAAAACAAAGGTTCTTATTTCTCTCTGCCTTTTCTCACATGAACATTTGCGCCAGTTATTACAAATACATTAAGCAGGACAGCCTAACTGCACATTCTCCATTCACTTTACCCATCTTATGATACAATTTTTCAAGGAGCACAATGCATTATAACAGTGTCCATATTGAGGCCGGGTGCAGTGGCTCACCCCTGTAATCCCAGCACGTTGCGAGGCCAAGGCGGGAGGATCATTTGAGGTCAGGAGTTCAAGACCAGCCAGGCCAACATGGTGTAACCCCTTCTCCACTAAAAATACAAAAATTACCCAGGTGTGGTGGCACGTGCCGGTAATCCCAGCTACTTGGGAAGCTGAAGCACAAGAATCATTTGAACCCCGGAAGCAGAGGTTGTAGTGAGCCACGATTGCACCACTGCACTCCAGCCTGGGCAACAGAGTGAGACTCCATCTCAAAAACAAAAATCAAAATAAAAAGTGTCCATATCCAAACAAATGCACCAATGGTCAACTGAAATTAATAAATCCACTCTTCAGTGATGCTTATTTGTCTTCAAAGAATAGGAAAAAAAGACGGGTATGATAGGAGATACAACTGGAATTCTCTCCCTATAGTGAGTCATAGATTGAAAGGCCAGCCTTACAGCTAAATTGTCTGTCCCAAGTTTAAAATTTTTCTCCCACCACAGTGACTGATTGAAGGGCCCCTAAAAGAGCAGCCCCATCTTCATTTCCTTTGTCATCAGCTTTGTTGTCTCCCATCATCACTTCATTGCCATTCCTCGTGTTCAGGACAAAATGACATTCCAGGAATGGAATCTGAACCATGGGAATGGTGGCGTAACAACATTCACCCTCTCTTCTCCACAGTGTTCTCCCTCACTGTGGAAAAGGAAACTATTCTACAACTCTTTTAAAAAGCACGTTGGCCTTAAGCCCTAACAGGTTCCATTATAGATTTGAGTCTCTCAGGGTAGCCAATGAGGTGGAAAATCCTAGCTAGTCCCTGGATAAGCAAAATCATCTGGCCGGGCGCGGTAGCTCACGCCTGTAATCCCAGCACTTTGGGAGGCTGAGGCAGGTGGATCACGAGGTCAGGAGTTCAAGACCAGCCTGGCCAACATGGTGAAACCCTGTCTCTACTAAATATACAAAAATTAGCCAGGTGGGGTGGCGAGTGCCTATAATCTCAGCTACTCAGGAGGCTGAAGCAGAGAACTGCTTGAACCCCGGAGGCAGAGGTTACAGTGAGCTGAGATCACGCCACTGCACTCCAGCCTGGGTGACAGAGTGAGACTCCATCTCAAAAAAAAAATCATCCACTGTCTTCTAGAACATCTTCCTAAAGATCATGTCATGGGGTGACAAAAACAAGTCACCTAAACAGTGTTTCACTTCAGCCTTGGAAACAATCCCAGTTCTCCTATCTTATGACTACTTCCTCTCTGAGGTATACTCTTAGAAGGAAAACTGACTGGCTTTTATCAAGCAACAGAAAAGAACTGTGTTACAGTCTGTCTGAATTTACCAAGTAACAAGGCAAACGTCAAATATGTAAGGATATAAGAAATATCATTTCGGGTCAGATTCATTCTGCTAAATATCTTTTGCAGGAAGTAGTAGAGAGAATACGGCCATTTTCCATCACATCACCTCAAAAGTTTTTGGGTATATTGCCAATGGCTTATGCTTTCTTTATAAATGAAAAAGTTTTTCTGGTCAACTGACCCACTTATCTTCCATAAAATGTTCTAAACCATTCTTTAATTACAGTGAAACTTGTCTAAGTTGATGTAGTTTGGACCCTTGGACGTGCAAATGTTTTACATATTCAAAAAATAAAACTAAGTCAAACAGGAAAAAGAAAACAATCCCTATAATTTAAAACAAACCGAAACAAATAAACGTAACTATAAGTAAAATTGGTTACATAATCACACAGAGCAAATAAATGTTTAAGTGACCTATTATGGTCTAAGATCAAAAGGAACTGAAAAGAAATGTTAAGCTCTATTTAGAAGTTTTATTGTTAGTAGCAATATTGATATTATTTTAAAACAATTTATATATATATGTGTATGTGTATATATATATAAAAAACCAAATAAAGCAAATAATTATACTAATATTGTTAGGTCTTCAATATAAGAGGAAAGAAATATAAACATAAAATTTTAAACATTATATAGAGCCCTATAAATTTAAATTAGAATTGTAAATATTAGTATGAACTCACACTTTTAAAATCCATTCCCTGCCAGGGCCTACATACGATGATGCCTCTGTGACAATGATCAACATTAAAACTGAGAATTTGGGCCAGAGACGGTGGCTCATGCCTGTAATCCCAGCACTTTGGGAGGCCAAGGCGGATGGATCACTTGAGGTCAGGAGTTCAAGACCAGCCTGACCAACGTGGTAAAACCCTGTCTCTACTAAAAATACAAAAAATTAGCCGGGCCACTGCACTCCAGCCTGGGCAACAAAGCGAGACTCTGTCTCAAAAAAAAAAAAAAAAAAAAAAAAAAAAGAACTGAAAATTTGGTTTCTAAATACGATTAATCATGAAAAGGAACAGAACCAAGTATTCTTGGAGAAATATTTGATTCCAGATTTAAATTTAAAGCATTTACATTGTTAATAATTGTAAAATCTTGGTGACAAATATGAGTAACTGTAAAATCTAGGTGATGGGTATATAGCTATTTATTATGTTCGTTTTTTTACTTTTCTGTGATTTTTAAATTTTCATTTAAAACATCAAAAATATATAATTAGCCAATGAAAAATAAATCTTCTTTGTACTAATTTCCTATGTCTGAGGGTAACAAGATTTTTAGGTTTATATAACTATTAATATTTTCAATATCTCCCAATGTTTTCCTCCTCAGTAGTTCAATACCTTTCTTTGTAGTCTAGGATGAGTGTGTGTGTATGTGTGTGTGTGTGTGTTGCATGTGTGCTTGTTTTAGAAGCAAGAGAAGACAAGAGGAAGGCCAATGTCCTATATGTCCCTATTAGGGCCTCTGAAGGGACACAGACCTCTGCGCATCTCTGAAGCTGTTGATAGCACAGCCAGAGCAGGATACAGGAAAGTATGTTATGTGGTTAGGTCTGGAAAGAGAAAGCCTGACCTCCTTCTCTAAACCCTCCCTCAACATGTTGGGGAAGGAATCTAGAAATTTCCAAATGAGTAGGACTGGCTACATAATTTGTGACTCCTACTGCAAAATGAAAACATGAGACCCCTTGTTTATAAATTATTAAAAATTTCAGAATGGTGATAGCAGGGCATTAAATCAATTATGAAACCCTTCTAAGTGTGAGTTGCCACAGGACACCAGGGAAACCAGCCTTGTGTAAGACGGAGTGTATTGCTAAAGTAGGCACCATGACCTGGTCACTTCTGTATCCTCAATATATTAAATGAATGACTGAAAAATTAAAAATTATGGTACAGAAATCTCACATGGGTTGTGACAATTATGAAATGATGCAAGGAAGACATAGAATTGACCTAAATGCCCATCAATGATAGACTGAATAAAGAAAATGTGGTACATATACACCATGGAACACTACGAAGCCATAAAAAAGAATGAGATCATGTCCTTTGCAGGGACATGGGTGGAGCTGGGGGCCATTATCCTTAGCAAACTAAAACAGAACAGAAAACCAAATACTACATGTTCTCACTTATAAGTGGGGGCTAAATGATGAGAACACATGGACACGTGGAGGGGAACAACACACACTGGTGCCTATCAGAGGGTGGAGGATGGGAAGAGGAAGAGGATCAGGAAAAATAACTAATGGGTACCAGGCTTAATACCTGGGCGATGAAATAATATGTACAACAAATCCCCATAACACATGTTTACCTATATAACAAACCTGCACATATACCCCTAAACTTAAAATAAAAGTTTTTTCGCCGGGCATGGTGGATTACACCTGTAATCCCAGTACTTTGGGAGGCCTAGACAGGTGGATCACCTGAGGTGGGGGGTTCAAGACCAGCCTGACCAGCATGGAGAAACCTCTTCTCTACTAAAATACAAAATTAGCCGGGCATGGAGGCGCATGCCTGTAATCCCAGCTACTTGGTAAGCTGAGGCAGGATAATTGCTGGAACCCGGGAGGCAGAATTTGTGGTCAGCCAAGATCGCGCCATTGCACTCCAGCCTGGGCAACAAGAGCAAAACTCCTTCTCAAAAAGAAAAGTTTTTTTAAAATGGTGCAAAATCTCCTATAGTTATCACAAACAAAAAAATATATGTATAATTTTCTATTTTATATACAATTTTAGATATATAATTTTATAGGTGTTTTACTTAGGATAGATATTATAAAATAATATCAACACAGACCTCTGGGCATCTCTGCTATCAACACTTGCAGAGACGCCCAGAAGTCTATGTCTCTTCAGAGGTCCTAATGGGGACAAATAGGACATTGCCCTTCCTCTTGTCTTCTCTTGCTTTTAAAAAACACACACATACAATACACACACACACATATACACACACAGGAAGCTCTACTATTAAATTTGTAGTATAAATATATATAATATAGCCCTACCTACGAAAAGGTGTACATATAAAAAACTTCAAGAAAAACTTAGAAGGTATTAATAACAGGTTGTGGCTTCATAGTCCACTTTAGCCATTTTTCTGCTTGTCTTGATTTTTCACAATTGAAAATAATAAAAAAAATTATAATTTTTTTCAGGCCAAGTACAGTGACACGCGCCTGTATTCCCAGTGACTTGGACAGCTGAGATGCAAGGATCTTTTTTTTTAATTTTTTGAGACAGAGTCTTGCTCTGACACCCAGGTTAGAATGCTGTGGCACAATCTCTGCTCACTGCAACCTCTGCCTTCTGGGCTCAAACCATCCTCCCACCTCAGTCTCCCAAGTAGCTAGGACTACAGGCATGGGCCACCATGCCTGGCTAATTTTTCTATTTTTAGTAGGGATGGGGTTTTGCCAAGTTGCCTAGGCTGGTCTTGAACTCCTGGGCCCAAGCGATCCACCTGCCTCGGCCTCCCAAAGTGCTGGGGTTAGAGGCATGAGCCACTGCGCCTGACTGAGGATCTTGAGTTTGAGCCCAGCCTGGACAAAATAGTGAGATCCCATCTCCAAAAAAATTTTTTTTTCAGCCAGCATACTTCAACCTCCTGGTAACTCTGTCTGCTGAAGCGAGGGAGCTCCCAGGCATTATTAACCAACCTGGAAACCAGAAAAAAACTTGATACATACTTGATTTCAGACTGTCCACACGGCTTCTTCCTAGAGAGGTTGAGCAGATCTTTGCCATACCTCTCTTCAATTGCTGCCCTAGGGGAACAGAAGAGAGGGTTATGGGTCCTTCTCAGAGCTGACTCTTTGTTAAGACACAATGACCCTCCCTTGGAAAGCAAAACTGCACCTGTGACCATAGAAGCTCAGATACAACACCATTCTCTAAAATGCAAGACTCCCTCTGTATGATAGGGAACAACTGTAAAAAGATCGATGGCCCTCATCTCTATGGTGGTCTTCTCCAGCTGGAAGTCCCTAACATGGACATTATGCGAACATTACAGTAAAACTGAACATTTGTTTAAGTGGAATAAGAAATGCCCAACCCTCCTCCATCTTTTCTAAGAGTGCCCTTTACCATGCTATAGAGCCCTTCATTCACAAGCAATTCAAATACGCAACTAAACTGTACCAAAGGAAGGGGGATTTCAGGAAAGAAACTCTGCAGTCAGCATGCCCTATAAAAACACTGATTGTTACTCAGCATTGCAGGGTCGGTCTCAGCACTAAACATCCTCCTTCCCCTTCCCCTCTCCCCACTGCTTTTTGTCACCATCTCCACTTCTGTCTCAGCCCAGCCTTATATAAACCATACGATTAGGACAGAGTGATTTAGGCTCATCTACCCTACTTTTTTCTTCAGATTTAAAAAAATTATATAAGTAATAAATGAATATATCCTCACGGTAAAAGACTGTAACACCACAAAGGTAGACAGTCTAAAACACGCCAGCACCTTCCCACTCTCTTCCAGCTCCACTGCTCTCCCCAGGGGCAGCCACTGCCAAGGTTAATAGTTAGCTTTCCAGTCCCTTTTCTCTGCATTTACATGCCCATATCTCACATATACACATATGTGTAACTTTCATGTTTATGTAATTGAGATCATTCTATTATTTGCTGTTCTGTTTTTCACCTAGTAACACATCATATAGAATGTTCCTTATCAGCACATAGGGATCCACCACATTCACAATATGGAGTTCTCTGTAGTACAAAGTCTCCTGAGTTATTTCCAGTTTTCACTACCACTAAAAAAAAAAAAAAGAAAGAAAGAAAAGAAAAAAGAAAAAAACCTAAATGAACATCTGAACATCTGTGGACATATATCCACGGGCATCTCTGAGAGTGTCTCACTCTGCCACCCAGGCTGGAGTGCAGTGGCACAATCTCGGCTCACTGCGACCTCCGCCTCCCGGGTTCAAGCGATTCTCCTGCCTCAGCCTCCCATGCAGCTGGGACTACAGGTGTGCGCCACCATGCCGAGCTAATTTTTGTATTTTTAGTGGAGACAAAGTTTCACCATGTTGGCCAGGCTGGTCTCGAACTCCTCACCTCAGGTGATCCACCTGCCTCACCCTTTCAAAGTGCTGGGATTAAAGGCATGAGCCACCACACCCAGCTTGAGAGTGTTTTTCTGAGAGTTCTGAGAAAGTGGATTTACTAGGTCAGGGGAAAGAATGCATTTTAAATTTTTGAAAAATAGTGCCAAAGTGTCCTCCAAAAAAGTCTTCTCAATTTCTACTTCCACAAAAAGTGTACAGGAGCTCCCATTTCCAGGAATGCTGACCCACAGTGGATATAAATAATCTTTTAAAATTGCTACCAGTGTGAGAGGGAGGTTGAAGAAAGGAAGAACTTCTTTTTGAATTTGCATTTCCCTGATTTCTAGTGTGGTTGTGCATCATTTTATACGCTTATTGTTTATTTGCATTTCTTCTTCTGTAAGTTATCATCCAACTTTTTAACTGAGCATTTTGCCTTATTCCTATTAATTTGGTAGAAGTTCTTTATAGACTATGTATATACAACTTATTCTTACATATGTTACAAAGTTTCTCCCATCCTGTCATTTGTCTTTTCTAAATAATGATTTTACCCAATTTATTAAAATGATACATGCTCATTACTCAAAAATAAACATGAAGAAAAGTACAGGCTGGGCATGGGTGCAGTGGCTGATGCCTGTAATCCCAGCACTTTGGGAGGCCAAGACGGGAGTATTGCTTGAGACCACGATTTCAAGAGCAGCCCTGGCAACACAGCAAGACCGCGCCTCTACAAAATTAAATAAATAAATAAATGAAATAAACGGGTGTGGTGGTGCATACCTGTAGTCCCAGCTACTGGGGGAGGATGGGGCAGGAGGATCACTTAAGCCTGGGAGTTCAAGGCTGCAGCGCACTATGATAGGAAGGAAAAGTACAAAGAAGAAAACAAACAACCCAAAATTCCACCAACTAAAACTAATTAGTATTAATATTTGATGATGATTGTAACAGGGATTTCTTTCTGCAGGTATACAAATAGGAAGGATGAACAGATGCATGCAACAAATAATTTTTAAAGAATAAGACCATATGGCCGGGTGCAATGGCTCACACCTGTAATCCCAGTACTTTGGGAGGCCAAGGCGGTGGATCACCTGAGGTCAAGAGTTCGAGACCAGCGTGGCCAACATGGTGAAACCCTGCCTCTACTAAAAATACAAAAAATTAGCCAGGCATGGTGGCGCATGCCTGCAATCCCAGCTACTTGGGAGGCTGAGGCAGGAGAATCGCTTGAACCGGGGAGGCAGAGGTTACAGTGAGCTGAGATCGCACTATTGCACTCCAGCCTGGGCGACAAGAGCAAAACTCCATCTCAAAAATAAATAAATAAATAAATAAATAAATAAATAAATAAATAAATAAAAATATTAAAAAAATTTTTTTTAAAGAATAAGACCATATGCCACATGCCTTTTAAAAATAGCTTGGACTGGTGTTGTGGCTCACACCTATAATCCCAGCACTTTGGGAGGGCAAGGTGGGAGGATCGATTGAGCCCAAGGGTTTGAGACCAGCCTAGGCAGCATGGGAAACCCTGTCTCTACAAAAAAATACAAAAATTAGCTGGGTGTGGTGGCACACATCTGTAGTCCCTGCTACTCAGGAGGCGGAGGTAGGAGGATCACTTGAGCCTGGGAGTTTGAGGCTGCAGTGAACCGTGACTGCGCCACTGCACTCCAGCATGGATGACAAAGTAAGACCCTGTATAAAATAAAATAAAATAAGTAAATAAAAATTGAAATTTTAATCTGATTTTAATTTCACAGAAGAAAAAAAACTGAAGTGAAGCTGAAAGAATTACTAAAATTGAAATAATAGTCTCTTTACCATAGGAAAAATTAGTTCCTCAAAGATCTTTCTGAGGTTAAAAGAAAAAGTTTATGAAAATAAGTAAGAGGGCCGGGCACGGTGGCTCACGTCTGTAATCACAGCACTTTGGGAGGCCAAGGCAGGCGGATCAGTTGAAGACAGGAGTTTGAGACCAGTCTGGCCAACATGGTGAAACCCCATCTCTACTAAAAATATAAAAATTAGCCAGGAGTGGTGGCGCGTGCCTGTAATCCCAGCTACTCAAGAGGCTGAGGCAGAAGAATCGCTTGAACCCGGGAGGCGGAGGTTGCAGTGAGCCAAGATCGCGCCATTGCACTCCAGCCCGGGCGACAGAGTGAGACAGTGTCTCAAAAAGAAAAGAGGCGCGCATGCGCAGTGAGGTTTCACGCGAGCGCCTGCGTTTCTCCTCAAACCTAACGATGCCGCGGGAACTGAGGAGCCGAATGAAACTGCACAGTAGAACCGCAGCGAAGCCGAAGCGTTAGCCCGGAACGAGGGCGGACTGGAAAGCCGGAGCGGGGCCGAGCGAGCCGCCCCAAAAGGCTGCCGCTTCATCCCAGCGAAAACCGCCGGCCAGGCCAAGCGCGGCGAGGGAAGAGGAGAGACGGCTCCGGCAGCGGAACCGCCCGACGCTGGAGAAGACAAACCGGCCGTGGAGTGGTGCCTGGAGGAGCTGGTCTTCGGCGATGTCGAGGACGACGAGGACACGCTGCTGCGGCGTCTGCGGGGTCCGTGGGTTCAAGGACATGAAGACTTGGGAGACTCAGAAGCGGAGAATGAAGCAAAAGGTAATTGTGCACCTCAAAAGAAGCCAATTTGGGTGGATGAAGAAGATGAAGATGAGGAAATGGTTGACATGATGAACAATCGGTTTCGGAAAGATAATGATGAAAAATGCTAGTGAAAGTAAACTTTAGAAAGACAAACTTAAGAAGCGACTTTAAGAAGAATTCCAGCATGCCGTGGGAGGAGTACCTGCCTGGGCAGAGACTAATAAGCTGAAAACAACTTCAGATGATGAAAGTGAAGAGGATGAAGATGCTTTGTTGCAAAGGACTGGGAATTTCATATCCACATCAACTTCTCTTCCAAGAGGAATCCTGAAGATGAAGAACTGCCAGCATGGTAATGCTGAACGTCCTTCTGCTGCTCAGATCTCATCTGTGCAGTTCCGTCCTTGTGCACAGATTGTGATGGTCGCTGGATTAGATAACCTATATCACTATTTCAGGTTGATGGAAGAACAAATCCTAAAATCCAGAGCACCTGTTTGGAAAGGTTTCCAAACTGTAAGGCTTATTTTAGTGCTAATGGGGAAGAAGTTTTAGCCATGAGTACTCACAGCAAGGTTTTTTATGTCTATGACATGCTAGCTGGAAATTAATTCCTGTGCATCAAGTGAGAGGTTTGAAAGAAGATAGTGAGGAGCTTTGAAGATGTCTCCCCAGATGGGTCCTTCTTGCTCATAAATGGCATTGCTGGGTATTTGCATTTGCTATCGATGAAGACCAAAGAACTGATTGGAAGCATGAAAATTAATGGAAGGGTTGCAGCATCCACGTTCTCTTCAGATAGTAAGAAAGTATATGCCTCTTCGGGGATGGAGAAGTTTATGTTTGGGATGTGAACTCAAGGAGGTGCCTTAACAGATTTGTTGATTAAGGCAGTTTATATGGATTAAGCATTGCCACATCTAGGAATGGACAGTTGCTTGTGGTTCTAATTGTGGAGCAGTAAATATAAATAATCAAGATTCTTGTCTCGAAGGAACAAACCCAAAGCCAATGAAAGCTATAATGAACTTGGTTACAGGTGTTAATTCTCTGACATTCAATCCTACTACAGAAATATTGGCAATTGCTTCAGGAAAAATGAAAGAAGCAGTCATTGGTTCATCTTCCTTCCTGTACAGTATTTCAAACTTCCCAGTCATTAAAAAGAAAACTATTTCTCATGTTTACGCCATGGAATTTTCTCTCAGAGGTGGATACTTTGCCTTGGGGAATGAAAAGGGCAAGGCCGGCTGGGCGCGGTGGCTCACACCTGTAATCTCAGAACTTTGGGAGGCCGAGGCGGGTGGATCACCTGAGGTTGGGAGTTCAAGACCAGCCTGACCAACATGGAGAAACCCCATCTCTACTAAAAATACAAAATTGGCCAGGTGTGGTGGCAGGTGCCTGTAATCCCAGCTACTTGGGAGGCTGAGGCAGGAGAATCACCTGAACCCAGGAGGCGGAGGTTGTGGTGAGCTGAGATTGCACCATTGCACTCCAGCCTCCGTGACAAGAACAAGACTCCGACTCAAAAAAAGAAAAGAAAGAAAAGAAAAAGAAAGAAAGAAAAGGGCAAGGCCCTGATTATAGGTTGCACCATTACTCAGACTTCTAAAGAGACTATTTGAAGTCCAGTTGAGTCACAAGAGAAGCCTGTCTTGATATATCGTCTCAGAAACTTTCCTGAATGTGTGATAATATATGGAAAATGGCTTATAGAGCCAGCTGTGCTTAAGAACCAGTAATGTCTTAATAAACATGTGGCAGCTTTTGTTTGAAAAAAAAAAGTAAGAGGATAGAGATATGAAAACATTTTAACAATTTGTTTGTGTTTTTGACCATTTTTAGATGTTTGACAGCATGCCGGAAGTGTTAGATAATGAGCATTGTTGTACTTCCACCTCCTCAATATTGTTTACATTTTGTTTCATTTGTGTATAACATATTCTGTTCTCCAATCATATTTCCCCCAGTTATTTAGTCTGAACTATTTATTACAATGAATTTGAGGCTCAATAATTGTCCTCTTACCACAATTATTCATCCTGAAGATTTTAATTTGGATTCATTTCTTGCTTGACTAAATTTTATCACTACGTAATCTTTTGCCAAAATAGTTCAAGGGTAGGAAGGGGGTTGGTATTCCCTGAGTTCTTTCATATTTGAGACTATTTACCTGTGGACTTTATATTGGACTGACAACCTCACTGGTATAACGAATGTTCTTAAATATTTCCTCAGAACTTGGCTGAACTTGTTCCACTGGCTTCTGTCATTGTACAGAAGCCTGGGGCCATCCCAAATTTCCCCTGATTATTTCTGTATAGACAACTTGTTTTTTCCTTCCTTGATATTTGAAGAATTCTTTATTTAATTCAATAACTTAGCCAGGATGTGTGTTAACATTGATCCTTATGTAATCATAATCAGTATTGATTACTGTGTATCAGAGTTTCCTGGTTCATAGTGTGCCCTTCAGATCTATTTAGTCCTTCCTTTCATGACATTTTTCCTGTATTATATCTCTGAATACTTCCACTATTCCTTTGGGTAAATTTTCTACTTGGGATCAGTTATCCACATGTTGGATTGGCTTTGTTCTTGAGTTATGGGCTCTGGTTCTTTGTTGCTTTTGCCTTGATATATTTCTTCATTCCTTCCTTCTCTCCTTTTTTGGTGGAGGTGCATTTGCATGGCTGTTATGTGATTTGGCTTCATCTTGCTCCTGGTACTGTGGGCAGCCCTATCTGCTTGCTCTGAGACCATGCAAGTGATTTCTCCTTCATGCCTTTCTGGTCTTAGACAGTACTCAGTACTACAGTTTGAGCAAGAAACCTGTTTCTTCTCAGGCCTCTATTCTTCGACTCTACTTCTAAAGATTTTCCAGCTCCTGACAATGTAAAGTGCACCTGAAGCTGACTCTAGTTATAGAAAAAGATGCATCTTAACTCCCTAGTAACTGTTTCTAACTTTCTGAATCTCTGTTCACTGTATCTATATAAAAATGTATAACATGCTACAATGAACATTTAATATTTTTACATGTAAAAAGATGTTCAGTCCATTTTCATTTTTAAAAATATATAATATACAGGCATTTTATCCTTTTAGCCGCAGAATTATATCCATTAAGATTTCTTTAGACTCTTTTGTTGTTTCCAAGATAAGAAGTCACTCACTCAGTTTCTTTCTTGTAAGAGGAAGACATCGTGAATCTAAACATACCATAGGCCACATCTTGTTCCCCATGAAACAAGATGTTCTCCTAGAACCCGGGAAGTAATGAGTTCCAGCAAGCATCATGGTGTGCTTTTTGGAGAAAAGAAGGAGCTTTAATGGAAGTGAAACTAGAATCTCAGCCTCATAAAACCAGGGAACAACCACTGAGGTTGAGAGGGTATTTCCCCGTAAATGGGAAGCAATGGGTCCAGGCAGGCAATGAAGGAATTACTAGAACATCACATAAATCACGCTTGAATAAGTAGGCCTTTAACTAGATCACCCTCCTACTACCTATCTGAATTTTTCTGTCTCATCTGATCATCAATTTGTCATTTACTGAACATCCACCATGTGCCAGGCATCGTACTAGGTGCTAAGAACACAGAGATGACTGAAATATGAGACCTGCCTAGTGGTGCTCATAATCTAGCAGAGGAGAGAGATGCAAACCAATATTTTAGTTTACTACCATGTAACAAGGGCCAGATGAAAATGTACAAAATAGTACAGGAAACAGAAGAGGCAATACCACACCTCTTGCACTTAGCTGGCTACGCTTCACAAAGCTCTCCTTAAAAACCCCAACTCCCTTTGACCTCGCTTCTATCCAAATTCCCAGACCAGGAATAATCCATGTGCCATTTTCCCTTCAGCAACCCATGACAGGCTGGGTGCCGTGGCTCACATCTGTAATCCCAGCACTTTGGGAGGCTGAGGTGGGCAGATCACCTGAGGTCAAGAGTTCGAGACTACCCTGGCTAAAATGGTGAAACCCCATTTCTACTAAAAATACAAAAAATTAGCTGGTATGGTAGTGTGCACCTGTCATCCCAGCTACTCAGGAGGCTGAAGCAGGAGAATCACTTGAACCCAGGAGGCAGAGGTTGCAGTGAGCCGAGATCATGCCATTGCACTCTAGCTTAGGCAATAAGAGCAAAACTCTGTGTCAAAAAAAAAAAAAAAAAAAAAGGAAAAGAAAAAAGAAAAGGAAAGAAAAGAAAAACAACCCATGACAAACATCATCAGATATGGCCTTTTCCATCAGGTCTGAAAGCAGCCTCAGGATGATCCTCAATCTAGTGCTCCAGGTTGCCCCAAAATCAGAGTGAACTGAAAAGATGAAATCCTTTTGCCATAAAACCTAACACTTAAATATTTTGCTCAATTTTACTGTATATGCCATTCACAGCACCTCAACTGAATGATAAGTTCCTTGGGAAGACCCATGTTATTAGATCCAAGGGGCTCTCACAGAACATCTCATACAATCCAAATTTTATGGCTAACGAAACTGGAACCTAGAAAGGTCTAGGGCCTTGAATAATATCAGCACTGGCCAGTGAGGAAGCCAGGATTAGAAGGCCACCCAGGTGTCTAAACTCCCATCCCGATACTCTATTTCCCATGATGCTCTCAGCTTCCAGTACATTCTTTTGGGCACAGGTGTTCCTCCCGCAAAATAGGTTGCAGTCTCAACCCCCAGCATCTTAGACTGTGACCTTATTTGGAAATAGGGTCATTGCAGACGTAATTGTTGAGATAAGGTCATACTGGAGTAGGGTGGCCTCTTAATCCAACATGACTAGTGTCCTTATAAGAAGACAATGTGGGCTGGGCATGGTAGCTCACACCTATAATCCCAGCACTTTGGGAGGCCAAGGCAGGTGGATCAGCTGAGGTGAGGAGTTCAAGACCAGCCTGGTCAACATGGTGAAACCCGGTCTCTACTAAAAGTACAAAAATTAGCTGGGTGTAGTGGTGCACGTCTGTAGTCCCAGGTACTTAGGAGGCTGAGGCAGGAGAATCGCTTGAACCTGGGAGGTGGAGGTTGCAGTGAGCTGAGATCATGCCACTGAACTCCAGCCTGGGGGACAGAGTGAGACTCCATCTCGAAAAAAAAAAAAAAAAAAGACAATGTGAAGACACAGGGGAACAACACCACAGGATGATAGAGGAAGAGATGGGAGTTACACAGCTGCAAGCCAGGACATGCCAAGGATTGCTGATGACACCAAAAACCAAGAGAAAGGAATGGGACACCTTCTCCAATAAAGTCTTCAAGACAGCATGATTCTGCCAACATCTTGATTTGGGACTTCTGGCCTATGGACTTGTGAGAGAATAAATTCTGTTATTTAAAGCCATTCAGTTAGAGGCAATTTGTCCCAACAGTCCTAAAAAACTAATATGGTACATAATGGCTTGACAACTTGACCAGCTAATGCACGAAGGGAATCTGTCATTCCCACCCTGGCAATCTGTCCTTCTTAAGGCTGTCCTGAGACATAGCCGACCACAGTGAGGGTCCCGGAAACAGAGCTGTAGCCAGGGCAGGTTGACCATGGGACGTACAGGAGCTTATGGGGAAGAGTACAGAGTCCTGAGGCACCGGGGCTGTGGATCCCCTAGAGTATAGGTATAGCTGCTAATCTACAAATGGTAAAGAATTCTGGGCATAAAGGTGTTCCACAAGCATGCTTCCCTCCTCCCTACTCAGGATCCTATTGCAGCACACAATTAAGAGAACTGACTTGGCTGCCAAGTTGCTGTTCTTCTTCGGAGAATACACCCAACTTTCTCAAGAGACCATTAAGTAAAGTGGAAAAACCATCAGACAGGAAGTCAGCAGGAATCCCAGCTTTACTACTTACTCATATTGTAATCTTGGGCAAGTCATTTAAAGCCCACTAAACTTCAGTGTTCTTATCTGTAAAAGGAAGCCAATGATATATTCCTTACTTGCCTTCTACACTTAATATAACAATATTAGTAATGGTTGTGGAACTTGCCTAAGATCAGTGGGTACCATTTACCCACTATATATTGTGTACCAGCTACTGTACTGGGCACAGTGTACTGGTTAATAGCAGATTCCAGGGCCCAAATTTTCTAGGTTTGAAACCGTATCTACCGCTTATTAGCTGTCTGAACTTAGGCAAGTTCCATAGCCTCTCTGAACCTCAATTTCTTCAATTATAACATAAGGATGAGAAAACTTACCATACAGAGTTTTTATGAGAATTAAATAATATATACAAAACACACTGTAGCTTGCATAGAGTAAGCCTTCAATAAACAGCAGCTATTAATATAATCTCATTTAATCATCTCTAGCTACCCTCTAAGGTATGATTAACCCTATTTTTATAGTTCTCATTTTCTGCTCATATCAGGAGCTCATTATATAATATTTCGCCACATCTGGGGATCTGAGGGTGGGAGAGTCCATGGGCTTGGGCTACCAGTGACAAGATGGCTTCATTTCAATTGTTAACCAGCTGAAAGACTTCAGACTAAAGTCCTATGTAGAATGTTTCCTTTAAAGAGAAATAAGGTCGGGCATGGTGGCTCACACCTGTAATCCCAGCACCTTGGGAGGCTGAGGTGGGCTGGATCACTTGAGACCAAGAGTTCAAGACCAGCCTGTGGCCAGGAAAAACCCCATCTTTACTAAAATTACAAAAATTAGCTGGGGTGGTGGTACATGCCTGTAATCCCAGCTACTCGGGAGGCTTAGGTGTGAGAATTGTCTGAACCCGGGAGACGGAGGTTGAAGTGAGCTGAGATCGCACCACTGTACTCTAGCCTGGATGACAGAGTGAGACTCTGTCTTAAAAAAAAAAAAAGAAAAGAGAGAGAGAGAGAAATAAAAGAAGAGGAAAATTTGACCTGGACTTGGAAGGATGGGGAGAATTTACTTAGGCATCAGGGAAAAAGGAGGACTTTCTAGGTGGGGAAATACTGAAGTAAAGACGTACAGGCAGAGACATCCAAAGCGTGCTCACCAATAAACCCATCTGGCTGAAATAGAGAGAATGGGTATAATGAGTGAGATTGTATAAACAGACAGTAAAGAAAGGGAGAGTGTGTCTGTGCTGGGAAGTAGCCCATCTCCCTAGATAGCCACCAGCCTTTTTGCCAGTGTTGATGAGTCATAAACACAGGGGTTGTATGAGACCCCCATCCTCACCAGCCCCTGGAGCCATTCTGGGTTCTGTCACTTTCTAGATTCCCCTGGTAAATTACTTAAACCTCATCTACAAAGCTACACTTCTGTGCCAAGAAACCTCATGCAGCCAACATAAGTGCCAAAGGGATGTGTAAGCCTCAATGTTGTTGTTATATTATGTAGCTATTCAGATGTTGGCTGTGGTTGCCAGCATCACCTCTATTATTGTTGTGCTTTTCCAGCTGACAGAAGGGTAAACTAGATAAATTTACAATTTACTGATGGAGTGTTTGTTACTGTGTTTTGTTACTTACAGTATTATTTAATTATTATATATTATCTGTATTAATTAATTTAATTAATATCATTTTATTTAATTAATATTAATTAATATTATAATATTAATTGTTAATGTGTTATAATATTGATTGTAACAATTAATTGTAGTAGTTATGAACAATTATTGTAACAATGTAGTAGTTATAAACAATTATTGTAACAATTAATTGTTAACAATTATTAATTATTATTGTAACAATTAGTTGTTACAATAACTGTTCTCATCCTTATGTTACAATTGAAGAAACTGAGGTTCAGAGAGATTATGGCATTTGCCTAAGGTCAGACAGCTAATAAGGAGTAATATGGTTTGAAACCTAGGAAAGCTGGGCCTTGGAATCTGCCCTATGTATCTAGCAAGCCTTCAATAAACATCAGCTATTATATAATCTCATTTAACCACCTCTAGCTACCCTCTGAGCTAACCTTATTTTTATATGTCTACCCTGGATGCAAGAATCTGCCCTGTGGGTGGCAAGAAAGGCAGCCTCCCTGCCCTTCCAGAGCAGCACACGGAGCGGCTCCTTGCACTGGGGTGATTGTTCTGTCCAACCCCACATGAGGGCAGATGAATTTACTGCAATCTGCCTGGGTACGACCAAGGAAAAGGATATTTCCTAGTTTCGGTAATGGAGGTAAAATGTGGCATGGAGGGGTGCAGTGCTGGGTTCCATCCAGGGAAGAGCAGGGCTGGGGAGCTCACCAGGAAGTATAGCATCTCCCTCTTCCCCTTGCCACTTTCTGGGCAGGTTAAACTGACAGAAATTCAAGAGGCCCATGGTAGGACTCTGACACTTCTGGAAAGTCTTAAAAGCACCCCATTAGATATAGGGCATGTTTAGCATGTACCATGTAAAAGTGGTATAAATGTATGTGTATTAAACTTGATGAACTCAAAATAATAAATAAGGTATAACATTGGACAAGAGGTGGTTGTTCAAAAATAATTATTACATACAATAGTCTGTTATCTTTGCCCCTGTATTTGTGTGTGTTTGCCTCTTGTCTCTAAGAACCACAAATATCCCAGAGTTGTACATGTAATTTTTGTTTGTTTGTTTTTTGTTTTTGTTTTGAGACGGAGTTTCACTCTTGTTGCCCAGGCTGGAGTGCAATGGCGAGATCTCAGCTCACTGCAACATCCGCCTCCCGGGTTCAAGTAATTCTCCTGCCTCAGCCTCCCGAGTAGCTGGGATTACAGCTACACCATGCCCAGCTAATTTTGCATTTTTAGTAGAGATGGGGTTTCTCCATGTTGGTCAGGCTGGTCTCAAACTCTCGACCTCAGGTGATCTGCCTGCCTCGGCCTCCCAAAGTTCTGGGATTACAGGTGTGAGCCACCACGCCCTGCCTCTACATGTAATTTATGACAGCTCGGTCAAATAATGTTTAAGACTCAAGGAGGATGTTTCAGTCATATTAGATGATGGCACAAATGCAGCCAACTTAGTCCCAGTTCCCACAAGCATCCTGCACCCACCCGAACAAGAGGAAAGCTGGATCCCCAAGCCTGGACTGTCCTTCTGCACATGAATTACCCTTGAACAAGACACATTGGAGGAACAAACACACAGGCTCAATGACAGCAGCTTCCTTCCTGCAAGCGTGCCACCAGGAACAGAGGCCCAAAGCCAAGCAGGCCACACGCTCAGGGGCTGCATCTCCACGCCCAGGGCATGCCCATCTGACACTCTGATCTAATGCCTGCAGATTCTTCCCCAGAATTGGAAAACACAAGACTGACTTCTTTTTGCTATAAAACCCATGGGAGAAAAGAGAACATATACTAGAAATACAATATAAATAATCAACAATTTTTATTCTCCATTTATTTCCTACTCTTATGTATTTTTGTGAATCGTTTTTAAAAGCGAGATCTTAGCTTTGGGATCCTATTTGGACTAGCGTTTTTCAACTGTGGGTCACGACCCATTTGTGAGCCATAAATCAATTCAGTGGATTATGACCAGCAATTTTTTTTTGAAAGACAGGATCTCACTCTGTCACCCAGGCTAGAGGGCAGTGGTGCAATCAGAGCTCACTGCAACCTTGAACTCCTGGGCTAAGTGATCCCCCGACCTCAGCCTCCTGAATAGCTGGAAGACTAGCATTTTTAAATTAAATACTATTGGATAAATTAACAGGGTAGTCCTGTTTCATTGTTTTATTTATGCATGTGTGTACTGGGTGGCTGTGTAAAATACATTTTTTTTGAGGGTCACATTCAAAAAAGTATGGAAGCCACTGATTTAGACAAACCCCACTGTATCAGGGGACCCTTGGATGGCCCCCCAGGCAGTCAGTGCCTGGGGTCCTGAGCCGACAGACACTTCCTTCCTCTGCAGATGTATTCCAAGGCCATTTCATTCCCAGGAGGAAATTTATAGAAGCCATAACTGGGGGAGGAACAGAAAAAAGCAGTCTTCTGCAATCTCTAGATCCTTCATGCTCATGAAACTCTTTGTCCTAGCACTGTTGAAGGAAGGAGGAAGCCCACTGCCAGTGTTTGTAAAAAGAAAGGCACACTTTTTAACTGGGTGTCAACACTGTCAACCATCTTGGGTAGAAAAGAAGGGAACTGCTCCCTTAAAGGAGGAGGAGCAGCAGCCAGCTCCACAGCGCTGACAGTAGCCGAGCCTCTCTTGGTTCACCCGTCCTCAGGCCTCCAGGTCCTCCAGACCTTTGGAATGGCTCAAGGAGACAGGCCTCACCACCCAAGGGCTGGGCAACCCTTGGTTGCTGTCATAATTTACATGTAGAGGCAGGGCGTGGTGGCTCACACCTGTAATCCCAGAACTTTGGGAGGCCGAGGCAGGCAGATCACCTGAGGTCGAGAGTTTGAGACCAGCCTGACCAACATGGAGAAACCCCATCTCTACTAAAAATGCAAAGTGTGAGTAAGTTTGATCGTTACCTAATTTTCTCTTGAGTAGAAAGTGAGAGAGTTGACCGAAAATGCTTTGATGTCTGTATCTCTGGGTTCTGAGCCTTTCACTTACTGCCTTACAAATAGAACCTGTTCATTAATTTGAATCTTGGCAAGGATCCTGATCTTTGGCCCCAAATCCTCTTAACATATTCTTTCATCCAGAACCTCTGTAAAATGGAATATTCTAGATCAATAAGTTTCCACAAAACTAAGTTTTGTTTTTTTAAAAATCTTATCCATTTTTAAACAGAAGAAAAGAAAATCCTCTAAACCATGCCAGTTCCCCATGGACTACCATGCCCTGCCACCCCCAGGAGCATCATGATCGGCTTCACAGCTTTCCCACAGCTCCTCATCCTCCTGGTCTCTGAGCTGCACTCTGCCTCCCTCTAACCACGTGGGCCATCTGATTCCCACCTCAAGCTTGCTGTTCTCCCAGATATCCAGGTACTTCTTCACCTGTCAAATCCACCTCACCCTCTGAGGGCCACCACAAGGACCTACTCCTCCATGAAGCCACCCCGTCCTCTATTTTATTTCCTTCTTTCTTTCCCTCCCTCCCTCTCTCCTTCCTTTTTCCTTCCCTCTCCTTTCCTTCTTTGCCAATCCTCAGCAGTCTCTTCCTCAGCAGTCTAAAAGCTACATCATGGGGTCTTTCAATGTTATTTGTACCACAGTACTAAGTGTATTTCTTTTCTTACTATAATTCGTTCGCAGTTTCATCATAAATCTTATGTGTCAAACTTGTTTCTAAGAACTTTAGGACAGAAGTATCATGTACTTCTCAGGTATCATTCCATAACCTAGAGCAGAGAGAGGGTCTTCAGAACCATTAAACACAAATGAAAAAAAGGAAATTGTTCCTTGTCTGTGTGGAGACATCTTGGCCCACCCTCTTCAGAGAGGACAGAGCATCATCGTACCTTTCTTTTAGAAAGTCTTCAAACTCTTTGCAGTTCTTGCGGCCATTGTTCAGATGTTGGATAATGTTGTCATAGCCGATGGTGCTGAGGATGTCTGCACTCTGGGGGAAAGACAACATGGCATCAGACCAGGAACAGAAGGCAGCCCCCAAGGCCGGAGAGAAGATAAGACAAAAGAGGTGGGAAGCTGGCCACGGAACGTTGCTGACTCACTTTGAGATGGCGCAGGGACCCACTTAGGAGCCTGTCAGGCTTCTCCACCCCCACCCTGGAGATGAAAGAACATGTTTCAGTTCCTTCAAGGAAAATTCCAGGTATCTAGCTAGCCCTGCAACCAGAAATTAGGGATGTGAATGAATAATCCACCAACCAAGCCACCCAAGTAAGTCAGGGTCACAAGATGTTTGGTTCCCTATAGAAACAAAGATAACATCTTTACATACATCCTTGAGTTGTTTTTCAGAAACCAGGACTCTCACCTGATAACAAATGCTGATCACAGTCATGTTGACCTTCGACAGACTGGAACCAGAAAATGGATAAGGAAGTTCCACAAATTCCTAAGCCCCTAACTCACTTTGGAAACCCCCTCATTCCTGCCTTTAAAAACCCTTGCTTGTAAGCCATCATGCCCCTTTTCCTTGCTTGGTGCCCTGCAATAAATGCCTTTCTTTCTGTAACTGCAAACATTTGTGTCAGTGTTGGGCTTTGCTGTGCCCAGTGAGCAGACCCAAGTTCAGTAGGGTAACACTTTACCTCCAAGACACAGGTAGCTAAGAAGAACAATGGAAGAAGTAAGAACACATGTAGTGTGAAAGAGTTTTTTAATTGATGAGACTGAAGGGCCACAAAACAGGAAGTGACAGACAAATCACAGGCACGTGGATGAGGGAGCTGGCTAGGCTGAGGTCCCTCTATGGATCCTCTACTGAAGCCCAAATTCAGGCCAGGAGAGGGAGAAGGAGCTGGGCGCCCACTCCAGCCTTCTGTCATGTGCTTCCTCATACTGCCGGATGGAAACTGACTCACGCTACAGGACCATGTAACCTGGTGCTATAAAATTTTTACTCTGTCCTTAAACTTGCCACTGAACTTGACCCTGATAGCTCTTCCTACCACCAGTTAGCGCTATTGAGGGTCAAGGGTATCTCTACAAAAGACAAGCAGCTCTGAGCCAGAAGCCAGGAACCAGGATTCAGGAGTGGGAGAATGGGGCTGTCTGTCCACTGGGAAGCATGAAACATGCTCTCCGTGGTCACTGGCCCCAATTAGGGGAGAAGGAATATATATATATGTTATGTTTTGTTTTGTTCTGTTTTGATACAGGGTCTCACTCTGTCACCCAGGCTAGAGTGCAGTGGCACGATCTTGGCTCACTGCAACCCCACCTCCTGGGCTCAAGTGATCCTCCTGCCTCAGCCTCCTGAGTAGCTGGGACTACAGGGACATGCCACCATACCCAGCTATTTTTTGTATTTTTAGTAAAGGTGAGGGTCTCGCCATGTTGCCCAGTCTGGTCTCGAACTCCTGACCTCAAGCAATCTGCCCACCTTGGCCTCCCAAAGTGCCAGGCGTGAGCCACCATGCCTGGCCAAATTTTTAAATTAGCAGTTTATTTATATTTTATTCTACTGTGCTCTCCAAGGTTGGAGGGACCAGGCTAAGTCCCCCAAACCAGTAGCCTCAGATGCAGTACATTTTAAAAATCAAGCCAACAAGTCCCCAAACCAACAAATCAGTCCACTAAATAACACTCCAAAGTGTCCCCTAAGGAGGCTGGTTCCCTCCTTTCTACCCCTGAATGCATACAATGGGTTGTCTGATTCAGACTATAGTCCCTAAGAGGTTGGTTAGCTGGCCTCTGGATGTGCCCTGGGGAGTTTTGAACTCATCCACGCCATCCCAGCCAAAGCAGACCAACTCTTCCCAGCGCCAGTTTGCAGAAGGAAGTGTAGCTCTGTATGGGATAAGGGGTTTCTAAAGATACCTCTCTACCCAGCCCTGGACACTGGAGAAGCAGAATTTCTCTCTTCCATTTGCTGCCACTTATGATGGCCTAGTTGAGCAGACAGCAGTCCCAGAAAGACCCAGCAGGACCCAGGCCTGGGGCTGATTTCAACTTGGCACCCTAACAAGCCATTTCACCTTGCACTTTTCAAATGGACCTATAAAATCATCAAAACTTTTACAAGTTACGAATCTAAGTTAGAAATGTTTAATTCTATGCTTTGTGACAGTTGTTTGAGCACAAATTTAGACCTTAGAAAGCCCAAAAAACAGCTTCCACCAAAGCCTCATTTGTCCACTGGCCTCCTCCATACATACCCCTCTGTCTTAGCCAGGAAGGCATCTAACTGCCCCTGAAATGAAGCTCTCAGCAGCAGCTCTAAGATGATGCTAACATTATCCTCTCCTGAATCCAGATCTAGCCCCTCAATTCCCAGGTTTTCCCGAAGTCTTCTCTGAGTAGCCCCAATTCTCCCTTCTCTAGGTTCTCAGAGTCCCCAGCATCTGAATTTGTTTGCTATTATGCCTGTGAATACCTTTCTGTCCCCACTCCACTGCAAGTGCTTGCAGCTTCTTTCAAGTTTTGAACTACCCCTGCATCCCCTCCCAAAAAATCTTATTATTCACATCAAAGGCCTACAGTAAAATTCTGGAGAATGAAAAGGCCTATTGTGCTTGCTGCCAGATGCATTAGAAGAGAACAATGAAAACAGATTCCTGAGTGATGAATGAATGGGTACCAAATGGTCAGTGTCAAAACCGGTTTGTAGACAGGAGTCTTTGCCCTTCCCAGAGAAAGACACTGGAGGATGTCTTGGTGCATCGTGCAGCCCTTTTTCTTGGCCCTCCTATTCTTATTTTTGTCAGTCAACTTACCACCTGTGTTCTCTGAGTAACATACACAGGAGTTTCCAGACAAGTCCTCCACCACTTTAACTTGGCCTTCAGCACTCTTTGTTTTCTCCTGGGTATTTCCTTTCTTGGTTGCCTCTGTAGTCCAGCCACTCCTCTGAAGCAGCAATTCTGGGTTTTTTAAAGGCTGGCAGCTGGGAGGTCTGTGGTTTTGGTTTGTGTTTCCAGGAAACTCTGGCCTAGTTCCACCCGTGCAGTCCCACTCAAAGAGTTTCCTCATCCTTAATTAAGAAAAAGGGGCCAGGTGTGGTGGCTCATGCCTGTAATCCCAGCACTTTGGGAGGCCGAGGCGGGAGGATCGCTTGAGCTCAGAAGTTCAAGACCAGCCTGGGCAACATAGCGAAACCTCACCTCTCCTTAAAAAAAAAAAAAAAAAAAAAAGCCAAGTATGGTGGTGTGCCTGTAGTCCCAGCTACTTGGGAGGCTAAGGCGGAAGGATTGATTGAGCCTGGGAGATCGAGGCTGCAGTGAGCCACGTTCATGCCAGTGCACTCCAGCGTGGGTGACAGAGTGAGCCCCTGTCTCAAAATGAAAAAAAAAAAGAAAAGAAAAGAGGAATCTCAACGCAGAAAAAGGATTTGAAAGACTTCAATACCACCTCACAATAGAAAATCAACAAATCATTAAGAGAATGGAATGTCCTCAATCTGACAAATAGTATCTACAAAAAGCCTCAGCTAACAGCCTATTTAAGGTGAAACACAGAATACTTCCTTCCTAAGATCAGGAACAAGGCAACGATGTCTGCTCTCACTACTTCTATTCAACACACTGAATGTCCTAGCCAGTGCTAGGCAAGAAAAAGAAATAAAGAACATACATATTGGAAAGGAAAAAGTAAAACTGCCTTATTTGTAGACAACATGATTATGGACATAGAAAATTCTAAGAAGTTTACAAAAAAGTTACTAAAACTAGTCAGTTTAACAAAGTTGCAGGACACAAGGTCAATATACAAAAATCTATTGTATTTCTATATACCGGTGGAAAAAAAGGAAAGAAAAAAATGTAAACATTTATTTATATTAGCATTAAAAAGATAAACTATACAGGGATAACACAAGAAGTTTTGCAAGATTTCTTCACTGAAAATTACAAAAGGTACAGCTAAAAGAAATGGAAGAAGACCTAAATAAAAGTAGGTATATACCATGTTTGTGGATTGAAGGAGTGAATATTGTTAAAATATCAATTTCCCCAAATTGATCTATAGATCCAAAACAATCCCATCAAAATCCTGAAAGTCTTTTCTGTAGAAATTTGCAAGTCAGACCTAAAATTTATAAAGAATTACTTTAAAGTTCACATGGAAACAAAAAAGAGTCTGCATCACCAAGTCAATCCTAAGCCAAAAGAACAAAGCTGGAGGCATCACGCTACCTGACTTCAAACTATACTACAAGGCTACAGTAACCAAAACAGCATGGTACTGGTACCAAAACAGTTATAGATCAACGGAACAGAACAGAGCCCTCAGAAATAACACTGCATATCTACAACTATCTGATCTTTGACAAACCTGAGAAAAACAAGCAATGGGGAAAGGATTCCCTATTTAATAAATGGTGCTGGGAAAACTGGCTAGCCATATGTAGAAAGGTGAAACTGGATCCCTTCCTTACACCTTATACAAAAATTAATTCAAGATGGATTAAAGACTTAAACATCAGACCTAAAACCATAAAAACCCTAGAAGAAAACCTAGGCATTACCATTCAGGACATAGGCATGGGCAAGGACTTCATGTCTAAAACACTAAAAACAATGGCAACAAAAGCCAAAATTGACAAATGGGATCTAATTCAACTAAAGAGCTTCTGCACAGCAAAAGAAACTACCATCAGAGTGAACAGGCAACCTACAAAATGGGAGAAAATTTTCGCAACCTACCCATCTGACAAAGGGCTAATATCCAGAATCTACAATGAACTCAAACAAATTTACAAGAAAAAAACAAACAACCCCATCAAAAAGTGGGTGAAGGACATGAACAGATACTTCTCAAAAGAAGGCATTTATGCAGCCAAAAAACACATGAAAAAATGCTCACCATCACTGGCCATCAGAGAAATGCAAATCAAAACCACAATGAGATACCATCTCACACCAGTTAGAATGGCAATCTTTAAAAAGTCAGGAAACAACAGGTGTTGGAGAGGATGTGGAGAAATAGGAACATTTTTACACTGTTGGTGGGACTGTAAACTAGTTCAACCCTTGTGGAAGTCAGTGTGGCGATTCCTCAGGGATCTAGAACTAGAAATACCATTTGACCCAGCCATCCCATTACTGGGTATATACCCAAAGGACTATATAAATCATGCTGCTATAAAGACACATGCACACGTATGTTTATTGCGGCACTATTCACAATAGCAAAGACTTGGAACCAACCCAAATGTCCAACAATGACAGACTGGATTAAGAAAATGTGGCACATATACACCATGGAATACTATGCTGCCATAAAAAATGATGAGTTCACGTTCTTTGTAGGAACATGGATGAAATTGGAAATCATCATTCTCAGTAAACTATCGTAAGAACAAAAAACCAAACACCACATATTGTCACTCACAGGTGGGAATTGAACAATGAGAACACATGGACACAGGAGGGGGAACATCACACTCTGGGGACTGTTGTGGGGTAGGGGGAGGGGGAAGGGATAGCTTTAGGAGATATACCTAATGCTAAATGATGAGTTAATAGGTGCAGCACACCAGCATGTCACATGTATACATATGTAACTAACCTGCACATTGTGCACATGTACCCTAAAACTTAAAGTATAACAATAATAAAGTAAATAAATAAATAAATAAATAAATAATTACCAAGGGCCTAGAATAGACAAAAGAAAAAAACATTTTTTTAAAGAAAAACAAAGTTGGAGGACTCATACCACCTGACTTTGAAACTTTTTTTGACCCAGGCATGGTGGTGCACACCCACACCTGTAGTCCCAGCTCCTCAGGAGGCTGAAGAAGGAGACTCACTTGAGCCCAGGAGGTTGAGGCTGTAGTGAGCTTTGCATCACTGCACTCCAACCTGGATGACAGAGCAAGCGCCTGCTTCAACAACAACAAAAAACCAACTTCTTTTGAAGCTACGGTAATTGAAACAGTATGTACCTTTCTGAGGATAGACAAACAGACCAACAGAACAGAATAGAATGCAGAAATAGACTCACTTATATATGGTCAACTGACTTTCAACAAAGTTGCCAAAGCTATTCAATGGGAAAATGGTAATCTTTCCAACAAATGGCTCTGGAATAACTGCATAAACTTGGTGGGGGGAAAAGCCTCTACTCATTCCATGCTGCAGGGCCTCTGAGAACTTATTTCTATGCTCCTTTTCACCTCTTCTATCCTCCTATGGCCTCTGGGCAGAAGCGTAAGGAGCAGAGGGGAAGCAAACAGCACCCGCAGTCTCCAAAGCCACCAACAGGGTTACGGGTCCCGCTGCTGAGCATCCGCACATCTAGTTCTGTGCTGCATCTCCAGCCCGTTCCTCTCATGATGTCTGCTATACAGCCTCTATAGACATGGGCTCCAGGGATCAGCAGGCTAGAATCACTCAGGCAGCTTGTTAAACATGCAGACCCCTCAGTCCCACCCCAGCCCTGCTAATTCTGAACCTGGAGTGGGGCATGGCAGTCTCTACCCTTCTATACACCTTCCAAGTGACTTGGAATGCAGTTTGACAATTGTGGCCATACAAAATATAAAAGGCTAAAAGAACCATCATGGTTCCTGCCTAGAGGAGCTTATAAGAAGAAGAAAGCAGGATGCAGGCCTGTGAAAATAAAGAACACTAGAGAATGGGGAGGTGAGAGAATGACTGTCAGAAGTGCAAAGAAGAGGCCAGAGAAGACCCTCCATGGTTTGCATTTCATTGTTTAAAAAACCTCCAATCTTGAGTAAAACATGCAAGTTGGCAATGATGGCTTTTGGAAGCCCAGAGAGCCCCACTAGAACAGGGAGGAGGCCAGTTACTTTGCATCTCATACAAAGGCTGCAGTTTGGTGCCTGGGCACAGGGTGCATAAGTGCGCTGCACTTTGCATTAAAGAACCACAACATGTTCCACAAACACAGTGAGACAGAAGCTCTTTCTATGTTTTACAGGTGGAGGAAACAAGGCACTAGGAAGCTTTCCTTATTCGCTTTCCTTGTCACTGCTTCCAACCACTATGAAAAATTTTAATTCTCAACTAACAATATTATCCAAATCTCTCAGTTATTTATTAAGAGCCATAAAACAGCAGACTTGGGATAAAGACTATGAAGTTCATGTTACCTCCCTATGCTGTCAACCTTGATCTTTCTTTCCTGTTTACTTACCACTCTATGAGGTACAACCAAACGGATCAAATTCTGCATATATGGATTATTATTAATTAATATTAATAATTATGTCCAGGGTTAGGTGCGGTGGCTCATACCTGTAATCTCAGCAGTTCGGGAGGCCAAGGCGGGCAGATCATAAGGTCAGGAGTTCGAGACCAGCTTGGCCAGCACAGTGAAACCTCGTCTCTACTACAAATGCAAAAATTAGCCAGGCATGGTGGCACGCGCCTGCAGTACTCAGGAGTGCTGTAGCCTGTAGCTACTCAGGAGGCTGAGGCAGGAGAATCGCTTAAACTCGGGAGGCAGAGGTTGTGGTGAGCTGAGATCACGCCACTGCACTCCAGTCTGGACAACAGAGCGAGAATGTGCCTGAGGCAGGAGAATCGCTTGAACGTGGGAAACAGAGGTTGTGGTGAGCCGAAGTCACGCCTTTGCACTCCAGCCTGGGCAACAAGAGCGAAATTCCATCTCAAAAAAAAAAGACCTATCAAATTATATACTTAAAACATGAGTAAGTGTTCTTCAATAAAGTTGGGAAAAAATTTTAATCACCACTTGGCAACTGTCTTAGCAATAATTGATTAAGGCAAGAATTTTCCATGGATGTTAAGACTAATGGATTTAGTATTCATTTGAGAAGAAACTGGATATTTACATGGTTTCAAAATATTTCCCCTGAAGATACTTATTAATTATAAAGGGGGAATCAGTAATTTCACAATTGAGAAACCTAGAAAATAACACTATGCTAGGCTAAATAAGAGCCCCTAAAGATGTCCACATCCTGGTCCCTAGGACCTGTGAATATGCTTCCACACATAGCAAAAAGGACATTGCAGATGTCATTAATGTCTTGGGATGGGAAATTTTCCCTGGATTATTCAAGTGGATCCAACCTATTTACAAGGGTCCTAAGAAAGAGCCAGGAGGGTCATAGAGTCAGGATAGGAGATGTCAATGACAAATACAGAGGCCAGAGAAAGAGATTTTAAGATGCTACACAGGTGGCTTGAAGATGGAGGAAGGGCCACAAGGCAGTGAGTACAGGCAATCTCTAGAATCTGGAAAAGTCAAGAAAAGAGATTCTGCCCTACAACCTCCAGAAGGAGCCAGCCTTGCTGACAACTCAATTCTAGCCAAGTGAAACTCACTTTGGACTTATGACCTCCAGAACCATAAGTAATAAATCATCTTGTTTTAAGCATAAGTCGGTGGTAATTTGTTACAGCAGCAACAGAAAGCTAACACAACCACCTTGACCAAAGGATCAAAGTTAACACCACCAAGTAATAGGGCAAATAAGCATCACGTGCCTTCTGTTACTGAGATTGACACAGCATCACTCCTGCCTTGTTCCTCCCAAAACACATGGCCTGAATCTAATCATCAGGAAACGGGCAAACTCAAATCAGGGCACATTCTACAAAATAACTCTCCCATACTCTTCAAAAATGCTAAATTCATAAAGACACAGAGAGACTGAGGAACTATTCCAGGTTAAAACAGACAGAAGAGACGTGGCAGCTAAATGCCATGTGGAATCCTGAATGGGAAATGTTTTCTTCTTTTGCTAGAAAGGACATTATTGCAACAACTGGGGAAATTTGAGTAGGGTCTATATATTAGCTAATAGCATTATATTGATGTTATTTCCTGATTTGTCATTGTATTGTGATTGATTGTGTAATAAGAAAATATCCTTATATTTAGAAAATACACATTGAAATGTTTGTGGATAAAGGGAAATCATGCCTACTTCTTTACTTTCAAATGGTTCAGAAAAAAAGCATGTGTGTGTGTGTGTGTGTGTGTGTGTGTGTGTGTGTGTGTGTGTGTGGAGAGAGAGAGAAGGAGAGAGAAAGGGACAGAACTTTTGAGAAATCCAAGTGAAGAGCACATAGGAATTCTTTCTACTATATTTACAAGAGTAAATCTAAATTTCTTTAATTAAAAACATCAAAATTCAGCATAATAGCCAACTAACACAAGAACAGATAACCAAATACCACACGTTCTCATTTACAAGTGGGAGCGAAATGATGAGAACACATGGACACATAGAGGGGAGCCACACACTGGGGCCTTTTGGAGAGTGGAGAGTGGAAGGAGGGAGATGATCAGAAAAAATGACTAATGGGTACTAGACTTAATACTTGGGTGATTAAATAATCTGTACAACAAACCCCCATGACACAAGTTTGTTACCTATGTAACAAATCTGCACTTGTATCCCTGAACTTAAAATAAAAGTTTAAAAAAAAAAGATATTCAAACAATGTAAAAAGATGACAAATAAGGAGGAAAAAAGAGCAATAATATTTAATCAAAGATTAATGTGCATAATGAGCTCTAAAAATCAATCCCATAAAAATGAACAACCGGCCGGGTGAGGTGACTCACGCCTGTAATCCTAGCACTTTGGGAGGCCGAAGCAGGCGGATCACTAGGTCAGGAGATTGAGACCATCCTGGCCAACATGGCGAAACCCCGTCTCTGCTAAAAATACAAAAATTAGCTGGGCGTGGTGGCACGTGCCTGTAATCCCAGTTACTTGGGAGGCTGAGGCACGAGAATCACTTGAACCTGGGAGATGGAGGTTGCAGTGAGCTGAGATCACGCCACGGCACTCCAGCCTGGTGACAGAGCAAGACTCCGTTTCAAAAAACAAAACAAAAAAAAAGAACAACCAATTTTCTCAAGTGGGTAAGAGATATAAACAGGCAACACTCTAAAAAGAAAAACGGTCAGTAAGCAATTTTTAAATAAGAGAATCAATATTAATAATCAAATAAAGGCAAACAAACGAGATATAATTTTTCATCCATCAAATTAGGAAAGGTTGAAAATTTCTAACATTGGCAAGGAACTATAGGGAAATACTGTCAAATTCTACTGGCAGAAATGCACATTGGCATAATCTTTTGAGGAGGAAATTAGCAATATCCATTAAAATTTTAAATATGTATAGCCTTTGACGATGAGGAGTTTATCCTACAGAAATAACTACACAAACATGAAAAGATTTGTACACAAGGATGTTCAGTGCAGCATCATAATGACAAAAAACTGGCCAAGTGCAGTGGTTCACAATCATAAACCCAACACTATGGGAGGCCAAGGTGGGCGGTTCACTTGAGCCCAGGAGTTCGCGACAAGCCTAAGAAACATGGCAAAACCCCATCTCTACAAAAAAATTTTAAAAATTAGCCAGGCATGGTGGCATGCACCTGTGGTCCCAGCTACCTGGGATGCTAAGGTGAGAGGTCGAGGCTGAGGTGAGCTGTGATTGCACAACCGCACTCCAGCCTAGGCAGTGGAATGAGACCCTTTCTCAAAAAAACAAAATAAAATAAAAAAGATAATAACAAAGAATTGGAAGCAACCTAAATATTCAGCAATAAAGATTATTTAAATAAATTATGTACAATCACATGATGGAAAACTGAACAGATATTAGAACAAAGCAGAATTGTATACATTAACATAATGATACAATATATCAGGAGAAAAATGAAAGTTATATATATGAGCCCATTATAAATGAGTTCATACTTGTTAATGTACAGGTCCACTATATGTAACTGCAAAGAAAGGGACACACCATACATGTAGTAGTGACAATCTCTATCTCTGAACTGTGTGCATTCTTTTTTTTTTTTTTGAGATGGAGTCTCACTGTGTCGCTCAGGCTGGAGTGCGGTGGTGCAATCTTGGCTCACTGCAACCTCCACCTCCTAGGTTCAAGCCATTCTCCTGCCTCAACCTCCCAAGTAGCTGGGACTACAGGTACCCACCACCACACCTGGCTAATTTTTTGTATTTTTAGTAGAGACAGGTTTTCACTATGTTGGACAGGCTGGTCTCGTACTCCTGACCTCAGGTGATCCACCTGCCTCAGCCCAAAAAGCTGGGATTATAGGCCTGAGCCACTGCACCTGGCCTGTTTGGATTCTCATAACAAAAATTGAACATAAGGCCGGGTGCAGTGGCTCACACCTGTAATCCTAGCACTTTGGGAGGCCAAGGCAGGAGGATCACTTGAGGACAGGAGTTCAAGACCAGCCTGGGCAATGTGGTGAAACCCTGTTCCTACTAAAAATACAAAAATTAGCTGGGTGCATGGTGGGCACCTGTAATCCCAGCTACATGGGAGGCTGAGGTGGGAGAATCACTTGAGCCCGGGAAGTGGAGGTTGCAGTGAGCCAAGATCGCGCCACTGCACTCCACCCCGGCTACAGAGCAAGACTCTGTCTCAAGAAAAAAAAAAATTGAACATAAAACTGAAAACAACACAGATTATTTTCTATTATGTATGTTAAGGTCATGGCTTTTTGAAAGACCATTATTCCTGGAAACTTAACATAGAAGGCATAAGAGTCAGTAGATTTCAATGTTCAGAAAGTTGGTTAATGTTTGACATTACCCATCTAAACATCAACATGATCCAAATCCCAGAAAAGCCCCAAACCCCCAGGGACATGAGAAATTCAATTCACAATTCCATTGAAAGAGAAAACCTGAGAATTGAAGTAGGTGTTTTAATTCACAAACATTCAACCACCTCTGAGTGTATTACTGAAGTTAATGTTCAGACTTTTCCAGTTAATAAAAAACAAGTTGAAGTTCTGTTGGATATCCCTGAGAGGTGAACAACCACATATATCACAGGGTAGAATTAGTGATGCATCATATTACCGGGCAAATCAGTGATGCGTTCAAGATGTGTGAAATGCAGACCCCACGGGTCTCCTCCTGATCCATGGCATTCCCTGAGAACCCCTGGGCATGCCCAAGACAGGAGCGGGGAGGCAGGCAACTGCCAGGAAGTGGCTATACCCAAAACTGGAACTAGGTCCGCAAATATGGGACCAGAGGAACAGAGTGAGACACCAAACCTCAGCAGCTCTAGAAAGCAAGCCAGGTCAAACAACAAATGTGCTGCCACTACTGTCAAAAGCAAATATAGAACTAGGAGCTAGGAACTTGAACTAGGTCAAACCCAGGGGAATGTCCAACATTGCTTCACCAGCTGACTTGTGTTCCTTTTCACTCCAAGTACAACGTTTAGGCCCAACCCATAGAAATTCCAAACAGCTTCTGACTACTATGTCACATCCCTACCACAATACAATTTTGAAGGTCTTTGATCTCTATCAGCTAGCCTCTAGTTGAGCCAGATAAGCAAAGTACAACAAATATTGAAGGCTTATGACACCATATAACTTTGAAGACCTAACCACAACCCTGTAAAGGCTGGGATGCATTTCACAGCTGCTAACTGGGGAACCTTGGCTTACCTCTTTATCCCAAGAAATTGCAAGTTAATAGAAAATGTTTAATGTTAATTTAAAAAAAAAAACTTTTTCTAAGGTAAAACCTGACCTCAGTGCATTCATTCCCATTCAGTTTCTCCCATCTTATCCATCTTCAAATCCCAAAGCATAATTGAAAGAATCCTCCAAAACAAATTCCCTTCTGTTCTTCACACTTGGATTTTCCCAGACAAAAGTAGATTTACAGTTTCTAATACTTTTTGAACCAGAAATGAATCAGTGTTCATTATCGATGAATCAGAAGGTACAATTACTAAGATTATCCCATCTCCTAAATGTTCTAAGTAATCAAAGAGTCTATTTACTTTCCTACAGTGCTCTAGTTTTAGAGTGCTAGGATATCAGAGGTAGAGTACATCTTGGAGATCAATCATATCATTAATTTCCATCTTTTTACAAATGAAAAAACAAACAAGCATAGATTGCAAGTTGACCAAAATCTTTAGACTCTTCATATGAACAAAAATACATAAATACAAAAAAGTAATCTCCAAGTTTACACATCAGACTGATTAACTTTGCCTCCGATAAGTAACACCAGTGTCCATTGTTTATTCCAAGAACTTTTCACCTTCCATGTCTCAGTGGGTCAGCCTTCTCCAATCCTTGAAATATGTGACTCTTGTTTCTACTTGCTATTTATAAAACTGACATTTTGTGTTGTCCTTGAGGTTTTTTTCCAAAGTTTTCATTTAAATTAAGTTTTAGATTAAGCTTATTTCTAACTTCACTACTGCCATTTCACTGAGGCCAGCCCAAGTTCAGTTTACTTCAGGTCCATAACTTATGGGAGTGAGGATGTTTTATATATTCAAATTTCAGAATTAAGCAAGTCTTAAATGTTAGGATTTTAGAAGCGACTTACAGGAAGTGTTTCTTTCAGTACATGTTCATCGAAGTCCAATGCCTTTTCTCCTCCTCTAACTTGCTGATTTTTTACCCAGCTTGATCTAATGAACATCTTACATGAGTTTTCAGCACAGCAGAGTATGCAAACATCTTGATGTGAAACACATGTGAAAATGACATTCAATTCAGCCAGACCATTAAGTCTGATTCATTGAAACTAAACCTCAACTAAATTGAGTTGAAAACTTATACCCACACAAACTTGCACACAAATGTTTATAGAAGCTGTAGTCATAATTGCCAAAAATTGGAAGCGACCAAGATCCTTCAATAGGTGAGTGGATAAACTGCTACATCCATACAATGGAACATTAATCAATGATAAGAAGAAATGAGCTATCAAGCCACAAGAAGACATGAGGGGATCTTAAATGCATAGCGCTAAGTAAAAGAAGCCAGTCTGAAAAGGCTACACACTGTATGACTCCAACTACAATCATATGTCACTCAACAATGGGGATACGTTGTAAGAAATGCATCATTAGGTGATTCTGTCATTATTTGAACATCACAGAGTGTAGTTACACAAACCTAGATGGTGTAGCCTACTACACAGTGAGGCTATATGGTATGGCCTATTGCTCCTAGGCTACAAACCTGTACGGCATGTCACTGTGTTGAATATTGTAGGCAATACTCACACTGGTGAGTATTATGTATCTAAACATATCAAACAGAAATGGTATAGTAAAAATACTTGTACAGAGGATGTTTTTAAATGGTACATCTGTATAAAGCAACTCCATTATTATTTTATGGGACCACCATCATATATGCAGTCTCTTGTTGACCAAAACGTCATTATGTGGCCCATGTCTACATATGACATTCTAGAAAAGGCAAAACTATAGAGATTGTAAAAAGATCATTGGTTGCCAGGGGTTTAAGGAAGAGTGATGGATGAAAAAGTGGAGCACAGGGGAATTTTAAGGCAGAGAAACTACTCTGTATGATACAATAATTGTGGATATATGACATTATTCATTTGTCAAAACCCATGGGACACAAAGAGCTACACCTAATATAAACCATGAGCTTCAGTGAATAATAATGTATACATACTGGTGCATAATTGTAACAAATATACCACATTAATGCAAGATGTTAATAATAGGAAAAATAGGGAGAACGGATGGGAAATCTGGGCTTGAGTTCAAGTTTTCTGTAAACCTAAAACCGCTCTAAATAATAAAACCTACTAATTTTTTTTTTTTTTTGAGACAGAGTCTTGCTCTGTCGCCCAGGTTGGAGTGCAGTGGCGCGATCTTGGCTCACTGCAACCTCTGCCTCCTGGGTTCAAATGATTCTCCTGCCTCAGCCTCCTGAGTATCTAGGATTACAGGCACGTGCCACCACGCCCAGCTAATTTTTGTATTTTTAGTAGAAACGGGGCTTTACCGTTGGTCAAGCTGGTCTCAAACTCCTGACCTCGTTATCCACCCGCCTCAGCCTCCCAAAAACCTACTAATTTTTAAAAATTGTTGAAAATGAGGCAACAGCATATTTTAGCTTTGTAGGTAATTAACAGAAACTAGTTTTTAGTGACTTGATCGTATCAGCAAATTGGCTCTTGTCAACTGATTTTCAGCAATTTGGCCAGTTCCTGCTTCCTACTAAAGTCGCACTGGTCTTTCTGTTCCTCTAACTGATCCTTTCCAGCCTCACTGTTATCTCTCCCCTTTCCCCTGACATCCAGAAGGCTAGCTTGACCTTACCACATCTCAATTCAAATGTCATCTCCATGGAGAAGTCCTCTATGGTCCCTCTGTCCCTCATACACATCCAGTGCCTCTCCCTCCAATCACCTAATGTGGTAGGTAGATAGTGACACCCTCTCCCAAAGATGTCCAAATCCTAATCCCTGGAATTATTAATAGTTAATTTGTACTTTGTATAGTCTCACTCTGCTACCCAGGCTGGAGTGCAGTGATGTCATCACAGCTCACTGCATTGGGCTCAAGTGATCCTCCCACCTCTGCCACCCCAGTAGCTGGGACTGCAGGCACATGCCACCATGCCCAGCTAATATTTTGTATTTTTTTCGTTGAGGTTTCATGATGTTGCCCAGGTTGGTCTCAAACTCCTAGGCTCAAGCGAGCTGCCTGCCTCGGCCTCCCAAAGTGCTAGGGTTACAGGCATGAGCCACTGTGCCCAGCCAGTGCCAACATTTGTGATTGTTAAGGCTAATAATGCACACAGCCAAATCCTCTCCAAAATAACTCTAACAGCTTACCCGCAATGACTAAATGCTCATTTCCTGCACCTTCCCCCAGTGAAAGATACTGACACTTGATATACTTTTTAAAACTTGCTAAAAGCAAAACTGTACAATTTGGACTTTTTTATTAGTAGTAAAGTATAAAAGTTCTCCATATTTTTACAATTTACTTTTAGACTCTCATTTGTCTACTGGAAAAATCACTTTTAAAAGAGGATTAGGAAAATAAAGGTAGAGAAAGCAGGCAAACAAGCTTCTACTCCACGGGAAAACCGAGTATTTTTAGACTGTATCTTTCTTGTTTAGTAAGTACCTAACTGAACTGCAGGTGCATTTTCTCACTAGGACAGCTTCTATAGGAGCCCCAAGCACAAACTTGCCCTCTCCCTTCTCTCTCTACAGCAGAGATGGGCTCCCCACAGCTCCACAGCCCTGCAGGGGCTGGGATGATGGGGAATCTGTGCTGGCTTCGCTTCTTATGTCCAGGTGGTCCCTCGGCAATGTAGATCCCTTAGCTGGTCTGGGAGTCTGTAGGAATTCCCTTTGCAAAATGGATCATCACTTATGTTCTCCAACTCCCCTCTCCAGGCTTTCCCTGCCCACCCCAAATCCATGCTTCCCTCTGTTGTGCCCTGTGCTTCCTTAAAGTACTCATTGGTCCAAAACGTCACCCTCCTCCAGGGCCCCTACTAGGATGAGGCATGGTCGTGCATGTGCAGGGTTCAATTCTGTCTTTCTTTACAATTTTGAGGGGCCAGGCGTGGTTGCTCATGCCTGTAATCCTAGTGCTTTGGGAGGCCAAGGTGGGAGGATCGCTTGGGCCAGGAGTTTGAGACCAGGAGTTTGAGACTAGTCTGGGCCACACAGCAAGACTCTGTCTCTACAAGAAATTTTTAAAATAGCAGAGCATGGTGGTGCACACCTGTGGTCCCAGCTACTCCGGGGGCTGAGGCAGGAGGCTCACTTGAGCCAAAGAGTTCAAAGCTGCAGTGAGGTATGGTTGCACCACTGCACTCCAGCCTGGGCAGAAGAGTGAGACCCTGTCTCTAAAGAAATAAAGTTTTGATATTTTGTTCCTGGAAGGGTTTTTCTCATTAACTTTGTTTTTTTAAAATATTACATTAAAGAATAATTTATCTTGGCCAGATGCGGTGGCTCACACCTGTAATTCCAGCACTTTGGGAGGCCAAGGTGGGCAGATCACTTGAGGTCAGGAGTTCAAGACCAGCCTGGCCAACATGGTGAAACTCCATCTCTACTAAAAATACAAAAAAATTAGCTGGGTGCAGTGGTGGGTACCTGTAATCCCAGCTACTTGGGAGGCTGAGGCAGGAGAACTGCTTGAACCGGGGAGGCGGAGGTTGCAGTGAGCCGAGATCAGGGCATTGCACTCCAGCCTGGGCGACAGAACAAGACTCCATCTCAAAGGAAAAAAACTACTGAGGGTTTTTTTGGCTCCCCCTTAAATTTTACGTGCAAGGCAAGTGCCTCAGCCTAGCCCTGGCTCTGCCTGCGTCCCACTCAGCAGAGACCCCTCCCTCCCTCCACAGGGGCCTCCCTCAGAGAAAAGATTGCTTGGTCACATGAAGGTGCACATGACTTAACCACCACCTTTCTTGGGAGACATTTAAAACTATTTTTTCTTTTCTTTTTCTTTTTTTTTTTGAGGCAGAGTTTCACTGTCGTCACCCAGGCTGGAGTACAATGGCGCAGTCTCAGCTCACTGCAACCTCCACCTCCCAGGTTCAAGCGATTCTTCTGCCTCAGCCTCCAGAGTAGCTAGGATTACAGGCGAGCGCCACCACGCCTGTCTAATTGTTTTGTATTTTTAGTAGAGATGGGATTTCACCACGTTGGCCAGGCTGGTCTCAAACTCCTGACCTCAGGTGATCCACCCACCTCCATCTCCCAAAGCACTGGGATTACAGGCGTGCCCCACTGTGCCTGCCCAAAACTATTTTTTCTTAATTTACAGAATATCTCATTGTTCTATGATGAACACATTAGCAAAAAAGAAAAATCAAAAACCACCCATAGGCCAGGCGTGGTGGCTCACACCTGTAATCCCAGCACTTTGGGAGGCCGAGGCAGGCGGATCGTGAGGTCAGGAGATCAAGACCATCCTGGCTAACACGGTGAAACCCCGTCTCTACTAAAAAATACAAAAAATTAGCCGGGCGTGGTGGCGGGCGCCTGTAGTCCCAGCTACTCGGGAGGCTGAGGCAGGAGAATGGCGTGAACCCGGGAGGCGGAGCTTGCAGTGAGCGGAGATCGCACCACTGCACTCCAGCCTGGGTGACAGAGTGAGACTCCGTCTCAAAAAAAAAAAAAAAAAAAAATCACCCATAATCTTAAAAACCAGGTAAAATTTCTACTTTTATGTTTTTTAAAAAATACAAAACTCTGGGTCAGAGGAAGAGATGGCTTGCTAACCTGCCATTCCTTAGCATGATAATAAGTACACTTCTTCAACATCTCATGTAGACAATTACACTTGCCTACCTGTATAGGATGGGAGACTCCTGGAAAAGACTCTGAAAAGATCCTCTATGAGTAATTTACCCCTGGAGGTTGGGATTTGAAGGCTAAGGGAGGGATTTTTATGGTTTTTTACTCCATATACATCTGTATTGTTTTGATATTTTACAATAAGCATGTGTTATATTCCTAGTTTTTTTTTGTTTTTTGTTTTTTTGAGACAGAGTATCACTCTGTCGCCCAGGCTGGAGTGTAGTAGCACGATCTCGGCTCAGCGCCACCTCCTCCTCCCGGGTTCAAGCAACTCTCCTGCCTCAGGCTCCTGAGTAGCTGGGACTACAGGGGTGCGCCACCACACCCAGCTATTTATTTTTTGTATTTGTAGTAGAGACGGGGTTTCACCGTGTTGGCCAGGCTGGTCTCAAACTCCTGACCTCGTGATCCACCCACCTTGGCCTCCCAAAATGCTGGGATTACATGCATGAGCCACTGCACCTGGCCCTACATTCCTAGTTTTTTAAGGTACCAATAAAAATGAAAAATAAATAGCTCATGGAATCCATAGGCGGTTCTCTCTGCTTAAAGGCAGGGGTGCTGAGGAGAGGTCTCGCTGCAAGATAATTGTCATTAGGCAGGTCCTGTCACCAGCGGGGTGGGACCCTCTGTGTCCTCAAGGGAATGGTTGTGGCCTTGCCACAGGCAGGTGGCCAGGACCTAGGACCCTGGACACTGCCTGGGAGGCTGGTCCACTTCCATCTGGGTTTGGGTACAAGTTGCAGGTTTGGTATTTTTTGTATTCTATGGTCTGAACAAGTATACTTGCTCTTCTTTTAATACTTTAGGGGGAAATCCTCTTAATTCTTTTTTTTTCTTTTTTTCTTTTTCTTTTTTTTTTGTGAGATAGGGTCTCCCTCTGTCGCCCAGGCTGGAGTGCAATGGTGCGATCTTGGCTCGCTGCAACCTCCGCCTCCCAGGTTCAAGTGATTCTTCTGCCTCAGCCTCCTGAGTAGCAGGGATTACAGGCACGCACGACCATGCCCAGCTAATTTTCATATTTTTAATGGAGACAGTGTTTCAACGTGATGGCCAGGCAGGTCTTTTTTTTAATTTAAGACAGAGTCTCACTCTGTCACCCAGGCTGGATGGAGTGGCACGATCTCAGCTCACTGCAACCTCTGCCTTCCAGGGTCAAGTGATTCTCCTGCCTCAGCCTACCAAGTAGCTAGGATTACAGGTGCCTGCTACCACGCCCAGCTAACTTTTGTATTTTTAGTAAACACATGGTTTCACCTTGTTGGCCAGGCTGGTCTGGAACTCCTGACCTCAAGTGATCTGCCTGCCTCAGCTTCCCAAAGTGCTGGGATTACAGGCGTGAGCCACCGCGCCTGGTCTTATTTCTTTATTTTAAAAGTTATACTTATTTTATTGTTGAAAATTTTTAAGTATAGATTAAAAAAAAGAAAATAATATTTTTCAAAGTGTCTAAAATTCCAGAGAAAACAATAGTTGATATTTGCTATGTAATCCTCATATATTTTCCTAGTGACATATGACTGTCTTCATTTTTTGTTTAATAAAAATGAGGTCTAGGCTGGGCGTGGTGGCTCACACCTGCAATACCAGCACTTTGGGAGGCCAAGGCGGGTGGATCACCTGAGGTCAGGAGTTTGAGACAGCCTGACCAACATGGTGAAACCCCGTCTCTAATAAAAATACAAAAAAAATTACCCGGGCGTGGTGGCACATGCCTGTAATCCCAGCCACTAGGGAGGCTGAGACAGAAGAATTGCTTGAACCGGGGAGGCAGAGGTTGCAGTGAGCTGAGATTGCACCATTGTACTCCAGACTGGGCAACAAGAGTGAAACTCCGTCTCAAAAATAAATAAATAAAATTAAAATGAGGTCTTGTTTTCCAAATTGTTTAATAACTTTCTTTTAAACTTAATATTACAAGTGTCTTTCCTGGTGTTTGTTTTAAATCGTCATTTAAATATCTTTATAATATTATTATATTTCAAATATCTTTCCTGGTGCTTGTTTTAAATCATAATTTTTAGTGATTAGGGACTCTATTTCACTATGGTATTTCACTGCAATTCCTTAAATTTTTGAAAGTGATTTCCACTCATCATTTTCATTCATTATCTAAATTTTTAAAAATTAATTTAACTGCAAAGAAACTAGTCTGTGGATATACTAACACATTACCCACAATTCCACCTCCTTAACACAACTATGACGTACTTTATCATTTGAAACACATTGTAGTCCTAAAATTGGGCTTGCCAGATATCATTATCCTCACTGCACAACAGGAAGCTCAAGTCCAGAGTGGTTAGCTGGGTGGCACTGGACAAGTCACTCATTTAGTCTGAGTACAATAGCGTGTAGACCCCAAATGACTCCTAATAAAGGTAGGAGAGCTGTGGCTGCCATTGGCTGGTGGCCTTGCCCTCTCCATTTTCTGTTCTCTCAGAATCAATCACAATTCCCTCTAAATGGCTGCAGTCTTTGTACACTCAAACTTTACATGGCAGGGGAGGGTGCTGGTCTTTCCAGGCTTCCAGCTTCCCCATGTGAGGCTCCGCCCAGAGGACTGGTTTCTTTGCCCTCTGAGAGCAGACAGGCTTCTACAATAACTTGCTGAGCCCTTTGGCCTTGGGCTTTTCTGCTTAGTTTCTGCAGGGAAGGGCCATGTGCTCACAGGCAGGTGCCTTGTACTCTATAGTACTCTATCCTTGACATCAATATTACATTACTAATTGACAATGACACGTATAAAACAGCAGAGATGAAATGGTCAGTGGTTGGCAGATAAGAGGGAATGCACCAATAGATGCACATTAATAAAAAATCATACAGGAGGCTGGGTGTGGTAGCTCACACCTATAATCCCGGCACTTCGGGAGGCCGAGATGGGCAGATCACTTGAGGTCAGGAGTTCAAGAGCAACCTGGCCAACATGGTGAAATCCCATCCCTACTAAAAATACAACAATTAGCTAGGCATGGTGGTGCGTGCCTGTAATCCCAGCTACTCAGGAGGCTGAGGCAGGAGAATCGTTTGAACCTGGGAGGCGGAGGTTGCACTGAGCCAAGATTGCACCACTGCACTCCAGCCTGGTCAACGGAGCGAGACTCCATTTCACCAAAAAAAAAAAAAAAAATCATATATGAAGTTCATGACCAAAATGAGGCTGCTTCGCACTGAGAAACAATAGCTCTAAGTCAAAGGAAGCAGATGAGATGGAGATTCGGAGGACCTGGCAGGAGCATCAAGGTCCCTTATCCACAAACTTCCTGCCCATGCTGCCCAGGGAAAAGCAATACCAGTCTGTATCAGCCAGGGAGAGGCCTGCCAGCCAAGATAGTGGCTCTGGGCTGTGGTTGGTCACAGTAAAGGTCAACCACTCTTATGGGCAGGAACTAGACAAGAACGCTGATTAAATAGTTAGGCCCTAACATAGGACAGGTAGATGAGGAAACCTGAGCTTGGGACAGACAGCCCACAGGACAAATCAACAGTGCCCAGATCTGGCCATCTGCGGAAGTGCTGACAAAGGCCTGAGTCAATACTTTTTATTCCTGAGAGCTTAGGTCTTTTTGAACCCCTAGTTCAGTCCTTGTAGGGCAGGATCTGGATCTCCTGGGACAGAGAAAACAATATCTGTATTTGATAATAAGGGCTCAGAGCAGATTACAAGAGGTGGGGCCACCAAGGTTTGAAGCAGTGAAGGGACTTAGATGCCCATATTTCTAGGGTTTTCGAATATTTGTGGCCACTTATGAAACTATCACTTCCAACAGCTATTCTTTCAATAGTAACATTCAAATAGAAGCAGAGACCAAGCACTATAGGGCAAGTGTAAAGAGGACACACCATGGAGACTGCTTTCTCTGGCAGTTCAGCTTGCATGCCTCACTCAGCAAAACTAAGCTCAGAAGTTAGTTAGGCTCCTGCCCTTTAGAAGGCATGTGCTTCAGATAGGGATGGGGTCTCAGTCTCCCTACCCTGAACAGCTTATTCAAGTCTTCCTTCCAGCCTTCCAGCCTTGTGCCACACCATCCCCTCCCTGAGAGGTATTCTGAAAACAAAGATTTCCCCATCTTGTTGCATGCCTGGTGCCATTTTAGCACTCTTCAAGGAGTGGTACCCTATCGCACTCACCCAGCCAGACTTGTCCAAGAATCTTGCCCTGGTATGCTAGGCATGGTGGCTCATGCCTGTAATCCCAGCACTTTAGGAGGCCGAGGTGGGTGGATCATGTGAGGTCAGGAGTTCAAGACCAGCCTGGCCAACATGGTGAAACCCCATCTCTACTAAAAAGAAAAAGAAAAAGAAAAAGAAAAAGAAACTTGCCCCAGTAAACCACTTTTTTTTTTTTGGAGACGGAGTCTCGCTCTGTCACCCAGGCTGGAGTGCAGTGGTGCAGTCTCGGCTCACTGCAACCTCTGCCTCCCAGGTTCAAGCAATTCTCCTCCTGAGTAGCTGGGACTACAGGCACATGCCACCACACCTGGCTAATTTTTTTCTACTTTTAGTAGAGACGGGGTTTCACCGTGTTAGCCAGGAAGGTCTCAATCTCCTGACCTCGTGATCCACCTGCCTTGGCCTCCCAAAGTGCTGGGATTACAGGCAGGAGCCACCATCCCGGCAGGTAAACCACTCTTTTTAGCCTGAAGGAGAGTAGGTCAGTCTGTTTCCCATTAGTGTCCTACATCTTTGTTTGCTTCCTTAAGAAGAATGTAGGACCCTGAGGGCAGGAATCCACCTCCTCCTCATTTTGCAGGTCCACACAGGTCTCTGACTTCTGCAAATGTCAGAACACTTAAGCCCTCATACTCAAAAGACAGTATTTTTAGTGAGACAGCGTCTTGCTCTGTCATCCAGGTTGCAGTGCAGTGGTGTAATCACGGCTCGCTGCAGCTTCAACCGCATGGACTCAAGTGATCCTTCTGCCTCAGCCTCCTGATTATCTGGGACTGCAGGTACTGGCCACCATGCCTTGCTAATTTTAAAATTTTTTTTGTAGAGACAGGGTCTCAATATGTTGCCCAGGCTGGTCTTGAACCCCTGGACTCAAGCAATTGTCCCACCTCGGCCTCCCAAAGTACTAGGATTATAGGCATGAGCCACAGCGCCCAATCATAAGACACATATTGAGTAAAACTTGGACCACAGAAAACCTCGAAGTGTAATAGAAGAAATCACAAAACTTTAGATCAATAAACTTGACTGTATAAAGTGTTTTCAAAATCCATATACATATATCATTTTACAGATGAGGAGGCAAAGCTGAGGAAAGCTGAATAATTTGAACACGGGCACACACATTCTTTGGCTTGAAAGGAGCCAAACTGGGAATCAAACCCGGGAATGTCCAGTGCAAAAGCTTGAGGGCCTGAGGACTGCCTCTCACTGTGTCATGCCTATACTGGATGTTAGAACATGTGAATTACACACACACACACACACACACACACGTGTATATATACAAAAATATATATTTTAAAATATGCATATAAATTTACAAGCAAAGCATGAGGAAGAAAACAAAACCATTTGTAAAAGAGGAATTACAAGAAAATAACCAAATGTGCACTCTCCCTGGTGATAAAAACGCAAATGAAAGTTGAATAAGGCACCAAGTTTTGCTTATTGAATGAGCAGAAAAAAAGACAATAGCTATGACTGACAGAGTGAAACTAGCATCCGCACATACTATTGGGAACACTGAGAATAGGCCCACTCTTTAGGAAATCATCCTGGTTCTACATATCAAAAGTTTTTCAATGTCCTTCTGTTAGTTAATGGTTTTTTCAGTCATTCAGTAGGTATTACTGAGAATCTGTCATGTGCCAGGCATTGAACCAGGCACCACTGGAGTAAGCAGACAGGAGTGTGGGTCCTCACCCCAAGGGCAGCCATGCCAGCCCTGGAATGACCAATCAGGGGCTTGTAGATGAGAGAGAAATAAACCTCTTCCTTGTCTAGGCCACTGTTGTTTTGGGGTTTTCTATTACTTGCAGCCAAACTGAATCCTATTTATACAGAAGGTAAGTGAGCTTTCACCAGCTGCTCTGGTTTCTTTTTTCTTTTCTTTTTTTCTTCTTTCTTTTTCTTTCTTTTTTTTTTTTTTTTTTTTTTTTTTGAGACAGAGTCTCATTCTGTTGCCCAGGCTGGAGTGCAGCGGAGTGACCTTGGCTCACTGCAACCGCCCCCTCCCAAGTCCAGGCGATTCTCCTGCCACAGCCTCCCGAGTAGCTGGGACTACAGGCACCCACCACAACACCTGGCTAATTTTTTTTTTTTTTTTTTTTTAAGTAAAGACGGGGTTTCACCATGTTGACCAGCCTGGTCTCCAACTCCTGACCTCAGGTGATTCACCCGCCTGGGCCTCCCAAAGTGCTGGGATTACAGGCATGAGCCACCACGCCCAGCCCTGCTGTCTGGTTTCTTAATGGAGTAGAGGCAAGATCACCAAAACACAGTGAGAATGTGGGAGGGATGTGTAGGTTTGAGTGGAAAAGGCATGAAATTATCACTGCAGAAAGGGCAAGAGTGACTTATTAGAGAAACATAGTAAAATGGCTGGGCAATGATGAGTTCTGTCTTGAGTTTCCAGAAATAGATACTTAAAGAATCCCAATTTTAAATACCTTACACGAATGACATGCACCACATTCTTTATTATAGAAAACACTGGGCCGGGTGCGGTGGCTTATGCCTGTAATCCCAGCACTTTGGGAGGCTGAGACAGGCAGATCACCTGAGGTCAGGGGTTCAAGACCAGCCTGACCAACATGGAAAAACCTCATCTCTACTAAAAATACAAAATTAGCCAGGCATGGTGGTGCATGCCTGTAATTCCAGCTACTTGGGAGGCTGAGGCAGGAGAATTGCTTGAACCCAGGAGGCGGAGGTTACAGTGAGCCGAGGTCGTGCCATTGCACTTCAGCATGGGCAACAAGAACGAAACTCTGTCTCAAAAAAAAAAAAAAAAAAAAGAAAAGAAAAGAAAAGAAAACTCTAGAAATTACATAAATGCCAAACAGTGACAGAATAGTTGTATCACTCACAAAACTTTTCTAAATAATTGTTAGGGAAAGTAGATAGCAATATATAAAATAAGTTATAATTTTTTTTTTTTTTGAGATGTAGTCTGGCTCTGTCGCCCAGGCTGGAGTGCAGTGGCATGCTCTCAGCTCACTGCAAACTCCGCCTCCTGGGTTCAAACGATTCTCCTGTCTCAGCCTCCCAAGTAGCTGAGTACAAGTGCCCACCACCATGCCTGGCTAATTTTTGTTTTCGGTTGTTTGTTTGTTTTGAGACGGAGTCTCACTCTGTTGCCCAGGCTGGAGTATGGTGGTGTGATCTTGGCTCACTGCAACCTCCGCCTCCCGGGTTCAAGTGATTCTCCTGCCTCAGCCTCCCGAGTCGCTGGGACTACAGGCACCCACCACCACGCCCGGCTAATTTTTGTATTTTTAGTAGAGACAGGGTTTCACCATATCGGCCAGGCTGGTCTCGAACTCCGGACCTTGTGATGCACCTGTCTCAGCCTCTGAAAGTGCTGGGATTACAGGCGTAAGCCACCGCGCCCGGCCAATTTTTGTATTTCTTTAGTAGAGACGAGATTTCACCATGTTGGCCAGGCTGGTCTCAAACTCCTGATCTCAAGTGATCCACCCGCCTTGGCCTCCCAAAGTGCTGGGATTACAGGCATGAGCCACTGTGCCCAGCCAAAGTTACGATATTTTAATTAAAGCAGTAGAATACAAGATAGTACAGATACTATAGGATTATAATTATGCATGGAGGAAAAAAGTTGGGAAAGTACCAAATCACTAATAATATATATTTTAATAACCTTAATTTTATGTTAATATTAAAAACTATTGGCCAGGTGCAGTAGCTCATGCCTGTAATCCCAGCATTTTGGGAGGCCAAGGCAGGCAGATTGCTTGAGCTCAGGAGTTTGAGACCAGCCTAGGCAATATGGTGAAACAGCGTTTCTACAAAAAATACAAAAATTAACCAGGCGTGGTGGCATGTGCCTGCGGTTCCAGCTACTTGGGAGGATTGCTTGAGCCCAGGAGTTTGAGGCTGCAGTGAGCCGTGATCGCACCACTGCACTCTAGCCTGAGTGACAGAGCAAGACCCTGTCTCAAAAATAAATAATTTAATTAAATTAAAACTACTGTTTTAAAATTTCATGTTGAGACTCATCTTCTTGAGTAGCTAATAATCTCTTAGAGGTGAGATGTTGTGTGTCTGTCTCTCTGTGAGCCCACAGCAGCTACCACAAGGCTGGCCACTCAGACTTCACATAGACATTTGCTGAGTTGAACTGCCTGAGATTACGTGGGGAATGGAGAAGAAGTTCCTCTCTTCAACAAGTTGCTGTGTTTTCTCCGTTGGTCACAAGGTCTCTCACCAGAAGGTGAGCCCCACGTGTGTGGGCTTTGTGCTGCACCCCTTCTTGAGTATAGGGCTTCTAAAGAAGCCAGAGCCCGTCCTTAATGATATTCTCCTCATGCAAGACCACCAGCCAGTCACAGCAGAACAGTTTCTTTAAAAGGGTGGAACAGGCCGGGTGCGGTGGCTCACGCCTGTAATCCCAGCACTTTGCCCAGGCGGGCGAATCACCTGAGGTCAGGAGTTCCAGACCAGCCTGCCCAACCTGGTGAAACCCCCGTCTCTACTAAAAATACAAAAAATTAGCCGGGCGTGGTGGCGCATGCCTGTAATCCCAGCTACTCGGGAGGCTGAGGCAGAAGAATCGCTTGAACCCGGGAGGCAGAGGTTGCAGTGAGCCGAGATCTCGCAACTGCACTCCAGCCTGGGCAACAAAAGTGAAACTCCATCTCAAAAAAAAAAAAAAAAAGAGGTTTTTGACGATTATTTTAAAGCTAGCTCCCTCCGGCTGCTCTACAAAGAATGTATGGGAGAGCAGGTAATTGTTCATGACTCTATCTTCCCTTTTGCCACTAGGCAAGACAAAAGGAAACAGCCCTCCTGGTGTGTTTCTGGGGACCAGATTGTCAAATTAAATTCGACCTAGGCTGGGCGCAGTGGCTCACTCCTGTAATCCCAGCACTTTGGGAGGCCGAGGCGGGCGGATCACGAGATCAGGAGATCGAGACCATCCTGGCTAACACGGTGAAACCCCGTCTCTACTAAAAATACAAAAAAATTAGCCGGGCGTGGTGGCGGGCCCCTGTAGTCCCAGCTACTCAGGAGGCTGAGGCAGGAGAATGGTGTGAACCCAGGAGGCAGAGCTTGCAGTGACCCGAGATCGCACCACTGGACTCCAGCCTGGGCAACAGGGCGAGACTCTGTCTCAAAAAAAAAAAAAAAAAATGTTGGCCTAAAGCTGCCTCCATAAATAGCAAGCCACAACCTAACTTAGTGTGTAAACAAACCGTAACCTAACTAAGAGTATATTCTTGTAACAAGTAGCTGGGTCTCTGCCAATCATAACAGGGGAGCTTTCAGCCAATCCCAGGCTGCAGACTGCCCAGTCAAGTCCAAATAAGGCAACCACCCAGGTGTAACCAATCAGGCTATTTCTGTATCACCTCTTTTTTCTGTAAGTATTGCCTGCCCACTTTTGCCTTGTGGAGCTCTCTGAACCTTTACTGGTTCAGGGTGCTGCCTGATTCATGAATAGTTTCTTTGCTCAGATAAACTCTGCTAAATTTAACTAGTCTGAAGTTTTTCTTTTCATAAAATCCGAGAGAGTATTTAAAAATTACAGCAACAATCTAAACATTGTACAAAATACACTATGGGGTCAGCAGGGAGACTCTGTGGTGTTAACCTGTATTCTTTCTGTATTTTTTTTTTAAAGCAGCCTCCTATATTTATCTAGAGCACTGTACAGTCAGTTCTCCATATCTGCATCCATGGATTCAACCAACCACAGATGAAAAATATTCCAAAAATTAAAAAATAAAAATATACCAATTAAAAAATACAAATAAAAAATACAGTGTAAACAACTATTTACATAGCATTAACATTATATTAGGTATTATAAGCAATCTGGAGAATACTTAAAGTATACAGGAAGATGTGTGTAGGTTATATGTAAATACTACACCATTTTATAGAAAGAATCTGAGGACAGGCATAGTGGCTTACACCTCTTTTTTTGAGACAGATTCTCGCTCTGTCGCCCAGGCTGGAGTGCAATGGCACGATCTCAGCTCACTGCAAGCTCCACCTCCCAAGTTCACAGCATTCTCCTGCCTCAGCCTCCTGAGTAGCTGGGACTACAGGCGCCCACCACCATGCCCGGGTAATTTTTTTGTATTTTTAGTAGAGACGGGGTTTCACTGTGTTAGCCGAGATGGTCTCGATCTCCTGACCTCGTGATCCACCCGTCTCAGCCTCCCAAAGTGCTGGGATTACAGGTGTGAGCCACCATGCCCGGCCGGCTTACACCTCTTATCCCAGCACTTTGGGAGGCCAAGGCAAGAGGATAGCTTGAGGCAAGGAGTTTGAAACCAGCCTGGCCAACATAGCAAGACCCAATCTCTGTATTGAAAAAGAAAAAAGAAAAGAAAGGACTTGAATGTCCATGAATTTTGGTACCTGCATGGGAGTCCTAGAACCAATCCCCTACAGATACCAAGAGATGACTGTATAGAGAAAAACCATTGAGCAAAGCCAGAGGCAACATCAGTTCAAACTCTGCTAAGGCTCCAGAATGACAAGATTCCAATCTGGTAAAAGGTTTGGATGAGAGTGACAGCCTTGTGTTGACAGCAGGGCAATGAGCCAGTTCAGACAGCCCCAAGACTTTCCCTAGTCAATCCCAGGCAGAGAGAAGCCCTGCCCACTACAGGAACAGGGTTGCTGAAACAGCAACTAGGAAGCTGGTCTACACCAAGAACCTTGGGAATCAGGAAGGCCCAGGAAAAATAAGTATCTACAGGAGGTTCAGGGACGATTTGGACCTCACACCCAAGTGAGAAGCCTGGAAATCCCCAGGGGTGAGAGAACACTGCTTTCATCTACCCTTCCAAAACGGGTCCCACTGTCACCCGTGCATGCCCGTATCTGAAGGACACTGGTGTCTGATCATCCCAAAAACTGGAATTTTTTCTCATTGTGGCCTGGCTGTTTCCCTGGATCTTTGGAAACTGTGGTCACTGTCTTATTCTGACAAGATACAATCAAAGTTAACCAAGAGAAATTATACAGCACTGCTTAACCAAAGTGCCACAAAGAAGGTATAAACAGGGAAGGGTGGGAGAGAAACAACACACAGGTATGTACCAATAGCAGGCAAATTCATTGGGGGCCAATCCCAGTTTTATTCATTTATTTTAAAATGATTTTTAGAGACAGGGTCTCACTATGTTGCCCAGCCTCCTTAGTAGCTGGGACTACAGGCACACGCCAGCTCCAAGCCCAGTTTTAAACACTGATTATTCCCTTTTGAAGCAGATTCATCGAAGATTTCTTTAAATAAATATTTTCATGAAGCATTTAAATACATTCATTTATGAAGTGTGTATTGACTCATACTTTTTCAGGAACATGTACAAACACGTTTGACCACAGTCCTCTCACCTTCCTTGGAATGTCCCTCTCTTGGGCCTGTGATAGCTCTTTCCTGGTTGTATCCCTTCATCTCTTCCTCTATTTCTCTGTCCCCTTTCTCCTCCTCCATCAATAGAGGCATGCACTAAGAGTGCTTCTTTGTGGACTTCCGATCTCTTCATTCTTTCTCCTTGAATAACCATCACTCACTTCTTTTACTTGTCACCTCTACTGCTGATAATAATAGCTGGCAACTATAGGTGCTCTCTGTGTGTCAGGCACTGTACTAAACTCTCAAGTTTAATCCTCCCAACGGTCCTAAGGAGTAGACACTGTTATTATCCCCATTTTTATGTATGGAAAAACTGAGGCTTGGGGGCGGAAGCAGGCTGCCCAGGGTCACCTAGCTAGTAAGGGGCAGAACTGGATTCAAGCCCGGGCAGCCCACCTCAGAGGCTTCATGCTGTTCGGTAAGCTCTCAAAACTGGACATCTTCCCAAGGGGCGGGGCCATCTCCACCAGCCCCTCAAACCCTGCATGTCACCCACCAGACATTAGAGAGTACTCACTGACATGTTTGTACTGGCTGTGAAGATATTAAAATACTGCAAACTCTGTGGCCTGGAACCCTGTCTTCACCCTGTCACCCTCTCCGCTAAGACCTCCCCGTATCCAGCATCCCTGGCATGGGGCTGAGGGGTGGAGGCTGGTGGGGAGGGGCTTAGCGCCCGCCTGGCCTTAGCCTTGCCAGTGCTAAAACTGTGGCTAAATACTGAGGATTGTGTTGTTTGGTTGGGTTTGTTTGTTTGTTCGTTTTTGAGACAAACACAAATCACTCTGTCGTCCAGGCTGGAGTGCAGTGATGTGATCATAGCTCACTGCAACCTCAAACTCCTGGCCTCAAGCAATCCTCTTGCCTCAGCCTCCCAAGTAACTATATCTACAGGCATGCACCACCATGCCCAGCTAATTTTTAAGATTTTTTTGTAGAGACAGACAGAGTCTCACTATGTTGCCCAGGGTGGTCTCGAACTCCTGGCCTCAAGCAATCCTCCTACCTCGGCCTCCCAACGTGCTGGGATCACAGGCATGAGCCACTGTGCCTGAACTAAATACTGTTAGTATCACGTCTGCCTCCTTCTCCTTATGTCTCCACGAACCAGTTCCTCTGCTGACTTCCTTATTTCTGGGGCCCACATCTCATTCTCCAGTTTGTATTATACAGAGCCTTTTTCCCACAGTGCCTGCCATGGGATCCCCCAGTCCTCCATTCTACCTGAAAAACTCGCAAGCCTCCCGTGAGAGCCATCTGTGGTGCCCTTGGTTCCTCTGTGAGGCTGCCACCACCCTGCACCCTAGGGTGAGTAGTGCCCCAGAAGGACCTCACAAACTCCAGTGAAGGGACTCACAGGCACAGTCTCAACTGTGTCCCTGAGGTCCCCAGCCAGGTTTCTCTACCCTGCAGCCCACGTGGGGTAGAGGGACCATCTAGGCAGCTGTGAAGCTACCTGGGTGGGTGGTGGGGGGAGGCAAGCAGGAGCCCCAGTAAGGAGTCAGGGCCCCTTGGCAGCTGCGGTCAACTTTGAGGTTTGCAGCCTCCTGCTCCTGTCTTAAAGGGATGAGGACAGCTCCTCTGAATGAGGGGGCATGGACCTTGAGGGGCACCTGGGGAGTGAGAGGACAGAGGGAAGAGGACTAGACAGAGGAGGGGGACAGGCAGACCTGCTCCCTCCAGGCTGGGCTGGCCCTACCGGGCTGGGTGGGGTACCCCCTCCAGCTTATAGGGTCTCCCACACCATCAGCCCCGCTATGGGGCCTGGACGGAAGGGCTGGGGCAATGGCCTGGGGAGGGGGCTCGGGAAACAAGGCTGTAGAACAGGGAAAGCTCCAGCAAAGGGAAGCCCTCTATGCTGTACGTTTCCTGGAAAGGACGATCCCGGGGGGCAGCTGCTGCTGTCAACCCGGTAAAGCTCACAAGCCCCCACACCAGATCCCCCCAGATCCTCTCACGGCTCAGCTCCAGGGACCGGCAGAGACTCTCCCCGGACGGGTCTCGCCTCCCTAAGGGTCTCTGCTTCGCCTGTGAGAGGAGGGGTTGATGTCCTGACTCTAAGGTGTCTCGGCTCTCTGCGTCCTCAGGAGCACGCGCTGCTGGGGGCGCGGGCGGCAGAGGGTGGGCCCTGGAGTCCGAGCCCCCGGGACTCGCGGGCACGCGGTGGGTAGCGGGGGACAGAGAGGGAACAGCAGCCCGGCGTCCGCTCCAAGTCTGCCCCTCGAGCAGTGGGGCTGGGGCCCCGATCCCTTCACGCGCGAGCTCCGCCAAGCCCCCGGGCGCGCGGTCACCGAGTGGCGCCGGAGCTGGGGAGCCCCCCACGCCCGCCGCGTTGGCCTCCCGCCCGGGCCGGGTCCTGAGCCCCGCGATCCGCTGTCGGCCCCACGACTTACCCAAAAGTTTCCCTTGAACAGTGAGCGCGTCATCGCAGCGCGAGTGGGGGCGCGGAGGAGAGCCGGGCCGCAGGTAGCACAGAGCGGGGAGGCCTGACTGCCACTGCCCGCGGCTCCGCAGACTCAACTTCTGCGTTCCACACTCGCGCAGGGAAGCCGCCCCCGGGTCCTAAACCACTCCCGATTGCGACGGCCGCCGTCGGCGCTCTGCGCTCCCTGCGCGAGACCTGGGCGGGACCCTCGGCGCTCACCCGGCCAGGGGCTGCAGCCCGCACCCGGACCCAGGCCCATTTAAAGCCCCACAGCGTCGGGCCACGATCAATATATCAGCCCGAAGCTAGCTGCCTCCTTCTGGAAGTCTTTGGGTATTGGAAATAACTGGTCCTGGCTTGGGTTCCTGCCCACAAGGCCCCCTGGACAGCACGAAATCCAGGCTCTGCGGGGTGATAGACGGGATCTGATCAGATGGTCGCGAGGACCCGGTTTAAGCTACAGAAGGCCTGGGGCCGACAACTCCCGCAGACGCCTTGGCTTCACGGCGGGCCCCACCGGCACCTGCTGCAGATCAGGCCCTGGGGGACGGTTCATTTTTTATTTTACTTTTTGTTGTTGCAGGTGTTTTTAATGAATGGGGTCACGTTTTAGTCTAAAATGTCATGGAGAGGTCATCTCTGCTGTTTCCCCTTGACTCTAGTCACTTGGTGGTGTCCTAACAGGGCTTCCAGGAGCTCAGCCGCTCTCTGACTCCCTTTCCATTCTCAAAAGGCAAGACCCTTCCCTGCCCATTCCACCCCAGCAAGAGGGGCCCAAGATTCCTTCTTCTCCCTCCACTCTTCCACCCTCACAAATAAAACCCCAGGGCAGGTCAGACCCCTCTCTGCATTGTAGTAGATTGGTACAAAAGTAATTGCGGTTTTTGCCATGACTTTTAATAGTAATGCAGGGCTTATGACAAAGTACTGCCTGGTGCGACAGGCCCGAAGCCCAACCTGAGGCCCAGAGGGGTTGAATGGCTTGCCCAAGATCACAGTTTATTTAAGGGATGAAGAGCTCAAGGTTAGAGCTCTGCCCTTCTAAATAGATGCAAAGACAGACATCCTTCCTGGGGCAGATCCATCCTGGGCAGAGGAATAGGTGCTCAAAGTGGGGAGGATAAAGGTCAAGGTTGCCAAGACTGGCACCAGCCCAGCCTGGAGAAGCAAGCACTCACCCCTGGAGCAGGTTCTAGCTACACCCAGACACAGTGAAAGGGCAATTGCTAGAATTATGTGAAGCACCTGGAACAAGTTCTGCTCCATAAAACTGCAGCCAGCCCCACTCAGATGAACTCCCACCAATAAAGTCATCCACAACTGCAAAGATGGAGAGGTGGCCTCCAGCCACCAAGCATCTCCAAGGGATGCATCCATTTACGTACTTGCTCATATCCTTTGAAAGCAGTGAGATTAGAAGGAAGGCAGAGAAGCCTGGCAGAACCATCAAGGGGCAGCAGAGGACGTGGTAGGCACTAGGAAGCTAGGCTTAACTGCAGGGGGTAAGAAATGGCACAAACTGGGGACATAGAAGCGGGAGAGCTGAAGACACCACTAAGGTTTTTCCTGGAAGTTTTAAATATTCTGGAAAAATAGTTTAGATACAATTCTAATTGTCACATTTTAATTTTTAATACATGTATAATTTTAAGTTATTAGAACGTTTCACAAGCTCTCACAGTACATTGTGCTTGATTTTCGCGACTCAGACTCTAAGCTCCCTGAATTTTAACCCTCTTCCGCCATCTGGTGACAAAGTTTTTAATTGCAAATGGTCATCCACGCTGCTGGAAAATATTCTTCATTCCTCAAACAGCTCATCTCTGGGGCAGGTATTGTGAGTAAAAAAACAAACAAAGTGTGTGCTATATCCAAGGGACATATTTAGGATATTTTACTAACTTCTGTGGTTTGAATGTTGCCCCCTCCAAGAATTCTTGTTGAAACTTAATCTGAAATGAGACAGTATTGAGAGAGGTAGGATCTTTAAGAGGTGATTGGGTCACGAGGGCCACTAGTCCCATTCATGGATTAATGGGTTAGTAGATTAATGGGTTATCAGGAGATGAAACTGGTGGCTTTATGCTTTATAAGAAGAGGAAGAGATGGCTGGGCACAGTGGCTCATGCCTGTAATCCCAGCACTTTGGGAGGACAAGGCAGGTGGATCACCTGAGGTCAAGAGTTCAAGACCAGGCAGGCCAACATGATGTAACCCCATCTCTATTAAAAATACAAAATTAGCCGGGTGTGGCGGCACACGCCTGTAGTCCCAGCTACTTGGGAGGGTGAGACAGGAGAATCGCTTGAACCCAGGAGGCATAGGCTGCAGTGAGCCGAGAGTGCTACTGCACTCCAGCCTGGGCGAGACAGAGTGAGACACCATCTCAGAAAAAAAAAAAAAAAGAAGAAGAAGAGGAAGAGAGGCCTGAACTAGCATGATCAACCTCCTTGCCATGTTACACCCCATGCCACAGAGTCCCTACCAGCAAGAAGGCTGGCACAAATGCGGCCCCTCAACCTTGGACTTTTCAGCCTTCATAACTGTGAGAAATAAATTCTTTTCCTTTATAAACTACCCGATGTCAGATACTCTGTTATAAGCAACAGAAAACATACTAAGACACTAACAAAATTAAACAATATTATAGCAATTATGAAATAATGAAATTATTTAATATATTTAAGACATAATACATTTAAGATAATCGCTGTGAATATTTTGGCATACTCTCTTTCAACTATATATTTGCAAGAGTAAGTTCTTACTGTACATAAAATTTTGAGTCTTGCTTTTTTAACTTAGTATTTCATAAGTATTTTCTAAAATCACTCAATGTATTTTTTCTAACAAAAAGTTTGATAGAATACAGGGCTAGCCACTTTATAAGCAGACAATTTTGCACATAAAAATTGAAAATCTCTGTGAAGGGCTGGGCAGGGTGGCTCACATCTGTAATCCCAGCACTTTGGGAGGCTGAGGCAGGCAGATCACTTGAGGTCAGGAGTTCGAGACCAGCCTGGTCAACATGGTGAAACCCCGTCTCTACTAAAAATACAAAAATTAGCCGTGCGGAGGTGGCGCAGCACCTGTAATCCCACCTACTCGGGAGGCTGAGCCAGGAGAATCGCTTGAGCCTGGGAGGTGGAGGTTACAGTGAGCTGAGTTTGCACCACTGCACTCTAGCCTGGGCGACAGAGTGAGACTCCATCTCAAAATAAAATAAAATAAAAATATCTGTGAAGAGAAATTTGGCCATGTGATCAAAATGTAAAATGCCCCTATCTTTTGACCCATTAAGTCCATGTCAAAAAACTTACCTTACAAATATATTCTCACATATGCAAAGTAAAAGATGACACAGTTGTTCATAGCAGTGTGGTTATTTTGGCAAAAGACTTGAAATAATTAATGTCCATCCATGGAGTACTAGCTCAATATATTGTCATATATCGATCCAATGAAATCATATTCAAGCATAAAAAATGAGGAAGCTCTTTGCGTATTGATATGGAACAATCATCAGATATATTAATAAGTGAAAAACAAGGCAAAACAAGCTGTCACTAGAATGAGAAGAAAAAAGAACACACACACACTTTCTTTTTTTTTTTTTTTGAGACAGAGTCTTGCTCTGTTGCCCAGGCTGGAGTGCAGTGGTGCCATCTCGGCTCACTGCAAGCTCCGCCTCCCGGGTTCACGCCATTCTCCTGCCTCAGCCTCCCGAGTAGCTGGGACTACAGGCGCCTGCCACCACGCCCAGCTAATTTTTTGTATTTTTAGTAGAGACGGGGTTTCACTGTGTTAGCCAAGATGGTCTCTATCTCCTGACCTCGTGATCCGCCCACCTGGGCCTCCCAAAGTGCTGGGATTACAGGCATGAGCCACCGGGCCCGGCCCACACACACACTTTCAATGGTCCCCTCTAAAGTGGGGATCTGGGGCCTGAGAGATAGGAGAGAGCAGAAGAGAGCCCTACTTTTCATCCCATGCCCTTCTGGACCTTAGAATTTATACTCTGTGAGTTTATTATAAACCCAAAGAAAACTCATCAATATCATTTTTAATTTTTGCATAACTTCCCATCAAGTGGATATACCAATATGTACTTAGCATTTCCCTAATGCTTTTGGAAATATTACTGTGATAAATATCTTTTAAATAAATCATTGTTAAAATTATTCATAGTGGAGGCCGGGTGCAGTGGCTCATGCTTGTAATCCCAGCACTTTGGGAGGCTGAGGTGGGTGGATCATTTGAGATCAGAAGTTCGAGACCAGCCTGGCCAATGTGGTGAAACCCTGCCTCTACTAAAAATACAAAAATTAGCTGGGTGTGGTGGTGGGCGCCTGTAATCCTAGCTACTTGGGAGGCTGAGGCAGGAGAATCACTTGAACCTGGGAGGCGGAGGTTGCAACGAGCTGAGATCACGCCACTGCACTCAGTCTGGGCAATGGAGTGAGACTTCATCTCAAAAAAAAAAAATTACTCATAGTGGAATTACAGGTTAAAGAATATGAATATTTTTAAGGGTCTTGAAATATATTACCAAATAGTTTTCCACAAAAGTTGTATCAGTCTATACTCTCAGTAGTCTACAGCGGTGTCCCTGCCTTTTCAGAAACATTGGATAACATCATTCATAATCCTTGTTATATGATCATGGAAACGCTCTCATTATGCTTTAAATTTGCATAGTTTTAATTACTACTTGATCAGGTTTTTCATACGCATGTTTTTTCAGGCTATGCCATCTTTTGGGAATTGTCCTTGTCCTTTGCCCATTTATCTCTAGAAGTTTTGTTAGTTTTCTTTTTTAAAGCCAGTCAAATTTAGCAGTAGGGGACTGTACATCAACTTTAGTGACACTAATGTTAGTAAGTTCTGATAATCCACTACCACTGGACCAGCCTAAAGTCTTGTTCCTTTTTTTTTTTTAACCAATTTGCCATTTTTGTTGCAAACATGTCTTGCTCTGTATTTCACAGCCTAGCACGCTACCTAGCACATCATAGGTGCTCAATAAACATTGATTTAACTGAATTAATTTGTATTTAATTAGATTTTTGGGGGCCCCGTTTTCATGTTTATACAACCCTATGTATTGACGTCCTCTGTCATTTTTTCCATTGCTTGTTTTGCTTAAAATCCCTTTCCCATCCAGGATCAGTGCAAAACAGATGTGACTTGGAAGAACCTCGGAGCAGTCAGACCTATCTTGTAGTTACAAGGACTTGCTGACTTCAAAAAGTAAGAAATCATCCCACCCAACCTGTACTCATTACCTATTGCTGCAAAATACATTACTTCAAAAATTGCAGCTTAAAACAAGAAATATTTATTATTGCCCACAGTTTCTCAGGGCTAGGGATTTTAGAATTGTGTGAGTCTGGCTCAGGGCAACTCATGAAGTGGTAGACAGGCTGTCGGTGGGGCTGCAGTGGGCCTGAGCCCCACCAGGAACTGGAGAATCCGCTTTGAGCTAACTCCTGTGGTTGTCTCCAGCTGCTTGCTGGCTGTTTGCCTGAGGTAAACGTCATAGTGGCATGGGCTTTGTCATAAAGCTGCTCACAACATGGCAACCTGCTTTCCCCAGAGCAAGGGATCTGAGAAAGAAACTCAGACAGAGGCCATATTATTTTTATAACCTAATCTCAGAGCCCTATTTAGGGCCATGTCACCAACAAGTGGCAGGAGTTCCTACCTAACCCAGACCCCAACCCTGGGTCTGAATGGAGATTCCCATGCAACTCAGATCTGTGAGGCACTGCTGTGTCTCCTCTCTGCCCATCAGTGGTCACCCACACACAGCATTAACACTGCTAGCTGGAGTCTAGGTTTTGCTTTGGGGAGGAACCCATACTCTTGTCAGAATGCCCCGGTACAGTGAACTAGCCATGCCACTTAGAAATTCCATGGCAGGCCGGGCACAGTGGCCTACGCCTGTAATCCCAGCACTTTGGGAGGCCGAGGCGGGCAGATCACCTGAGGTCGGGAGTTTGAGACCAGCCTGACAAACAGGAGGAAACTCAGTCTCTACCAAAAACACAAAATTAGCCGAGTGTGGTGGCGCATGCCTGTAATCCCAGCTACTCGGGAGGCTGAGGGAGGAGAACTGCTTGAACCTGGGAGCTGGAGGTTGCAGTGAGCCGAGATCGTGCCATTGCACTCCAGCCTGGGCAACAAAAGCGAAACTCCATCTCAAAAAATAAATAAACAAACAACATAAGAAGCACTGACAAATAAGGAATGATGTTTGACCTTGAGTTACATTTTTCTTTTTTTTCTGAGACGGAGTCTCACTCTGTCACCCAGGCTGGAGTGCAGTGGCATGATCTTGGCTCACTGTAATCTCTGCCTCCTGGATTCAAGCAATTCTCCCGCCTCAGCCTCCCAAGTAGCTAGGACTACAGGCGCATGCCACCACGCCCGGCTAATTTTTGTATGTTTAGAAGAGACAGGGTTTCGCCATGTTGGCCAGGTGGTCTCCTTGAGTTACATTTTTATGGATGTGTTGTTATACATATTCCAAAATTATTTTAGATTCCTAAAATTCTGGTATGTCTTGGTATGTTATCATGTAATTATGGTAATTATATTAAATTATTATAGGCACGGAAATAACCAAATTTGTCAACTGTGTCTTTAACCATGACCATCTCAAGTCATTTCCACAGTTAAGTGCTTAGATCCAACACATTTTCTAAAAGCTCTTTGCAAGCAAGCAAAATCCTGAAGTGTGTCTTCAAAGAGATTCATGAATGGGGGGAGGGGGGAGGGATAGCATTGGGAAATATACCTAATGCTAGATGATGAGTTAGTGGGTGCAGCGCACCAGCAGGGCACATGTATACATATGTAACTAACCTGCACATTGTGCACATGTACCCTAAAACTTAAAGCATAATAAAAAAAACAAAATAAACAACAAAAAAAAAAACAACAAGGAGATTCATGAGAAGGATGGAATGGACCCTGACAAGCACTCTTGAATACAGGCTTCCAGTAACTTTAGGATCATATTATTTGGACTGGATAAGAAGTCTCAGAACTCTAATGAAGAGACTGCCTGGTTTATGAAACTGGTAATATAAACAGGATAAAAACTAATTGAATATCAAGAAAATAATTTGCCATATTTTCATGCCGAATTAGCCAGAACTGAAATTGTTTATATATGCAATTTGAATGAACACTTATGGTCCAAGTCATATTACCTGTGAAAGCCAATTTAATAAATAGTGCTATGCACCTGAATTAGAGAAACAAAATTGGTAGTTAGGAGGATACAGGCCAGGTATGATGTCTCATGCCTGTAATTCTAGTGCTTTGGGAGGTCAAGGTGGGAGGATCACTGAAGGCCAGGCAGGGCAACAGAGTGAGACCCTAGCTGTACAAAATATTTTTAAATTTTTAAAAAAAGAATATAAATCCAGTGTTAAGCAGGGACTCATGGAGAGCCTAGATGGCCACCTGGTCTTCCCTGAGTCCTTAAAGCTTCCATTATTAAAAGCTCTGCAATCTATGGATCATCATGGAAGGGCTAAAATAATCCAAATGATGAGTGAGTGTTTGGGTAGCAACTGTCCTAAATTGCTAAAATGGTTTATGACCAATATTTGGTTTGTCACATCCATCCCATGAAGTAAGTCAAAAGTCCGGCAGCCTTATAACTCTTGCCAAAGGCCAACTCCCCCATAAATTCTTTCCTAGTTCTACCATTAAACATAGATCTTTTAATCCAAATGACACTTTGTAGTGGTTAGTTACTCCATCTTATTTGTATTTCTATGTAGTAATTATACAGTATTTACAAGACATGATGAATTGGTCTTTTGTTCTCCCTCCTCCTCCTTACTCCTAGGTTAGGTAAGTTATTGATGGAGTCCTTTTGTGTCTTACTCATCTTTGAATCCTTTTTAGTGTTCATCTCATAGGTAATGCTCAATTAATAGCTGAACTAAGTACTACTTCAGATATGCTTATCTTAATATTCTTGCAATCATAGATTATAGAGCTGAGACGCTAAGAACTTTCAGGAGAGCAAAAAAGACAAGACCTTACAGTTAACAAATAGTTTTTAAAATACAAGTCTGAAATCCATAAAACTTCACATTTCAAAGGTCAAGTGCCTTCTCAAATGTTCACCACCCCCAGTGATAAGATAAATGCACACAGACACAATTTTATGACAGCCATTTTGTTGCCACACAGAAGGGCCACTTGGGCAGTGTATTTAGGCCTGCCTGGTTAAAAACAGCCAGGTGCCTATGAGGTCTCCTATGTCATTAGTCTGTAAGTACTTAGTAAAAAGCAGTATTTGAATCTCATGGTTCATTGCTGTAACAGAAAGGGCTGGACTCTATAGCTCAGCAAAAACACCAGGGAAAGGACTATACAGTTTTAGGGGAGATCTTGAAGTCTTCTAGCACAACTTTTTTTAAGAGTCAGGGTCTCTGTCACCTAGGCTGGAGTGCAGTGGCGTGATCATAGCTGACTGCAGCCTGTTTCAAACTCCTGGGCTCAAGTGATCGTCCCAAAGTGCTGAGATTACAGGCGTAAGCCACTGCGCCTGGGCTATCATATTCTTTAAAAATATCACATATTTTTAAATGTGATATTTAAAAATCACATTTTTAAATATCACTGTGCCTGGCGTGGGCCAGGCACAGTGGCTCACGCCTGTAATCCCAGCACTTTAGGAGGTCGAGGCACGTGGATCATCTAAGGTCAGGAGTTCGAAACCAGCCTGGCCAACATGGTGAAACCCCGTCTCTACTAAAAATACAAAAATTAGCCAGGCATGGTGGTGCACACCTATAATCACAGCTACTCAGGAGGCTGAGGTAGGAGAATCACTTGAACCCAGGAGGTGGAGGTTGCAGTGAGCCGAGATCGCGCCATTGCACTCCAGCCTGGGCAACAAAAACAAAACTCCGTCTCAAAAAAAAAAAAAAAAAAAAAAATCTCATCAGACCAGACCAGTAGTTAACATTTGGAATTTGATTTATAATGGACAAACATGGTTGTCTTCATTTGAGAAGTTTATTGAGCATTTACGTGCCAGGAGTGGGCTACGAGATCCAGTCAACAAACAAACAATACATACTCCCAGTAATAAATTAATTCCAATCCATTAGCCAAAGTATTTTTCTCCAAAGTAGTAATCACCACTGACACTAGGTATAAAATGCTCCAACAAGCCGGGCGCAGTGGCTCACCCCTGTAATCCCAGTACTTTGGGAGGCCGGTGGACCACCTAAGGTCAGGAGTTTGAGACCAGCCTGACCAACATGGAGAAACCCCATCTCTACTAAAAATACAAAATTAGCCAGGCGTGGTGGTGCATGCCTGTAATCCCAGCTACTCAGGAGCCTGAGGCAGGAGAATTGCTTGACCCCAGGAGGCGGTGGTTGTGGTGAGCCGAGATCGTGCCATTGCACTCCAGCCTGGGCAACAAGAGCAAAACTCTCAAAAAAAAAAAACAAAAAAAAAAAAAAAAAAAAAAAACGAAATGTGCAGAACCTTCTAACTAAAAGTAACTTCCTTATTTCAGAAAAGGAAAATCAGATCTAGAAGTTATTTCTCAAGTAGCTAGAAAGCAAGAGTTGATCAGAAATGACCAACTGCTATCAAGTTTAGTGTTCCTCTAAGTACTGAAAAGGACTTATGAGTACTTTAAGAACTCTCCTTTTCCTACCAAAGATATTGGAGCCCACATATGTAAATATATTTTGACTTACTGGAGACAGAGAGATGGATAAGAATGAAGTTTCGGTACAGCAAATCCCCATCAACAAAATAAAATGGCAAGGAAGGGGGAACCCTAGGAAAAATATTTTAGAACATGACCATGTATGACCCTTACAGACAAAAGCCTTTATATATCAGTAAAAAAAAAAAAAAAAAAAAGAGGCCGGGCGCGGTGGCTCAAGCCTGTAATCCCAGCACTTTGGGAGGCCGAGGTAAGTGGATCATGAGGTCAGGAGATCGAGACCATCCTGGCGAACATGGTGAAACCCCGTCTCTACTAAAAATACAAAAAAAAAAAAATTAGCTGGGCGTGATGGCAGGCGCCTGTAGTACCAGCTAATCGGGAGGCTGAGGCAGGAGAACGGCGCAAACCCAGGGGGCAGAGCTTGCAGTGAGCCGACATCGCACCACTGCACTCCAGCCTGGGAGACAGTGAGACTCCGTCTCAAAAAAAAAAAAAAAAGGCCAGGTGTGGTGGCTCACACCTGTAATCCCAGCACTGTGGGAGGCCAAGGCAGGCAGATCACAAGGTCAGGAGTTCGAGACCAGCCTGGCCAATATGGTGAAACCCCGCCTCTACTAAAAATACAAAAATTAGCAGGGCATGGTGGTGGGTGCCTGTAGTTCCAGCTTCTCGGGAGGCTGAGGCAGGAGAATTGCTTGAACCTGGAGGCAGAGGTTGCAGTGAGCCAAGATCAGGTCACTGCACTCCAGCCTGGACGACGGAGACTCCATCTCAAATAAATAAATAACTAAGTAAAAAAAAAGGTAACACATTAAGAATGAGCAAAGGCTATGAAAAATTAAAAGTAAATAAATAAATCAGTAGGCTGGGCGTGGTGGCTCACACCTGTAATCCCAGCACTTTGGGAAGCTGAGGCGGGCAGACCACGAGGTCAGGAGCTCAAGAGCAGCATGGCCAACATGGTGAAACCTTGTCTCTACTAAAAATACAAAATGTTAGCCGGGTGTGGTGGCATGGGCCTGTGGTCCCAGCTAATTGGGAGGCTAAGGCAGGAGAATCGCTTGAACCCAGGAGGTGAAAGGTGCAGTGAGCTGAGATTACGCCACTGCTCTCCAGCCTAGGTGACAGAGCAAGACTCTGTCTCAAAAAAATAAATAAATCAGTAAAAAAAATTTAATGCAGTAAGAATGAGCAAAGGCTATGAAAAGCTAGTAACAGAGGAAATAAAGTAGCTGTGAAAATATTAAAAGATGGCCGGGCATGGTAGTTCACACCTGTAATCCCAGCACTTTGGGAGACCAAGGCAGGAGGATCACTTGAGCCAAGGAGTTCATCATCAGCCTGGACAACATGGCAAGACCCTCCCTCTACAAAAAGTAGAAAAATTGGCTGGGCGTGGTGGTATGTGCCTGTAACCCCAGCTACTCAGGAGGCTGAGGTGGAAGAATCAATTGAACCCAGGTGGCAGAAGCTGCAGTGAGCTGAGATCACACCACTGTACTCCAGCCTGGGTGAGAGAGATGGAGACCCTGTCACAAAACAAACAAAAGAGATATTGACAAGTTTTCATAATCCTATGCATTCTATCTTCTCAGCTTTTGTTCCAGCAATTTTTTCATTTCCCTGAGAATTTTAACTGTCCTATTATTTTCCTGCCTACAGTACCTCTTTATGCAGGTACATCCTCTGGGCAGAGAAGCCAGCTATGCTCTTCAGTATTGTCAGCCTGCCACATATATCCAGTTTAGGAATTTCTCTTAAACACAAAGTACTCTAGAAACTTACAAAGAGCAGCCGGGTGCGGTGGCTCACACCTGTAATCCCAGCACTGTGGTAGGTAGGCCAAGGCAGGTGGATCACCTGAGGTCAGGAGTTCGTGACCGGCCTGGCCAACATGGTGAAACCCCGTCTCTACTAAAAATACTAAAAAACTAGCCAGGCGTGGTGGTGGGCACCTGTAATCCCAGCTACGTGGGAGGCTGAGGCAAGAGAATTGCTTGAACCCGGAGACGGAGGTTGCAGTGGGCCGACAGGGTGCCACTGCACTCCAGCCTCAGTGACAGAGTGAGAATCAGTCTCAAAAAAAAAAACAAAAAAAAAACTTACAAAGAGCTCAGCCTTGAATTATCTAGCCCAGTTGACTGTACCAATATTCAAGTAAAATAGATCAAGAAGCATTTGCTTACCAATTTCTCAATTTGATCTTGGTTTTAAAGAATAACACAAATGACAGAAAACAACTATGCATTATGGAACCTTTATTTTTCATGTGATTTCTGTACATAAGGAGTATGAGAGTAACCCTTTTACAAATGGAACTAATTTACTAGAACAATGACAAAACTGAACTGGTATTTGATGTGAATCCACAGGAGTTTAAGCTTCAAATCCAGCCAAGAAATTTGTTACAATCTCTTTCAGCTTTGCATCTGATTGTTCTGAGATCTTTCCATCAGCCCTATTTGGAAATAAAAGCAGGTCGTAAGTTCTGACCTGGAAAAAGTTTTAATGACTAGCCTAACTACAGATTTGAAAATAATTTTAACTTCATATCTTAAACATAACTTTAAAAAAAGATGCCAACAATTGCATTCATACCTGATAGTGCCCAACAAGGCTTGGTGCTGGCTGACGACATGAGACAAGAAAGCATTCTCAAACTTTGTAATCTTGCTGGGCTCCAGTTTATCAAGATATCCCCTTACACCCGCATAGATAACAGCCACTTGTTCTTCAATAGCCATGGGAGCTGAAAAGATACAAGAAGAATGCCAAGTGAGTTGCTCAAAGAAATGAATGCCATGTTACCAAGGTCAGGAAAACTTACTTTTTCTCCAATTCCTAACATGTCCCTGTAAATTATCTATTCTTCACAATATCAATGACCTAGAACTCCACTTAATAATCCTTCCTCCCACCCCTGACAGAAAACAGTTATTTCTTATATTTTCAAGGCTTGAGGCATAATCTTTCAGTATAGTCCATAAGCACTGTTTATAATCTGACAGTGTTAATACTGTTTTGAGTATAAATATTTTGCTGAAATGACTTGACAAAATAAAAACGTATTAACTTTCTTTTAAATCTGCCAAATTACATATTCATATAGCCAAGTGGGGGAGGGGACTCTAACAGGCCTTAATTCCTGAAAGGAAGACATTAAATATACTTAAGTTTTCCTGGTTGTGAAGCCCCTATCATTTACACTCAAATGATAATAAGAAATGTAGTTTGGGCCGGGCATGGTAACTCACACCTGTAATCCCAGCACTTTAGGACTCTGAGGCGGGTGGACCACTTAAGGTCAGGGGTTCAAGATCAGCCTGGCCAAAATGGTAGAGGTTTTACCATTTCTACTAAAAATATACTCCAGCCTGGGTGACAGAAGGAGACTCTGTATTAAAAAAAAAAAAAAAAAAGAAAGAAAGAAAAAGAAAGATAGTTTGAGGCCGGGCATGGTGGCTCACGCCTATAATGCCAGCACTTTGAGAGGTGGGAAGATGGCATAAGGCCAGGAGTTCAAGACCAGCCTGGGCAACATAGTGAGACCCTGTCTCTACAAAATACAAAAAAATTAGCCAGGCATGGTAGTGCATGCCCGTAGTCTTAGCTACTCAGGAAGCTAAGGCTGCAGGACTGCTTGAGCCCAGGAGTTCAAGCCTGCAGTGAGCTATGATGGCACCACTGCACTCCAGCCTGGGTGACACTGCAAGACACTGTCTCTCTTTAAAAAACAGAATACAGGGCCGGGCATGGGGGCTCACACCTGTAATCCCAGCACTTTGGGAGGCTGAGGCAGGGTGGATTACCTGAGGTCAGGAGTTCGAGACCAGCCTGGCCAACATGGTGAAACCCTGTCTCTACTAAAAATACAAAAATTAGTCGGGCGTGGTGGCTCACACCTGTAATCCGAGCTACTAAGGAGGCTGAGGCAGGAGAATCGCGTGAATCCAGGAGGTGGAGGTTGCAATGAGCCAAGGTTGCGCCATTGCACTTCAGCCTAGGCCGTAAGAATGAAACTTCGTCTCAAAAAAAAAAAAAAATCAAAAATCAAAAAACAAATGTAGTTTAAGTAAAAGTGCCTTTGATGAAAGATAACAGATAACAACACGTAGTACAGGCCGTGATATGTGATGCAGCTCTGTAGGCCTGGGAAGACCCTGATACACAATAGGAACCTGACCAAATGAAGAAAAGAACAACTTACAATACTGTCCTTGCTTCAGCAACTCAGTTAGACGCACGCCACGACTCAAAAGTTGTTGAGTGGCAGCATCGAGGTCAGAACCGAACTGGGCAAAAGCAGCAACCTCACGATACTGAGCCAATTCCAGCTTCATGGTACCTGCTACCTGCAATACAGAAATTACTGTACTGTAACTCAGTGACACAGAGCACTATACAAATATAGTTAATATATTAATACCTTAAGATGCTAATCTAATGATAGCCCCCTTACTGCCAAAGTGATGCAAAATTACCTGCTTCATAGCCCTGGTTTGGGCAGCGGATCCGACACGAGATACAGACAGACCAACGTTAATTGCAGGGCGGATACCTTTGTAGAACAATTCTGTTTCCAAGAAGATCTATAATGTAAGGAAATACGCACGCTAGCAAGCTTAAAGTAAGAAATCAACTATCTTCAAATTTAAGTCATTATGCCAAAAAGCTGAAACTCAAAACCTAACAATGCAAAGCATCAGTACCCCAAATCTTTCACGACCTGACCTGTATATTTTATTGCTGCAATTAGGAGATGTGCATGAGATGAGAAAAAAACATAATAGGCAACATATTTATACTGAAATACATACAAATGAAGTGATATAATTTCTATTTGATTCAAAATTATCTAGAAGGGAGAACAGTAGTGGTTAAAAATGAAACTAGAACGAAACATGCTACTCTATGCAATAACTGGGTGACAGATACATGGGGTTTCACTATGCCATTCTCCTAACTTTTCTATGTATTTGAAATTTTCCATAATAAAAAGTAAAATGCATTTAGCAAATCAGTCAATATACCATTAGTCTCAACCAATGCCTTAGAATTATCCAAATCTTTTTTAACATTTCTTTTAATCATTAAAATAATACCTGTCCGTCAGTGATGGAAATGACATTTGTTGGAATGTAAGCAGACACATCACCAGCCTGTGTTTCTATGACTGGCAAAGCAGTCAAGGAGCCACCACCAAAAGCATCGTTCATTTTGGCTGCTCTCTCCAGCAACCGGGAGTGTAGGTAGAACACATCACCAGGATAGGCCTCACGACCAGGGGGTCGGCGGAGCAACAGAGACATCTGACGGTAAGCAACAGCCTATGGTACAGAATAGGTTTGTGAAGTTAACCTATTAAATAGAAGTTGCATATGTGAACTTTTACTTCAGTACAAATAAATGGATTCTAAAAATTTATTTCCTTTGACCTGTTTGGATAAGTCGTCATAGATGATCAAAGCATGTTTGCCATTGTCTCTAAAATACTCTCCCATGGAACAGCCAGAGTAAGGAGCCAGGTACTGAAGTGGGGCAGCATCCGAGGCCGTAGCCGACACCACAATGGTGTACTTCATGGCATCTGAGAAAATATATTTTACAATTTTATCAATATTGTGGTTTTAAATTGGAGGCTACTATAAAAATTACCTAAGTGCTAAAAATATTTACCATTAAGAGTTAATCAGGCCAGGCGCAGTGGCTCATGCCTGTAATCCCAGCACTTTGGGAGGCCCTAGGCGGGTGATCACCTGAGGTCAGGAGTTCGAGACCAGCCTGACCAATATGAGGAAACTCCGTCTCTACTAAAAATACAAAAATTAGCCGGACGTGGTGGCATGCACCTGTAATCCCAGCTACTCGGGAGGCTGAGACAGGAGAATCGCTTGAACCCAGGAGGCAGAGGTTGCAGTGAGCTGAGATCGTGCCATCGCACTCCAGCCTGGGCAACAAGAGTGAAACTCCGTCTCAAACAACAAAAAAAGAGTTAATCAGAATCAAACAGCTTCCACTTTAAAGAAACCAACAAAACCTTTAAATGTACTACTGTTTTACATTGTCTTACCTACTGATTTGTATTAAAAAGTTCAGCCCATTAGGAAGTAATTAAAATATGCCTTCATTAAGTAGAAGCTATTCTACAATCAGCAGCAATGGGACTTAAGATAATAGCAATGGGACTAAATTTCTTTTAATACCTGCATCTGTAAGTCTCTTCACCAACTGGGCAACAGTGGATCTCTTTTGACCAATAGCAACATAAATACAGTACAGCTTCTTCTTTTCATCAGATCCATCATTGAAACGTTTCTGGTTAATGATTGTGTCAATAGCAATTGAGGTTTTCCTTTAAAAAGAGAAAGTAAATATAAATCTTCCTAAACTTAAAAGGACTTCCCTGTGGGGGAAAGAAAGAGAGATCAGACTGTTACTGTGTCTATGCAGAAAGAAGAAGACATAAGAAACTCCATTTTGTTCTGTACTAAGAAAAATTCTTCTGCCTTGAGATGCTGTTAGTCTGTAACCATAGCCCCAACCCTGTGCTCGCAGAAACATGTGCTGTGTTGACTTAAGGTTTAACGGATTTAGGGCTGTGCAGGATGTGCTTTGGTAAAAATGTGTTTGCAGGCAGTATACTTCGTAAAAGTCATCGCCATTCTCCAGTCTCGAGTACCCAGGGACACAATGCACTGTGGAAGGCTGCAGGGCCCTCTGCCCAATAAAGCCTGGGTATTGTGCAAGGTTTCTCCCCACTGAGACAGCCTGAGATATGGCCTCGTGGGAAGGGAAAGACCTGACCATCCCCCAGCCCGATACTCGTAAAGGGTCTGTGCTGAGGAGGATTAGTGAAAGAGGAAAGCCTCTTTGCAGTTGAGATAAGATGAAGGCATCTGTCTCCTGCTTGTCCCGGGGAATGGAATGTCTTGGTGTAAAACCCAATCGTACATTCTATTTACTGAGATAGGAGAAAACCACCCTATGGCTGGAGGTGAGATATGCTGGCAGCAATACTGCTCTTTACTGCACTGAGATGTTTGTGTAAAGTCAAACATAAATCTGGCCTACATGCACATCAAGGCACAGCACCTTTCCTTAAACTTATTTATGACACAGAGACCTTTGCTCACGTTTTCCTGCTGACCCTCTCCCCACCATTAACCCTACAGTCCTGCCACATCCCCCACACCGAGATAGTAGAGATAGTGATCAATAAATACTGAGGGAACTCAGAGACCAGTGGCGGCATGGGTCCTCCATATGCTGAGCGCCGTTCCCCTGGGCCCACTGTTCTTTCTCTATACTTTGTATCTGTGTCTTATTTATTTTCTCAGTCTCTCAACCCACCTGACGAGAAATACTCACAGGTGTGGAGGGGCTGGCCCCCTTCATCTGGTGCCCAACATGGGGCTCAAACCCACGACCCTGGGATTAAGAGTCCCATGCTCTACCGACTGAGCTAGCTCGTCCCACCTGATGAGAAATACCCACAGGTGTGGAGGGGCTGGCCCCCTTCACTTCCCAGCTGAAATTTTACTATTAATCCTCGTATTAGATTCTAATGTCCCCATTACCATTTACCATTCCAAGACTAAAATATAATCCTTCCATTGAGCAAATTTTAGTTAGAACTTTTAATATGCTTTTGAGTCTTTACCCAGTCTGTCGGTCACCAATAATCAGTTCACGCTGACCACGACCAATTGGCACCAAGCTATCCACAGCCTTAATGCCAGTCTGCATTGGTTCCCGCACTGAAATTCGAGGAATGATACCGGGGGCTTTCAGACCAACTCGCCTACGCGTCTTGGAACCAATTGGACCCTGTTAAAAAATAAAAAGAAAAACCCTAAGCATAATCAGTTTTGATGTTTGTTAGAAGCTGCAACTATATCTAACGAACATTAAACCTACCTTTCCATCAATAGCATTACCAAGGGCATCAACTACACGACCCAACAGCTCCTCACCAACTGGAACGTCCACAATGGCTCCTGTCCTCTTCACTATATCTCCTTCCTTAATTAGTTTATCATTTCCAAACACGACAACACCAACATTGTCAGGTTCCAAGTTCAAGGACATACCCTGCACAAAAGACACAATTGAACATCAATGAAGCTGAATGGGCACTCCTCCCCATACACCAATACTACATAAGAAAATAGTCGGGGGGTGGGGGGGGAAGCAGTATTGTCCTTTTCACCTGGTTTATTCTTGAGTACTTTTCCAACTAACAAACAACCCTCTCTGATTAAGACTTTTAAAATTGCTATTTTGAATAATCTTAGGACAGCACATTGATAAGCCTAATATGCTCACTATCATATCCTCAAATAACTATTACAGAAGCAAAGAAATTGGACAGGTTAATAAGCTTTTTTCCACTGTATTTTCTTTGGCAATGATTCTTGGGCTGGGTGATCAGTATGAAATAAAGTGATGAAGGCCAAATGGAAATCTTAAGACAAATTTGATTATCATCTTATTTATGTGTGAGAAGCTCCATAAACAGTTTCAAAAATTAATCAAAACCTGTACTCTTCGAGTTAGTAGAAAGTGAAATTAAAAGCTACCTAACTGTAACCAATCAAATACAAATTTTCATAACATAACAGCACCAAATCATCTCTCATCATTAAAACTATATTTTAGATCTTTAAATCATGTCTGAAGCAAAAAGGCTATTCCAGGAATAGTCTGGTCAATAATGAAAACTCTGGAGAAGTACTTGGAGTATCATGGAATATCATTACACATCCAAAAACTTTAACCTACATCTCTGATGTTCAATACAGCATCCACTAACCACATGTGGCTATTTAAATTTGTCAAATTTAAAAGATTAAAAATTCAGTTCCTGTCACACTAGCCACATTTTACATGATTAATAGTGATAGTATAGTAGGTACCATATTAAACAGCACAGATGTATTCTCATCACTGCAGAATACTACATATTTCCAATACTACTGGACAGTACTGTTCTAGACACTTGGATTTCAAAAGCTAAAAGGGGAACTCAGAATTAATCTGTTTCGACCTCACCTTTCAAAGATAAATACTGTACACTGAAGATGCTAAATTGGCCAATGTCTTACAGCTAATGATAACTTTGGGCTCTGTAATTATTCTTCCACATCAAGTGGCTCTTTTTCCGTAGTAGACATTACCAAGAGTATCAAGACTATCTTTTCCCATATCTGCATGCCTACTAGACAGTTCCACTCTCTCTAGTTTATCCAGATGTCATCCTCTGCTTTCCCTAACTCCTACAACTTATTTCTCATACCCTGACAGATGAGGCTCAACCCAATACAAAGTAGACTTACATTAGAGAGCTTCTGATAGCTACACCAAAACTCGCCTTTGAACAATATGTCTACTCACTAGAAATACAAAGTCACGGACTTCCAATTTCCACCAGAAAAATTTTGTTGAAGTTATCAAATGCTTTGCTTTTGTATAAAATAATCTTAACAGCAAGACAGAACAGACTTAAACTTCTTGGATTTGGGGTGAAAGTTTATTCAATTTTATATTTTGGAGCCAGTGGCTACAAGTTATGTATAAATCAGTCCCTAGAGTAAAAAAACTTGGCTAATTCAAACCCTTAAGTTTATTCTCTTTACAATCTATGATAATAACAAGAAAAAAATCTGAGGCAAATTAAGACAAAGTTTTTTAAAAATCTGATACAATCTTTGAATCGCTAAATGAATAACTGAGAAGACTTAGATCCTAAAACACCAAAATCTTATTTTATAATTTACCTTTAAGCCTGAAGAAAACTCTACCATTTCTTCTGCTTGAACATTCCTCAGCCCATGTACGCGGGCAATACCATCACCAATACTTAAGACACGCCCAGTTTCTTCAAGATCAACAGAGGTATCAGCTCCAAGAATACGCTCTTCAAGAATAGAGGACATCTCAGCAGTCCCTATGGAAGACAATTCAATTCAATTAAAAAAATAATCTGGGCCAGGCACAGTGGCTCACAGCTGTAATCCCAGCACTTTTGGAGGCTGAGGCAGGCAGATCACCTAAGGGCAGGAGTTTGAGACCAGCCTGACCAACATGGAGAACCCTGTCTCTACTAAAAATACAAAATTAGCTGGGCATGGTGGCACATGCCTGTAATCCCAGCTACTCGGGAGGCGGAGGCTGAGGCAGAAGAATCGCTTGAACCCAGGAGGCGGAGGTTGCGGTGAGCTGAAATCACACCATTGCACTCAAGCCTGGGTAACAAGGGCAAAAACTCCATCTCAAAATAATAATAATAATAATAATAATAATAATAATAATAATAATAATAATAAAAATCTGGTCCTCGGATCTTTTCAAAGCCCATTTCTCAACAACAAAAAACTAGTTTTGTGATCATAATAATCCAAATATATTCTACAGACCCAGCACAGTGGCTCACGCTAGCCACAGTGGTAATGCTAGCACTTTAGGAGGCTGAGGCAGGCAGATCACTTGAGGTAAGGAGTTCGAGACCAGCCTGGCCAACATTGTGAAACCCCGTCTCCACTAAAAATAAAAAAAAAATTAGCTGGGCACGGGCATGCCTGTAGTCCCAGCTACTCAGGAGGCTGAGACAGAAGAACTGCTTGAACCTGGGAGGTGGAAGTCACAGTAAGCCAAGATTGTGTCACTGCACTCCAGCATAGGTGACAAAGTGAGACTATCACACACACAAAAATTATATATATATATATATATTCTACACTGTAACACGAGATTCTATTTTTAAAAGCTATGAAAATAAAACCAAGTGATTAAGGAAAAAAAAGTCCACACAAAACAAATGTAAACCAGACAAGAAGCTAATCAAATTAAGTAAAACCCTTAAAATAAATGTTCTCCTTTAATTTCTAAGAAATCTGTAACTATGTTAAAACCTGAATTTTTGGCTAAATTCAATAAAAACATATTTTAAAAACCAACTGTTGGCCAGGCACGGTAGATCATGCCTGTAAAACCAGCACTTTGGGATGCCAAAGGGGGTGGATCACTTGAGGCCAGGAGTTCGAGACCAGCCTGGGCAACATGGTGAAACCCCCATCTCTACTAAAAACACAAAAGTTTGCCGGGCATGGTGGTGCATGCCTGTAATCCCAGCTACTTGGGTGGCTGAGGCACGAGAATCACTTGAACCTGGGAGAAGGAGGTTGCAGTGAGCTGAGATAGCCCCACTGCACTCCAGCCTGGAGACAGAGCAAGACTCTATCTCAAAAAAATAAAAAATAAAAAATAAAAATCAACTGTTAACAAAGTGTGTCTTTCTCTTTCAAGGCACACAGGGTAGTATAGGTGGTATTCTTCATCTTAGCATACAGGGGTTGGGTGCAGTGGCTCACGCCAGTAATACCAGCACTTTGGGAGGCGGGCGGACCACTTGAGGCCAAGAGTTTGGACCAGCCTGGCCAACACAGCAAAATCCCATCTCTACTAAGGAAAAAAAAAAAAAAAATTAGCCAGCTGTGGTGGTGCATGCTTGTAATACCAGCTACTCGGGAGGCTGAGGCAGGAGAGAATCACTCAAACCCAGGAGGTGGAGGGTCCAGTGAGCCAAGACTACGCTACTGCACCCCAGCTTGGGCAACAGAGCGAAACTCTGTCTCAAAAAACAAAACAAAACAAAATAAAAAAACATCCCAGCACTTTGGGAGGCCAAGGTAGACGGATCCCCTGGGGTCAGGGCTTTGAGATCAGCCAGGCCAACATGGCGAAACTCTATCTCTACTAAAAATACAAAAATTAGCCAGGTGTGGTGGTGCGTGCCTGTAATCCTAGCCACTAGGGAAGCTGACTCAGGAGAATCACTTGAACCTGGGAGGTGGAGGTTGCAGTGAGCTGAGATGGCGCAACTGCACTCCAGCTTGGGCAACAGAGTCTCAAAAAAAAGGAGGCCACGCACAGTGCCTCATGTCTGTAATCCCACCACTTTGGGAGGCCAAGGCAGGTGGATCACCTGAGGTCAGGAGTTCGAGACCAGCCTGGCTAACATGGTGAAACCTTGTCTCTACAAAAAATACAAAAATTAGCTGGGTGTGGTGGTGGGCACCTGTAATCCCACCTACTCGGGAGGCTGAGGCAGGAGAATCACTTGAACCCGTGAGGCAGAGGCTGCAGTGAGCCCAGATCATGCCACTGCACTCCAGCCTGGGCAACAAGAGCAAAACTCCATCTCAAAAAAAAAAGAAAAAAGAAAAACATATATGCTGAACGTGGGGGTGTGTGTACACATACACACACACACACACACACACATATACACACACACTCTCACACACATATATATTTAACCTTTATTTTAAAAGTCCAAATACTCATCTCCAAAGAAATTCCCCAACTTATAGTGTCTTCCTATGCTTGCCTCCCCACTTCTCTACTGCATCTGTAATGTGCAAGTTCACAGATTGCCAAATATCTAGTAGCTACTGCCTTTGAAAAAATAAAACCTATCAGTGGACCGGTGCAGTGGCTCACGCCTTTAATCCCAGCACTTTGGGAGGCCGAGGCAGGCATATCACAAGGTCAGGAGATCGAGACCATCCTGGCCAACATGGTGAAACCTTGTCTCTACTAAAATACAAAAAATTAGCCGGGCATGGTGGTGCATGCCTGTAATCCCAGCTAGTCAGGAGACTGAGGCAGTAGAATTGCTTGAACTCAGGAGACAGAGGTTGCAGTGAGCCGAGATCTTGCCACTGCACTCCAGCCTGGCGACAGAGCAAGATTCTGTCTCAAAAAAAAAGAAAACGAATAAGAAAACCTATCAATAAGAACTTACATTTTTTCTAATGCCTTTTAGAAAAGGAAAAAGGAAGTCTTCCAGAGGTCACAAAGATTCCATTACCTAGTGTATGTTCTTTCTGTTTCTACCCAAGGGCCATTACCAGAACAAAGAAGCCATACTAATATCAAAAGAAAAATATGTAACAGTAGTTCATTTGACTATAACAAGAGAACCATGACAGGGCTAAATGGTAACAATATGGTTTAAGAACCTGAGAGTCTATACAAACTAGAGAAAAAACTAACAAATGAAAAACAACTCACCACAGTTATACGATGTATGTAATTTATATCTTCATCTAGTAAGTGCGGCGTAGACTGAGAAATAATAACTTACCAGTCTTTTGAAGATGAGTGTTAGAGGCATGGAAGTTCCTTGCAGCAATGAAAGATGAACCCAAAGCATTTCTGGAGACCTAGTGCAAAAGTATTCTTAAAAATTTGATTTTTAACAAAGCCTTTATAAAACTTACAAGCTTAAACAAATGCCAGCTTAGTGTGATCAAAGTACTGGTGAAAATGCTAATTACATATAAAGCATTTTGTTTAAAATGTCAAATGGGAAAGTAGCTTTTGATATATGTGAAAACCTTTTATACAGCTCCTAGTACACAGTAAACACTCGCATATTTTTAAAATGCAGTCTGTACTTTATTATTATTGTTTTTTTGAGACGGCTCACTGCATCCTCCACCTCCTAGTCTCAAGCGATTCTCAGCCTCCCGAGTAGCTGGGACTACAGGGGTGCGCCACCTCCACCAGGTTAATTTTTTATATTTTTAGTAGAGACGGGGTTTCACCATGCTGGCCAGGCTGGTCTCGAACTCCTGACCTCAAGTGATCCACCCGCCTTGGCCTCCCAAAGTGCTAGAACTATAGGCGTGAGCACCGCACCCGGCTTATTTTTTTTTCTTTTTTGGGACAGGGTCTCACTCTTGTCACCCAGGTCGGAGTGCAGTGGCTCAATCACGGCTCACTACAGCCTCGACTTCCTGGGCTCAGGTGATCCTCCCACCTCAGCCTCCCCAGTAGGTGGGATCACAGGAGTGCGCCACCTGGCCAGGCTAATTTTTGTACTTATTTTTTTTATAGAGACAGGATTTCATCATATTGCCCAGACTGGGCAGTAAATAAATATATATTTACTGGGCAGTAAATATATATATACACACACATTTTTTTTTTCCTTCTGAGACGGAGTCTCATTCTGTCACCCAAGCTGGAGTGCAGGGGCACGATCTTGGCTCATTGCAACCTTCACCTCCCAGGTTCAAGCGATTCTCATGCCTCGGCCTCCTGAGTAGCTGGGACTACAGGCGACCACCACCATGCCCGGCTAATTTTTTTATTTTTAGTAGAGACAGGGTTTCGCCATGTTGGCCAGGTTGATCTCGAACTCCTGACTTCAGGTGATGCACCCACCTTGGCCTCCCAAAGTGCTGGAATTACAGACGTCAGCCACTGCACCCGGCCTGGCAGTCAGTATTTTAAAAAGCAACTATTGGCAGGGCACGGTGGCTCATGCCTGTAATCCCAGCACTTTGGGAGGCCAAGGCGGGCGGATTACCTAAGGTCGGGAGTTGGAGACCAGCCTGACCAACATGGAGAAACCCCGTCTCTACTAGAAATACAAAATTAGCTGGGCGTGGTGGCACATGCCTGTAATCCCAGCTACTCGGGAAGCTGAGGCAGGAGAATCGCTTGAACCTGGGAGGCAGAGGTTGTGGTGAGCCAAGATCGCGCCACTGCACTCCAGCCTGGGCGACAAAAGCAAAACTCCGTCTCAAAAAAAAAAAAAAAAAGCAACTGTTAACAAAATGTAAGTGTCTTTCCCTTTAAAGGTACCCAATTTTTATTATTTTGACTTTAGATGTATTTTAATGGAGTTGCAGGAATTCTAAGATAAACAGCTTCCTACAAGGGGCAAAACTCAAAGTAGTTCCAATTTTACTTAAAAACAACAACAACAACAACGACAACAAGCGGCCGGGCACGACGGCTCATGCTTGTAATCCCAGCACTTCAGAAGGCCGAGGCGAGCGGATCACCTGACGTCAGGAGTTCAAGACCAGCCTAGCCAACATGGTGAAACCCCGTCTCTACGAAAAACTACAAAAAGTAGCAGGGCATGACGGCGGGTGCCTGTAATCCCAGCTACTCGGGAGGCTGAGGTGGGAGAATCACTTGATCCTGGGAGGCGGTGGTTGCAGTGGGCGGAGATCACGCCATTGCAATCCAGCCTGGGCGACTGAGCGAGACACCATCTCAAAAAAAAAAAAAAAAAAAAAAAACAAGCAAACAAAAACTGAATAAATGCTAGAGTTAGATTAGAAACCAAGAGTTGTGGCATGTGGACTTATTTTACTCTCTCAACAAATCCTGCAGCCACCTGGAACTTCCTTCAGTTTCTCCTTCAAGTTGTAATACTGCGACTGGTCACTGTCAATTCTGAAGCCTCTACCTTCCATAGGAGCTAGATGAAAACCGTTAAAAATGCTTTTTTGTTAACAGAAACCCAAGATGCTACCAGCGGTTGTTAAGGCAGCAAAACAGCCAACATGTTTATTTCACCTTTCAAATTGAGATTACTTTTAGAACAAAAAAAAAGTGTCAGTGTCAATGCGTTTACACTGAAATCATGTTAATTTCAAGGGAAACAAATAACGAAGGGTATTAATCCTTACAGCCATTTTCCAACCTTGTTCTCTTTTACTTGAATTCTCCATCACTAAAAATTACTCAAAACCAGGTGGAAAACTCAAGGACAAATTCTTTAAACACGTCCAAGTGCCACAAAGCACACACTCTGCCGGAGAGACAATTTAGAAACCAGCTTCACTGTTGTCACAGTGCTGGCCACATGAAATGGTTCTTTGCACCTGCAGGACGTTTTCACGGTCGTTTCGTATTCAGCACTAAGAGAAAGCCTACGTAAGTATTCCAAAAACCACCTTCATTTATTCCTTTCCTCTAAACTGAGCTCCAGGCAGAGGTGAAATGCTGGGCCTGCTGACCTTCACACAATGTCAGACTCCACTGACTAGCTTCAACAAGAGCTGACAGCAGTTTTCTGACCTTCAGCGGGACGCGACCCTAAGAATCGAAAGAGAGGAACCTCACCGATTCAGAACAGGCCTCGGAGAGCTAGCGCCCAAGCCCTGACCTTCACCCAAGATCCCCCTTCTAGGGCCGCTGTCAGCCGAAGACAGGAATCTTGAGGCCCTGTCTCTGGACACCATCGAGTTAACTGTCTGCCCTGTACCATTCTGCCTCTGCGCAGGTGACGAGCAAAAGGGCACCTGTGTCGCCTGCTCTGTCCAGCCGGAGAAGCCACGGGTGCAAGATGGCGGCATTCGCCACAGCCCCTCGCCCTCCTGCAGAGAGCGCCCGAGCCGGCGCACCACCACCCTGCAGCCCCACCCGGCCGCCTGCATCATGCCGGCCTTCGGTGCTCACCAGTCCGGCCCGCCGAGGAAGGGCGCGGACCACGGCCGCAGCAACGCGCACGGACAGCATCTTTGCAGTTACTCCGCAGGCGGTACTTCTGCAGCCGCAGCCTCCGGACTGACTGGGACAAAATGGCCGAGCCGCAAAGAAGGTCAAGACAGCCGGCCCACCTGACCCGGAAGTACTGCCCCTCGCGTTCACCACCTCTCCCCCCGCCCCCGCCGCCACTCTGCATTTTTTGGCAGGTTACTTATTTTTTTATGTAACATTTTTAAGTTTAAACCTCAAAATGAATGATTAGATATATTCCGGCTTTGGTCCTGGCATTCGTTATACATTTATTTTGGTCTTTTGAGTCGACCTTGTGGTTGCCCCGGGTGACCACGTGGGTAGCTGAATCTGCTAAGCAGCAGTTCCCAGGCCCCATCTGGTGCTAGAGGATGAGGGCCTCACCCGTCTGGGGTCGCGGCTGTCTTGAGGACCAGGGCGATTAATAGTGTCGGTAGTGTTAGACCGTGGTTTAGCACGAGTAGCAACAGTGAACAGCTAAACCCCGGGACTGGCCACCAGCAGGGAGCCTCCCACGGAGCCCGTTAATCTGCAGATCTTAGCCCCACTTCAGACCCTCTGAGTCGAAAATTCGGGGCAATCTGAATTTTTAACAAACACCAGCACCGTTCCACGTGATCCGATCTGCGCTCAGGTTAAAGATTCCCAGCTTTTTTAGATTCATTCTAAAAGAATCCTGTCAGTGAATTAGAGCAAACTGTTTAAAAATCCTGATAACCGGGGGAGGGGAGCATCAAGATAAATAGCTAATACATGCGGAGCTTAATACCTAGGTGATGGGATGATAGTTACAGCAAACCACCATGGCACACATTTACCTGTGTAACAAACCTGCACGTCCTGGACATGTATTCCGGAACTTTAAATTAAAAAAAATATATCAACAATCACAAGGAGGCCTAGAAGAGTCATTGCCAATCCTACTGAGAATTGTCCAGAATCAGAAGTTTACACCAGGATAGGACGAGGACTCGCTTTTTCCTCTGCCAACATCTAGTTCATGCTATTGGGAACTCTGCTTCTTCATTTGGAGTCAAAGGGAGATGATGAAAAAACACTTTCTATGCTTACCTGGATGGGCTTTTTTTTTTTCTCCACAGAATTACCATACTGAGATTTTTGTGATATATGCAAGATTTGTGTGTGTGTGTGATGCTGGTTATTATTATGTCATAGTGGACACTTATTAACGTTGCCTTCACTTTTCTTTTTTTTTTATTTATTTATTTTATTTTATTTAAGACAGGGTCTCACTCTGTTGCCCAGGAAAGAGTGCAGTGGGTTTATCACCATTCATTGCAGCCTGGAACTCCTGGGCTGGAGCAATCCTCTGACCTCAGCCTGTGCCCCTGTGGTCCCACCACCATGCCTGGCTAATTTTTTTGTAAAGACGGCGGTGGTGGGCAGGGCGTGGGGGGAGGTCTCTCTATGTTGCCCAGGCTGGTCTCGAACTCCTGGCTTCAAGTGATCCTTCCTCCTCAGCCTCTGCGCTGGGCCCGCTTTTCACCGTTTGGAGAAGCATTTTCAGTTCCATCCCCCAAATCCTGGCTTACACCTAGAACCTGAATTTTGGTGAGGCAAATAAATATCCGGGCTACAAGGGTCATCTCCTGAAACATGGCTTGTAAACACGTGATTAGCCATCCTTTTCTCTAGTATCCTACTCTTTTCAAGGTAAGCCATGGGAAAATAGAGCAGCAGTTCTCCTGGGAATCAGGGGTACAAAAAGGCTGTCCAAGCCAGGCGCAGTGGCTCACGCCTGTAATCCCAGCACTTTGGGAGGCTGAGGCGGGTGGATCACCTGAGGTCAGGAGTTCGAGACCAGCTTGGCCAACATGGCAAAACCCCATCTCTACTAAAAATACAAAAATTAGCCCGGCATGGGGGCGGGCACCTGTAATCCCAGCTACTGGGGAGGCTGAGGCAGGAGAATTGCTTTAACCCGGGAGGCAGAAGTTGCAGTGAGCCCCAGATTGCACCACTGTCCTCCAGCCTGGGCAATAAAAGTGAAACTCCATCTAAAAAAAAAAAAAAAAAAAAAGAAAGAAAAAAAGAAAAGAAAAAGAAAAAGGCTGTCCAAGTAAAATAAAATACAGAGACAAATCTATAAATTTAAAACATTTGGGAAGCAATAATTGCCATTCAGGGCATACACACAAACAGGGTGGTCTTTGGTACGTCAGAAGAACAAACAGATGGTTAGAGGTTTTATTTTTGTAAAAGAGAAATATAGCCAGGAACAGTGGCTCATGCCTGTAATCCCAACACGTTGGGAAGCCAAGATGAGAGGTTCACTTGAGCCCAGGAGTTTGGGAGTGCAGTGAGCTGTGATCACACCGGAACACTCCAGCCTGGGCAACAAAGCAAGACCCTATATCAAAACAAACAACAAAAAAAGAGAACTGTTGTATATTGTTCTTTAAGAAAGTTCATTGTCACTAGTAAGGTTTTGGGGAGCTGGCAAGTTTTGATTGGCAAGTAATGGCAACTAGGTAAAACGATCCTTAGAGTCACTGCAGGTTGTTTTTAGCAGCTAATTAGATAAAACTGGTTTAGGTCAGCCGGGCACGGTGGCTCACGCCTGTAATCCCAGCGCTTTGGGAGGCCGAGGCGGGTGGATCACCTGAGGTCAGGAGTTCAAGACCAGCCTGACCAACATGATGAAACCCCGTCTCTGCTAAAAATACAAAAATTGGCTGGGTATGTTGGCGGGTGCCTGTAATCCCAGCTACTTGGGAGGCTGAGGCAGGAGAATCACATGAACCTGGAGGCAGAGGTTGCAGTGAGCCAAAATCATGCCATTGCATTCCAGCCTGGGCGACAGAGTGAGACTCCATCTCAAAACAAACAAACAAAAAAACTGGTTTAGGTTATAGCGGGCAGTTTCAGCAGCCAGGCTTACAGATAATTACATTTTTGGAGCAATGTTATGTGCCCTGAGTGCTTTTTTTTCCCTTTACCTCTTGACACTGTTTTAGTTGGGGATGACAAGAATGACCCAATCAACTTTCACAAGCTAACAGGAAAAAATATCGTTTCTAAAAACAACAAGGCCGGGCATGGTGGCTCACGCATGTAATCCTAGCACATTGGGAGGCCAAGGCAGGCAGATCGCCTGAGGTCAGGAGTTCAAGACCAGCCTGGCCAACATGGCAAAACCCCGTCTCTACTAAAAAATCAAAAATTAGCTGGGGGTGGTGGTGCACACCTGTAACCCCAGCTACTCAGGAGGCTGAGGAAGGAGAATCGCTTGAATCCAGGAGGTGAAGGTTGCAGTGAGCCAGGTGGAGGTTGCAGTGAGCCAAGATTGCGCCTCTGCACTTCAGTATGCGCGACAGGAGTGAGACTATCTCAAAACAACAACAACAATAACAACAAAATTAGCCGGCATGGTGGCTCACACCTGTAATCCCAGCACTTTGGGAGGCTGAAGCAGGTTGATCACTTGAAGTCAGGAGTTCAAGATGAGTCTGGCCAACATATCGAGATCCCTGCACCCCCTGCCCCATCTTTAGCTGGGCATGGTGGCACATGCCTGTAATCCCAGCTATTTAGGAGGCTGAGGCACGAGAATCACTTAAACCTGGGAGATGGAGGTTGCAGTGACCACTGCACTCCAGCTTGGGCAACACAGTGAGATTCTGTCTGAAAAAAAAAAAAAGGCCGGGCATGGTGGCTCATGCCTGTAATCCCAGCACGTTGGGAGGCTGAGGTGGGCGGATCACGAGGTCAGGAGATCGAGACCATCCTGGCTAACATGGTGAAACCCTGTCTCTACTAAAAGTACAAAAAATTAGCCGGGTGTGGTGGCGGGCACCTGTAGTCCCAGCTACTCGGGAGGCTGAGGCAGGAGAATGGCGTGAACCCGGGAGGCGGAGCTTGCAGTAAGCCGAGATTGCTCAACTGCACTCCAGCCTAGGCAACAGCACAAGACTCCCTCTCAAAAAAAAAAAAAAATTGCAGGGATATTTTGTAAAATTTGTAGTGATAAAAGTGGACAAAAGACATAAAGATAACTTTTTTTGCCCCATACTGAAGGGCTGCACCAGTTTATCTGAAATTTGGTTACAGAGCAGAGATATATTTAGTTTTTGTTTTTTTTTGTTTTTTGTGGTGGATTCTCACTCTGTCGCCCAGGCTGGAGTGCAGTGTCTCAATCTCAGCTCACTGCAAACTCTGCCTCCAGGGTTCAAGTGATTCTCTTGCCTCAGCCTCCCAAGTGGCTGGGATTACAGGCACGTGCCACCATGCCTGGCTAATTTTTGTATTTTTAGTAGAGATGGGGTTTTGCCATGTTGGTCAGGCTGGTCTTGAACTCCGGACCTCAGGTGATCCACCTGCCTCGGCCTCCCAAAGTGCTGAGAATATAGGTGTGAGGCACCGCATCCAGCCAGAGCAGAGATATGTTTGAAGCAAAAAGAATAAGCAAGACAGGCTGGGTGTGGTGCCTCATGCTTGTAATCCCAGCACTTTGAGAGGCCCAAGTGGGAGCATCACTTGGGGCCAGGAGTTCAAAAACAGCCTGGGCAACATAGTGAGACCCTCTTTCTACAAAAAATACAAAAAGTTAGCTGGGTGTGGTGGTGCACGCCTATAGTCCCAGCTACTAAGGAGGCTGAAGCGGGAGGATTGCTTGAGCCCAGGAGTTCAAGGTTGCAGTGAACTGTGATCACCACTATACTCCAGCTTGGACGAAAGAGCAAGACCCTGTCTCTAAAAATAAAATAAAATAAATAATAAATAAGCTTGGCTTGCTAGTAAGTTTCCTTTGAAAAGAAAATCATTTTAGGCTGGGTGTGTTGGCTCACACCTGTAATCCTAGCTCTTTGAGAGGCCGAGGCAGGCAGATCACTTGAGGTCAGGAGTTTGAGACCAGCCTGATCAACGTGGTGAAACCCCCCGTTCTACTAAAAATAAAAAAATTATCCCTGCATGCTAGCACAAGCCTGTAATCCCAGCTACTAGAGAGGATGAGACAGGAGAATTGCTTGAGCCTGGGGACGGGGGTTGGAGGTCGCAGTGAGCCAAGATCATGTCACTCTGCACTCCAGCCTAAGCGACAGAGAAACACTCCATCTCAAAAAGAAAAGAAAAGGTCGGGCGCAGTGCCTGTAATCCCAGCACTTTGGGAGGCCAAGGCGGGCGGATCACCTGAAGTCAGGAGTTCGAGACCAAGCTGGCCAACCTGATGAGATCCCATCTTTACTAAGATACAAAAAATTAGCTGGGCGTGGTGATGCACACCTGTAATCCCAGCTACTCGGAAGGCTGAGGCAGGAGAATCGCTTGAACCCGGGAAGCAGAGGTGGCAGTGAGCTGAGAGCCGAGAGCCGAGATCGTGCCACTGCCCTCCAGCCTGAACAACAGAGACTCCATCTCAAAAAAAAAAAAAAAAAAAAAAAAGCTGGGCGCGCTGGCTCACGCCTGTAATCCCAGCACTTTGGGAGGCCGAGGTGGGCGGATCATGAGGTTAGGAGTTCGAGACCAGCCTGGCCAATATGGTGAAACCCCGTCTCTACTAAAAACACAAAAATTAGCCAGGCGTGGTGGCGCTTGCCCGTAGTCCCAGCTACTTGGGAGGCTGAGACAGAAGAATCGCTTGAACCCAGGAGGCAGAGGTTGCAGTGAGCCGAGATCATGCCACTGCACTCCAGCCTGGGCGACAAAGCGAGACTCTGTCTCAAAAAAAAAAAATGTCCCTAGTTTTTAGGTTGGGGGAACTAACGGATCAAGTTAAGATTGCCTCAGCTCATATTGCCAGGGTAGAATATAAATTCTGAGTGGATGCAATCAATGTGGAAGAAACACAAACATCTTGCTAAGCAAGAACCAAACGTTTCAAGTACTTTTTTTTAACGACAAGTGATTCAAACAAGAAATAAAAATAAAAGAAAGAAAAAACAACCTGGTTCTAGGCGGCTCTATCTCTCGTAGTGTTGATTATACCGCGGAAGGCGGGAAGAGCTGGGAAGTGGCAACGAAGCGAGGCTTGCAATGCCAGAGCCTTCGACCAGCCTTGCACAGGGGCTCAACGGCCAGGAGTCTCAGGTAAAACCACAACTCCCAGAAATCCCGGGCCCGGCGAGGGGCGGGTGCCAACGGCGTGTGGGCGGGGCCTAGGGAGTGAGCGGGGCGCATCTCCCGCTAGGAGTTCCTAGTAAAGTGGCGGGAGCCGCAGCTATGGAGCCGCAGGAGGAGAGAGAAACGCAGGTGATGGGGCGGGAATGGGGATCGTTGGCCTCCTGGAAAACGCGTTTTTGACACCCCCGCGCCGACAGCGGGTCTCCTGTGCGCGCCACGTCTACTTTTCTCTCCCCTATTCCACACATCCGTCTTTTAGTGCCGCCGTCACTATCTGCAAGCCCCCCGTGCTTAGACTCTCCTGAAGGCCTTTCCCTTCCTGCCCGGGCCTCCCCTTGTTTGGATCTGGCCCGGGAGAGGCGTTGAGCAGCCCGTGTCCACAGACTCTGGAGTGGGACTTATGAAGCCAAACCCGCCTTCCGGTTCGCTGCTCAGCCCGGCGGCTTCCACATCTGAACTGCTTCCGCGCCCTGCATCCCAACACTGGGAGCCTCCCGGCGCGGCGGGGCTTCTGGTGATCGAGGGACAATTGCTTTTTTCAGACCATGCACGGTCTAATAATGCGTTCGCATTATTATGGTCTATTAAGCTTTAAGGTTTTTCAAGCGAGGCAAATTGTTAGCCTGTACCGCTTTTGCAGATTTGGAAAAGAACGGATTGTTCTCTGGTAATTTTCAGTATTGTACGTTTCTTTGTGTACTTGCTCACTTTTTATTTCCTGATATCTAGTATCTCCCTAAAGACAAGTGAGGTTGTGAAGTAGGACTCCAAAATAGTCACAGAAAGCATTTAGTTTGCTTTTGATCACTTCTTTGTCATATTCTCATCGAGCCATTACAGTAAACAAGGCTTATAATATTTGTCTTTCTTTTAATGGTTAGGTTGCTGCGTGGTTAAAAAAAATATTTGGAGATCATCCTATTCCACAGTATGAGGTGAACCCACGGACCACAGAGATTTTACATCACCTTTCAGAACGCAACAGGGTCCGGGACAGGGATGTCTACCTGGTAATAGAGGACTTGAAGCAGAAAGCAAGTGAATACGAGTCAGAAGGTGAGATTAAGTCCAGAGTTTTGAACGAGAATAAATAGAGGTAACCAAATTTTATAACACTAAAGTATACAGGATTAATTTACTGTAGACTACTTGTTTTGCTCCTTTATTTTTCCCAGATTTTCTTCCACTCTGTTATAGTAGTAACTTTATTGTTTTATGTTTATATATATGTATATGTATGTGTGTGTGTGTGTGTGTGTGTGTGTGTGTGTGTGTGTGTGTATATATTTTAGACAATCTTGCTCTGTCGCCCAGGCTGGAGTGCAGTGGTGTGATCTCAGCTCACTGCAACCTCCATCTCCTGGGTTCAAGTGATTCTCATGCCTCAGCCTCCCAAGTAGCTGGGACTACAGGCCTGCACCACCACACCCGGCTAATTTTTGTGTTTTAGTAAAGACAGGGTTTCACAATATTGGCCAGGCTGGTCTCGAACTCCTGACTTCAGGTGATCCGCCTGCCTCAGCCTCCCAAAGTGGTAGGATTAGAGGCATGAGCCACCCTGCCTGGCCAGTAGTAATTCTCTAAGTAATAAATGTTATTATACTAAATATCTTATTGGTACTCTGATAGCAAAACAGTAAGCCTTAAAAGAGTCTAAACTTGTTAGTCTGACACACAAGATGCCTTGTGGTTTTTTACTTACCTATCTGTTTTTTCTGTTTCCGGTCTCCATGATTTAGTCATACGGACCTATCAGGACACCTGAGGTGGTGGCCATGAAATGTGAGACTTGGACGAAATTACTCTATGACTACGTATCAGGAGATTGCATTAGAATTTTCTGCTGGGCATATATAGTTTGAAAAAGTGCATTCAAGGCCGGGCACGGTGGCTTACGCCTGTAATCCCAGCACTTTGGGAGGCCGAGGCGGGCGGATCACAAGGTCAGGAGATCAAGACCATCCTGGCTAACACGGTGAAACACCGTCTCTACTAAAAATACAAAAATTAGCCGGGCGTGGTGGCGGGCGCCTGTAGTTCCAGCTGCTCGGAAGGCTGAGGCCGGAGAATGGCGTGATCCCAGGAGGCGGAGCTTGCAGTGAGCCGAGATCGCACCACTGCACTCCAGCCTGGGCGACAGAGCAAGACTCCGTCTCAAAAAAAAAAAAAGAAAAAAAGAAAAAGTGCATTCAAGATGCCTATTGTTTTGATAATACAAACCACAAAAGTAAAGATTGACAAAAATCTTTTTAGATACGAGAATACACCAAAGAGAGGAAGTGAGGCCTGCATTTGCCCTATATTTAATCAGATGTATGGTATTTGTTACATATGATATTTTGAATATAGTGCAGTTTATATTTGATTCTATTGCATATGTGCTTTTTTCCAGTTTTCTTTTAAAAGTTAATATACAGCAGGGCCAGGTGCAGTGGCTCACGCCTGTAATCCCAGCACTTTGGGAGGCCAAGGTGGGCGGATCACTTGAGACCAGGAGTTTGAGACAAGCCTGGCCAAGATGGTAAAACCCCGTCTCTACTAAAAATACAAAAATTAGCCAGGTGTGGTGGTATGTGCCTGTAATCCCAGCTACTTGGGAGGCTGAGGCGGGAGAAATTCTTGAACCCGGGAGGTGGAGGCTGAAGTGAGCAGATATCACACCACTGCACTCCAGCCTGGGCAACAGAGTGAGACTCTCTCAACAACAAAAAAAAATTAATTAATTAATTAATTAAAAATTAACATACAGTAAAATTGACTTTTTATTTTTGTGTACCATTTTAATACACTTAGAGTGTAGAACCACTCTCACAATCTGAAATCACACAATCAAGATGCAGAACAGTTCCATCACCCCAAAAACCTCCCCTGTGCCACTCCTTTATAGCCATATTCTCCCATATATGTGCTTTTAAAATTGTCTTATTTTTAAATGATTTTATTTTTGTAATTATTAAAATACAGTGCAGAGAAAGGGACTTGGAGCCCAGAAAAATCTCATTTTATAAGAGCTTTCTTTTTTGTCTATCATATACTGTAACCAAAAATCTAAGGATTTCAAAGTAAAATTATTTATGTCTGTCCTTAAATACCTTTCAGGGTGATACATATTAAATAACAAATGTTCTAACTAATGTATGCAAAATTTTAACACAATTTTTATGTCTAGGTATCTAGAAGAGCATTGCCACCATTGAGATCTGATAGCTCTATGCATCATTACTTCTCTTTTCTAAGTTTTTCCTTCTTTTATACAGTGAAAGTGTTGAGCAGAAAATGAAAAATATGTGGAACTTTATAACAAGTGTACATTGATGTGTATTGGTAAAGAGTTTCAGCTTCCTCCATTTGCGATTCTAAAAACTGAGTAGTAATGCCATCTATAGCTCGCTGGACTTGAATGACCTTTGAGTTAAAAATAATCCAAATCATTTTTTAGGTGCAGTTTTTATTTCTGCAAAGCACAGTTCTTTACAGCACATGAGATTGGAACTTTTGGAAATATTTGCAGGAATTGGGAAAGGACATAAAACTTTTAGATGAAGTTTTGTTGTTGTTTTTGTTTTTTATAGTGGAGAGACAGAGTCTTCCTATTTTGCTCAGGCTGGTCTTGAACTCCTGGGTTCAAGTGATCCTCCCACCTCAGCCTACCAAGTAGCTGGGATTATAGGTGCACACCACGTGCCTGGCTGTGTGGAGATTTTTAATCATGAGGAATACAAATGAAACTATTGAAACTATTCATTCTTCGTGCCACCTGTTTGTCACTTGAGGAGGCAAATGAGAAGAAATTGCCCTGGCTAGAACCTCCAATATGATGTTGGATAGAATTGGCAAATACAGACTCCTTGTCTTGTCCCTAATCCTAGACAAGAGAGAATCCAGTCTTCACCATTAAGTGTAATGTTAGCTGTGGGATTTTTGTAGACACCCTTTGTCAATTTGAGGGAATTTACTTCTTTTTTTTTTTTTTTTTTTGGTAACGGAGTCTTGCTCTGTCACTAATTTTGTATTTTTACTAGAGACAGTGTTTCACCGTGTTGCTCAGGCTGGCCTTAAACTTCTGACCCTGCCTCACCCTCCCAAAGTGCTGCGATTTATAGGTGTGAGCAGCCACTCCTGGCCCACTCTAATTTTTATTATTTAATTCCTTCGGCTTGCTTTTGGTTTAGTCTGCTCTTCTTTTTTCAGTGTCTTAAAATGGAAAGTTAGGTTATTGATTTGAGATTCTTCTTCTTTCTTAAAATAGGAATTTACAAGTACAAATTTCCCTCCACATACCATTTGCAATGTATTTCATAAGTTTTGTTGCATTGTACCTACATTTTCATTCATATCAAAGTATTTTCTAATGTGTTTGATTTCATCTTTACCTGTTGGTTATTAGGAGTGTGTTGTTTAATTCCACTTTGTATTAGTCCGTTCTCAAACTGCTATAACGAACTACCTGAGACTGGGTATAAAGAAAAGAGGTTTAGGCCCCGCATGATGGCTCAAGCCTGTAATCCCAGCACTTTGGGAGGCCGAGGCGGGCGGATCACAAGGTCAGGCGATCAAGACCATCCTGGCTAACACGGTGAAATCCCGTCTCTACTAAAAATACAAAAAATTAGCCGGGCATGGTGGCGGGCGCCTGTAGTCCCAGCTGCTTGGGAGGCTGAGGCAGGAGAATGGCATGAACCTGGGAGGTGGAGCTTGCAGTATGCTGAGATCGCGCAACTGCACTCTAGCCTGGGAGACAGAGCAAGACTCCGTCTCAAAAAAAAAAAAAAAAAAGAGAAAAGAAGTTTAATTGACTCACAGTTCCACGTAGCTGAGGAGGCCTCAGGAAACTTACAATCATGGTTGAAGGTGAAGGGGAAGCAAGGCACGTCTTACTCACTATGCCAGAGCAGGAGAGAGAGACAGAGGGCATGAAGCTGGAAGTGCCACACTTTTGAACCATCAGATCTGGTGAGAACTCACTATCACGAGAACAGTAAGGGGGAAGTCCGCCCCCATGATCCAATCACCTTCCATCAGTCCCCTCCCCTGACACGTGGGGATTACAATTCAACATGAGATTTAGGTGGGGCCACGGAGCCAAACTATATCACACATATTTGTGAATTTCCTAAATTTCTTTCTGTTATTGATTTCTCATTTCATTTCATTATGACCAGAGAATACATTGCATTATTTTGATCCTTTTAAATGTATTGACATTTGTTTTATGGCCTAGCATAAAGCTGTTCTCTCCTGAAGAGTGTTCTATGTGCCCTTGAGAAGTATGTGTATTCTCTTGTTGGGTGGAGTATTCTTTTTCTTTTCTTTTTTTTTTTCCTCCCGAGACAGAGTCATGCTCTGTCGCCCAGGCTGGAGTGCTTTGGTGTGATCTCAGCTCACTGCAACCTCCGCCTCTTGGGTTCAAGCAATTCTCCTGACTCAGCCTCCTGAATAACTAGGATTACAGGCACATGCCACCGTGCTCAGGTAATTTTTGTATTCCTAGTAGAGACAGGGTTTCACCATGTTGGCCACACTGGTCTCGAACTCCTGACCTCATGATCCGCCCACCTCGGCCTCCCAAAGTGCTGGGATTATAGGTGTGAGCCACCACGCCCTGCCTCAGTTGCTTTTTTAATCAGTTAAGGGAAGAAAGTAGAAAAAATATGCATGTATGCTGTCTTTATAATTCCATAGTTACCATTACTTACAGTCTTTGTTTTTTCATATGCATTCAGATTACCATTTGGGGCTATTTGATTTCAGCCTACAAAACTTCCCTTAGTTCTTGTAAGTTGAGTCTGCTAGCAACAGATTCTCTGTGGTTTTTCTATCTAGCAGACTTTATTTTGTCCTTTTTTTTTTTTTTTTTTTTTGACACAGAGTCTTGCTCTGTCACCCAGGCTGACGTGTAGTGGCATGATCATAGCTCACTGCAGCCTCGAACTTCTGGGCTCAAGTGATCCCCCTGCCTCAGCCTCCCAAGTAGATAGGACTACAGGTGTAAATCACCATGCCCAGCTTATTTTTTTAAGGTTTTTTTTTTTTTTTTTTTTTTTTTTTTTAGATGGAGTTTCACTCTTGTTGCCCAGGCTGGAGTGCGGTGGCGCAGTCTCGGCTCACTGCAACCTCCACCTCCTGGGTTCAAGTGATTCTTCTGCCTCAGATTCCCAGTAGCTGGGATTACAGGCATGAGCCACCACACCTGGCTAATTTTGTATTTTTAGTAGAGGCAGGGTTTCATCATGTTCGCCAGGCTGGTCTTGAGCTCCTAACCTCAGGTGATCCACCCATCTGACCTCTCAAAGTGCTGGGATTACAGGCGTGAGTCACCAACCTGGCCTTTCAAATTTTTTTGTAGAGGTGGGATCTTGCTATTTTGCCTAGGCTGTGCCTTCATTTTTTAAAGGTAGTTTTGCTAGGTGTAGGGTTCTTGGTTGAAGATTTTTTTCTGTTTGAGCACTTTGAATGTGTTATTTCACTGTCTTCTGGCCTACATTATTTCACCAAGAAGTCAGCATTAATCTTACTGGGGTTTCTTTGTAAGTAACAGGTAGTTTTTTTTTTCTCTTGCTGCTTTCAAGATTTTCTTTTTTTTTTTTTTTTTGAGACGGAGTTGCCCAGGCTGGAGTGCAGTGGCGCATTCTCGGCTCACTGCAACCTCTGCCTTCCGGATTCAAGCGATTCTCGTGCCTCAGCCTCCTGGGTAGCTGGGACTACAGGCATGGGCCACCATGCCTGGCTAATGTTTTGTATTTTTAGTAGAAACAGGGTTTCTCCGTGTTAGCCAGAATGGTCTTGATCTCCTGATCCATCCACCTCGGCCTCTCAAAATGCTGGGATTACAGGCATAAGCCAATGCACCCGGCCTCAAGATTTTCTTTTACTTCAGCATTTTTTACCCTAATATGTCTGTTTGTAGTTCTCTTTACATTTATTTTACTTGGATTTGTTGAGCTTCCTGAATGTGTATATTATTGCTTTTGAATGAGCATGGTAAATTTTCAGCATTGTTTCTTGTTATATTATTAATGTTATTATTTTTGAGACAGAGTCTCACTCTGTTGCCCAGGCTGGAGTACAGGAGCTTGATCTCGGCTCACTGCCACCTCTGCCTCCCCAGCTCAAGCAATTCTGTCTCAGCCTCCTGAGTAGCTGGACTTACAGGCATATTTCACCACACCTGGCTAATTTTTGTATTTTTAGTAGAGACGGGGTTTCGCCATGTTGGCCAGACTGGTTTTGAACTCCTGGCCTCAAGGGATCCTCCCACCTCAGCCTCCCAAAGTGCTAGGATTACAGGTGTGAGCCACAGCGCCCAGCCTAATTTTTGTATTTTTAATAGAGATAGGGTTTCACCATGTTGGCCAGGCTGGTCTTGAACCCCTGACCTCAAGTGATCTGCCTGCCTCGGCCTCCCAAAGTGCTGGGATTACAGGCATTAACCACTGCACCCAGCTAATTTCTTGTTATATTATTTTCACTTCTTTCTCTTTTCTCTCCTTCTGGTACTTCCATTATGCGTATGTTGGTATGCTTAATGGTGTTCCACATTTCTCTGTGGCTCTCTTCATTTTCTTTTCTTTTCTTTTTTTTTTTTTTTTATGAGATGGAGTCTTGCCCTGTTGCCCAGGCTGGAGCGCAATGGCACGATCTCAGCTCACTGCAACCTCCGCCTCCCAGGTTCAAGCTATTCTCCTGCCTCAGCCTCCTGAGTAGCTGGGATTATAGGCATGCACCACCACACCCGGCTAACTTTTTGTATCTTTAGTAGAGATGGGGTTTCACCATGTTGGCCAGGCTGGTCTCGATCTCCTGACCTCGTGATCCGCCAGCTTTGGCTTCCCAAAGTGCTGGGATTACAGGCGTGAACTACCGCACCTGGCCTTTCATTTTCCTTTGTTCTTTTTTTCTCTGTTCTTTGGCTTCCATATATATATAATATATATATAATGTGTATATATATTCCATATTATATATATAATATATAATGTGTATATATATTCCATATTATATATAATATATATAATGTGTATATATATTCCATATTATATATAATATATATAATGTGTATATATATTCCATATTATATATATAATATATATAATGTGTATATATTCCATATTATATATATAATATATATAATGTGTATATATTCCATATTATATATATAATATATATAATGTGTATATATTCCATATTATATATATAATATATATAATGTGTATATATATTCCATATTATATATATAATATATATAATGTGTATATATATTCCATATTATATATATAATATATATAATGTGTATATATATTCCATATTATATATATAATATATATAATGTGTATATATATTCCATATTATATATATAATATATATAATGTGTATATATATTCCATATTATATATATAATATATATAATGTGTATATATATTCCATATTATATATATAATATATATAATGTGTATATATATTCCATATTATATATATAATATATATAATGTGTATATATATTCCATATTATATATATAATATATATAATGTGTATATATATTCCATATTACATATATATAATATATATAATGTGTATATATATTCCATATTATATATATAATATATATAATGTGTATATATTCCATATAATATATATAATATATATAATATGTATATATTCCATATTATATATATAATATATATTCCATATATATGGAATATATATATTCCATATTATATATATAATATATATATTCCATATTATATATATAATATATATATTCCATATATATATATATATTTTTTGAGACAGGGTCTCACTCTGTTGCCCAGGCTGGAGCAGTGGCGGAATCTCAGCTCGCTGCAGCCTTCACCTTCTGGGTCCAAGCGATTCTCATGCCTCAGTCTCCCAAGTAGCTGGGACTACAGGCGTGCAACACTATGCCTGGCTAAGTTTTGTATTTTTAGTAAAGATAGGGTTTCACCATGTTGCCCAGGCTGGTCTCAAACTCCTGACCTCAAGTGATCTGCCTGCCTTGGCCTCCCAAAGTGCTGGGATTACAGGCGTGAGCCACCATGCCCAGCCCATAATATCTTTGATCTATCTTCAAGTTCACTTATTCTTTCTTCTGCCGCTGCAAATCTAGTGTTAATTCTCTCTAGTGAATTTTTCAGTTCAGTTATTGCACTCTAGAATTCCCATTTAGTTCTTTTCTTACAATTTCTCTTCATTGATATTCTTTATTTGATGCAACATTGTCATCTTACCTCATGTTCCTTCTTTAATTTGGTTTCCTTTAATTCTGTGAACATGCTTATTATGGATATTTGAAGTTTTTCCTGATAAAGCCAACATCTTGTCATTCTCACAGGCAGCTTCTGTTGCTTGCTTTTTTCTATTACAGTTCCTGTCTTATTCTTTGCATTCCTCTTTTTTGTTGTTGTTGTTGTTGCTGGAAACTGGACATTTCAGACAACATATTGTATCCTTGCTAGGTACTAATCTTACTTCCTCCTGTTATTGTTATTGGCTTACCTGTCTGATTGCTAGCTGGATTATTTTAATGAAGTCTGTTTATCCCCAACAGAGTTAAACTCCTGATGTTATCAGCTCCTCAGGGAGACACATACTTGAGTATCTCCAAGGTCACTCTGAGTTGACAGTGTTTGGGTCAAGCTGACTTCCTCTCTTTCACTGAGCACACCTGACTGTAAAATTCCACTAATTTACAGCTGTTGTTTTCAACAATGCCCTGGGCATAAACTGCTCTACGAGCAATTCCAATCAAATTCTAGCTCTCTTAGAGGAATAGTTTCTGAGGTCAGTTAGATATTTGTTTTATCTTCTGGATGGCTCTCCTAGATGTCTTAACTACAAACTAATTGCCCTACAGTTTAGCCTGTATCTTGAATCTGCTCCCAATTTCTTTGACCACAACTTCTACTCTTTTTGAGATTGCCCTTAGGCTTGAACCTTTCTAAGCTCTGTTGCAAATGTAGTCAGTTCCTTTGGGAAGAGATGGAGAGCCATCTGTTTTATGACTTGATTTTCCCATGAGGCAAAATCTCTGAACCCAGCCTCTGGAGTTGGGGTTGGAGGTAGGTAGGGAAAATGTCAAGTTTGTCACTGAGCGATATGCCAGCTATAGGAACTGCTTGGTAGAGAGGGAGTGCGGCAGCCTTAGGTCCTCTTGGCTTGCCTCTCCTGGTGTGGAACCACCACCTCACTAGCCGGAGCAAGGGCCATTGGGACTCCAGTATTCTCAGCTTGCCTTACTCAAGGAGCTTCCATTCCAAGAGCAGTGGCTGGGCAGACACACCTCTCAACCACATCCCGCTGGGACTTGGACGCAGTAGCAGATAGCTAGTGGCAGGATGAAAAACACTAAAGTCTTGCTTCTCCCAGGAAGAAGGCCTTCCAGCTGGGAGCTGGGAGCAAAGAAAGCCCCATGTTGACTGCAGCTGTCTGGAGTGGAGTCTCCACCTCAGTGAGCTGGAAGGGAGGAGGGAGGGAGGAGTCTTGGTTCAAATACCACAAATTCTCAGTGTCCTTACTGAGTTTTTATAGATTTTATTGAATAGTTGTTTCTTCATTTGCTGTGTACCCTTAGGACCATTTTTAGAGGCTTTAAATGCTTGGGTTTGTTTTCTTTCTTTCTTCTGATTTTCACCAGTTTCACAGAAGAGCAGGTCAGCCCAACTCCCACACTATTATGCTGGAAGTTGATCTCCTGGTCAATTGAATTTTGACAAGGGTGTAACAAGACAATTCAACGGAGAAAACAATAGCCTTTTCAACAAAAGGGACAACTGGATATCCATATGCTCAAGAATGAAGTTGGACTCAAACTCACACAAAATAGAAGAATTCTCTCAAAATGAATAAAGCGCCTAAAAAGGCCAGGCACGGTGTAATCCCAGCACTTGGGGAGGCCGAGGTGGGTGGATCACCTGAGGTCAGGAGTTTGAGACCAGCTTTGCCAAATGGCGAAACCCCATCTCTACTAAAAATGCAAAAATTAGCCAGGCATGGTGGCATGTCCCTGTAATCCCAGCTACTAGAGGGGCTGAGGCAGGAGGATCACTTAAACCTGGGAGGCAGAGGTTGCAGTGAGCCGAGATTGTGCCACTGCACTCCAGCCTGGGAAACAGAGTGAGACTGCATCTCAAAAAAAAAAAAAAAAAAAATTAGCCAGGGGTGGTGGTGCACGCCTGTAGTCCCAGCTACTTGGGAGGCTGAGGTGGGAGGATTGCTTGAGCCCGGGAAGCAGAGGTTGCAGTGAGCCAATATCGTGCCACTGCACTCCAGCTTGGGTGACAGAGTGAGACCCTGCCTCAAAAAAAAAGCCTAAAAAATATGAGCTAAACCTAAAATGCATAGAAGGCAACAAAGGTATATACCCTTGTAACCTTGGATTTGGCATTGGTTTCTTGGATATGATGCCAAAAGCACAAGCAAACAAAATAAAAAGTATATAAATTAGACATCATCAAAATTTAAAACTTTTGTTCTCAAAGGACACCATCAAGAATATGAAAAGACAGGCTGGGCATTGTGGCTCACACCTATAATCTCAGCACTTCGGGAGGCTGAGGCAGGTGGATCACCTGAGTCTCAAGTTCAAGACCAGCCTGGCCAACCCTGTCTCTACTAAAAATACAAAAATTAGCTGGGTGTGGTGGCACATGCCTGTAATCCCATCTACTTGGGAGGCTGAGGCATGAGAATCACTTGAACCTGGGAGGCAGAGGTTGCAGTGAACCGAGATCGTGCCACTGCACTCCAGCCTGAGCAACAGAGCGAGACTGTCTCAGAAAAAGGGAAGGGAAGGGGAGGGGAGGGGGAAAAAGGAAAGAAAGAAAGGGAAGAAAGGAAAGAAAGAATATGAAAAGAGACAGTCCTCAGAATGGGAGAAAATATTTGTAAATATATCTGATATGGGACTTGTATCTACAACATGTAAAGAACTCTTACAACTCAATAATAAAGCCTGGGCACAGTGGCTCACACCTGTAATCCCACCACTTTGGGAGGCTGAGGCAGACAGACTGCTTGAGCCCAGGAGTTTGAGGTCAGCCTAGGCAACATGGCGAAACTACATCTCTAAAAAATTACCAAAATTAGCCAGGCATGGTGGTGCACACCTGTAGTCTCAGCTACCTGGGAGGCTGAGGTGGGAGGATCACTTGAGCCCAGCAGGTGGAGGTTGCAGTGAGCTGAGATTGTACCATTGTACTCCAGCCTGGGTGACAGAGCAAGACCCTGTCCCAAAAAAAAAATAACGACAAAAAAAACCAAAACCTCAATAATAAAAAGACAACCCAATTTTAAAATGGGCAAGGGGTATACACAGACATTTCTCCTACGAAGATACACAAATGGTCACAAAGCACGGCATCATTAGTCATCAGAGAAATTCAAATCAAAACCACAGTGCTAGGCTGGGCACAGTGGCTCACGCCTGTAATCTCAACACTTTGGGAGGCCAAGGCAGGCAGATCGCTTGAGTCCAGGAGTTCAAGACCAGCCTGGGCAACATGGCAAAACACCATCTCCACAAAAAAATACAAAAATTAGCCAGGTATAGTGGTCCACAGGTACCTGTGAGGCCAAGGTGGGAGGATCATCTGAGATCGTGCCACTGTTCTCCATCCTGGATGACAGAGTGAGACCCTGTCTCAAGAAAACAAATACCACAGTGCCACTTCACAGTCACTAGGATGGCTATAATCAAAAAGACATATTGCAACTGTTGGAGAAGATGTGGAAAATTGGAGCCTTCATCACTTCTAATGGGAATGTAAAATCATACAATCACTTTGGAAAACAATCTGACAGTTCCTAAAATGTTTAAACATAGAGTTAACATATGACCAGCAATTCCACTTACACCCAAGAGAAATGAAAACATATGTTCATATCAAAACCTAACATTTACTGAATAAATGTTTTTAGCAGCATTTATAATAGCCAAAATGTGGAAACAACCCAAATGTCCATCAGTGGTTAAGTGGATAAATAAAATGTGATATGTCCGTATAATGGAATATTATTCAGCCATAAGAAGGAATGAAGTACTGGTACATGCTGTGGCATGGATGAACCTTGAAACTATTGTGAGAGAAGCTAGTCGCAAAGGACCACACATCTTATGATACCATTCATATGAAATGTCCCAAATAGGCAAATGAATAAAGACAGGGAGTGGTTGCTAGGGTTTCATGGGTTGGTAGATTAGGAAGTGATGACTAAGGGGGCCGGGTATGGTGGCTCACACCTGTAATCCTAGCACTTTGGGAGGCCAAGGCTGGCAGATCACCTGAGGTCAGCCTGGGCAACCTAGCGAGATCTAGTCTCTATAAGAAAAAATAAACCGGGGGCAGTGGCTTACGCTTGTAATTCCAGCACTTTGGGAGGCCAAAGTGGGCGGATCACGAGGTCAGGAGTTTGAGACCAGCCTGGCCAACATGGTGAAACCCCATCTCTACTAAAAATACAAAAAAAATTAGCTGGGCATGGTGGTGGGCGCCTGTAATCCCAGTTACTCAGGAGGCTGAGGCAGGAGAATCACTGGAACCCGGGGGGTGGAGGTTGCAGTGAGCTGAGATCGTGCCACTGCACTCCAGCCTGGGCAACAGAGCGAGACTCCATTTCAAAAAGAAAAATAAAGAAAAATAAAGTGATGACTAAGGGATGTAGAGTTTCTTTTTGGAGTGATGAAAATGTTTTTAAGAATAGGTTGTACTGATGGGGATACAACTAAAAGCCACTGAATTACATACATACCTTAGGTGGGTGGATTATATGCTATGTGAATTATGTCTTGATAAAGCTGTTAAAAATTTTTAAAAAAGCAAACAGTCACTATGGAACTCTTTCATGTTTTTAGCCAAGTATCTTCAAGACCTTCTCATGGAGAGTGTGAATTTTTCCCCCGCCAATCTCTCTAGCACTGGTTCCAGGTATCTGAATGCTTTGGTTGACAGTGCGGTGGCCCTTGAAACAAAGGATACCTCGCTAGCTAGGTAATTCTTATGACAGTTTTAATTTCCGCAATCATATCTGCTATAAGGTCTTAAAGACTTTTTGTTCTCAGCATAATTCTATATGAAAAATTGGCAATAAATACAAAGCACTGAATTTAGTTACTTCATGTCTTTGCCAGTGAGTATAATTAATTTGGATAAATATGGTATTGGTTAATTTTTAGTGTTTTCTTCTTCCAGGATTAGATTTATGAAGGGTGGTTCTCATGTATATTTGGAAAGGGGTTAGTATCACATTGTTCCCTGTGTATAATAAGAAAGATAGTAGGCTAAATGATTTGGTTGAGCATAATAAATTTTGGTTATGTCTACCTTTTTGTTAAGTAGGTCAGGAATTTTCATTCTTTTTAACAGGCATTTTACTTATATAATAACATGATTCTTCCAACAACCTTTAGAGGAATCAGGAGGTGTGGGTTAAATAATTTATCCGAGCTACTAAATGGCAGAGCTGAGATTCAAAACCAGTCTTATAAAGTTCATATGACTACCACTTTTGGCCATATCTTAGCTAGGACTACTAATATTTTGTTTTAGTTTTTGTTTTTGAGACAGAGTCTCATTCTGTCACCCAGGCTGGAGTGCAGTGGCGTGATCTCGGCTCCCTACAACCTCCGCCTCCCGGGGTAAAGCGATTCTCCTACCTCAGCCTCCCAAATAGCTGGGATTACAGGCGCCTGCCACCATGCCTGGCTAATTTTTTTTGTATTTTTAGTAGAGACAGGGTTTCACCATGCTGGCCAGGCTGGTCTCAAACTCCTGACCTTGTGATCTACCCACCTCTGCCTCCCAAAGTGCTGGGATTACAGGCGTGAGCCACTGCGCCCGGTAGAACTACGAATATTAATACAACTTATCATAATCAGAGAACAACACAGCAGAACAGCTTACCTGTCAATTTAAAGGCAATTTATGTATAAGCTCAAAGAGTAGTGTTTTAGGTATAAGAGCATCCCTACTGTATGGCAGCAGAAATCTAGACTTGAATTAAATAAGTTCAGCAGATAACAAATACCAGTTGTATGTTAGTTGTATAAGCACTGGGGAAGCAGGGATGAATCATATAATTTCTTGCCTTTTTTTTTTACAAATAATGTGTATTTTAGAATTTTTTAAACTTTTTTTTTATACTTACATACTATCATACAACTTAAAGTCACATTATGTTTTGTGCCTTCTTACTATAGCTCTGTTATAACTGGGGAAGCGAGATGAATACGATAGTAACTTCCTTAAAGAACAGTCTCTGCTTACAGTCAAATAAGGGAGATAGAAATGTGACTATAACATAGTGTGACAGCTGTAACAGTAAAAGTATGTACAAGGTATAGCTGGGTAGCACAGAGAAGGAGGTAGTTAATGCCAGGATGACAGGGACGCTCATCTGAGTTTTGAAGGAACAAATGGAACTTTGCCGAATGAAGAAGGGCATTCCAGGCAATGGGAACAGTGTGTAAAAAAAGGCATAAAGGTATGAACAGCATGGTTATATAAAAATCTACAGGGCAATAAAGTCATTTTTAGCAATGAGGAGTAATTATAATTATTGCCCATTAAGCCCATGTATATGACCAGATTCTTCTTTTAGTTTTATCCCTGCAGTGAATGATTTGACCTCTGATCTCTTTCGTACCAAATCCAAAAGTGAAGAAATCAAGATTGAACTGGAAAAACTTGAAAAAAATTTAACTGCAACTTTAGTATTAGAAAAATGTCTACAAGAGTAAGTAATTGAGTTCAGAGTGGTGACAATTTATAAATAAGGGAGTAATAGGACATTGTCAAATTTAGTTTTGGCAGTAGGTGTGATTTTAAAAACATTAGGAAATGGGATCCATAAAACATTTTTTTAAGTTGAATGATTAGTGGAGCTGGAGATGGTTGGATATAGACTTTTCCAGCTTTTTTTTTTTTTGAAACGGAGTCTCACTCTGTCACCCAGGCTGGAGTACAGTGGCACGATCTCAGCTCACTGCAACCTCCACCTCCTGGGTTCAAGCAATTCTCCCGCCTCAGCCTCCCGAGTAGCTGGGATTACAGGCATGAGCCACCATGCCCAGCTAATTTTGTATTTTTAGTAGAGACGGGGTTTCTCCATGTTGGTCAGGCTGGTCTCGAACTCCCGACCTCAGGTGATCCGCCCGCCTCGGCCTCCCAAAGTGCTGGGATTACAGGCGTGAGCCACTGCGCCCGGCCTGACTTTTTCAGCTTTTACTTCATACAATTTTACTTCATACAATTTCTTACCTTATTTTTTTTTCTTTTTGAGATGGAGTCTCGCTGAGACACCCAGGCTGGAGTGCAATGGTGCAGTCTTGGCTCACTGCAACCTCCACTTCCCGGGTTCAAGCGAGTTTCCTGCCTCAGCCTCCCCAGTAGCTGGGACTACAGGTGTGCACCACCATGCCCAGCTGATTTTTGTGTTTTCAGTAGAGACAGGGTTTCACCATATTGGCCAGGCTGGTCTCGAACTCCTGACCTCAAGTGGTCCACCTGCCTTGGCTTCCCAAAATGCTAGGATTACAGGCATGAGCCACCGCACCCAGCCTCCTGCCTTTTCTTAAAAACAAATAATATGGGTTTTAGAATTTTCAAAATGTATGTGATTTTTCTTATACTTAAAGTCACATTATGTTTTGTTGTGCATTCTTGCTATAGCTAGGGTATCCCTCTTATGATACTTTAGGCCTTTTTCTGTTCCTTTTTGCCCCAGAGATTAGGGCCTATAGATCAGGAGTATGTGTATATATGCACAAGTAATTTGACGGTATGTAAATTTATTCAACAAATGACTACATATGTGCAAGGCACTGTCATGTCACGTTTATTTTTATTTATTTATTTACTTATTTTATTTATTTATTTTGTTGAGACAGAGTTTCTCTCTTGTCACCCAGGCTAGAGTGCAATGGCGCGATCTCAGCTCACTGTACCCTCCGCTTCCCGGGTTCAAGTGATTCTCCTGCCTCAGCCTTTCAAGTAGCTGGGATTACAGGCACCTGCCACCACACCCAGCTAATTTCTTTGTATTTTTAGCAGAGACGGGGTTTCACCATGTTGGCCAGGCTGGTCTCGAACTTCATGTCACATTTAGTACAGAGGTATTTAGGACCTCCTATTTCAAATTGGCTTCAGATATGTTAAATTATTATTATTATTATTATTTTTTAAACAAAATTCACAGTTTATTTAGGTTGAAATAAACTATACAAAATTGACTTTCTTTGCCAAAAATAACAGCAATATTTTCCATATTATTTCTAGATAAGCCACAAAACAAAATGTGGAACACTTCACAAATTTACCCATCTTCCTTGAGTAGAGGCCACTCTAATTTTCTCTGTGTCGTTCTAATTTTAGTATATGAGCTGCCAAAGTGAGCACCAATTTTTTTTTGAATGGCTGATTTACTTTCTTCAAGAATAATTGGCTTACATTAATTGTAAAATTGTTGTAAACCTGGGCAGCATAGTGAGACTGTCTCTACAAAAAAATTATTTATTTTATTATTTTTTTTTATTTGAGATGGAGTCTTACTCTGCCACCCACACTGGAGTGCAGTGGTACAATCTCAGCTCATTGCAACCTCTGCCTCCCAGGTTCAAGTGATTCTCCTGCCTCAGCCTCCTGAGTAGCCAGGATTATGGGCGCATGCCACCATGCCTGGCTAATTTTTGTATTTTTAGTAAAGACAGGGTTTCACCATGTTGGCCAGGCTGGTCTCGAACTCCTGACCTCAGGTGATCTGCCCACCTTGGCCTCCCAAAATGCTGGGATTATAGGTGTAAGCCACTGTGCCTGGCCATCTACAAAAGATTTAAAAATTAGCCAGGCATAGTGGCATGTGTCTGTAGCCCTGGCTATTTGGGAGGCTGAAGTGGGAGGATCACTTCAGCCAAGGAGCTTGAGGCTGCAGTGATCACACCACTGCATTCAAGCCTGGGTGACAGACCAAGACCTCATCTCTTAAAAAAAAAAAAAACCCAGAGTGCAACATGGAGGGGAAGATGACCTGGTTACCAACTCTTGGCCAAGCCAGCATTGAATCCAAAAGTAGTAGAGTTTCTATTGTACAATACTTTTACTGAGAAGAAGAAGAAGAAAATGTTTTTAATTTTGCTTTTTAAAGGGATGTCAAGAAAGCAGAGTTGCATCTGTCTACAGAAAGGGCCAAAGTTGATAATCGTCGTCAGAACATGGACTTTCTAAAAGCAAAGTCAGAGGAATTCAGATTTGGAATCAAGGCTGCAGAGGTTTGTATGAAGGACCGAATATAGTTAGCTCTCTTCGGCCTGATTTTTTACCATCATCCTCACAGCTAGGCATTATTATTCCCTTTTTACAGATGAGAGGACTATAGAGAAGTTGGTAAGTTGCCCAAGATTACATAGCTATTACAGTAAGCAGATCTAGATTCAAACTCAGGCATCCAGGCTCTGAAACTCAGGCCTTACACACTGCACCCATCTTGTCACAAATGCGTGAGTGTGGAAAGGATTCACATGTAACGTACAAATGCTTAGATACATGTACAGTTTTTCATTTATACTTGTAGCTCCTCTTTACTGTGTTATATGTTAAAAATATTTGATGGGCTGGGCACGGTGGCTCACGCCTGTAATCCAGCACTTTGGGAGGCCAAGGTGGGCGGATCATGAGGTCAGGAGATCGAGACCATCCTGACTAACACAGTGAAACCCCGTCTCTACTAAAAATATAAAAAATTAGCCGGGCGTGGTGGTGGGCGCCTGTAGTCCCAGCTACTCAGGAGGCTGAGGCAGGAGAATGACATGAACCCGGGAGGCGGAGTTTGCAGAGAGCCGAGATCGCGCCACTGCACTCCAGCCTGGGTGACAGAGCAAGACTCGGTCTCAAAAAAAAAAGAAGAAAAAGAAAAATATTTGATGGTGGTCACTTTTCAAATAATTTTTTAACTGAACTCCTTTTTTTGGTAATTGTAGGAGCAACTTTCAGCCAGAGGCATGGATGCTTCTCTGTCTCATCAGTCCTTAGTAGCACTATCAGAGGTGAGCTTATTTTAACCTAATTTAACTTTCTTTAAAATTTTACTCCACAGTCTGCTTTTTCATTTGTTTCTTTTTATTCGGCTTTTATTCACTGTGGACCTGATTTCTTTTCCTTTACCTTTGTACTTTATATTCACTGGTATTTATATCTTTTATTCCTTGTTTAGCTGTATATGCCCTCACATTTGCATGGTTTCCTTTTTATTATAAGTTAGAAACTCCGCTGGAGTCACTTATGTATTATTGATGTATTTATTAAACAAATTTATTGAAGGACCATGAGCTAATCATCTAGGTGCTCCCCTTTCTTCTCTTTCAGTAGACAGTAAAATGCAGGTCTCCAAACTCCTGTAGTTACCAAATGCAATTCTGGGATTTTAGGTTATATAAAGGTTTTACCTGTTTTGGTGGGAAGAGAGAAATAGAGGGTTTTGTTTTGTTTTATTATTCTTAACGTTTTTCATACTTTGTTCTTGGAATCTAATGTTGACAATTCATAAATATGTATTTGGGATTCTAGTTCTCCCTTTACATTTTTTTCCCCTTGTTTTTATAAATAGAGATGGGGGTCTTGCTATGTTGCCCAAGCTGGTCTCAAACTCCTGGGCTCAAGTGATCCTCCCACCTTGGCCTCCCAAAGTGCTGGGGTTAGAAGTGTAAGCCACCACACCCAGCCTCCTTTATGTTTTGATTCCTCTTAATCACATTCTTTTCTATTCTAAGACAGCATACTTCAATCCTATTGTTAATAAATGGGAGCAAAGGCCAGGCATGGTGGCTCACACCTGTAATCCCAGTACTTTGGGAGGCAGAGGCAGGAAGATTACTTAAGCCCAAGAGTTTGAGACCAGCCTGGCCAAAATGGCGAAACCTCATCTCTACTAAAAATACAAAAATTAGCCAGGCATGGTGGCACATGCCTGTAATCCCAGCTACTCAGGAGGCTGAGGCAGGAGAAAGAAGAATCACTTGAACTCAGGGGGCGGAGGTTGCAGTGGGCCGAGATCGTGCCACTGCACTCCAGCCTGGGTGACAGAGCAAGACTCTATCTCAAAAAAAAAAAAAAAAAAAATTAGCCAGGCATGGTGGTGCACGCCTGTGGTCCCAGCTACCTGGAAGGCTGAAGTGGGAAGATTGGTTGAGCTGAGGAGTTTGAGGCCACCGTAAGCCATGATTGTACCACTGCACTCCAGCCTGGGCAACACAGAAAGACTCCATCTCAAAAAAAAATTATAATAATAATAATTAAATAAGACTATAACTTTCCTATTTTAAGCATCTAACAGGTGTTGTTTCCATTTGGAGTGAGTTTGTCTATCTTTGAAGCTTTTTATTCGATAACGTTATTTAAAATATACTAATGTTAATGCTTTGTTGTGTTTTATTTCAGAAATGGACAGTATTAGTTGCATTGTGAATGTTTCTATTACTCTGTGACTGTGTTCTTTTACCCCCAGAAACTGGCAAGATTAAAGCAACAGACTATACCTTTGAAGAAAAAATTGGAGTCCTATTTAGACTTAATGCCGGTAATAATTTTCGCGAATTAAAAAACAATTATTTCCTCCAACCTTCCCTGAGGGTACTATATGACCATGAAAATAGTGTGTTTAGGCCAGGCACGGTGGCTCACGCCTGTAATCCCAGCACTTTGGGAGGACAAGGCAGGCTGATCACCTGAGGTCAGGAGTTAGAGACCAGCTTGGCTAATATGGTGAAACCCCGTCTCTACTAAAAATACAAAAATTAGCTGGACCCAGTGGTGCGCAACTGTAGTCCCAGCTACTCAGGAGGCCGAGGCTGGAGAATCACTTGAACCTGGGAGGCAGAGATTTCAGTGAGCTAAGATCGTGCCACCACACTCCAGCCTGCTCAACAGAGCAAGACTCCATCTCAAAAAAAAAGGCTGGGCATGATGGCTTATGCCTGTAATCCCAGCACTTTGGGAGGCCGAGACGGGCAGATCACGAGGTCAGGAGTTTGAGACCAGCCTGACCAACATGGTGAAACCCCGTCTCTACTAAAAATACAAAAATTAGCAGGGCGTGGTGGTGGGCGCTTATAATCCCAGCTACTCAGGAGACAGGCAGGAGAATCGCTTGAACCCAGGAGGCAGAGGCTGCAGTGAGCTGAGATTGAGCCACTGCACTCCAGCCTGGGCAACAGAGTGAGACTCTGTCTCAAAAAAAAAAAAAAAAGAAAGAAAATAATGTGTTGGTTTTTAAAGGTTTAAAGTCAGTGGTAAATTTCAGTGTTATATGTACATTGGGTATCCCTCTGGGAGGATTTTTGCCTTTTGAAAAGGATTATGGCATTATTTTTCTCCTTGGGTCTGAATTGAGGCAATATAACCTTTCCTTGTTTTATTTTTTTTTAAAGAATCCGTCTCTTGCTCAAGTGAAAATTGAAGAAGCAAAGCGAGAACTAGTAAGTAGTTCCTGTAATTTTTTCAGATTTTTTTAAAAAGAAAATAAATGCTAATATAGCTAAAGTCTTCTTCATCCTTCTTTCCTTTCTCCTCAGTGGTAAGCTGCAGTCCTAAAGTTACTGTGTATCATTCTCCTGCATCTTTTAATACTTTTTTGGCTGTGTACGTGTGTATATATTTTTTCCATTAAGAAACATATAGTAGCTGGGCACAGTGGCTCACACCTGTAATCCCAGCACTTTGGGAGGCCAAGGTGGGTGGCATCTGAGGTCAGGAGTTCAAGACCAGCCTGGCCAACATGGGGAAACCCTGTCTCTATTAAAAATACAAAAATAAGCTGGGCGTGGTGATGCGTGCCCGTAATCCCAGCTACTTGGGAGGCTGAGGCAGGAGAATCACTTGAACCTGGGAGGTGGAGGTTGCAGTGAACTGAGATCACGCCACTGCACTCCAGCCTGGGGGACAGAGCAAGACTCCCTCTCAAAAAACAAAAAAACACATAGTAGTATTTTATGCCTTTTAAAATTTTGTGTACATTTCCCTAGTGGAAAAAGGGGAATATATTGAGAGATATAGAATATTCTAGGCAAAAAGAATTTGCAAAGGCATATAAGCTGAAACATGGAGGACTTACTCAAGCTGTAGCAAGTGATAAAGTCCGGCTGCTTAGAAACATGAAATGTAAGATAAAGTTGGAAAAGGTCAATTGGTTCATGATGTAGAAGGCCTTAACATATAAAGAGTGTTGAACTTAGAGGATGTAGGGACCACAGAAAGCTGCTGTGTGTTTCCTTGTTTTTTAAGCTCAAGAGAAATATGATCAAAGCTATGCTTTCTTTTTTTTTTTTTTGAGACAGAATCTTGCTCTGTCCTCCAGACTAGAGTGCAGTGGCGTTATCTTAGCTCACTGCAACCTCCGCCTCCCAGGTTCAAGCAATTCTCATGCCTCAGCCTCCTGAGCAGCTGGGATTACAGGTGTGTACCACCATGCCTGGCTAATTTTTGCATTTTTATTTATTTATTTATTTATTTATTTATTTATTTATTTATTTATTATTTTGAGATGGAGTCTTGCTCTGTTGCCCAGGCTGGATTGCAATGGCATGATCTCAGATCACTGCAACCTCCACCTCCCTGGTGCAAGTGATTCTCCTGTCTCAGCCTCCTGAGTAGCTGGAACTACAGGCACCTGCCACCACGCCTGGCTAATTTTTATATTTTTAGTAGGACGGGGTTTTGCTATGTTGGCCAGGCTGGTCTTGAACTCTTGACCTCAGGTGATCCACCCGCCTCAGCCTCCCAAAGTGCTGGAGTTACAGGCGTGAGCCACCGTGCGCGGCCAAATTTTTGTATTTTTTTAGTAGAGACGGGGTTTCACCATGTTGGCCAGGCTGGTCTCCAACTCCTGACCTCAAGTAATCCACCTGCTTTGGCCTTCCAAAGTGCTGGCATTACAGGCATGAGCCACCGTGCCTGGCCAAAGCTATACTTTTTGATCAGGTTAGTGCTTCAGAAGATTATTCTGTAGCCACTGTTGAGGGTAGATTGGGAGAAAGAAAATTGCAGAAACCAATTAGCTTATTTAGGCCAGATAAGAAGTAATGAGGACAGTGGCAATGAAAATGGAAAAGAGGCCAGGTGCAGTGGCTCACACCTGTAATCCCAGCACTTTGGGAGGCCAAGTGGGTGGATCAAAAGGTCAAGAGTTCAAGACTAACCTGGCCAAGATGGTGAAACCCCATCTCTACTAAAAATACAAAAAAAATTAGCCGGGCATGGTGGTGGGCGCCTGTAATCTCAGCTAGTCGGGAGACTGAGGTAGAGAATTGCTTGAACCCGGGAAGCAGAGATTGCAGAGTGAGCCGAGATTGTCCCACTGTACTCCAGCCTGGGCGACAGAGTGAGACTGCATCTCAAAAAAAAAAAAAAAAACACAGAAAAGAGGTGATGTGAGTGACATTGTGGAAGCACATTGTTTTAGTAGCAAAGGCCAGAAAAATTTATTCATATGTCGTTACAGATTTCTCTCTCTCTAAAGGCTTTTTTCCCTTCCCTTCACATATTTCTTAGAATCACTTAGGAGTCTGAGTGCTTTTGCAGGGGAAGAGGGGAGATGTAAAAACAAGGGAATATCTAAAAGCATATTTGATATTCATAATGGTATTTTTAAAATTTTTTGTTCTAATGTTTCCTTTTTTGCTTCCCTTATTTTAAATAACATTAAATAAAAGTTAGAGCATCTGTTTTATGTCCTTATCTATGGTATGTCTTTCTTCCTGTAGGATAGCATTGAAGCTGAACTTACAAGAAGAGTAGACATGATGGAACTGTGACAAAAGCCAAATAAACATCCTTTTCCCTAACAAAGTAAATTGAATAGGACTTTACAGAGTTCTTTTTCCTCTTGGCATTTCCTAATAACAAAACTTTCTGTGTTCTTAGATTACAGAATATCATAATTGATAGAATATGGTTTCTTACTGTGTGTTGCATTTTTGTGCCCAAATACATAGTTTTCATATTAAAAAGCCTTTTCTCTTACTTTGTTTCTGTGTGGTTGGTGGTTAAGCATCCTTCAGTAGCTCTACAAGGCAAACATTACAACAGTTGTGCATGTATTCATTAGGTCAGCTAAAGTGAAAAGGAAAGGTTCCACAGCTCCAGTATGTTTCTCCCACTCTCTTCTTTCTCCAGGGGTTTGCTGTCATTCTTTTTGATCAGCTCACTGCCTGCCTCCAAATGTTAATATATGCAGGAATTTAGTTTATGAAAAAGATGACCTTTTAAATCAGTAGTAGAAAGATGGATAATTCAACCCTTGGTATTAGGTCCATACTTCACACCTTATGTCAGGATAATCCAAAGAATCAAAGATTTAAATATAAAAAATTTGAAAATAAAGGTACTAGAAGAAATTGAAGGGAAGTTTTAACGTTTTGGCTTCTTTTTAAGAGACAGGTTCTCGCTATATTGCCCAGGCTGGCCTCAAAATCCTGGACTCAAGCAATCTTCCCACCTCAGCCTGTTGAGTACCTGACACCACAGGTATGTGCCACTGCACCCAGCCTAATGTTTGATTTTTAAATAATTGTGAGTCAGAAATGTATGACCAGAACCCAGGTGCCATAAATAAGTGCTTAAAATATTTAAATGTTTTGTTTTAAGACAGAGTCTTGCTCTGTCTCCCAGGCTGGAGTGCAATGGCATGATCTTGGCTCACTGCAGCCTCCATCTCCCAAGTACAAGCGATTTTCGTGCCTTGGCCTCTCAAGTAGCTGGGACTACAGGCGTGCACCACCACACCAGCTAATTTTTGTATTTTTAGTAGAGATGGGGTTTTACCATGTTGACCAGGCTGGTCTCGAACTCCCGACCGTAAGTGATCTGCTCGCCTTGGCCTTCCAGAGTGCTGGGATTACAGGTATGAGCCACCGCGCCTGGCCTATTTAAATATTTTGAAATAATAAAAATACCTGCATGGCAAAATCTATTGTAAGTAAAATCAAAGGACATGATAAATGTAGTACAGGAGGAGATTTTTCACTGTACCTTTTTGTGCCTTTTAAAGTTTTGTACCATGCAATTAAAAAACAATCAGCTTTAAAAAAATTATTTCAATGTCTTTAAAGCTTTTTTCTTTTTTCCTTTCCCTTGCTGTCAGCCAGAAAAAGACATTTGTATTTTCTTTTGGAAACTGTCCATATCCTTTTGCCATTTGTGTATTAGCTTTTGGTCTTTTTGTTAACAATTTATAGAAGCTTCTTATGTATTAGCTAAATTAATCTTTTGTGATTGGACTTGCAAATATTTTTCCAAGTTTGTCATTTGACTTAATTGCAGTGCTCTTCATAAGGCAATTTGATAGATTGATTGTGGAAATGACCACAATAATTCTTCTCATCTCTATGCACTCACCCCTTTGTAACATGACGTGGCTCTTTCTCCCATCAAAGGAGAATCTATACTCCACCTGCTGTATCTGGCTTGGCCCTATGACTTGTTTCGGCCAATGAGACAACAGCAGATGTGACAAAAGCAAAGGAATATAAACTATGCATTGGGGCTTGCTCTCTCTTACTTCCTTACTTCTCTTTGGAATTCCAAAACCACCATTTAAAGAAGCCTGGACAGGTCTGTTGGAGGAGAAGAAACTATATGAACAGCCTGGCATGGTGGCTCATGCCTGTAATCCCAGCCCTTTGGGAGGCCAAGGCGGGCCTATTATTTGAGGTGAGGGGTTCAAGACCAGCCTGGGCAACATGGTGAAACCCCGTCTCTACTAAAATTGCAAAAATTAGCTGGGCGTGGTGATGCACACCTGTAGTCCAAGCTACTTGAAAGGCTGAGGCAGGAGAATCACCTGAACTCTGGAGGTGGAGGTTGCAGTGAGCTAAGATTGCACCACTTGAGCAATAGAGCAAGACTCTGTCTCAAAAAAAAAGAAACTACATGAAGCAGAGACAGTAATTCCAACTGAACCTTGCCCCCAACCCTTAAGACAAAACTGGCTGCCAATTGCTAGATATGTGAATGAGGTCTTAGGCCATCTAGTTCCAATTGAGCCACCAGCAAACTGCAGAGATCAACCAAGCAAGCCCAAGCCAGAAGCTCAACTGATTTGAAACATTAATTATATTTAAAAATTTCTATGCCAGGCATGATGGCCCACGCCTGTAACCCCAGCACTTTGGGAGGCCGAGGCAGGTGGATCATGAGGTCAGGAGTTCGAGACTAGCCTGGCTAACAGTGAAACCCCCATCTCTACTAAAAATACAAAAAAAATAGCCAGGCGTGGTGGCAGGTGCCTGTAATCCCAGCTACTCGGGAGCCTGAGGCAGGAGAATCGCTTGAACCTGGGAGGCGGAGGTTGCAGTGAGCCGAGATTGCACCATTGCACTGCAGCCCGGGCAATAGTGCGAGACTCTGTCTCAAAAATAAATAAATAAATAAATAAATAAATAAATAAATAAATAAATAAATTCCTTGTACGGCAACACCTGACTAATGTATGATGGAGTAACTGGGAGAAGGTGTATGTATGCTACAAAGTGTCTTCTGCTGTCCTTCCACTCTCCAAGCCTCATGAATCTCCCTTGTAACCCATTCTAACTGGAAACATGCTAGGAAGAGAAATCTATAAACTGTAGTTTACCCAAGTTGACACATCACAAAGCCATTTCACACAGGTTCAAAGAGTCTATCAAATTCTAAGTAGGATAAGTGTGCAAAGAAAAGAGTACGAAACAAGGCTGGGCGCGGTGGCTCACGCCTGTAATCCCAGCGCTTTGGAAGGCTGAGGTGGGCAGATAACCTGAGGTCAGGAGTTCCAGACCAGCCTGGCCAATATGGTGAAACCTGTCTCTACTAAAAATACAATAATTAAGGCCAGGCACAGTGGCTCATGCCCATAATCCTAGCACTTTAGGAGACTGAGGAGGGTGGATCACCTGAGGTCAGGAATTCGAGACCAGCCTGGCCAGCATGGCAAAACCCCGTCTCTACTAAAAATACAAAAAAATTAGTCAGGTATGGTGGCAAGCGCCTGCAATCCCAGCTATTCGGGAGGCTGAGGGAGGAGAATCGCTTGAACCCCCGGGGGCAGAGGTTGCAGTGAGCCGAGATCAAGTCACTTCACTGCAGCCTGGGTGAAAGAGTGAAACTCCGCCTCAAAAAATAATAATAATAATAAAATAAGAATTAGCCAGGCATGGTGGTTGGTGCCTATAATCCCAGCTACTCGGGAGGCTGAAGCAGGAGAATCGCTTGAACCCGGGAGACAGAGATTGCAGTGAGTCAACATCGTGCCATTGCACTCCAGCCTGGGCAACAGCAAGACCCTGTCTCATTAAAAAACAAAACAAAACAAAAAACCAGGCACTTTGGGAGGCTGAGGTGGGCAGATCACAAGGTCATGAGTTTGAGACCATCCTGGCCAACATGCGAAACCCCGTCTCTACTAAAAATACAAAAATTAGCCAAACATGGTAATGCATGCCTGTAATCCCAGCTACTCTGGAGGCTGAGCCTGGAGAATCGCTTGAACCCGGGAGGCAGAGGTTGCAGTGAGCCAAGATCCTGCCACTGCACTCCGGCCTGGGCAACAGAGCAAGATTCTGTTTCAAAAAAAAAAAGAAGAAGAAGAAAAAAAGAATTCAAGTAAAGTGACATCAAACAAACAAACAGAGACAGTTTATTAAGAGCAGATCTAAATTAGCTGGGCATGCCGGTACCTTCCTATAGTCCTAGCTACTCGATTGCTTGAGCCCAGGGGGTTGAGGCTGCAGCTCCAGCCTGGGCAACAGAACAAGACCTTGTCTCTGAAACAAACAAAAAGTCCGGGCTCAGTGGATCACTCCTGTAATCCCAACACTTTGGGAGGCCAAGGCGTGTGGATCACCTGAGGTCAGGAGTTCAAGACCAATCTGGCCGACATGGTGATAACCTGTGTCTACTAAAAATAGAAAAATTAGTTGGGGATTGTGGCACGCACCTGTAGTCCCAGCTACTTGGGATGCTGAGGCAAGAGAATCGCTTGAACTTGGGAGGACAAGGTTGCAGTGAGCCGGGATTGTGCCACCACTGCACTCTAGCCTAGGTGACAGAGTGAGACTGTCTCAATAAATAAATAAATAAATAAATAATTTAAAAAATTAAAAAACACCCAGCAGACCTACATTAATGGAAATTCTAAAAAAAAAAAAAAATTATCAGAAGGAAAATGATTCCAGATTGAAGGCCTGGAACACAATGGAGAATAAACTGCAAAGAATGTGGCAAATATGTGTATGTGGGTAAATATAAAAAACATTGACCAGGCTGGGCCCAGTGGCTCACACCTGTAATCCCAGCACTTTGGGAGACCAAGACTGGTGGATCACCTGAGGTCAGGAGTTTGAGACCAGCCTGACCAATATGATGAAACCCCGTCTCTACTAAAAATACAAAAATTAGCTGGGTGTGGTGGCATGCGTCTGTAATCCCAGCTACTCAGGAGGCTGAGACAGGAGAATCGCTTAAACCCAGGAGATGGAGGTTGCAGTGAGCCGAGATTGCGCCATTGCGCTCCAGCCTTAGCAACAAGAGCGAAACTCTGTCTCAGAAAAAACCAAAATACAAAAAACAAACAAACAAAAAAACATTGACCAAGAAACGGTAACAAAATGATTAATGGGGGCTGGGTGCAGTGGCTCACACCTGTAATCCCAGCACTTTGGGAGGCTGAGGCAGGAGGATCGCTTGAGCTCAGGAATTTGAGACCAGCCTGAACTACATTAGGAAACCCTGCCTCTACCAAAATACCAAAAATTAGCTGTGTGTGGCAGCTGGTGCCTTTAGTTTCAGCGACTTGGGAGGCTGAGGTGGGAGGATCACTTGAGCCCAGGAGGAGGAGGTTGCAGTGAGCCAAGACTGTGCCATTGTACTCCAGCCTGGGTGATAGAGTGAGACCCTGACTCAAAAAATAATAATAATGACATGGAAAATAAACACAAAGGAGAGGATAAACAAACCAAAAGTTGGTTCTTTGAAAAGACTAGGAAATTTGCCATGTTATGTAAATTTTTAAATAAATAGAGATAGCATTATTCATAATATTTTCTTGCCTCCAGAATCTAAAGTGAATCTCCTTTGCTTACTTGTTCCAATAACATTTGGAGTTATAATAATAATGACATGGAAAATAAACACAAAGGAGAGGATAAACAAACCAAAAGTTGGTTCTTTGAAAAGACTAGGAAATTTGCCATGTTATGTAAATTTTTAAATAAATAGAGATTGCATTATTCATAATATTTTCTTGCCTCCAGAATCTAAAGTGAATCTCCTTTGCTTACTTGTTCCAATAACATTTGGAGTTATAAAAAAGGTGGTGGGATAGGGAGTGCAGCTCGTCAGGAAGCCAGGAAAGCTGGGTCCAGAGAGCACAGAGGAGTGGAGTAGATCCTGGAGGAGACAGGGGCAGCTGCTCCAAGGACCTTCTGTCTCTTTGCCTTGATGTGCCGGGAGGAATGTGGGGTGTGGACAAGCAAACATTTAAGGCAGTCCAAAATTAAAATTTTTGCTATAATTCCATTTCTAGGTCTCTAACCTGCATATATCTTGGAAACATCAAATACACACACATTTATGGGGAGATGGTGGCGTGAGAGGGAGGAGCCTCCATATTTTTGTCTCCACTTCTGATCCCTACACTGCATGTCTGACTGTAGAGAACCACCACGTTACTCCTAAATACTTCTCCACTTGTCTCCTAAGAACAGAGACATTCTGAGATAACCACTGTGAAATGATCAAAAACAGGGAATTTAACATTGATACAATATTACTAAATGTTATCAATTTGGGGGCTGGGCATGGTGGCTCATGCCTGTATTCCCAGCACTTTAGGAGGCCAAGGAGGGTGGATCACCTGAGGTCAGGAGTTCGAGACCAGCCTGGCCAACATGGTGAAACCCCGTCTCTACTAAAAATACAAAAATTAGCCGGGCATGGTGGCAAGCGCCTGTAGTCCTAGCTACTCAGAAAGCTGAGGCAGGAGAATTGCTTGAACTTGGGAATCAGAGGTTGCAGTGAGCTGAGATCACGGCATTGCACTCCAGCCTGGGAAACAAGAGGGAGACTTTGTCTCAAAAAAAAAAAAAAGAAAAGTATCAAGTTAACATTGATAATATATATAATCCATACTCAAATTTCTCCATTGTCTCTGTAATGCTCTTACTGTTATTATTATTATTATTATTATTATTTCGAGACAGAGTTTTGCTCTTGTTGCCCAGGCTGGAGTGCAGTGGCACAATCTTGGCTCACTGCAACCTCTGCCTCCCAGGTTCAAGCAATTCTCCTGCCTCAGCCTACCGAGTAGCTGGGATTACAGGTGTCCACCACCATGCCTGGCTAAATTTTTTTGTATTTTTAATAGAGATGGGGATTCACCATGTTGACTAGGCTGGTCTCGAACTCCTGACCTCAGGTGATCTCCCTGCCTCGGCCTCCCAAAGTGCTGGGATTACAGACGTGAGCCACCATGCCCGGCCTGTAATGCACTTTATAACAGTTGTTTTCCCAATCCAGGATCGTATATTGTGTGTAGTTGTGTCTGTCTTAAGCCAGCTTTAGAGACCTCGTTTTGACCGTTCTGCTTCATTAGGCCCCTATGTCTAAGTCTATGAAACTTTCTTTCCCAAATTCAGTTGTCTGAGCAGATCAGACAGGATGGCACAAATCTAGGAACCATTGTATATTGAAGCCCAAGACTTTCTTTGCCCCGAAGTTCTGCCTGCGGGAGGGGCAATACAGTCAAGAGATTTGTGTTGGCTGCTACTTAATTAAGAACTCGCAGCCTAGGCAAGGGGTCAAGTTACCATTAGAATAGAATAAATTGAGACAGCCTCTGTTCCATGGGAAGCATGCGAAGCTCAATATTGGATAAGAAGTGCATCATGAATGAAAAGATATCCCTTGTGAAAATGTGCAGCTATTTTAAGAGTGGACTGAGGATTGTGTGTAAATGTCCTTGGAACTTGTTTGATTGCCAGGAGAACTTTTTCTTGTGGATTGTCATAGGAGCACGTGACAGATGGCTCACTGCAGGCTGGCTGTGACCCTGTGTCTGGATTGCTGATGTTGTGGGTTAGATGAGATGCCACCCAAAGAGGGCAGTCTGTCAGCTTTATTTAGTACCATGATGCATGGACGTCCTTCTGATCCTAGCGCAGCTTCCTCTCACGTTGTGCAGGTGTATATTTTTAGACTTATCTTGCAGTACCCTGCTCTCACATTTTTGGTTTCCTTTAAATTCTGCAGCAGCAGTTGTGGGCTGACAGGCTGCCTCCACAGTGTTGGGAGAGAGAATTGCTCTCTCTACTTTTTCAGGATCCAGATTTTCTGCAGCATATTCAGACACCGAACAGGAAACCTAGCCCTTATGCTACTTAGCAATATGATCTTTAAAGACATCATGTAAATTCTGCGATGTCAAAATGGATATCACAGCTGCCTTACCGTCCTCACACATCACTCACTCATTTCTTAACAAGTATTAATAAGCACTATGTGTTAGAAGAGGAGTTACAAAGATAAATAAGAATTTCCCCTCAATCTCAGAGAGGCAATTTATAAATTTACAGAATGTCAGGCTGGAAGGGACTGTCCAGTGCAAATTTTAGTCTTACAGACAAGGAAACTAAGGCCCAAAGAAGTAAAACGACGGCCCAGATGTCACAGCCAGTCAAGATCAGAATGCAAATTGCTTACTTCCCATCCCAAAGATTTTTCCTCCTCATCACTTACCTTTGGCTAAACTCTAATTAAAACCTCAATCCCTATAGCTAGCTTTTATCTACTTTAGAAATCTAGACGGGAGATACCCAAGCTCCTCAAATGTAAAACAACAAATTTCATAAAACAACAACAACAACAAAAACTCCAAACAACTTTTAACCACAAAAATACCTGCCTATTGTAAGCATTTCCAACAATTCTAAAATATATAAAACTTAAAAGTCTAAGATCAGGCCGGGCGCAGTGGCTCACGCCTGTAATCCCAGCACTTTGGGAGGCCGAAGCAAGTGGATCACGAGGTCAGGAGTTCAAGACTAGCCTGTCCAAGATGGTGAAACCCCGTCTCTACTAAAAATACAAAAAATTAGCTGGGCATGGTGGCGGGTGCCTGTAATCCCAGCTACTTGGGAGGCTGAGGCAGGAGAATCCCTTGAACCCAGGAGGCGGAGGTTGCAGTGAACCAAGATTGCACCACTGCACTCCAGCCTGGGCAATAGGGTAAGACTCCATCTCAAAAAAAAAAAAAGTCTAAGATTATTTCCACTCCTATCTCCAATTCTACTCCCTAAGGGTAACTACTCTCATTGGAGTGTATCCCTCTAGACTTTTAGCTATTCAAATCCAAAAATATACACTTTTTTTTTTTTTTGAGATGGTGTTTTGCTCTTGTTGCTTAGGCTGGATTGCAATGGCACGGTCTCAGCTCACTGCAACCTCCGCCTTCCTGGTTCAAGCAATTCTCCTGTCTCAGCCTCCCAGAAGCTGGGATTACAGGCGCCCACCACCACACCCAGCTAATTTTTGTATTTTTAGTAGAGACGGGATTTCGCCATGTTTGGTCAGGCTGGTCTGGAACTCCTGACCTCAGGTGATTACAAAGTGTAATCACCTCCCAAAGTGCTGGGATTACAGGCGTGAGCCACTGTGACTGCCTAATGCATTTTTAATACATGGTACACATTCAGTGTCCATGTTTTCCTCCTATGTGTATAAAGATTCGGGATTCTTCTTGATACTTTGTTGTCTCTGCCCCATCCCCTGTGCTGTGCTGTGTTGGCAACTATGGTTCTATTGCTGCCAAGGATCATCAGCTCAGGTTTATAATTCCCAATGCTCTCTCTTGGCCAGACTTCTACATGCAACATTATAGACAAATGTTTTTCTGTTTTTGATATATTTCCTGTCATCTGCAGCTAAATGCAATCACATAAAAGAGAAATACACCTCTCTTTTTATTTAAACCATGTTTTTGTGTTTTCTGTCACATGCAGCTCTGGGTCACTGTGTCAGTTTTGAATTGCATTTAGCTGCATGTGACAGAAAACACAAAAAACATGGTTTAAGCAAAAGAGAGGTTTATTTCTCTTTTATGTAAAATACCAGAGGCAGGCAGTCCAGGTTGGAGGTGGCAGCCTCTATAGTCATCAGGGATTCAAAGTTCCTTCTTTGTGCTCCACTACATTTCCCTCCTCAAGGTCACCTTATGGTTATATGATGGCTGCTGCAGCATCAGCAATCGTGTCCACATCAGTTTGAAAAAGGTTACTTGCGAGAAGGGCTAGAAAATGTAGTGTTTTAGTGGTCAAATTGTTGCACAGAATAAATTTGCGATTCTGTTAGTTAAGGAAGAATGACAGGAAGGATTAACATGAGTAACTAGCAGTTTCTGCCAGAGTAGAAATGCTTTTTACCTTCGAGTCCTGGGTTGAATTTTCTGCTTTAGCTCACTTTCTATTCTTTGGGGAAAGAAGATTTCTTTTCTTTCTTTTTACTCAGCTTTGCCACTTCTTTTCCTGCCACCTGTTGTTCTAACAAAGCTCAGTTTTTCTTTCTCTTCCAAATTGAGATGTCAGATTCCCTACTGTTTGTATTTTTTAGAGTAACATTTTAACATTTGCTTCATATTCTAGAATTATGTCTCTCCTCATCTCCAGATTCACAAACATATATTCTTGAGTAACCTTTCTTTAAAGCAGAGTATATATAGCAAAACCAGAAGGGTATGGCTTGATAAACTTTCACAAAGTAACACACCCCTGGAAATATTACCCAGATTAGGGTTCATATAAAGTATCATCAGAAACCACCTTTTTTTTTTTTTTTTTTTTTTTTTGAGACAAAGTCTTACTCTGTTGGCCAGGCTGGAGTGCAGTGCCAAGATCTCGGCTCACTGCAACCTCCGTCTCCCAGGCTCAAGCAATTCTTCTGTCTCAGCCCGAGTAGCTGGGATTACAGGCGTGTTCCACCACGCCCTGCTAATTTTTGTATTTTTAGTAGAGACGGGGTCTCACCATGTTGGCCAGGCTGGTCTCAAACTTCTGACCTCAGGTAATCCGCCCGCCTTGGCCTCCCAAAGTGCTGGGATTACAGGCGTGAGCCACGGCACCCGGCCGGAGACCACCTTTCTTATGTCCCCTCCCAGTCAGTACCTTCTCCCAAAGTCATGAAGATCCCAAGTTGTATTATGTTGATTAGTATTTCCTGTTTTAGAACTTTATTTAAATGAAATCAGACAGCATGTACTTTTGTGCCTAGCCACTTTCACACATTACGTATTTGACATTTGTCTATAACGTTGCCCGTAGCAGAAGTTAGTTTATTTCTGTTGACTTTAGAGCAGTGATTCTTGGGGGTGGGAATTGGTGATGATTTAATCTCCCTTGGGGACATTCGACAATCTCTGGAGACATTGTTGGTTGTCACAGCTAGGGTAGTGCTAGTTGTACTGCAGTCTAGTGGGTAGAGGACAGTGGCGCTGCTAAATAGTATTTGGTATACACAGGTTAGCCCCTCACAGCAAAAAGTTATCTCACCCAAAATGGCAATAGTGCCCTACTTTAGAATACTTCATTGTTTTATTTACCCATTCTACTGTTGATGGACATTTGTGTTGCTTCTACTTGGCGTTCTTATGAATAAAACTGCTATGTACATTCTCATACATGTTATTTAGTATGCATATGTGTGCATTTATGTAAAGTGGATATGTAGGACTAAAATTGCTAGTATGTTCAACTTTAGAAAAATCTACAAAAAGTTTTCCAAAATGAGTGTTTTAATTTACACTTTCATCAGCTATGTGTGTGAGAGTTCCCGTTGCTCCACCTTCTCATAAATCCTTGGTATTGCTATTAAAAATTTTTTTAGGCTGGGCACAGGGGCTCATGCCTGTAATCCTAACACTTTGGGAGGCTGAGGTGAGTGGATCACTTGAAGTCAAGAGTCTAAGACCAGCCTCGCCAACATGGTAAAACCCTGTCTCTACTAAAAATACAAAAATTAGCTAGGCGTGGTGGCAGGTGCCTGTAATCCCAGCTGAGGCAAGAGAATCGCTTGAACCCGGGAGGTGGAGGTTGCAGTGAGCCGAGATCACGCCACTGCACTCCAGCCTGGGCGAAAGAACAAGACTCCGTCTCAAAAAAAAAAAAAAAGTTAAACTATTTTTTGAGTGTTAGTAGTAAACAATTCTAGTTTTAGTTTGACATTTCTATATGATTAATGAGGTTAAGAACATTTTCACATACTTGTTGGCTAATTAGATACTCTGTTTTGTAAATTGGCTGTTTAGTCTTTTGCCCATTTTTCTATTAGACTGTGCCTTTTTCTTATTGATTTGTGGCAGTTCTTTATATATTCTGGATATTAGCTCTTTACCTGCTAAAATATTGCAAATGTCTTCTCTTATTCTGTGGCTTGCCTTTTTGCCCTTTTAATAGCATCTTTCAATGAACAGATTTTTTTTCTTTTTTTTTTTTTGAGATGGAGTCTCTTTCTGTCACCCAGGCTGGAGTGCAATGGCACAATCTCGGCTCACTGCACACTCCTCCTCCCGGGTTCAATCGATTCTCCTGCCTCAGCCTCCTGAGTAGCTGGGATTACAGGCGTGTGCCACCATGCCCAGCTAATTTTTGTATTCTTAGTACAGATGGGGTTTCACTGTCTCTACTAAATTGGCCAGGCTGGTCTTGAACTCCTGATCTCCAGTGATCTGCCTGCCTAGGCCTCACAAAGTGCTGGGATTACAGGCATGAGCCACCATGCCCGGCCTCGATGAACAGATTTTAATGTTAGTATCTGATTTATCAATCATTTCCTTTATGATTAGTGCTTTCACCTTTATTTTTAAAGCTATTTTCACTGGGTTTATAATTATAGGTTGGCGGTTATTTTCTTTTAGCAGCTTCAATACATGATTCAAGTGTTTTCATACTTCCATTATGTGTTAGGTTTTCTTTCTTCCTTTCCTTTCCTTTTCTTCTCTCTTTCTCTTTCTCTCTCCTTCTCCTTTCCTTTCCTTCTCTCTTTCTCTTTCTTTCTCTCTCTCCTTCTCCTTCTCCTTTCCTTTCCTTCTCTCCTTCTCTTTCTTTCTCTCTCTCCTTCTCCTTCTCCTTCTGCTTCTCCTTCTCCTTTTCCTTTCCTTTGACGGGGTCTTGCACTGTCACGCAGGCTGCTGGAATGCAGTGGCACGATTATAGCTCACTGTAGCCTCAAACTCTTGAGGTTCAATCAATCCTCCTGCTTTAGCCTACTGAGTAGCTGGGACTACTGGCGTGCGCCACCACGCCCAGCTAATTTTTACATTTTTTTGTAGAGACAGGGTTTCACCATGTTGCCCAGGCTGCTCTTGAACTCCTGAGCTCAAGCGATCCTTCAGCCTCAGCTTTCCAAAAGTGTTGGGATTACAGGTGTGAGCCACCATGCCCGGTCATGTGTTAGTTTTCTATTGCTATGTGAAAATATTACTACAAACTTAGCATTTTAAAACAAAACACATTTATTATCTCAGCTTCTCTGGGTCAGCCATCTGGACATGGCTTAACTGGGTCCTCTACAAGGCTGCAAATAAAGAGTTGGCCAGGACTCCAGGCGTGGTGGCTCATGCCTGTAATCCCAGCACTTTGGGAGGCCGAGGTGGGTGGATCACAAGGTCAGGAGTTCGAGACTATCCTGCCTAACACGGTGAAACCCCGTCTCTACTAAAAATACAAAAAAATTAGCCGGGCATGGTGGCGGGCGCCTCTAGTCGAAGCTACTCGGAAGGCTGAGGCAGGAGAATGGCATGAACCTGGGAGGCGAAGCTTGCAGTGAGCCGAGATGGCGCCACTGCACTCCAGCCTGGGTGACAGAGCGAGACTCCATCTCAAAAAAAAAAAAAAAAAAGGGTTGGCCAGGACTTCATTCTCACCTAAGGCTTGACTAAAAATGAATGTGCTTCCAAACTTATTCCGTTTGTTGGTAGGATGCTGGTCCTTGAGTCTGTAGGACTGAGAGCTTCTGTTTTTTGCTAGCTATCAGCTGAGGCCAACCTCAGTTCCTCATCGTACCCACAGGTCCTTGCCAAGTGACAGTCCCCAACATGGCTCCTTGTTCCTCAAAGTCAGCAAAGGAGGAGAGACTCCAGTAAGACAAGTGTTATGATCCTCTGTAACACAATCATGTAATCTTGTAATTCACGTAGTCACATGCACATAATCACATACATCTTGTCACCTTTACCTTTTTTTTTTTTAAAAGAGATTTGAGAGACAGGGTCTCATTCTGTCATCCAGGCCTGAGTGCAGTAGCACAATCATAGCACCTCACTCTCCCAAGTAGCTGGAATTACAGGCAAGCACCACCATGCCCAGCTAATTAAAAAATAATTTTTTTTAATAGAGACAAGGTATCACTGTGTTGCCCAGGCTGGTCTTGAGCTATTGAGCTCAGAACAGGCTTGGTGGCTCACGCCTGTAATCCCAGCACTTTGGGAGGCCGAGATGGGTGGATCACTTGAGGTCAGGAGTTTAAGACCAGCGACCAGCCTGGCCAACATGGTGAAACCCTGCCTCTACTAAAAATACGAAGACTCGCCAAGCATGGTGGCGCGTACCTGTAATACCAGCTACTCAAGAGGCTGAGGCAGGAGAATCACTTGAACCTAGGAGGCGGAGGTTGCAGTGAGCTGAGATTGTACCACTACACTCCAGCCTGGGCAACAGAGTGAGACTCCGTCTCAAAAAATAAAAACTAAAAACATAACTACTAAGCTGAAGCGATTCTCCTGCCTTGGCCTCCCAAAGTGCTAGGATTACAGGCGTGAGCCACTGCAACCAGCCTAATTTTTTTTTTTTTTTTTTTTTTTTTTGTAGACACGCAGTCTTACTATGTTGCCCAGGTTGGTCTCAAACTCCTGGCCTCAAGTAATCCACCCACCAAAGTGCTAGGATCACAGATATTGAGCCACCACAAGTGGCCTGCCTTATTCTATTGGTTAGAAGCAGGCCACAGGCCCTGTCTCCACACAAGAGGGAAAAATCACACAAAGGCATGAACACCAGGAGGCAAGGCTCGTGGGGACCACTCTGAGTCTGTCCACTACATAAAATTTCTGCCAAGAAATCATCTGTCCACCAAACTAACATTGTTTATTTTTAAGTAAGTGTATTTTTTTCTGTGTTTTTGTTGTTGTTGTTATTCATGTTGTTTTGAGACAGAGTCTCACTTTATTGCCCAGGCTGGAGTACAGTGGCATGATCTCGGCTCACTGCAACTTCTGCCGCCCGGTTCAACTGATTCTCCTGCCTCAGCCTCCTGAGTAGCTGGGATTATAGGTGCCTGCCACCGTGCCTGGCTAATTTTTGTATTTTTAGTAGAGACGGGATTTCACCATCTTGGCCAGGCTGGTCTGGAACTCCTGACCTCAGGTGATCCACCCGCCTTGGCCTCCCAAAGTGCTGGGATTACAGGTGTGAGCCACTGTGCCTGGCCATTCTGTGGTCATTTTTAAGATTGTCTCTCTCTCTTTGGTTTTCAGCAATCCTATGACATGCTAGGTGAATTTTTCTTTTTTAACCTCTCCTAATTAGGGTTCATAGAACTCCTTGTATTAATAGCTTGACTTATTTCATCTCTTTGGAAAAAAATCAGCATTATCTCTTTAAGTATTGCCTCTGCTCCATTCTTTTCCTCCTTGTTTCTCATACCTCCAATGACCTAGATGTTAGACTTTCTCACTGTCTTCAGTAGATATTTTGCACTCTTTTCTCTATTTTCCACCCTCTTTTTCTCTCCTCTTTTTCCCCATTGTCTTTTCCTCCTTCAGTCTGGATGTTTCTTTTTTTTTTTCTTTTTTTTTTGAGGTGATCTCGCTCTGTCGCCCAGGCTGGAGTGCAGTGGCGCAATCTCGGCTCACTGCAATCTCTGCCTCCCGGGTTCACGCCATTCTCCTGCTTCAGTCTCCCGAGTACCTGGGACTACAGGCACCCACCATGGCGCCCGGCTAATTTTTTTTTTTTGTATTTTTAGTAGAGACGGGGTTTCACCGTGTTAGCCAGGATGGTCTTGATCTCCTGACCTCGTGATCCGCCCGCCTCAGCCTCCCAAAGGGCTGGGATTACAGGCGTGAGCCACCACGCCCGGCTGGATGTTTCTTTTTATTATTTTTTTAACTTTTTATAGAGATGGGGTCCCACTATGTTGGACAGACTGGTCTTGAATTCCTGGGCTCAAGTGATCCTGCTGCCTCAGCCTCCCAAAGTGCTGGGATTACAGGCATGAGCCACTGTGCCCAGCTTGTCAACCAGTTTTTGTTCAGCTTTTCAGCATGCCTATCCTACACCATTTATGAATCAGCACATTCCTCAAGGGCAAAGAGAGGCTTCATTCAAGAAGTTTCTCTTCCCTCTGAACATTAGCCCCTCAAGTACTGGCTGCTTGGGCAGCTCTCTCATACCTTTAAACAATTTTTTTTTTTTTTTTGAGACGGAGTCTTGCTCTGTTGCCAGGCTGGAGTGCAGTGGCGCGATCTCGGCTCACTGCAACCTCTGCCTCCCCTCCCAGGTTCAGGTGATCCTCCTGCCTCAACCTCCCAAGTAGCTGTGACTACAGGTGTGTGCCACCATGCCCAGCTAATTTTTGTGTATTTAGTAGAGACAGAGTTTCACCATGTTGGCCAGGATGGTCTTGATCTCCTGACCTTGTGATCTGCCTGCCTTGGCCTCCCAAAGTGCTAAGATTACAGGCATGAGCCACCACACTGGGCCCAAACAATTTTTTACTTTGCATTTTTTCAGCTTTCCTAGTTGTTCTCTGCAAAAGGATTCATCTACTCACATAGGCCTACATTTTTACTTAATATAGATTTCGCCATACTTTCCCACCAGGTCTGAAGTTAACCACTACAGTTCACATTTTCTGTTTGTTTATTTTGTTTTGTTTTTAGAGACAGGATTTTTCTCTGTTACAGAGGCTGGAGTGCAGTGTCACCATCATAGCTCAAGCAATACTCCTCTCTCAGTCTCTAGAGTAGCTGGGATGACAGACGTGCACCACCATGCCTGGCTAATTTTTTTTGTAGAGATGGGGTCTCTCTATGTTGCCTGGGCTTGTCTCAAACTCCTGGCTTCCAGCAATCTTCCCACCCCGGCCTCCCAAAGTGTTGGGATTACAGGCATGAGCCACTGTGCCTGGCCACATTCCTTTTATAGGAAGCTAATATTATATCACACCCCTTTGTTATGAAGAATAGTCCAAGAAAAAAAAAACTATCTATCTATCTATCTATCTATCTATCTATCTATCTATCTATCTGTCTATCAATCATCTATCTATCTCACAACCCTGATATTGTAACTGGCAAAAGGGTCTGGCTGCTCACCGTGTGTAAAAAGAAGCCAAAATAATAACAAGATGTGATAAAAAAAAAGAGAGCGAGACTTTATTATCCATGCCAGTAAGGGAAAGAATGAAAAAAATTCTACTTTTGAATTTGTAGAGGGAATGCAGGGGGTTTTAAAGAGAGGATTTGGGCCAGGTGTGGTTGCTCACGCCTACAATCCCAGCAATATGGGAGGCATAGGCAGGCAGATCACTAGAGCTCAGAAGTTCAAGATCAGCCTGGGCAACATGGCAAAACTACATCTCTACAAAAAATACAAAAATTAGCTAGGTATGGTGGCACACACCTGTATTCTCAGCTACTTGGGAGGCTGAGGTGGGAGGATCACTTGAGCCCAGGAGGTAGAGGCTGCACTGAGTGGTGATGGTGCCACTGCACTCCAGCCTGGGTGACAGAGTGAGACCCTGTCACACACACACACACACACACACACACACACACACACACACACACAGAGGGTTTGGAATGCAGAAGAGGAAGGGGAGCTAGCAGGTGTCAGGTGGCGTGACCTCCTCCAACAGCTTGTCTTGAATTATTGTTCCATCCGGTGAGGGGGTTGGCGACTTCGTGGCTCGAGGTGTCTGGTCCATATCAGGATCCAGCCCCTGAAGCTTCTAAGGAAATATATGACCAGATAAGTGAGTATGGTATGTGCTTAACATGCATCTAAGTAAATATGTATATGTAAGGCTTGGGAACATAGAATAGGAAAAGAAAAGGATTGGAGGTTCACAGCACATTCCGAAGCTGTATTTGAAGATGAAAGGAAAGACATACGCAGTTTGTCTCACAGTTGTATCTTGAGATTGGGGAGAAAGGAGGAAAGAAAACAAAGTTTTAAAACACAGTTTGGGCTGGGTGCAGTGGCTCACATCTGTAATCCCAGCACTTTGGGAGGCAGAGGCGGGCAGATTGCTTGAGCCCAGGAGTTTGAGACCAGCAGGGGCAACAGAGCAAAAGCCCACCTCTACCAAAACAAAACAAAATTAGCTCAGTGTAGTGGTGCGTACCTGTGATCTCAGTTACTCAGGAGGTTAAAGTGGGAGGATCACTTGAGCCTGGGAAGCGGAGGTTGCAATAAGCCAAGATTGTGCCACTGCACTCCAGTGTGGGCGACAGAGCCAGAGTCCTGTCTAAAATAAAATAACTAAAAGTGGCCAGGCACAGTGGCTCACGCCTATAATCCCAGCACTTTTGGAGGCTGAGGTGGGCGGATCACAAGGTCAGGAGTTCAAGACCAGCCTGGCCAATATGGTGAAACCCCGTCTCTACTAAAAATACAAAAATTAGCCAGGCATGGTGGCGCGTGCCTGTAGTCCCAGCTACTCAGGAGGCTGAGGCAGAAAAATCACCTGAACCCAGGCAGCGGAGGTTGAGTGAGCCGAGATTGCACCACTGTACTCCAGCCTGGGCGACAGAGTGAGACTCAGTCTCAAATAAATAAATAAAATAACTAGGTGTGCGCGATGGCTCATGCCTATAATCCCAGCACTTTGGGAGGCTGAGGTGGGCAGATCACCTGAGGTCGGGAGTTCACGACCAGCCTGACCAACATGGAGAAATCCTGTCTCTACTAAAAAATACAAAATTAGCCGGGCGTGGTGGCGCATGCCTGTAATCCCAGCTACTTGGGAGGCTGAGGCAGGAGAATCGCTTGAACCCAGGAGGCAGAGGTTTTGATGAGCTGAGATTGTGCCATTTCACTCCAGCCTGGGCAATAAGAACAAAACTCCGTCTCAAATAATAATAATAATAACCAAAAGTATAATTGGATTGTTCATAATGCAAAGGATAAATGCTTGAGGTGATGGATATCCCATTTACCCTGATGTGAATATTACACATTGTATGTCTGTATCAAATTATGTTATATACCCCATACATATATACTTACAAAATATATATACTCACAAAAACTGAACATAAAAACAAAAGAAAGCAAGCTCGATGCTGCCAGGAGAATCTACTGTTTGTTCTAGCAAACTTCTAATGATAGACCCCCTGTTTCTCAGAGCATTAGTAAGAAGGGCTTAAAATTAAGAATACTTCATTTCTCCCTTTGAGGTATATATATAATTCCTCCAATTCAGAAGTGTCTTTCTCAAGGACCAGAGAGCCATTCCTTTGAAATATAATCATCAAAAAAGGATAGGCCCTCTGTCTCCCAGTTGCTGTGGAAGGGCAGAATCCCTAACTTGCATAATTGCCAGCTAGCAGGCACAGCTGGCCTAATTGCATTGATACTGACCAACCCTTTGCAATTTTTCCTTTCGCTGACTTTAGCGGGACCTCACTTGTCTCCTCTGTCATTCTGCCTTTAAAAGGCCCAGTCATCTCAGCACAAATTAGAATGGAGCTTGGGCTTCTCGGCCTTTGGGATCAAGTGCAGAATGGAGTCTGGCTCTTTCTTCTGTCAGTAGTTGCTGAATAAAACCCGAGTTTTGTGTTTTTGTTTTTCTTGTAGAGACAAGGGTCTCACTGTGTTGCCCAGGTTGGTCTCAAACTCCTGGCCTCAAGCAATCCTCCTGTCTCAGCCTCCCAAAGTGCCAGGATTACAGGCATGAGCCAAGGCCCTTGGCCAGTAAAATCTGTTTTCACCACTTTAACTACTGTGCAGCTGTGTTTATGTTTAACAGGTAATACCAGTGTGGTGGTGGTAGTGATAATAAGTGTTTTAGTCATTACTGCTGTATAACAAGCTACTTGAAAACTGGAATAAAACAATCACATCTGCTGGGGTGAGAAATTTTGACAGAGTACAGTGGACATGGCTTATCTTTGCTCCTTACTATCTGGGGCCTCAAGTTAGCAATATTTAAAGAATCATCCAGTCCATAGCTGAGGAGTAGAATCACCTGGAGATGTCTTCACTCATGTCTGAATGCTGGTCAAGATCTCAGCCTCTGGCTAAAACGCTTATACATGACCTCTCTGAGTAGCTCCTCTGTGATGGCTAGTTTGAGTTTATTTTGACGTTACGGCTGGTTTTTAAGGGTAAATGTCTCAACAAAGTATATGGCATTTTTATGACCTAACCTTGGAAGTCACAAAGGATTTCTTCCACCATGGAATATCAATCAAGGCAGTCATAGTAGTCCACCCAGAGTCAAAGAATTACTTCCACCATACATATCAATCAAGGCAGTCATAGTAGTCTACCCAGAGTCAAGGGAAGGGGACATAGACTCCCCACAATGGGTGGAGTGTTAGGATTACATCATAAGAAAAGCACATAACCACCTTTGGAAAACAGTCGGCCAGAAAGAACAGCCTTATTGTGCTCCTAAGTTGAATGGAAATTCTTCTACTAAAGGGGTTTTGCCTTTAAGCTTGGGTTCAGATTTATTTATTTATCATGTCAAGGAAATCCTTTTAGTCCAATTTTATTCTTTTTTAAAAAATTTATTTATTTTTTTTATTTTAAACTGCACCGCCCTTGGTCCCAGGACCCAGGGAGGCTGGCTTTTTTTTTTTTGAGACAGGGTCTCACTCTGTTACCCAGGCTGGAGTGCAGTGGCACCATCACTGCTCACTTCAGCCTCGACCCCCAGAGCTCAAGTGATCTTCTTGGCTCAGACTCCTGAGTAGCTGGGACCACAGGCATGCACCACCATGCCCAGCTAATTTTGCTTTTATCTTTTGTAGAGACGAAGTCTCATTATGTTTCCCAGGCAGGTCTTGAACTCCTGGGCTCAAGTGATCTGCCCACCTTGGCTTCCCAAAGTTCTAGGCTCACAGGTGTGAACCACTGCACCTGGCTTTGTTTTTTGGTTTTTTTTAATAGGTAGTGAATTTTTTCAAATGCCTTTGTATCATCTATGAAAAGGCAGCAAAGTGAGGTAATAATGAACGAGGTTGTGGTTGCTCCCTTTGAGGGAGCAGTTTATTCATTCAATAAACATTTTTGAGCAGGTATTGTGTGCCCGGCGCTCTGCTAGGCACTAGATAAAACATTGAGCCAAACTGAAGTAGTTCCCTGCCCTCAAGAACTTTACACCCAAAATGACCCAGATCCTGTTAACTACCCGAAGTCTGGTATTTATGCCAGTAAACACAGAGAGAAGTGTTATGGCCTACTCTCTCACCCCAATCCCAAACAAACCCCATAACCTAACCCTGCAGCTCACTCCTTCCTAGGACATTCAATCACTTGTTAGGATCATGTTTGAAGGGCAGGGGGCCGTTGACATATATAATTTTAGCCACCAGAGGGCAGTCATATCTTTAAGATACTTTCAAAGTGAAGGGGAAAAGGACAAAACCAGTCCTTCAAAGGCTATCCCTGGGATTCTGGGGCCAAAGTCAAATCACATGGTAAGATTCGCTCCCAAAAGGACAAGCCTAGCACTCAAACCACTCTCCTACTTTAGGCCTGGGGATTGCACTCATTTAGCATGAGGCTCTGGTCCCTTGAGGGGAGGATGATACATGAAATCTGACAGAAGCCTTGATGAAATAGATCAGAGGGTTGGGTGCCACTCACGCCCGGAATCCCAGCACTTTGGGAGACCAAGGTGGGTGGATCACCTGAGGTCAGGAGTTCGAGACCAGCCTGGCCAACATGGTGAAACCCTGTCTCTACTAAATATACAAAAAGTAGCCAGGCGTGGTGGTGGATGCCTGTAATCCTAGCTATTCGGGAGGCTGAGGCAGGGAGAATTGCTTGAACCTGTGACGCGGAGCTTGCAGTGAGCCAAGATAGCGCCACTGCACTCCAGCCTGGGCAACAGAGCGAGACTCCATCTCAAAAAAACAAACAAACAAAAACAAAACAAAAAACACACAAACAGAGGGTCTCCTAACCAAAGCAAATATTTCAGAGCATGTAAACTACACAGGAAGTCCTAGAGGGAGGGGCCAGGGACCCACAGTACTCACTGAAGAGAGTCCCTCAATGAGCTTATTTTATTTTATTTTGTTTTTTATTTTATGAGACAAGGTCTCACTCTTTTATCCAGGCTAGAGTGTGTGATCATGGCTCACTGCAGCCCAGGCTCAAGAGATCCTCCCACCTCAGCCTCCTGAGTAGCTGGGATTATAGGTTATTGCCACCATGCCCGGCTACTTTTTGTATTTTTTGCAGAAATGGGGTTTCGTCATGTTCCCCAGGCTGGTCTCAAATTCCTGGGCTCAAGCGATCCACCCTCCTTGACCTCTCACAGCACCCGGCCCTAAATGAGCATTTATTGAGCAATATCTATTCAACAACAAGTTCTGTACTTGGGCTAGAGAGAAATAGACTTGCTCTGGTGCAAAGAGAAGACTCACTTACACAACATAATGAGAAAGCAAATGAAAGACAATCCTGAGCCAAGCAGTGTCTAGCCAGGATGCCCCTTCCCTCCATTCCCAGGGAAGCACACTGAGAGGCACCCAGGATGCCAGTTGTTTAGACACAGCATGCAGCCTTCAGGGAGTGTTGCCGGCTTGGGAATGCTGCCAGAAGCCCCCAGCCCTTCTCCTTCCTCTACCTAGCCTGGTGTGTGGGATCTATTTCCAGTCTTTGGTGTTTGTGTTTGTTTTGTGTTTTTTACTTATTTATGTATTTATTTTGCTTATCAGAAGTGTTTTATCAAAGGCCTACATTTCCTCCCCAGTCTGAGGCTTGAGCAGCTTTGTCAAAATTAAGCAAGAGAGATTTTCAGGCTCTACCCAGCCTCCTCCCACCTCCACATCAATGAATGCAGAGCCTTATTCTGACTTGAATGAGAATAAGTGAAGGGAAGGATATATAGGAAGGAAAATGGTTTAAAAATCGCAAAAATGGCCGGGCTCGGTGGCTCACACCTGTAATCCCAGCACTTTGGGAGGCCAAGGCAGGCAGATCACGAGGTCAAGAGTTCAAGACCAGCCTGACTAATATGGTGAAACCCCGTCTCTACTAAAAATACAAAAATTAGCTGAGCGTGGTGCAAGCCTGTAGTCCCAGCTACTCAGGAGGCTGAGGCAAGAGAATCGCTTGAACCCTTGAGGCAGAGGTTGCAGTGAGCCAAGATTGTGCCATTGCACTCCAGCCTGGGTTACAGAGCAAGACTCCATCTCAAAAATAAAATAAAATAAAAAATCTCAAAAACCTGCTTCTCCCACAGGGCTGTGAGAATGCACATCCTTAGCCCAAATCTGGCATATGGTCAGAACTCAATGAGTGTCAATTATGGGCTCACAATCCCTTACTGGAATTTCCAAAGCCCCCAAAGCTCTAAAACCCAAAGGTTTTTCATAATTCATTTGACAAAACCTGATCTGACCTGAATTCATTTGGCAGCAGAACCTCACCTGAACCCCCATTTTGGTCTACTGCAGAACTCTAAGGCGTGTGACTCCTGGGTGTTCCTCCAGGCGCTGCTTGGGGGTATTATGTTTATGGTATAAGCACCTGATTACCTATCTGAAATCTGGAACATTCTGAATTCTGAAATGTAACTGGCCCCAGGGACCTGTTTCTATAAGAAACCTAGGTTCTAGATGTTGTTTCTGCTGTTACCTAGCTGTGTGACATTAGATGTGGTAGACAGACCCTAGAATGGCCCTAAAATTTCCCATCTGCTACTTTTCATGTTATTTATTTATTTATTTATTTTTGAGGTGGAGCCTAGCCATGTCGCCCAGGCTGGAGTGCAGTGGTGTGATTTCAGCTCACTGCCACCTCCACCTCCCGAGTTCAAGCAATTCTCCTGCCTCAGCCTCCCGAGTAGCTGGGATTACAGGTGTGCACCACCACGCCCAGCTAATTTTTGTATTTTTAGTAGAGACAGGGTTTCACTGTGTTGACCAGGCTGGTCTCGAACTCCTGACCTCGTGATCCACCCACCTCGGCCTCCCAAAGTGCTGGAATTACAAGCGTGAGCCACCACACCTGGCCTATTTATTTATTTTTCAAGACAGAGTCTTGCTCTGTCGCCCAGGCTGGAGTGCAGTGGTGCAATCTCAGCTCACTGCAACCTCCACCTCCCAGGTTCAAGCAATCCTCCTGCCTCAGTCTCCCAAGTAGCTGGGATATAATCCCCTCCCTTGGAATGTGGGTGGGACACATTCAAATTTTGTGTGACTTGATTCTCACAAACAGAATATGGCAAAGGTAAAGAAATTTTGAAGATGTAATTAGGGTCTCAAATCTGTTGATTTCATTTCATCAAAAGGGAGATCATCTGGGTGAGCCTGACTCAATCAGTTAAAAGCCTTAAAAGGCTTTTAAGGACTGGCCCCTCCCTGAGGTTAGAGACTCTCTCTCAGTTATTGGCTTTGAAGAAACTGACCTGCTATGAGAAGACCTATGGAAAGAGCCACTTGGCAAGGAAGAGGGGGCAGCATTTAGTTGCGAGAACATTCGGCTGACCACCAGCAAGAAAATGGGTACTTCGGTCCTACAGCTGCAAGAAGATGGATTCTGCCAACAGCCTGAGGGAGCCTGGAAGCAGGTCTTTCCCTGCTTGAGCCTCTGATGAGACTCCAGCCCCAGCTGACACCTTGATTTCAGCCTGGGGAAACCATGGAGCAGAGGAGGCAGCTAAGCTGAGCTCAGGTTCCTGACCCATAGAAATGACGCTAAGTATGTGCTATTTTAATCTGCTATATGACAATCATTTTTAGATGATTTGTGGGCAACACAGAAAGCCAGTACATTAGGGAAGTCTCTTAACCTCCCTGGGTCCCAGTTGTGCATCTGTAAATTAGGGAAATGGTTGAACCGGGTCACACCTAGGAGCCTCTCAGGCTCTAGCTTTTGGAGACTCTGTATGGGCAGATGCTGAGTGCTGCACCGTTGTGAGAAGGAAGAATCGTTCTCTAATGGGTGAGCAGGCTAGTGCTCTCATGTGGGGGGCTGTGGGTGCCAAGGAGGTGTGTCGTTGAGGTGGCTGCTGCAAAATGCAGACAGCTGAGGACTCACCCTGAGTCCTTGATGACCCATCTGCCAGCAGGCTAGACGCTGACCACAACTGGCACCACGCCTGGCTGCAGAGGCGATCAGCTTTCAAGAGCAGGAAAAACAAATGTCCTCTTTCCCCTGCTCTGTAAGGGACGTGCAACCATGCTGGGCATCCATCCCCACCTCTGTTAATTTACTGGGGGGCAAAGGGTCCACTCTGCAATCTTCCTCCCATGATACCTAAAACTCTTGGGCTTGTGACCTCTAGGACTGCCCTGGGGAGCTCCTGGGAAGCTGAGTCAGGGAGGGCATCAGGTTTCCTGCTAGCTCTTGGCACACTTCTGAAGTAGGTGAGCTTGTGCTTCTGTGCTGTCCCACCCAGCCGGTCTGCCAGGTCTCTCTGCTTCCCACACCCGCTGCCGCCTGCCCCAGGGGCCCGGACCACCAACACACCCCAGAGGTGGGGCACCCACTGTCTGCCTTCCCTCCCCCAATACTCCCTCACACACAGCTGACACGCTCATCTGACTGGCTAAAGGGATTGTCCCTTATTAAATTCCTTGGGGGATGATCTCATTAAGCCTTGTTATGGGTCACTTCTATTTCAGGGAGAATAAATTTGCTGCAATCTATGGGCAGCTAGTTAATTGAAACCTGAGGAAGGGGCTGGGGGAGGGGAGGGCACGGGTGAGGGGGTGGAGCGAGCCTGAAAGTGTGGGAAGTGCCTGGCCTGGTGAGAGCTGAGAGCTGGCTGGGAGGAGGCTGAAGGTGCACATGAGGGTAGCCGATAAGGAGGAGGCCACAGGCAGTGGAGGGAGAGGGGAGACAAAAGCAGGTGTCAGCTGCAGCCTGATGCAGGGAGATAGCCTCCTAACTGCCTCCCAGGCCTCTGTGCTCAGCCCTGCCCCAACATATGAGTCCAGGCCAGCACAAAGTGATAAGCACCTAGGCCAGGATGTAGCAACAGAGATGGAAAAGAAGGAGATATGAGAGAACTTGGAAACAAATTTGATACAGGGATGAAGGAGAGGAGAGGAAAAAACCCAAGATGACCTTTAAAGATGCTTGGAGAATGGGGAGAGGCGCCAGCCGGAGCACAAGCCCAACACAGGCCTCTGAGCAATGCCAAGTTTACTGCTCTGCTGTTTAAAGAATCCTTCTTCACCCATTTCCGAAAAAATGTTTCCTATCTCCGGTTTTCTGGCTCTTCAGCCATTCATCTATTCATGCAAGCATTCATTCGGTTCGTCAGAATGGAGACCTTACGTAGCACTCTATCAGCCCCTCTGCTGAATACCGGCAATGCAAATATAGACAAATAGATTTTATAGGCTAAGCGTCGTGAGTCCACCCAGAGCAGTTAGCCACTCCCAGGAGCTCTTTTCCTTCCATTCCCTCTTTTCCAACAGTTGTGTTGATTTTCAGGATAGCTGCTGCAGAGAAGAGAATTCAAAGATGGAGGAAGGTTTTGTGTTGGGGATCTAAAGCCAAAGGAACTTGTGACTTTTGGTCATGCTGAGAGACAGGTGACCACTAATTGTGTAGCCCTTGGCTGGTCTCTGTCTTTTTGAGACTGAGTTTCGCTCTTGTTGCCCAGGCTGGAGTGCAGTGGCACGATCTCGGCTTACTGCAACCTCTGCCTCCCAGTTTCAAGCAATTCTCCTGCCTCAGCCTCCCAAGTAGCTGGGACTACCGGCATCCATCACCATGTTGGCCAGGCTGGTCTCGAGTTCCTGACCTCAGGTGATCCACCTTGCCTGGTCTCTTAATGCTCTTAGCCTGAATTTTATCATCTGTAAAAGGAGAAATAGGCTTAGATGATTTTAGAAAACTCTTCTACTTTGTATCTATGTTCTTGTTTTATGGATGTGAAAGTACTCTGAAAAGTTTGATTTCTACGCAGATGTGAGGTAGTTCTTTATTTCAGAAAGCAATAACAATGCGAGTGCCCACAGGGTGGATATGGGTTGTGAAATGGAAACTCCATCCCCTACTTCTTGCTTCCCTGTGGAGGGGTCTCTATTGGAGCCACATTCCTGGAGTCTCTCTGGCCTGACTCTCCCGGCAAGAAGAATGGTTCCCATCCGGTAATATTTTCTCCACCCAATATTTTACCTGAAATGTCACCAGGAAATATTAATCCCCATGGATCTCATGTCAGCTGCCCTCCTTTATATTTCAAGACCATGGTGGGAGGTAGAGCATGAAACCAGATCACCTTCTGGTGTGAAGATTTCAAGGGAGAAGTTGAGGTGGGAAGCCTCACCAGGTATTCTCTTTAGGACTTGCCTGAGAGTAGATTCTGGGCTGCTCAGACAGGGCAGCGCTCCTGTGACTGGTTGAATAGTCTGTCTACATTTGCTGTGACAGGAATGGGATAGGAAGTTCATGGAGGCTGCTCATTTGCACCGTGTCCCCCAATCCAGCTTTGATCTGCCATAAAGTTGACATTTAAGTGTTCGCCTGTTTCCTGCATCTTATTTTTTAGTTGCTTCCAAACTTGAGGAGAGAAAGAGAAAGGGTTATTTATTACACAGGCCCCAACCCTAGCAAGAGAAAAAAAAAAAATCACAGTCCACGTTATAAGTCTTCCTTGGGATTTTGTTCTTTTTTTCTTTTTTCGAGACAGGGTCTCACTCCGTCATCCACACTGGAGTGCAGCTATATGATCTGGGCTCACTGCAGCCTCCACCTCCCAGATTCAAGCGATTCTCCCACTTCAGCCTCCCGAGTATCTGGGATTACAGGTGCCCGCCACCATGCCCAGCTAATTTTTAGTATTTTTAGTACGGATGGGGTTTTGCAATGTTGGCCAGGTTGGTCTCGAACTCCTGACCTCAAGTGATCCACCTGCCTTGGCCTCCCAAAGTGCTGGGATTACAGGAGTGTGCCACCACACCCGGCTAATTTTTGTATTTTTAGTGGAGACAGGGTTTCACCATGTTGGCCAGGCTTGTCTCAAAGGAGATTTTTTTCTTTTTTCTAAATTCCTCCCTTACCCTTGCCTTCTCCACATCCAAATGAGTATCAGCCTCTGGGCACTCATTCCCAAAATGACCTAGTCCTTTCATTCCACTGTGACATCTTTCCAGAATGCTTTTCCTCTTCTCTATGAGGCAAAATTCTTGTCATTCTTAGAGTCATGGCTCAGAGTTCTCCCCCTCAGTGAGTCAATCCTTCTCAAGGAGCTCAGGCTGAGTTTGCAGCTTCCTTGTCTCAGTTTCTAGGACTCTATTCTATTATGCTATCACTAGTCCTAATGGGAGGCGACCTCATGCCCGTCTTACCCAATAGAGCAGACTAGGTTGAGTGCTGTACCTGGAAGTTCCTCTGGCCACATCTATGTCTTCTTAGAACTATTGTGTCTGGGGTTTCCTGGGTGGGGAAGGCAAATGAAACCTCAGCAATGACTGGTATGAATTCTCCTGCCAGGTGGGGGCCTTAAAGTAGAAATCAAATTGATTTCTAGGAAATGAAGAAAGTGATGTTTCTTGCATACTTGAGTTGGAGGGCTAGAGTATTATTCACTGCAAATAAATTCTGACCTTGTTTTTTCATGAAATGTTGCTCTCCTTCTCACTCTTCCACCCTAGAAATTTTGTCAAGGCTTGAATCAGTCCAGAATTTACTCTATTGTTCCCTTACCTGTTGCTTGGAATGTGACCGTTTGGGGAGTGTGTTTTGTTTTGTTTTGTTCTGAGACAGAGTCTTGCTCTGTTGCCCAGGCTGCAGTGCAGTTGTGCGATCTTGGCTCACTGCAACTCTGCTTCCTGGGTTCAAGCGATTTCCTGCTAATTTTGTTTTTTTTTATTTTTAGTAGAAAAAGCATTTCACCATATTGGCTAGGCTGGTCTTGGACTCCTGACCTCAAGTAAACTGGCTGGCCTTGGCCTCCCAAAGTGCTAGGATTACAGGCATGAGCCACCACACCTGGCCTGGGGAGTGTTTTACCATTCCTGAGACTAGATGGTGACAGGTTCTTACAACAGCCTGAGCAAAGCCTGACACAGAGGGGGAACCCCTTCAGTGGATGGGTCCTTCCTGCCACAGACTAAATGTAAATAAAGTCCTTCTGCTGTGTCTTCAGTGAGGATGGAGAACAGAGGGCTGCTCAAGGTCAAGTTGTATACTTGGAGGCTGGAGAAGAAGCCCCACACAGAGAAAGCCCAGGTGAGCTGAGCAGGACAGGAAGGATCCTCCGAGACCTGCAGATCATGCCACCAACCAGCACCAGGCCTACATCCAAGGAGCGCAGGGTATCCAGGAAGAACATCAGGCCGTACTCTCTCTCAGGCTAGACCAGTCACTTCTATTCCAAAGAAGACTTCTCAGGGCTGGAAGCATCCCCTCCCCTCTGTAGTCCCTCTCTTGTGCTTGCTGCCCTCCTTGACCTTGGTTCCCTTGGTTTCCAGTGAGCCAAGTGGAGGTGTACTCTCCCACCTCGTCATGTGCAGCCTGCCTGGGAACACAGTGTCTCCAAGGCTGACTGAGGAGAACAGAACTTGAGGAGAAAAACAGCAGCACAGAGAAGGAAAAACAGAGTGGGGCCTGGGGAGAAAGGAGAGCTCTCAGCTGGGGTTTCCCACAGAAGCAGAGTCTCAGACAAGAGCTTGCACACAGGTCATTAATTTTGGGAATTACCCCAGAACAGGAGTGAGGAACTGGAGAGAGTGACCCAAGGAAGGAGGGAGAGCCATTCCAATGTGTGCTGCCTTATCAAGCTCATCTCCAGGGAGGCCGCCTGGGCGTGGTCCACCTGTTTGCCCCTAAAGAGAACCAAAGAACGAGCTTCAAAATTGTTCGTCTGAGGGAAATAATAGAGGATGTTTATCCACCAGTTCTGGCCCCCTCGGGTCAAGGTTGCCCCATAGGATGTTAACTCCTTCTGTCTTCTAGGTTTGTCCACATGCAATCCAGAGTGTCCCAGGAGGGAAACCCCGGGGCAGGTGATACCTACAGGCAACTGCAACAATGACTGGAGGGTAAATGTGGACCAAGGTGTGAGCTGGGGCACCATACAAAAGAGAAGGGTGAGGAAGAAGCTGCAGCACAAAATGGAGATTAGAGGGAAAAACGAGGTTAGTGGAGCCATCATCATCTGCTTGCCCGATGCACACAGCAAGTCAATATGCCGAGACACCGGGTTGAAGCAGAGAAAGAGGTTTAACTGTAGTGTCACTGAATGAGGAGATGGGAGAAAACCTCATCTCCATCTCTCCAAGGAATTTGGGGTTAGGGTTCTTAAGGGTTTTGGAGTGGGCAGAAGTGCGGAGATCATTGATTGGTGGAAGACTGCAGGCTGAAGTCCTGGGACAGGGAGAGGAATAAGCTGTATTCTCACGGGGATCCCGTTCCTCTGTGGGGATCTTCAGACTGGGTGCTGGAATTGGGGGGTCTGAAAAAACCTTTTAGGTCGGGTGCAGTGGCTCACGCCTGTAATCCCAGCACTTTGGGAGGCCGAGGCGGGCGGATCACTTGAGGTCAGGAGTTCGAAACCAGCTTGGCCATCATGATGAAAACCTGTTTCTACTAAAAATACAAAAAATTAGCTCGGTGTGGTGGTGCTTGCCTGTAACGCCAGCTACTCAGGAGGCTGAGGCAGGAGAATCGCTTGAACCCAGGAGGCGGAGGTTGCAGTGAGCTGAGATCAGGTGGCGCCACTGCACTCTAGCCAGGAACCATGGGGATGCAAATCAATTATTAGTCTTATGACCCTAATGTCAGAGATCCTACCTGTAGGCAAAAAGGCAATGCAAATGGTCAGGAACTAGTGACTTTTAGCAACAAGAAAGTGGGCAGAGTGCAGCCTGATTAGTGTTTAATTACAACTATATTTCTGTCCAGAACCCAGCATACAATTCTTGTCAGCCTTCTGGGGGCAGTCTCAGGAGGACAACTGAGGAGAAGACAAAGCAACCATAAACAGTCCTTGTTTCAGGGAGAGACGTGAGCAGGGCAGAGGCAGCCCTTCAGCAGCCGGGGCCTCTGCCGAACTCCTAGAACTGGCTAGGGTGAGAATAAGCCCTGAAATGTACAGAGTTCTTGCTGCTACAAGACTCTGGCAGGCCCACTGGCAGGAATGAGTGGCCCTGGCAGTAACTGTACATTCCCACCCCCTTGTAGCCTGGGGCAATCTCTTTTGGGCCTCCCATGATGATAAGCTGTCTCCTGAGCATTCCTGACTCTTCCAGTTCAACAATACCAATTTAGAGTTTCTAGCTGAGAACACACCTCTCCCAAAGGGCAGGCTGAAGGAACAGGATTATAAAAGGGTCATGACCTGCTAGAATGGAAACAAGTTTCCTACAGTTCTTGTGGCAGTGGCCCCCCAAGTTAGGGTTAAGGTTGCTCCCCGCCATCAATATAGCCCCCAGGATTGGATGGATTTGAGGAGATGGATTCTAGGAGCTTCTGAAATTAAGTGGAAATCTTTGGAAAAGTAAGAAAAGGGTTCCAGGGGAACCTTTTCAGTACCCTTTGTAAAGGCCTGGAACATTCCATACTTGTATTCTATCTACACTTTAGACCCAGTCTTATCCCACAATAGTGTGGGACTCTTTCCACACTATGAGTCCATTGTGGGCTCATTTCCACAATGATCTTTTCCCTTTGTGAATTAATATAGCTCTAATAATATCAATGCACAGATTTAGCTTTAGCTCTCAATGGTCCTCTTTTTTAAAATTTAATTTTTTTATGTTTATGTTTTAGAGAAGATGTCTTGCTCTGTCATCCAGAACTAGAGTGCAGTGGAGCAATCATAGCTCACTGCAGCCTCGAACTCCTGGTCTCAAGTGATCCTCCTGCCTCAGCCTCCAGAGTAGCTAATAGGTATGGACCACTGCACCCAGCTCAATTGTCTTCTTATTGTTCTTTTCCTTTAAGTTATTCTTGTCTTTTTGTATTATAAATTCTAGAGTTAAATTAGCAGGGCATGGTGGTGCATGTCTATAGTCCCAGCTCCTCAGGAGGCTGAGGCAGGAGAATCACTTGTACCCAGGAGGCGGAAGTTGCAGTGAGCTGAGATTGCATCACTGCATTCCAGCCTGGGTGACATAGTAAGACTCAAAAATTTTTTTTAAATTAAAAAATAATAATAATAATAAATAAATTCTGGAGCTTTGTGTTTTCCTGGTTCCTGGTACACCAGGACTAGAAAATAGTTGGATTTGTGAATCAGTAAGAATCCACGAGTGTGTGTGTGTGTTAGACTGGCTTTCTTAGGCCACCAGAATGTTATAATTTGAGGATTCTATAAAACCTGGCTTGGGGGCCAGGTACGGTGGCTGACACCTGTAATCCCAGCACTTTGGGAGGCCGAGGCGGGTGGGTCATCTGAGGTCAGGAGTTTGAGACCAGCCTGACCAATATGGTGAAATCCCGTCTTTACTAAAATTACAAAAGTTAGTCGGGCATGATGGTGTGTGCCTGTAGTCCCAGCTACTAGGGAGGCTGAGACAGGAGAATTCCTTGAGCCTGGGAGGCAGAGGTTGCAGTGAGGAAAAAACAAAACAAAAAACCTGGCTTGGGAAGTCGAGACTGTGGTTAGCTGTGATCGCCACTGCACTCCAGCCTGGGCAACAGAGTGAGACCATCTTAAACAAAAACAAAACAAAACAAAACAAAACAAAAAATGTGACTCAACAAAAAGATCTCCCTCTCCCGAGCTGAGCTGCCTTACTCTTTGAAATTCCTACCCTGTATGCCACTCCTTGACTGCCTCTAGAGAAGTGTTTGTTTTAGACAGACAGAGTATTTTGTCACCTGGGAAGGGCAGTATATTAGCCAGCTACCACTCTAGTAAGAATTAGTTTCTGTAATTAATCGTTGTTAAGACATGGAGTATGGAAGCCTTAGAGATTGAGTCCTAGGCCAGGAAGGTTTGGTTATTGGAAGTGAGGAGGGGCAAAGAGGGCTAAGGTCCTGGGGCCTTGAATGATGAGAGAAGGCACTGGCTGGGTTTAAGAGGTCATGAGCATAGCAGGGAAGGACACACCAAAGACAAACTTTGGGTTCATATATTTGCTTAGGTAAGGCTTCCTGTAGTGAAGGCAACTCATTCAGGAAACTGCTGTTTGTTTCTTTTTTCTTTTTTTGAAACAGGGTCTTACTGTGTTACCTAGGCTTAGCACAATGGTGAGATCATGGCTCACTGCAGCCCCAACATTCCAGGCCCAAGTGATCCTCACACCTCAGTCTCCAGAATAGTTGGGACTACAGGCACACACCATCATGCCCAGCTAATTTTTTTTGTAGAGATGACAGTGTCTCCCTATGTTGCCCAGACTGGTCTTGAACTCCTGGGCTCAAGCAATCCTTCCACCTCAGCCTCCCAAAGTGCTAGGATTACAGGTGTGAGCCACCTTGCTTGGCCTCTGATCATTTCACTAACAGGTCTTGTTACCGGAAAGGGGTCTCAATCCAAACCCAAAGAGAGGGTTCTTGGATCTTGCGCAAGAAAGAACTCCAGGTGAATCCATACAGTAAAATGAAAGCACGTTTATTAAGAAAGTAAAGGAACAGACCGGGTGTGGTGGCTCACACCTGTAATCTCAGCACTGTGGGAGGCTGAGGTGGGTGGATCACCTGAGGTTAGGAGTTTGAGACCAGCCTGGCCAACATGGCGAAACCTGTCTCTACTAAAAATACAAAATATTAGCCAGGTGTGATGGTGGGCACCTCTAGTCCTAGCTACTCGGGAGGCTGAGGCAGGAGAATCACTTGAACCTGGGAGGTGGAGGTTGTAGTGAGCCAAGATTGCACCATTGCACTCCAGCCTGAGCAATAAGAGTGAAGCTTTATCTCAAAAAAAAAAAAAAAAAAAAAAAGGCCGGGTGCAGTGGCTCACACCTGTAATCCCAGCACTCTGGGAGGCCAAGTCAGGCAGATCATGAAGTCAGGAGATGGAGACCATCGTAGCTAACGTGGTGAAACCCCGTCTCTACTAAAAATACAAAAAAATTAGCCAGGCATGGTGGTGGGTACCTGTAGTCCCAGCTACTTGGGAGGCTGAGGCAGGAGAATGGCGTGAACCCGGGAGGTGGAGCTTGCAGTGAGCCGAAATTGTGCCATACAGCCTGGGCAACAGAGCAAGACTCCGTCTCAAAAAAAAAAAAAAAAAAAGGAAAGGAATAAAACAATGGCTACTCTATAGGCAGAGCAGCCCCGAGGGCTGCTGGTTGGCTATTTTATGGTTATTTCTTCATTATATGCTAAACAAGGGATGGATTATTCATGAGTTTTCCTGGAAAAGGATGGGTAATTCTCCTGGAACTGAGGGTTCCTCCCTTTTTAGACCATATAGGGTAACTTCCTGATGTTGCCATGGCATTTGTAAACTGTTGTGGCACTGGTGGGAGTGTCTCTTAGCATGCTAATGTATTATAATTAGCTTATAATGAGCAGTGAGGACAACCAGAGGTTACTTCTGTCACCATCTTGGTTTGGTGGGATTTGGTCAGCTTCTTTACCGCATGCTGTTTTATCAGTAAGATCTTTGTGACCCGTATCTTGTGGCGGCCTCCTATCTCATCCTGTGACTTACAATGCCTAACTTCCTGGGAATGCAGCCAGTAGCTCTCACCCTTATTTTACTCTGCCCTTATTCAAGATGGAGTCGCTCTGGTTCAAACACCTCTGACAGTCTTAGTTGTCTGCAGGCAGAGACTGGCCGTATGCACCTTATATACCCCTCAGTCTGACTCAAAGTGCATGGGTGTGTGCTCTCTTGGGTTAAAGGGATAGGGCCAGATTTGCAGCTCACCCTCCAGCTTTACAGGCATCCTGGACTTGTGGTGGGCCTGGCCTCACTCTGTGAGGCCTCCCTGATATCCCAGGGATGGATTTAGGTAAGCCTCCCTGCAGAGCTGGCCTTCTGCCCTTCTGGTGACTCGAAGAACTAATGAAAGAAACCACCAGCAGAATTAAAAAGCTAGAACAGCTGTACTATGCACTTTAAGGACACATTTCTCCAAAAAGTGAAGTTAGTACAAAGATGCCATTATGTTGAGACTCTTTTTTTTTTACTTTATTTATTTATTTATTTATTTTGAGACGGAGTCTCACTCTGTCGCCCAGGCTGGAGTGCAATGGCATGATCTTGGCTCACTACAAGCTCCGCCTCCCAGGTTCACGCCATTCTCCTGCCTCAGCCTCCTGAGTAGCTGGGATTACAGGCGCCTGCCACCAGGCCCAGCTAATTTTTTGTATTTTTAGTAGAGATAGGGTTTCACTGTGTTGGCCAGGATGGTCTCGATCTCCTGACCTCGTGATCTGCCTGCCTCAGCCTCCCAAAGTGCTGGGATTACAGGTGTGAGCCACCGCGCCCAGATGGGACTCTTTAAAATACGATAGTGATCTCTGAGGTTGCTTCTAGGCTGGTGCTTACTGGTGGTTACCAGTAAATTATAGCTATCATGAATTGTGGAGCTTTTGAAAGCTGCCCAGAGACCTGTGGTCCTGGTGGTTTGTCGCCTGGCTGGTGGGGGCCCTCCTAGCCTGCTGTCCCCTACCTCCAACCAGATTCTGTAAATCTCTTATTTGTCTTTCTCCTAGGGAGTCCCATTCTATTTCCCCATGGCCTGGTGCCTTTGCACCGGACTCCTCAAGAGAAGACTCACATGAGATACTCTGCTTCATTTAATTTTAGGTTATTGTTGCTGCTGTCAGTCTATTGAAGTACTTTAATGAATGCTTGTATTGTTCTCCTGCCCGGAGTTTTTTCAGATGATCAGCACATTATAAAACACAATAATGAGTCTAATTCCCCACCCCCAATACACAGACACGATGGCACTGCTAAGTCCCCCAGATATGTACAGTAGTGAAAAGAGTTTGGGATTTGGAGGAGCAAAATGAGGTTTAGTCCCTATTCTCCCATTTAGTGCTTGTGGCCTTGGGCAAGTCATTCATTCATTCATTCATTCACTCATTCAATAGGCATTTATTTGAAATCTTTTGGTGTCAGTTGTATAATCTCTGCAAAATGGTAGCAATACCCACCTAACCTAACTACCTTTCATGGCTGTTTAGAGGAGCTAATGAAATCCTCCTTATAAGAGGGTTCAAGTTAAGCTCTATATAAATGTACATTCTTGGCATGAATAAGCAAAAACACAAAAACAAAATTGGAGGGGAGGGGATAAGGGCCCAACACATGACCCTTATGTATCATTTGTATGAGAGACACACCTGTTTTGGAGTCTGGCTGTGCCCTGCACTTTCCTGATACCAGCCTTCCCTTATGCCAGACTTTGCCCAGGATACCTTTCTCTTCATCTCTATCCGTGGAAGCTTTGCTCTTTCTCCAAGGCCCTAGTCAAAAGCTTCCTCTTCCAAGAAGTCCTTGGTGCTCTTGGGAATTAATTTCTCCATGCGACATGTCCCTATTCTGCATCGACCCCCTCTGCTATTGTGATGTGTTTCTAGGTTGAGCCCTGTTCTTAGACAGACAGCAGTAATCTTGAGGGAGGTGACCATGTTCTCTTCCAGGAATCCTGACTCCCTCCCTGACCTTTAGCCCATGTGACTTGCTTAGGTGAATTGTCTTCTCTGAGCCTAAGTTTCCTCCTCTGTAAAACCTACCTGTCCTGCTCATTGTCATGAGGATTATATGACAAGAGCCTAACAATGTGCCTTGTGGTTAGTGGGCAGGCTTCCAACGAATACCTTTAGAATAAAATCGAACAACACGCATCATTTGGCTCTCTTAATACCCACCTAGAGAAGACGGCCACGTAATCATGTGTGCATACAAGGAATGTTGGGATGGTCCCCACCTGGTAATATTTTCCCCACCCACTACTTTACCTGAAATGTCACCAGGAAAGATGAATTCCCATGGATTCCACCTCAGAGGCACTCCTTTATAATTCAAGACCCCTGGGAGAGGCAGAGCATGAAACCAACTCACCTTCTGGTGTCTGGGGGAATGGCCGCTTTGACTGCCACCTAAATAAAAGGTAGAGAGGGTCACACAGAAGGAAGGCAAGGAATCCTCATAAGAGATTTGCCCTATGACTGGTCTTGCTTAATATAACATATCCAGTTCAAACCACATATAACATATTTGTTTAAAGTCAGGCCAGCCACAGTGGCTCATGCCTATAATCCCAGCTCTTTGGGAGGCCAAGTCAGGAGTGAGAGACAGGACTAGCTGGATTTCCTAGGCTGACTAAGAATCCCTAAGCCTAGCTGGGGAGGTGACCGCTTCCACCTTTAGACACGGGGCTTGCAACTTAGCTCACACCCGACCAATCAGATAGTAAAGAGAGCTCACTAAAATGCTAATTAGGTAAAAACAGGAGGTAAAGAAATAGCCAATCATCTATTGCCTGAGAGCACAGTTGGAGGGATAATGATCGGGATATAAACCCAGGCATTCCAGTTGGCAACTGCTACCCTCTTTGGGTGCCCTCCCTTGTATGGAAGCTCTGTTTTCACTCTTAAATCTTGCAACTGCACTCTCTTCTGGTCCATGTTTGTTACGGCTGGAGCTGAGCTTTGGCTCGCCGTCCACCACTGCTGTTTGCCGCTGCTGCAGACCCGCCGCTGACTTCCATCCCTTGGATCCGGCAGGGTGTCCTCTGTGCTCCTGATCCAGCGAGGCGCCCATTGCCACTCCCAATCAGGCTGGAGGCTTGCCATTGTTCCTGCACAGCTAAGTGCCCGGGTTTGTCCTAATCGAGCTGAACGCTAGTCACTGGGTTCCATGGTTCTCTTCCATGACCTACGGCTTCTAATAGAGCTATAACACTGCATGGCCCAAGATTCCATTCCTTGGAATCCGTGAGGCCAAGAACCCCAGGTCAGAGAACAAAAGGCTTGCCGCCATCTTGGAAGCAGCCCACTGTCATCTTGGGAGCTCTGGGAGCAAGGACCCCCCCCCGCCCCCGCCATAACAGGAGGATCACTTGAGGCCAGGAGCTCCAGACCAGCCTGGACAACATAGTGAGACCCTGTCTCTACAAAAAAAAAAAAAAAAATTTAGCTGGCCATGGTGGTATGTGCCCCTAGTCCCAGCTACTTAGGAGGCTAAGGTGGGAGGATTGCTTGAGCCCAGGAATCCAAAGTTACAGTGAGCTATGATCATGCCATTGTACTCCAGCCTGGGTAACATAGAGAAACCTTGTCTCTAAAAACAATATAAAAATAAAAATAAATAGGCCAGGCACGGTGGCTCACGCCTGTAATCCTAGCACTTTGGGAGGCCGAGGCAGGTGGATCACCTGAGGTCGGGAGCTCAAGACCAGCCTGACCAACATGGAGAACCCCATCTCTAATAAAAATACAAAAAATTAGCCGGGCATTGTGGTGCATGCCTGTAATCCCAGCTACTCAGGAGGCTGAGGCAGGAGAATCGCTTGAACCCGGGAGGCAGAGGTTGCGGTGAGCTGAGATTGCATCATTGCACTCCAGCCTGGGCAACAAGGGCGAAACTCTGTCTCAAAAATAAAAATAAAAATAAAAAAAGTAGAATGAAGTCAAAGTTTTAGAATCCTGTATTTTTTTTTTCTGGTACCAGTTTTCTAATTCTCTGACAGCAAGTGAGTATCCAAGCAATTCAGTTCAATTTAACGCAATTCTGACACTAACCACCCAGAGTTATTTCGAACCCCACAGGCTAAGGGCCCAGTACCACAAGGCTGCTCCCACTTCAGATGCTAGCCACAAGTGAGGTGCCTGGGCTCCCATACTTACGTCTAGCAGATTGTGAATTTGGGGGTTCCCATGACCTCTCCCCCCTTAAATTCGATAATTCACTAGCAGGGCTCACAACTCTGGAAAGTGCTTTCCTTACTAATACCAGCTTATTATAAAGGATTCAATTCAGGAACCTAAATGGGAGGTCCCGAGTTGGATCCTTTATAATATCCTTCCTTGCCTTAGGCAAGGAAGAAAGGCAGATGGTAGCTTTGAGCTTCCATGCCCTCTCCAGTGGGCCATCCTCCCAGCACCAACTGGAAACTCTCTGACACGTGGTTTTGGGGATTTTACTGAAGTTTCCTTGGCCTTTGGTGATTGAACTCAATCTCCAACCCCTCTTCCATCCTGGGAGGTTGTGGGTGGGGAGGGGGCTGAATGTTCCAACCCTCTCTCTAATCATATGGTTGGTTCCTGTGGTGACCAGCCCTCATCCAGAAGCTATATAGGGACTCTCCAAGAGCCAGACTCAGGTGTGGCTGAAAGGAGCTCGTCCTGAATAACAAAGGACATTCCTACTACTCAGGAGATCCTGAGGCTCTTAAGAGCTTTGTGCTAGGAACTGGGGCAAAGACCAAATGCGTATTTTTTATTCTACCACAGATACCCTAATTTTGTCTTTACTTAAATACTGTAGTTTTGGGAGCTGGGGAGAGGAAGGTGAAGACAGTCTCTATAAAGCTGATGTTACAAGGGCTTTGAAGCTTTTACCAAGCCCTTTCTTCCAAAACAGTGTCTCAGCCAGTCGCGGTGGCTCACGCCTGTTACCCCAACACTTTGGGAGGACAAGGAAGGCGATCACTTGAAGTCAGGAGTTTAAGACCAGCCTGGCCAACATGGTGAAACCCTGTCTCTACTAAAAATACAAAAATTAGCTAGACGTGGTGGTGGGCGCCTGTAGTTTCAGCTACTTGGGAGGCTTAAGGGAGGAGAATAACTTGAACCCGGGAGGCAGAGGTTGCAGGGAGCTGAGATCATGCCACTGCACTACTCTAGCCTAGGTGACCGAGCGAAACTCTGTCTCAAAATAAAATAAAATTAAATACAATTAAAAATAAAAATAAAAAATAAATCCCAGGCTTCTTACGCTCTCATTCAATCCCCCAACTTCCCTTGAAGCCTTCTCTCTACTCACTCCTCTGCTGTCCAGCTGCAGGCATCTGGCCCTTGGGTAGTTGTCCTCCAAATATCCCAGGGGCTTTTCTTTTCTTTTTGAGACGGAATCTCGCTCTGTCGCCCAGGCTGGAGTGCAATGGCGCCATCTCGGCGCACTGCACGTTCTGCCTCCCAGGTTCACGCCATTCTCCTGCCTCAGCCTCCTGAGTAGCTGGGACTACAGGCACCTGCCACCACACCCGGCTAATTTTTTTGTATTTTTAGTAGAGACAGGGTTTCACCGTGTTAGCCAGGATGGTCTCGATCTCCGGACCTCGTGATCTGCCCGCCTCGGCCTCCCAAAGTGCTGGGATTACAGGCATGAGCCACCGCGACCAGCATCCCAGGGGATTTTCTACCTCTTACCCACCCCTCCCACAAAGTCACTTCTCTCCACACTTGTCCTTTCAAACACACAAACTCTTTTTGGCTGTCACATCTGCCAGGCTCTATGCTGGACACCAAGGGGGCAGTGAAGAAGGATGACCTGGCTCTGCCCTCAAGGCACTGAGTCTTCCTCCTTTTTAACCACCTGCAGGCAGGTTTCAGACACTCCCTGAGGCATTCCCCTACTGCCTTGTCTGCAGGGGTCCCTCCTTCCTCCTGGCTTCTAACCCACTTGGCACCTGGCACCACTTCCTTGTTTTGACATCCTTGTAGGTTTCGGAATCTTAGGTCTACTTCCTCCATTCACTACACTTGCACTGAGTGTGTCTGGGGTCTCTCCGTGAGGCACTGAGCACGATCAGACAGCATGGACCCCGCCCCCTGGCCGCTCGTCCCTCTGGTGTGTCCAATGAAAGCGAAAGAGAGCATGCAAAGCAGGAACACATGAGGGCACGTGTTAACAAGAAGACGGGTGCAGTAATGGGGAGTGTGGGTGCTAGTTTAAATGGGGTGTCAGAGGACCCTCTGCTCCACCCAGGAGGTCCCCCAAGGTCAGGCACTATGTCACACAGGGCAATTCTTTTCATTAAAATATGAGAGGCTTATACATACTTGTTAAATTTAAAAACTGTCCTTTGGGCCAGGCATGGTGGCTCATACCTGTAATCCCAACACTGGGAGGCCGAGGTGGGAAGATGTCTTGAGTCCAGGAGTTCAAGACCAGCCTGGGCAACATAGTGAGACCCTGTCTCTACAAACATTTTTATTTTATTATTATTATTATTATTATTATTATTATTATTATTATTATTTTTAGAGGGAGTATCACTCTTGTTGCCCAGGCTGGAGTACAATGGCTCGATATCTTGGCTCATCACAACCTCCGCCTCCTGAGTTCAAGCGGTTCTCCTGCCTCAGCCTCCCGAGTAGCTGGGATTACAAGGATGCACCACCACACCCGGCTAATTTTGTATTTTTAGTAGAGACGGGGTTTCTCCATGTTGGTCAGGCTGGTCTCGAACTCCCGACCTCAGGTGATCTGCCTGCCTTGGCCTCCCAAAGTGCTGGGATTACAGGCATGACCCACCGCGCCCGGCTACAAAATTTTTTAAAAAATTAGCTGGGGATAGTGGCATGTGCTTGTAGTCCCAGTTACTTGGGAGGCTCAAGTGGGAGGATTGCTTGAGTCCAGGAAGTTGAGGCTGCAGTGAGCTGTGATTGTGCCATTGCATTCCAGCCTGGGAGATAGAGTGAGACCCGGTCTCAAAAAACAACAACAACAACAACAACAAAAAACAACCAACCAAACAAAAAATGAAACTGTCCTTTGCATTTATTTTCACTTTTTTTCCCCCATTTTCAGAACTTACAGACTTTCTAAATAGATGGAGTTTCAGGGGAATCACCTGGTTAGAAAGAGAGACTTGGAGCTGAGTTTCAGAGTACTTTACCCAAGACAGACCAGTCTTAATTGGCCAGCCCAGAGAACCAGGGTGGGGAGCTAGAGGTTTGTGGGGGAAAGGGGGCCCCCTCCCAGTCACCCTTGGCTACACTTTCATGGTATCCTTCTGCACTGTTCCATTCTGGTTCCACGTGAACCTGCTGCTCTGGAAAAATGAGTCTGTTGAGATGGAAATTTCACTGTATTTGACCACTGAGAGTCTGTGGCCTAGAAGGTGCTGGCCTGGAGTGCTGCCATCAGAGCGGCAGCCTCTTTCTAGAGCATTCTGTCTGAGCCGAGCATGGAGCTGAGAGCTGAAATCATGAGTCATTCTACCCTCACTCCTCCAGAGCCTGCAAGGGAGTACTGGGGGGTCATCCATGTCTGGCAGGCGAGGACAATGGGGCTCAGTGAGGTTACATAACTGCCTGAGGGTCACTCTGCTAGAGAGGTGGAACTCAGTCCAATGTCACATCTGTCAAACCCCAGAGCCCCTGGTCCTGACAACTGTCTGATCTTCCACTACTCAGAGTCCTTAGAATGCTTCTGGATGTCCTTGTGTTGGAGGAGGCCATTTAATCCTATGGAATGACGCTGTGAGGCAGAGCGAGTCATGTTAACCCTGGAAGCGGTGACTTGTCTGAGGTTCTGTGGCTACTATTGTGCAGAAGGTCAGCATTTCCCCAGAGGCCACTGCCTTCTAGCAGGTCCTGGGCGATCCTAGTGGGTGCTGGCTATGGTGGGGGTGGGTGGTTACGTTGAGGGAGGCCAGGTTGCCCCTTCTTCTTTTTGAGTCGGAGTCTCGCTGGAGTGCAGTGGCACAATTTCAGCTCACTGCAACCTCCGCCTCCCAGGTTCAAGCGATTCTCCTGCTTCAGCCTCCCGAGTAGCTGGGACTACAGGAGTGCACCACAACACCCGGCTAATTTTTTTTTTGAGACAGAGTCTCGCTCTGACGCCCAGGCTGGAGTTCAGTGGCGTGATCTGGGCTCACTGCAAGCTCCGCCTCCTGGGTTCAAGTGATTCTTCTGCCTCAGCCTCCTGAGTAGCTGGGACTACAGGTGCCTGCCACCATGCCTGGATAATTTGTTTTTGTATTTTTAGTAGAGACGGGGTTTCACCACGTTGGCCAGGCTGGTCTCAAACTCCTGACCTCATGACCCGCCCGCCTCGGCTTCCCAAAGTGCTGGGATTACAGGCATGAGCCACAGTGCCCAGCCTTTTCTTTTTTTTTTTTTTTTTTTTTGAGACAGAGTCTCGCTCTGCCACCCAGGCTAGAGTGCAGTGGCACAGTCTTGGCTCACTGCAACCTCCATCTCCAGGGTTCAAGTGATTCTCCTGTCTCAGCTTCCGGAGTAGCTGGGATTACAGGTGTGCACCACCACACCTGGCTAATTTTTTGTATTTTTAGTAGAGACGGGGTTTCACCATGTTGGCCAGGTTGGTCTTTTTTTTTTTTTTTTTTTTTTTTTTTTTTTGAGACGGAGTCTCGCTCTGTCGCCCAGGCCGGACTGCGGACTGCAGTGGCGCAATCTCGGCTCACTGCAAGCTCTGCCTCCCGGGTTCACGCCATTCTCCTGCCTCAGCCTCCCGAGTAGCTGGGACTACAGGCGCCCGCCACCGTGCCCGGCTAATTTTTTGTATTTTTAGTAGAGACGGGGTTTCACCTTGTTAGCCAGGATGGTCTCGATCTCCTGACCTCATGATCCACCCGCCTCGGCCTCCCAAAGTGCTGGGATTACAGGCGTGAGCCACCGCGCCCGGCCCAGGTTGGTCTTGAATTCCTGACCTCAGGTGATCTGCCCGCCTCAACCTCCCAAAGTGCTGGGATTATAGGCGTGAGCCACCGTGCCCGGCCTGTATTTTTTTTTTTTAGTAGAGATGGAGTTTCACCATGTTGGCCAGGCTGGTCTTGAACTCCCGACCTCAGGTGATCCGCCCACCTTGGCCTCCCAGTGTGCTAGGATTACAGGCGTGAGCCACCACGCCTGGCCTTAGGTTGCCCAATTCTTAGCAATCTGAGATGGAAGGGAGGGGGCAGCCCAGAGCCCAGAAATGAGGGTTCCCTCCCCTCGTCTCCCCCTACTTTCATCATCTCTAGAGTGGTTCTCATAATTGTGTCCATTTTACAGGGCAAATGGTAGAAGTAACCTGCTCAGTCAGGAGAGATCAGGTTACAGTCAAAGCCAGACCAGCCACGCCCTGATGCTACTGTCCAGGCCACCACAGCTGGCAGGTACCTGCTGCAGGCTTAGCCCCAGGCTAGGCGGTATATCAGGTGCAAAAAATGATGGTGAAGAGTGATTCTGACAGGCTTGGCTCTGGCCTCTAGGGCTATGACAGAAGTTGAGAGGATGACGAATATGGTTTAGTAGTAACCCTACAGATAGACCAAGGGCAGACATGTTTGTAGGAGAGTGTGTGTGAGCAGGGGAGTCCTGACCCACAGTGGAAGGCCAGGATGGAGGGGGTAATAAGGGTAGTGGTGACGGGGGTTGTGTCTGGGCTGAGCTGGTTTTATGGGAGAGATGGCATTTCAGGAGCTTGTAGAGCTAAGTATTGGATACACAGAAGACTTTGAGGCAGAAGTAGGATCCCTTCTGCTCCTACAGAAGAAGGGGAAGAAGCAAGTAACTGTACCATTTAATAATGGAAATATAGTAGTAATAAAAATATTAGTAATTAGGATATCAAATGCCCTAGCCTCCAAAAATATACAAAGGCCATTCGACGTAGGAAATTGACTTATTGGTATTAAACAGGAGAAGGGGCTGGGTGCGCTGGCTTACACCTGTAATCCCAGCACTTTGGGAGGCTGAGGTGGGTGGATAACCTGAGGTCAGGAGTTTGAGACTAGCCTGGCCAACATGGTGAAACCCCGTCTCTACTAAAAAACCAAAAAATTAGCTGGGTGTGGTGGCGTGCACCTGTAATCCCAGCTACTCGGGAGGCTGAGGCAGGAGAATCGCTTGAACTCGGGGGGCAGAGATTGCAGTGAGTCAAGATCGCGCCACTGAACTCCAGCCTGGGCGACAGAGCAAGACTCTGTCTCAAGAAAAAAACCAAAAAACCAAAACCAACCAACCAAACAAAAAACAAAGAAACAACAACCACAAAGCAAAAAACAAAAAACAAAAAACAGGAGAAGGACCCAAGATGGTATCTCAGTAGTCAGGGTCCTACTTCAGTATTTCTGCAGCATTGATTAGATCAGACTGTCAAGGAATCTTTTAAAAACTCAATGTATTAGTCCACATTCATTCATTTCCAGACTGAAAGTTGTGATCTTAGTGTGATTTTTCCTTTTCTTTTCTTTTTTTCCTGAAATAGGCTGGGCTCTTGTCACTACCCCATAACCTCTCAAATCCCTTGAGGACTCAGGTAGCAGAAAGTAAATAAATGAATGAACGAGTGAAATAACATACACGGATAAACTACTTAGCTAGCACACACTACGTTCTCTGTGATTCTCAGTGAGGCAGTTGGTGGCTGTGGTTAAGAAAGTAAGCTCTGCCTGTGTTGGAATCCAACACTGCCACTTACTTGGATGTGTCATCTTGGGCAGGTCACTCTGTCCCTCAGTTTCCACCTTTGCAATTTGGGACTAGTAACGCCATCCAACTCATAGGGTTGTTATGAGTTGTAATGAGGATTCAGTGGATTTAACCCATTTAAATGCAAGGTGCCTGGTATAATAAAATTATTTTCTTTTCTTAATTTATTCTTGTAGTTGGGGATGAAAAACTCGCACTCCTGTAGGCAGTCAGAAAAAATGAGTGAAGTGGGGGAACTAAGGGGCCTGGTCTGAAGGGGGAGACTGATATTTAGGGGAGTGCGGACCCAGTGGTGTGAGATTTTCAGAATCTCCTCTTGACGGGTCTCATCCGAGGTTCCAGCACAGCTCTGTAAAGGTAAAGACCGTTTACATTTTCCTCCTCAAAGCTTTATTATTATTATTTTTCTTCTCAAAACACTGCTTTGCTTTGGGGGAGCGCGGGTCCTTGGCCAGATCTTGAGTCTTGAGATATGTCTTCAGCATCTCCTGCTCCTCCTTGGGAAACGCTCCACCCGCCAGTGGGCCTGCGCCCTCCTCCCCTTCTTCGGGGTTCGGGTCCACCTCGTTTCCCCCACCCTCCCCAGGGCTGACTGCAAATCGGAGGGCGACTGCAGAGGCGGAATTCGGGGCAGAGCGGGGTCTCCCCAGCGGGCCACGTCCCACCAGCAGGTGGCGGTCGATCTGCAAGGCCTGCAAGGTGCCCGGACAGAAACTTGAGCAGATATTGGTGCCGCTGCCCGAGAAGAGCTCAGCCGAGTCTCCCCGAGCCCAGCTATCGGCATCCGCGAAAAAGCGGGGAGAGAAGGGCACGGGCTCTCCGCTGGAGCGACTCTGGGATTCAGACACCGCAAGCTGCTTTCGGAAGGGCTTCAGGAGGGGGTGAGTACTGAGCAGCGCACAGAAAAGGGAGCGCTGTCCTTTGCTGAAGGCATTGTCCTTGGCTTGCATTGAGTGGCTTTCCCACCCCCCGGGAAAGACATTTCGGGAAGGTGACGGTCTCAACAGAAGGAGGGAGCGCGGGAAAGAAGCCCGGGGAGCCGGCGCCTTCACGCCCCGCGGTCTGCAGCGGGAGGAGCGCGGGTTCCATCGCGCCAGATGGCGCTGTCTGGCTTTTCTCGGGCCTCGGGCGCCAGTCTCCAGAGGTCTCCGGCGCAGCTGCCTCTCTAGCCGGCCGACGCGGGCTCTGTGTTTCCGGGCGGAAGTGAGGCGCCCAGCGGAACGGCCTCTGGTGACATTTTCTTGGGGGCGGCGCGGACGACTGAAGGGACTTGGTGGTAGAGGCTGCGGAGGCGGCGAGGTTCACTTTGGTCCCGGCAGGGGCTCTGACCGCGACCCACTGCTCGCTGCCGGGGCTTGTTCCGAGGAGGAGAAGGCGGCGGTGGCCGTCGCGTCCTGAGTCACCGCAGCGGGGAAGAGTCCCGGCCGGGGGTTCGGTGCGTGCCCCGACGGGGCGCGCGCGAAGCGAGCGAGAAGGCACGGAGTCGCCGCGGAGCGCAGGTGAGGCGGGAAGGGGCGCAGGGCCGCGGCCTGGCTACTGGTCGAGTTGGGGGGCCCGGGTTGCGTCCCAGGGAGGGGTCGGGGCGAATCGGAGGGCTGCGGGCCGCGGTGAGGGCTCTGCGGCGTCCGGACGCTGGGGTCCTAGCGGGCCTGGCTGGTGGGCGCCGGGAACTCGCAGCCTGGATTGCCGGCTGACGCTGGGGCATCGCACCTCTCCGACCTCCTTGCTCGTCCGCCGTTGGTGACCCTAGCGTCCTCCCGGCCCGGCGGAGTTGGCTCCGGCACTCCAAGCCCCCAGACGCTGGGGCCGGGTTGAGGCGAGTCCTTTTCCGGGGGTGCTGAGGGGAGGCTGGAGGTGCCGCAGTCCCCGGGCTGCGGGGGGAAGCGACTTCACGGCCCTGGAGTTGTCTTCACGCAACTTTCCGGCTCCTAGGCCCGCGGGGGAAGCAGTGGCGGCAACTCCGCCAGCTCCGAGAGTAGGGGGTCTGGCGCCGACACCTGCCCCTGCAGCGGAGAGCTCCGGCGCCGCGGCCGCAGTGGCCTTGGTGGAGGGAGAAAAGGCTTTCTTATAGGCTTGGCGCCGCCTGCCTCTCGGCGCTTCCACTACCTTCGGTCGGCAGGCGCCTCCAGTCAATGCGAGAGATGTGTCAGTCTCCAAAATAGACCGCTTCTGGGGAGTTTGTCAACTTTATTTCAAAACCGGCGAGGATGTACACTGACGAACCCGTGTTAAAGACTATCGCCTTTACGCAAGCCATTCATTCTCACTTTAAAATTGTCCACCCCCCCGCCCCGACCCCCGTCCCCGGCAGCCCCCATCACAAAATTGATGCTCACAGGTTGAAGTAGAGAACATCGGTACGAGCCCTACCAGATCCTTGAGCAGTTTCTGTTTGGATGGGTTTTTCGTTTTTTGCCTGACCTTTTGCTTTCTGAATCCTCTTACCCAGTAGAATTAAAATCCTACTGATGATACTTCGTCAAGGTTGGACCTCTTAATTACAAAAACATCTGCCAATTTTGCTTAGGCTTTTATTGTGTAGTATTGGGTACATGCTAACAGAATCACTCCCTTTCTTCTCTTGGGATATTTTAAGGATGGAAGCTATTAACTTTCTAATGTAGTTTTGCTGATCTTGGCAATCTAGATTCCTCCAGTAATCAGAGCATTGCCTTTTGGTTTAACAAGCATTTTTAGAGGCCTACAATTGATAGTTACTGCCTGATGTCCTGAGGAGTCTCAGGACAAAAAAAAAAAAAACACATGGTTCAAGCAGTTATCCTGCCTCAGCCTCCCGAGTAGCTGGGATTACGGGCACGCGCCACCACGCCCAGCTAATTTTTGTATTTTTAGTAGAGACGGGGTTTTACCACGTTGGCCAAGCTGGTCTTGACCTCCTGACCTCGTGATCTGCCCGCCTTGGCTTCCCAAAGTGCTGGGATTACAGGCGTGAGCCGTGGCGCCTGGACTGAATCAGATTTCTTAATGGGAAAAAAAATTTTTTCTGACAACTTTTTGTGGAAAATAGGATGGACTGGATATTGGAGCTGGAAACTTTCTCCATTGTTAGAATAAGTTCACCGTGTAGTTGTTACTTATTCACTTTATATTTAACATGCATTTATGTGAGAGTAACTGTCATAATACTCTTTGTTTTATGGTTATGATTAATTCAAAACCCATATAGTAAAGATAAATTCAGCTTTAGGTTCTAATTTAATGCAGTTCCATTAGAACTGAGGGCTAATGCGTGTCCTTCAAAGGTTTCTTGCTTCTAATATTAATAGTGATATTGGTACTTTCAGTCTCTTTATTGTGTGACTAGTAAATTCTGTGCGCTTCTGTAGTTACTCATTATACAAGAAGTTGTTTTGTTGGGATTCCCAATCTTACAGCTTTTTTTGACACGTGCATGAACAGACTTGATAAATAGGCAATTTCAGTATTCTTCTTTCTAAAGTTTGGAATTCATGTACACTAGAGACCCAAACCTTTGGTAAATCATCTTAGATCTTCCTCATTTTCCTGCACATAACTGAGGATATGGAAATAGCATGTATTCATGTTTACTGAATAGACAGTACTTGAGAAAAACCTGTAAAGGTGAAAAATGTGTGTGTGTGTGCTTTTTTTTTTTTTTTTAAAGACACTCTTGCTCTGTCACCCAGGCTGGAGTGCAGTGGCATGATCACAGCTCACTGCAGCCTCAACCTCCCGAGCTCAAGCATTCCTCCCACCTCAGCCTCCGAAGTAGCTGAGACCACAGGCTCACGCCACCACACTCAGCTAATTTTTAATTTTTTTTTTTTTTGAGATGGAGTTTTGCTCTTGTTGCCCAGGCTGGAGTGCAATCTCCACTCACCGCAACCTCCACCTCCTGGGTTCAAGCGATTCTCTTGCCTCAGCCTACCAATTAGCTGGGATTACAGGCATGTGCCACCACGCCTGGCTAATTTTGTATTTTTAGTAGAGACGGGTTTTCTCTGTGTTGGTCAGGCTGGTCTCGAACTCCTGACCTCAGGCAATCTGCCTGCCTCGGCTCCCAGAGTGCTGGGATTACAGGTGTGAGCCACCACGGCTGGCTAATTTTTAAATTTTTTGTAGAGATGGAGTCTCCCTATGTTGCCCAGACTTGTCTTGAACTCTTGGGCTCAGGCAGTCCTCCTGCCTTGGCCTCCCAAAGTGTTGGGATTAGAGTTGTGAGCAACTGCACCCGGCCTAAATGTTGGATTTTTAATGTGTTCCTTTAAGGAATAGTGATTTCATTATCTTCTGTTATTTTAGGAAAGAGTTTGGGACCAAATAAAGTTTCTTGGGTTACTGTAATTCTCTAGGCAAAATGAAGTACATATGATACTATGAATAAAAAGTTGTGAGACTATAAAAGGGGAGAGCTATATAGAAGGGGGATAGAAAATAGAGTGGATAAAATATTTGTAAGGGGCTGGGCACAGTGGCTCACACCTCTAATCCCAGCATTTTGGGAGGCTGAGACGGGAGGATCAGTTGAACTCAGGAGTTTGAGATCAGCCTGGGCAACATAGTGAGAGCCCCTTTCTTTTTCTTCTTTTGTTCGTTTGTTCTTTCTTTTTTTCTTTACTTTTTTTTTTTTTTTTTTTTGATGGAGTCTTACTCTGTTGCCCAGGCTGGAGTACAGTGGCGCGGTCTTGGCTCACTGCAAACTCTGCCTTCCGGGTTCAAATGATTCTTCCATGTCAGCCTCCCAAGTAGCTAAGACAGGCGCCTGCCACCACGCCTGACTAATTTTTTATTTTTAGTAGAGATGTGGTTTCACCATGTTGGCCAGGTTGGTCTCGAATTCCTGACCTCAAGTGATCACCTGCCTCGGCCTCCCAAAGTGCTGGGATTACAGGTGTGAGCCACCGTGCCCGGCCTTGAGAGCCCATTTCTATAAAAAATTTAAAAACTTAGCTGGGTGGGGTGGTATGCATCTTTAGTCCCTGCTGCTTGTGGGGCTGAGGTGGAAGGATCGCTCAGGAGGTTGAGGCTACAGTGAGCTGTGACTGTGCCGCTGCACTCCAGCCTGGGCAACAAAGTGAGACCTTGTTTCAAAAAATAATAATTCATATGGAGAGTCTTTATTCTCACAACAACAATTTATTGAGTGTTTACTGTGTGCCAGCAGTGCTCTAGTTGCAGGAACTATAGTGGTGAATAAGACCAACAAGGCCACCTGGTGCTTAAGGAGCTTAGACATTTAAACCTGAGGTTCGAGTTGGATTTCCAGGTGAGCATGCCAGGCTAGGGCAGCCTAACCAAAGTCATGATTATCAGTGCACTTGAATGGTTAAGTGGGGCCAGTGCCTTGAGTTTTCAAAAGGAATGGATAGGGCAGATGGAGATAGGGCCAAGTTGCAAAGGTACCTTATTAGTCCGCTAATGGGTTGGGAATTTTCTTCTTTTTGGAGGAAAGAATTCCAGGTAGAATGTGAAGAATGAGATAGGCATTCCTTTTATTTTTATTTATTTATTTTTTTTGAGACAGAGTCTCACTGCGATGCCCAGGCTGGAGTGCAATGGCACAATCTCCGCTCACTGCAATCTCCACCTTCTGGGTTCAAGTGATTCTCCTGCCTCAGCCTCCCGAGTAGTTGGGATTGCAGGCATGTGCCGTCATGCCAGGCTAATTTTTGTATTTGGTAGAGACAGGGTTTCACCATGTTGGCCAGGCTGGTCTCGAACTCCTGACCTCGGGTGATGCACCACCTCGGCCTCCCAAAGTGTTGGGATTATAGGCGGGAGCCACCATGCCTGGCCCTGACATAACTTTTTAAAGATTTTTCTGGGGCTACGTGCAGTGGCTCATGCCTGTAATCCCAGCACGTTGGGAGGCTGAGGCCGGTGGATTGCTTGAGCCCAGGAGACCAGCCTGGGCAACATGGCAGAACCGTCTCTACAGAAAAATTAAAAGATTATCTGGGTGTGGTGGCACACGCCTGTAGTCCCAGCTACTCAGGAGGCTGAAATGGGAGGAGCAGTTGAGCCCAGGGGTTTGTGGCTGCAGTGAGTGGTGATCATGCCACTGCCTGAGACTCTTTCTCAAAAAAAAAAAACAACAAAAATATTTTTCTTTATTATCCTTAAGTTGAGTGAATACAAATTTTTTTTGAGATGGAGTTTTGCCCTTTCACCCAGGCTGAACTGCAGTGTCAGGATATCTGCTCACAGCAACCTCTGCCTCCTGGGTTCAAGTGATTCTCCTGCCTCAGCCTCCCGAGTAGCTGGGATTACAGGCGCGTGCCACCACACCCAGCTAATTTTTTATATTTTTGGTAGAGACGAAGTTTCACCCTGTTGGCCAGGCTGGTCTTGAACTCCTGACCTCAAGTGATCGCCCACCTTGGCCTCCCAAAGTGCTAGGATTACAGAGGTGAGCCACTGAGCCCAGCCCAGTGAATATAAATTTTATTGGTTTTATTTATTTTAGTTTGGTTTATTTATTTTGATTTCTTGGTCATCAGATTAAATAAATCTGATAGTTATTTTTCTTTAGTTGTCAATTTCCAGTCTTGGTTTTGAGTTTGACTGTTGTCATGATACTCTTCTGAATCCTTTTAGCCTTTACCTGTACCTCTTTTCCTTACTTTTTCAGAACTCTTATGATTCCACTTAAAGAAGCAGTGTTTTTTACTTCTGTGTGGGCAGCTTCTCTCAGCAGAAGTGGGATTGATGTTCAGTCAGTCAGTTTTCACACTCAGCCTACAGGGCCTTGTAAAAGTAAGGAGCAGGAGCAGGGTGAAACTAAAAAGTAATCTTGCTTTTTTAAAGTTATCTTTTTTTTTTTTTTTTTGAGACGGAGTTTCGCTCTTGTTGCCCAGGCTGGAGTGCAATGGCGCCATCTCCGCTCACCGCAACCTCCGCCTCCTGGGTTCAAGCGATTCTCCTGCCTCAGCCTCCCGAGTAGCTGGGATTACAGTCATGTGCTGCCACGCCTGCCTAATTTTGTATTTCTAGTAGAGAAGGGGTTTCTCCATGTTAGTCAGGCTGGTCTCAAACTCCCGACCTCAGGTAATCTGCCCGCCTTGGCCTCCCAAAGTGCTGGGATTACAGGTGTGAGCCACTGCGCCCGGCCTAAAGTTCTCTTCTATATTCCTGAACTGCTAGGAGAGGAAACTATGTGATCTATGTGTTATACAGATTTATCGGAACATATTTGTAGCAGCTGATAATAGTAAATGTGATTTTAAAATACTTTAAAGTAGCCAATATAACTGAGATTTGATAAGTTGTTTGATTAGTTGTTAGGAATTTTGGCTTTAATTTACAGTGTTTTAAGTTTTGTTTCTGTTCTCTTTCATGTCTGTTCAAAATAAGGGACCTCATTCCTCTTTGCTCAGACTCTGCCACTTAATAGGTAGATGGTGTAAATTCCTAAATTATTAACTTGACTTTAAATAATTTTAAAACCTACCTAAATGAGTATTTTCTAGTTAAGTGACAATTAATCTAAAGTGGAAATCTATCAGCAGGGACTTAATGCATATGTGGTATTTATACCTGGTTAAATTAAAAACCCATTTACTGAGCATTTACATGCCAGGTGGTAATGGGCACATAAAATAAGCAGTTTGGGGCAGGGCACGGTGGCTCACGCCTGTAATCCCAGCACTTTGGGAGGCCGAGGCGGGCGGATCACCTGAAGTTCGGAGTTTGAGACCAGCCTGACCAACTTGGAGAAACACTGTCTCTACTAAAAATACAAAATTAGTTGGGCATGGTGGCGCATGCCTGTAATCCCAGCTACCCAGGAGGCTGAGGCAGGAGAATCTCTTGAACCTGGGAGGCAGCTGTGGTGAGCCAAGATTGTGCCATTGCACTCCAGCCTGGGCAACAAGAGGGAAACTCTGTCTCAAAAAAAAAAACAACAATAAAAACAAAACAAGCAAGCAGTCTCTGCCCACAGAACTCAACCTAGTGAACCAGATGATTTCTGAGTTTCCTTCCTGCTCTAAAATGTGGAGAAGAGAAAGTAGATTATAAGGGAAAAAAGTACTGCATAACAAAACAACTGTAGTATGGAACTAGTGTTTTCCCTTATAAATTCATTTTAAATAAGGTATTAGAAAATAGCATTTTTCTTGGTATCTCTAAGCTTTAAAAGGCTGGAAACTTAAATGTCGTTTTTTGGGCTGGGCATGGTAACTCACGCCTGTAATCCCAGCACTTTGGGAAGCCGAGGCAGGTGGATCACAAGATCAGGAGTTCGAAACCAGCCTAGCCAACATGATGAAACCGTGTCTCTACTAAAAATACAAAAATCAGATGGGTGTGGTGGTGCACGCCTGTAATCCCAGCTACTTGGGAGGCTGAGGCAGGAGAATTGCTTGAATCTGGGAGGTGAAAGTTGCAGTGAGCAGGGATCATGCCATTGCACTCCAGCTCTGGGCAACAGAGCAAGACTCCCTCTCGGGAGGTGGGGGGGGAAATGTCGTTTTTTTGTAATGCCAGTTCATTTACAAAATACATTTGCTTGTAATTCAAGTTCATGTATTAAGTTCTGATTGTTGTTCAGAGAGAAACAACATTAAATCTGTTAAAACTTAGAGCAGCCATTCCTAAGAATGTATATAACCTAGAATTGTGCCAGGCATGGTGGCTTATGCCTGTAATCCCAGCACTTTGGGAGGCTGAGGCGGCGGATCATGAGGTCAGGAGATCGAGACCATCCTGGCTAACGTGGTGAAACCCCGTCTCTACTAAAAATACAAAAAATTAGCCAGACGTGGTGGCGGGCACCTGTAGTCCCAGCTACTCGGGAGGTTTGAGGCAGGAGAATGGCATGAACCCAGGAGGAGGAGCTTGCAGTGAGCCAAGATCGCGCCACTGCACTCCAGCCTGGGCGACAGAGCGAGACTCCGTCTCAAAAAAAAACAAAAAACTAGAATTGTGCTTGGGTAGTCTAGAAATTAAGTTTATTTTGATTGATTGATTGATTGATTGAGATGGGGTCTTACTATGTTGGCCAGGCTGGTCTCCAACTCCTGGGCCCAAGTGATCCTCCCATTTCAGCCTCTCATAGTGCTGGGATTACAGATGTGAGCCACTGTGCCTGGCTGAAATTAAGTTTTTATTAGCATAATTAGCATTAGAGAAACAAGATACTGACCAAAGTGACCAGTAGAAGTTATTTTTTTACTGAGTTGACTAGTTTAAAAAAATGACCTTTACAATAATGTCTGGAGTCTGCATTTTGTTAGGTGCCTTATAATTAGAGAAAGGTATTGTCGGGGATAGGGAAGTTGGGTGTGGACTAAAATTTAAGGAAAACAGGATTGTTTTTCTTTCTGTATTAAGAACAAAAACTTCATGTGGTTAAAATTTTAAGCAGTATCCTGTCTGCCTTAGTTTTAACCTAGCATAGAATCATAGCTTGTTCTTAAATCAACAGTTTAGTGTCAAGGGTTTCTTACTATTTTTCTCTGCTGAAATCAACTAAGCACTTTGCAGTGAGCCTGAAGGTGTGTATAGTGGAGAGAATTTTGGCAGCTTTTATCTTGGGACCTCAGTTCCTGGCATGTGGTTATCCATCTTTATGTGAATTGTCTTCTGAAGGAGATAGAAAATGACCAGGGCAGAAATCTTGGAGAAAATTTAGAACCTTTGTTTTAGGGCCAGGCATGGTAGCTCACACCTGTAATCTCAGCACCTTGGGAGGCAGAGTTGGGAGGGTAGCTTGAGCCCAGGAGTTTTAGACCAGCCGGGGCAACAAAGTGAAACCCTGTCTCTATTAAAAAATTATTTTTAAAAATTAAAAGAACCTCTGTTTTAAATTATTCTTGATTTACACTGATGATGCTTTTGAGTACTTTAGAGAGTCATTAGCCACAGTGCTTTTTTTTTTTTTTTTTTTTTGCATTTGATAACTTCTTTGGCTTCTTACTTGATGCTAGTTTATTCACAGCCCTGGTGCAGGTCCAGGTACATGCCAGAAGTAGTAATATCTGCAATATGAAGTGATTTGAGCAGCCATTATCACCTTTGACCTATTTATAGAGTTTATATCAGTGGAGAAAAAGTTGGCTGGCAAGCAAGCAAAGCTGATCTCTGGTGGTTGCAATCTCACAATTTATATTTAAGTTCCGGGTAGGCCAAATTCAGTGCATTATGGACAGATCCATTCAGCTGTATTAATATTAGAGTTCCCTTTCTGTACTCTAACTTTTTAGCACTCCAGTTTCCCAGTCAGCTTCACTGTTGAAGGAAAGAAAACCGAAAAACTTACCACACTAAAAAAAAAAAGGAAGAGTTCCTTAATGTAATATGATAGTCAGTGTTCAGATTTCCCTCTTATCTCATAAATGTGTCAGATCAAGAGCCAAATAAGGTCTCTGCATTGTTTTGTAATCTGTAGGTTCCCCCTCCATTTCTTTTCCCTAGCAGATTATTAGTTACAAAAGAAGTTTTCCCAGTGTGGATTTAGCAGTTACATTCCTTTGGATTTCTGTGGTGGTGGTGGTAAACGTTTTTCTCTGACCCCTGGGTTTCTAGTTAATTGGTATTAGATTTAGAAGCTTGATCAGATTGTTTCTATAATATATATTCTTTCTCTTGCTTCTTTTGCAGGGGATGAGGGGAATACTTTATAGATGGTACTTGGATCAGTAGGTGCATAATATTTGGTTCCCTGTGATGTTAGTAGCTGTTGGTGATCGTTGCCCAGTTGTGTTAATTTGTTACTCATAATTCCTTACTCTGAATGGGGCATCCTCTCTCATCAGTCCTAGTTTGAGTCTTTTATGCTTGTTTATAGCTTCTTCAAACTTTTCTTTCTTTTGAGGATTAAGGGAAGGGATGAGTTGCTGTGGAGAAAAGGGCTCTTTCTACTATATTGTATTTCTGTAAGTGTTTTTTATTTTAGTCCTAATCTTTGGTTCTTGCATTGTCTGCATTGTCTATGCTGCAGCTTCTTGGTGGGAAAACTGACTCAAAATCCCAGCAAATAATTGAAAGAAGTCCTTCAAAACCAAATTTTTAAAAAAATTTTTTTCTGAGTTAGAGTCTTGCTCTGTCGCCCAGGCTGGAGTGCAGTGGCGCGATCTCAGCTCACTGCAACCTCCGTCTCCCGGGTTCAAGCGATTCTCCTGCCTCAGCCTCCTGAGTAGCTAGGATTACAGGTGTGTGCCACCATGCCTGGCTAATTTTTGTATTTTATTTTTGAGACGGAGCCTCACAGTGTCACCCGGGCTGGTGTGCAGTGGCATGATCTCAGCTACTTGCAACCTCTGCCTCCTGGGTTCAAGCGATTTTCCTGCCTCAGCCTCCTGAGTAGCTAGGATTACAGGTGCCTACCACCACGCTTGGCTAATTTTTGGTATTTTTAGTAGAGACGGGGTTTCACTAGGTTGGCCAGGCTGGTCTCGAACTCCTGACCTCGTGATCTGCCTGCCTTGGCCTCCCAAAGTGCTGGGATTACAGGTGTAAGCCACTGCGCCCAGCAGTTTTTGTATTTTTAATAGAGACGGGGTTTCAGCATGTTGGCTAGGCTGGTCTCGAATTCCTGACCTTGTGATCTGCCTGCCTCGGCCTCCCAAAGTGCTGGGATGACAGGCGTGAGCTACTGCGCCCGGCCTCGAAAACCAAAATTTATGGCCAGGTGTTGTGGCTCACACTTGTCATCTCAGCACTTTGGGAGGCCAAGGTGGGCAGATGGCTTAAATACAGGAGTTTGAGACCAGACTGGGTAACATAGTGAAACTCCGTCTCTCCTAAAAATACAAAAATTAGCCTGGCTTGGTGGCATGCGGCTGTAGTCCCAGCTACTCAGGAAGCTGAGGTGGGAGAATCACCTGAGCCTAGGAAGGTAAGGCTGCAATGAGCTGTGATTGTGCCACTACACTCCAGCCTGGGTGATAGAAGTGAGACCCTGTCTCTAACAACAACAACAACAACAACAAAGATTTAGGAAGATGAGTATTATGAATGCAATGGAGTCTCTTCATAGAATTGAATGTGTAAGGAGAGGGGCCTTCATTTGAATTTTAGTAAGATACTGCTTTCTACCTCATTTTGTGGTTATGTAGCCAAAGATACTTAGTTTCATAGTGCCTGATTCTTGCATATTTGCGTATACACACACAATCACTTTAAATGCAGTATTCTAAATGTAAGGAAACAGCTTTACTAGGCTATTAGCAGTTGAGTCAGTTTTTGTCTTAGGTTTTATGTAGAAAGAAAAGGGAAGTTACTCTGTGAGAAATCATGTTGATTCTATGTAATGGAATGTATTTTCATATACAAATGAATAGTACTTTTAAGCAAACAAGTTGTTTCATTAGTGGTCTTGGTTTAAAAGATTCAGTTGATCAATTCAACAAATATCAGATATTGATTATGTGTTAGGAACTGTGAGTGAACTGATACTGAACATGATCCCTGTTTTCATGGGAGATGCAACATAGAGGGCTGAGGGAGTAAGTAAAAACATTTAGGTGCATAATTTGTTTCTTTTCAGTTGTCTTTCTCATAGTGTGCTATTTATTCTCCTCCCTCATGTATAAAGTTAACTCTTAACTTCTTGGGCTTAAATTTCCTCTGATAGCTCTGTGTGTGCACATGTGCCACAGTCAGAAAAATCAGGTAATAATTGTTAGGTGTTAATTTTCTTGGATGATTACTAGTATTGTGATTGTCTTCCACCATTGTCATAGCTCTCTACTGTGCTAGCCAACTTGTCTAACTGAAATAACTTTTAAGTCTTTTTGTGACAATTGCTAAAGCCAGCAGGAAGTAGGTCCACAATAATGTTTGAAAGCCCTGCTTCATTCTAGTTTTATCTTCATGCATTGCAATTTGTCTCTTGTTTTCCAGTCTGCATATTCCCTATCCTCAATTCTTGTTTAAAAAACCAGGTAAGGCCGGGCGTGGTGGCTCATGCCTGTAATCCCAGTACTTTGTGAGGCCTAGGCGGGCAGATCACTTGAGGTCAGGAGTTTGAGACCAGCCTGGCCAACATGATGAAACCCCGACTCTACTAAAAATACAAAAATTAGCTGGGCTTGCTGGCTTACACTGGTAATCTCAGCTACTCAGGAGGCTGAGGAAGGAGAATCGCTTGAACCCAGGAGGTGGAGGTTTCTGTGAGCTGAGATCGTGCCACTGCACTGCAGCCTGGGCAGCTTGAGTGAGACCCTGTCTCAAAGAATAAAAATAAAAAAACAGGCAAAACTTCGAAAATACCTTAAGTTGGGCATTTTGGACAGGGAGGGGGGGCATTTTTTTGAAGTGTTTAGGTATAGAATAGGCAAACTTTCACAAAGAGCTAGGAGTGTTTTTATTTTATTATTTTTATTGATTGATTTAAAAGTTTATGGAGAGTGGTTTTTAAAGATGGACAGCTGATTATCATGAATTTTTTTTTTTTTTGAGACAAAGTCTTGCTCTGTCGCCAGGCTGGAGTGCAGTGGTGCTATCTCGGCTCACTGCAGCCTCCACCTCCCAGGTTCAAGCGATTCTCCTGCCTCAGCCTCCCGAGTGGTTGGGACTACAGGTGCACGCCACTATGCCCACCTAATTTTTGTATTTTTAGTAGAGATTGGGTTTCACCATGTCGGCCAGGATGGTCTCAATCTCTTGACCTCATGATTCTCCTGCCTTGGTCTCCCAAAGTGGTGGGATTACAGGAGTGAGCCACCGCACCCAACTGGTGATTTTTTTTTTTTTTTTTTTTTTTTGAGACGGAGTCTCGCTCTGTTGCCCAGGCTGGAGTGCAGTGGCGGGATCTCGGCTCACTACAAGCTCCACCTTCCGGGTTCACACCATTCTCCTGCCTTAGCCTCTCGAGTAGCTGAGACTACAGGCGCCCGCCACCACGCCCAGCTAATTTTGTTTTTGTACTTTTAGTAGAGAGGGGGTTTCACTGTGTTAGCCAGGATGGTTTTGAACTCCTGACCTCGTGATCCGCCCACCTCGGCCTCCCAAAGTGCTGGGATTACAGGCGTGAGCCCCCGTGCCCGGCCGAATTTTGTTTTTTTAACCTTACTCCCAACTATTAAAGAACTTACTACTACTTTTTTTTTTTTTTAGATGGAGTTTCTCTCTTGTTGCCCAGGCTGGAGTGCAGTGGTATGATCTAGGCTCACTGCAACCTCTGCCTCCCGGATTCAAGTGATTCTGCTGTCTCAGCCTCCCGAGTTGCTGGGATTACAGACATGCGTCATCATGACTGGCAAATTTTGTGTTTTTGTTAGAGACGGGGTTTCTCCATGTTGGTCAGACTGGTCTCGAACTCCAGACCTCAGGCGATCCGCCCGCCTTGGCCTCCCAAAGTGCTGGGATTACAGGCATGAGCCACCTTGCCCAGCCCTTACTACTACTTTTTTAAAAAGACGGCTGAGACAGGAGAATCGCTTGAACCCGGGAGGCAGAGGTTGCAGTGAGCTAAGATCGCGTCATTGCACTCCAGCCTGGGTGACAGAGCGAGACTCTGTCTCATGAAAAAACGAACAAACAAAAAATCAGCAGTAGATGCCAACTATAATGTTTTATATGATAACTGTCTTTTTTTTTTTGAGACGGAGTCTTGCTCTGTCACCCGGGCTGGAGTGCAGTAGCGCCATCTCGGCTCACTGCAACCTCCGCCTCCCGGGTTCAAGCAATTCTCCTGCCTTAGCCTCCCGAGTAGCTGAGATTACAGGTGCACGCCGCCACGCCTGGCTACTTTTTGTATTTTTAGTAGACACAGGGTTTCACCATGCTGGTCAGGCTGGTCTTGAACTCCCTACCTCAGGTGATCCGACCGCCTTGGCCTCCCAAAGTGCTGGGATTATAGGCGTGAGCACTGTGCCCGGCCAATAACTGTCTTAAAGGCAGAAATTTTTATTTTCTTGGAGTTAACTATATTCTTGTTTGTGGTCTCTTGACTTCAGTTTATTTAGTTTCATTCATATGAGAAGTGCCCAGTTTCCTTGATTTTTGGTGCTAGGATAGTACATAATTTTTGAATAATAGATTCAGTAATAAACATAACATGGTTTAATATTTAAACTGTAAGCCAGCTGACAGTTTTTGGGTTTTCAAGCTAAGCCTATTAAAAAATAACTTAAAAAATTTGTTTAGACTAAACTGCTATGAGGCTAAACTGGAACTCCCCCGCTAAGTAACTCCCTTGCTTAATAACTCCCTCTTCCCTCCTTGTATGGCATAGTTTTTCTTTTATTGATTAAGCATTTGGCATACATTGAGCATAATTTTAAGTAAGCACAGTATGGAAGTTTTTTGTAAGCCTAGTATTATTAAACCTATTTGAAGGGCACATACTGTTTTTATGATGCCTTGGCAGATAATGTCAGGCAAGAGTAACTGAGGTAAAGAGTAACTGTCCACTTGTACAGATTTTGTCCTTTAAAATCTTATATATATATATTTTTGAGACAGAGTTTTGCTCTTGTTGCCCAGGCTGGAGTGCAATGGCACGATCTTGGCTCACTGCAACCTCTGCCTCCCGGGTTCAAGTGATTCTCCTGTCTCAGCCTCCGGAGCAGCTGGAATTACAGGTGCCTGCCACTACACCCGGCCAATTTTTGTTTTTTTAGTAGAGATGGGGTTTCACCATGTTGGCCAGGTTGGTTTCGGAACTCCTGACCTCAGGTGATCCACCTGCATAGGCCTCCCAAAGTGCTGGGATTACAGGCGTGAGCCGCGACATGTGGCGGCCCAGCTTGTTTTTCTTATTTTTAGTAGGGACGAGGTCTCACTATGTTGCCTACGCTGGTCTCGAACTCCTGAGCTCAAGCAATCCTCCTACCTTGACCTCCCAAAGTGCTGGAGATTACAGGTGTGAGCCACCATGCCTGGCAAAAATTTTAAGTGGTTAGGGAATTACTAACATAAAAATATAAGATTTTGAAATGTCAACTTATCTTTTAAAAAATCAAAATGTTGGCTGGGCGCAGTGGCTCATGCCTATAGTCTCAGCACTTTGGGAGGCAGAGGCCGGGGGATCACTTGAGCCCAGGAGTTCAAGATCCTGAGTCAGAAAAGATCTTGGTATGTTGAAAGATCTGGAGCCTAATGAGGGCAAATGATGCTGCTGATGAGATTTGAGTGACACATATCTGGGCTTCAAAAAAAAATCAAAGTTGACCGGGTGCGGGGTGGCTCACGCCTGTAATCCCAACACTTTGGGAGGCCGAGGCGGGTGGATCACCTGAGGTCAGGAGTTCGAGACCAGCCTAGACTAAATGGTGAAACCCCATCACTATTAAAAATAAAAAAATTAGCCAGGCGTGGTGGCCGGTGCCTCTAATACCAGCTACTCAGGAAGCTGAGGCGGGAGAATCGCCTCAACCTGGGAGGTGGAGATTGCCGTGAGCCAAGATTATGCCACTGCACTCCAGCCTGGGTGACAGAGCGAGACTGTCTCAAAAAAAAAAAAAAAAAAAAAAAAAATCAAAGTTTATTCTAATTGGAAGGAAACACGTATAGGGAAAGTATAGGTCAAGGCAAGGAGCTGTTTTGTTCCCCTTCTTATGTATGAAATGTAGATGTGCTTTTATTTACACAAAAGGTGTATTCTTGTGTATTTGTGGGCAACCAAATTCTAAATAGCAACCTTCAAATACATTAGGAAAACTTACTTTAAAGGAGTCTGTATTAAAACTTTTTTTTAAAAAAAATTATTTAAAGAGATGGGGTCTCATTATGTTACCCAGGCTGGCCTTAAATTTCTTGGGTTCAAGTGATCCTCTGCCTTAGCCTCCTGAATAGTTGGTACTGCAGGCACATGCTATGGTGCCCAGATAAAACCTTATCTTTGGCCAGGTGTGGTGGCTCATGTCTGTAATCCCTGTAGTTTGCAAGACCAGGGAGGGTAGAGTTTGATACCAGTCTGGGCAACATAGTGAAATCCTTGTTTCTATAAAAAATTACCTGGGCTTGGTGGCATGTGCCTGTAGTCCCAGCTACTTGGGACACCAAGGTGGGCGGATCGCTTGAGCCTGAGGGTTTGATGGTGCAGTGAGTGATGATCATGCCCCTGCCCTCTAGCCTGGGTGACAGAGTGAGACACTGTCTCAAAAAAGGAAAAAAAGAAAACCTTATCTTTTAAATGTGTATAACCTAATTTATCTTTTGTAAAGATACAGACATTCAGAACTTTTATGTTTGGTTGAAGAAGGCTACTTGTGTAGCACGATCTAGTCTTATCCTGAGAGGCAGGTTGGAAATTCAGAAACTCTTCTAAATATATCTATCTAAATATATTTTGGCCACTGACCTACATATTCTTTTCTTAGAAATCAGGATTATACATTTTAGGTTAGCTATGAGCAATAATTAATGAAAATAATTAAAATGTTCTGAAAACCTAAATAGAATTTTTTAGAGATAGTTGTCAACATGGGAAGGCCATTTTTATCTTGTGTAGTGTTTTAAAATTACAGCTTTTCAGGCCGGGCGTGGTGGCTCACGCCTGTAATCCCAGCACTTTGGGAGGCCGAGGCGGGTGGATCACATGAAGTCGGGGATTCAAGACCAGCCTGACCAACATGGAGAAACCCCGTCTCTAGTAAAAACACAAAAATTAGCCAGGCGTGGTGGCGCATGCCTGTAATCCCAGCTACTCGGGAGTCTGAGGTTGCGGTGAGCTGAGATCACGCCACTGCACTCCAGCCTGGGCAACAAGAGCGAAACTCTGTCCCCCGGCCCCCCGAAAAAAAAAAACAATTACAGCTTTTCAAAAAACCTGCAAATATGTGGTAAAACATTCATCATTTTAAAAAAATCATTAGTGTCTAGAGCATTCTTTGGATGGATTTTTGAAATGAAATTACCTACATCTTTTAAAAAAATTTCTTGAAACTTTTTGAAAACATTGAGATCTCAGCTAATTCATAGTAAGATTATGCTGTATCTAAAGTTTACCAGCAGCCCCAGTGACACCCCTGTAGTGTAGCGTGGAGGCACTAGTTTTAATGCTAAGAAGCAAAGGCCAAGGTAGTACAGATTGCTCCCATATTGCCTTATCCAAGTCTGTATGTAGACCCATTAACTGCACTGGTTTTCTGTATGCTATGACCCTAGCTCCTATGAGACATGTTTTTGCAGAAGATGGCTGTAGTGTGTGTGTATGCATCATCTGTGGTTTTTTTTAAAGCAAAAGTGAGATTTAATAGATTCATTTAACTGTGACAAATCCAGTGTGCAACTGGTCTCTGGCCCAATTGGATCCAGCACTCATTTGATATTATCTCGGCACTGTTTTTTATCTCTTTGGGTACTGGCTCTGTGTACTGCTTTTGGGCTTTATTTTCAGCCAGGCTTTCCTCTCATGAGGGCAGAGTTGACCCCCAGTAGCTCTCAACTAACTCATTTCCTCAGTATTGAGAAAAAAAATTAATAGACTTTATTTTTTAGATGAGTTTTAGGTTTGCAGAAAAATTTAACAGAAAGTACAGACGGTCCTCAACCCATTTTGCCCTATTAACATATTGCATTAGTCTGGCATATTTGTTACAACTGACAAGCCAATATTGATACATTATTATTTATTGTTTATTTAATTTTTTTTTTTTTGGTAGAGATGGGGTCTCTACAAAACTTCATCTTGTGTTGCCCAGGCTGATCTCAAGCAACCCTCATGCCTCAACCTCCCAAGGTGCTGGGATTACAGGCATGAGCCACCACGCCTGGCCTGATACATTATTAAAGTTCGTAGTTAACATTAGGGTTCACTCTTTTTGTATTGATTAATACGGAGAGTCTATGTTGAATAAAACCAAATAACAGTTCTGTGGGTTTGGACAAATGCCTAATGCCAAGTAAAATATCTCCCACCAGAAAGGCACGGTTATTGCAATTGTTGAACCTCCATTAACTTGTCCTTCTCACCCAAAGTTCATAGGTTATATATTAGAGTTCACTGTTGGTGTTGTACATTGTAGGGGTATGGGCAAATTTGCAATGACATGTATCTACCATTACAGCGTCATACAGAGTAGTTTGGCCTAAAAATCCTCTGTGCTCGGCCTCTTCATTCTTCCCTTCCCCCACCCTCTGGCAACCATTGATCTGTTGTCTCTATAGTTTTGCCTTTTCCAGAATGTCATACAATTGGAATGATACAATATGTAGTTTTTTCAGATTGGTTTCTTCACTTTGTGATAGTATTCAAGTTTCTTTTGTGGCTTGGTAGCTCACTTCTTCTTATGGATGAATAATATTCCATTGTCTGGATGACCACAGTTTATCCATTCACCTACTGAAGGATAGTAAGTCGCTTCCAATTTTTGATAGTATGTTTGCTTCCAGTTGGTTGCTTCCAATTTTTGGTAGTGTGTTTTTCAGCATTTTTGACTGAAAATCATAATGTTAAAAGAGCATAATTATAACAGAAGCATCCTTTCTCTTGACTTTACCAATTTATTGATACAGCTCATTATTATAGGATGTAGTGGTAGGTAGGATTTGCTGTAGAGCAGAGAGTGATTAAGAATGTGGACTCTGGCTGGGTGAGGTGGCTCACGCCTGTAATCCCAGCAATATGGGAGGCTAAGGTGGGCAGATCACAAGGTCAGGAGTTCGAGACCAGCCTGGCCAATATGGTGAAACCCCGTCTTTACTAAAAATACAAAAAAAAAATTATCTGGGCGTGGTGGTGCATGCCTGTAATCCCAGCTACTCAGGAGGCTGAGGCAGAAGAATTGCTTGAACCCGGGAGGTGGAGGTTGCAGTGAGCTGAGATCATGCCACTGCATTCCAGCCTGGCGACAGAGCAAGACTCCATCTCAATTTTTTTTTTTTGAGACAGAGTCTTGCTCTGTCGCCCACGCCGGAGTGATGTGATCTCGTCTCACTGCATTCTCTGCCTCCCAGGTTCAAGCGATTCTCCTGCCTCAGTCTCCCAAGTAGAGTAGCTGGGACTACAGGCCCGCCACCATGCCTGGCTAATTTTTGTATTTTTAGTTGAGATGGGGTTTCACTATGTTGGCCAGGCTGGTCTTGAACTCCTGACCTCAAATAATTCTCCCACCTTGGCCTCCCAAAGTCTTGGGATTACAGCAGACGTGAGCCGCTACGCCCGGCTGAGACTGTCTCAAAAAAAAAAAAAAAAGAATGTGGACTCTGGGGCCAGGTGCAGTGGCTCACGCCTGGAATCCCAGGACTTTGGGAGGCTGAGGTGGGCAGATTACCTTAGGTCAGAAGTTTGAGACCAGTCTGGCCAAATAGTGAAACTGGGCATGGTGGCACGTTCCTATAGTCCCAGCTACTTGGGAGACTGAGGCAGGAGAATTGCTTGAACCTGGGCAGTGGAGGTTGCAAGTGAGCTGAGATTGCACCACTGCACTACAGCCTGGGCAACAGAGTGAGACTCTGTCTCAAAACAAACAAACAAAGAATGTAAGAATGTGGACTCTGGAATGACTTTATTTAAAATCCTGACTCTACAGTACTACCTACAGCATTGGCAGTATTGGTTCTGTGAGTTCATGCAGATTCCCCACCCCTGCTTTTTTTTTAGAGGTGGAGTTTCGCCCTTGTCACCCAGGCTGGAGTGCAATGGCATGATCTCGGCTCACGGCAACCTCCACCTCCAGGGTTCAAGTGATTCACCTGCCTCAGCCTCCCGAGTAGCTGGGATTACAGGCATGTGTCAGCATGCTCAGCTAATTTTGTATTTTTAGTAGAGATGGGGTTTCACCACGTTGGTCAGGCTGGTCTTGAACTTCTGACCTCAAGTGATCCACCCACCTCGGCCTCCCAAAGTGCTGGCATTACAGGTGTGAGCCACTGCGCCCAGCCGGGTTTTTTTTTTTTTTTTTTTTTTTTAATGACAGAGTCTTGCTCTGTCACCCAGGCTGCAGTGCAGTGGTGCAGTCTCAGCTCACTGCAACCTGCACTTCCTGGGTTCAAGCTATTCTTGTGTCTCAGTCTCCTGAGTAGCTGGGATTACAAGTGCATGCCAACACGCCTGGCTGATTTTTGTATTTTTTGTAGAGATGGGGTTTCGCCATGTTGGCCAGACTGGTCTTGAACTCCTGGCCTCAAGTGATCTGCCCACCTTGGCCTCCCAAAGTGCTGGGATTACATGCGTGAGCCACGGTGCGGGTCCCCTAACCTTATATTGTAGTGGATATTTACACACCTTTAAATTAGCTCAAATGAAACTTTGAAATCTCTTCTTGGGTTTTAAGTTCAGTGCCCCTAACTTTTCTTGTTTGTTTCTTTCTTTTTTAAGAGACAGTGTTGCTCAGTTGCCCAGGCCAGAGTGCAAAGGCTCACTGCCACATCCAACTCCTGGGCTCAAGCAGTCCTTCTACATGCCTGGCTAATTTTTAAATTTTTTGTATAGATGGGGTCTGGCTATGTTTCCCAGGCTGGTCTCAAACTCCTTGACTTAAGCAGTTCTCCTGCGTTGGCCTCCCAAGGCTCTGGGATTACAGGTGTCCACCACCATGCCTGGCCCTCTGGTTTCTTTTGATTTTTCCCATGTCTTTCCTGTTATGGAGGGGAGGTTTAAGATTCTTTAATAGGCCAGGTGCGGGGGCTCACGCCTGTAATCCCAGCACCTTGGGAGGCCGAGGCGGATGGATCACGAGTTCAGGAGTTCAAGACCAGCCTGGCCAACATGGTGGAACCCCATCTCTACTAAAAGGAGCTATTACAGAATCTTTTTTTTGTTTTTTTTTTTGTTTGTTTTTTTTGAGACGGAGTCTCGCTGTGTCACGCAGGCTGGAGTGCAATGGCATGGTCTCGGCTCACTGCAGCCTCCGCCTCCTGGGTTCAAGTGATTTCTCCTGCCTCAGTCTCCTGAGTAGCTGGGACTACAGGCGTGTGCCACCATGCCTGGCTAATTTTTTTTTATTTTTAGTAGAGACGGGGTTCCACCATGTTGACCAGGCTGGTCTTGTACTCCTGACCTCGTGATCCACCAGCCTTGGCCTCCCAAAGTGCTGGGATTACAGGTGTGAGCCACCGCGACCGGATTCTTGTTTTTATTTAAATTTAAATTTAATTAATTTTTTTTTTTTTTTTGAGATAGAGTCTCATTCTGTGGTCCAGGCTGGAGTACAGTGGTGTGATCTTGACTCACTGCAACCTCCACCTCCTGTGTTCAAGCGATTCTGCCTCAGCCACCAGAGTACCTGGGACTACAGGTGTGTGCTACCACGCCTGGCTAATTTTTTGTAGTTTTAGTAGTGACGGGGTTTCGCCATGTTGACTAGGCTGGTCTCGAACTCCTGGCCTCAAGTGATTCAGCTGCCTTGGCCTCCCAAAGTACTGTATTTACAGGCATGAGCCACCATGCCTGGCCTCAAATATATTTTCAAAGACTTTAAAATATACACAGAGATGTGTAATAATGATTCCCTGTGTACCTACTTATTACACAGTTTCAATAATTATCCACATTTTGCCATTTGTTTTTGGTTATGCTTTCTGCTTTCATTAATTTTTTCCTAAATTCTTTTATTTAACCTTTTTTTTTTTTTTTTTTTTGAGATAGAACCTCACTCAGTTGCCCAGGCTGGAGTGCAGTGTTTCGATCATAGCTTACTACAGCCTGGAATTTCTGGGAGCAAGCAATCCTGCCTCAGTCTCCCAGGTAGCAAGGACCACAGATGTGCACTGTCATTCCCATTGTAGAGATGGGGCCTCATGATGTTACCCAGGCTGGTCTCAAACTCCTGGGCTTAAGCAGTCCTCCTGCCTTGGCCTCCCAAAGTGCTGGAATTACAGCTTGAGCCACCACGCCTTGCATCCCACATAAACTTTTTTTTTTTTTTTTTTTTTTTTTTTTTTTTTTTGAGGGGGAGTCTTGCTCTGTCACCCAGGCTGGAGTGCAGTGGCACGATCTGGACTCACTGCAGCCTCCGCCTCCTGAGTTCAAGCAGTCCTCCTCCTTAGCCTCCAAAGTAGCTGGGATTACAAGTGTGTGCCACCACACCTGGCTGATTTTTGTATTTTTAGTAGAGACAGAGCTTCGCCATGTTGGCCAAGCTGGTCTCGAACTCCTGACCTCAAGTGATCTACCTGCTTCAGCCTCTTAAAATGCTGGTATTATAGGCATGAGCCACTGTGCCTGGTCCAGATAAACTTTTGAAGAAACCCAACCATTATACCATTGTCATCTGCAACAATTAACAATAATAATATAAAATAATTTACTGTCTAGTCTGTGTTTACTTTTTCTTTTTCTTTTTTTTTTTTGAGACAGAGTTTCACTTTTGCTGCCCAGGCTGGAGTGCAGTGGTGCGATCTCGGCTCACAGCAACCTCTGCCTCCCGGGTTCAAGCGATTCTCCTGCCTCAGCCTCCGGAGTAGCTGGGATTACAGGCATGCGCCACCACGCCCAGCTAATTTTGTATTTTTAGTAGAGATGGGGTTTCTCCATGTTGGTCAGGCTGGTCTTGAACTCCGGACCTCAGGTGATCCACCCGCCTCGGCCTCCCAAAGTGCTGGGATTACAGGCGTGAGCCACCGTGCCCGGCCAAGACGGAGTCTCGCTCTGTCGCCCAGGATAGAGTGCAGTGGCGTGATCTCGGCTCACTGCAAGCTCTGCCTGCCGGGTTCATTCCATTCTCCTGCCTCAGCCTCCCGAGTAGCTGGGACTACAGGCGCCTGCCACCACGCCCTGCTAATTTTTTGCATTTTTAGTAGAGACAGGGTTTCACCATGTTAGCCAGGATGGTCTTGATCTCCTGACCTCGTGATCCACCCGCCTCGGCCTCCCAAAGTGCTGGGATTACAGGTGTGAACCACCTTGCCTGGCCGAGTTGTAAATGTTAAGCCTATTTTGCATTTGTAAGATAATACCACTTGTATTTTTGTACCTATTGTTGCATAAAAATTGTCCCAAAATTTAGTGGGGTGATATTAGCAATAAACGTTATCATTTCAGCATCTGAGAGTCAGATATTTAGGAGCAACTAACTAGTTGGTCAATTATGACTTTATGAGATTACAGTCAGGTTGTCAGCTTGAGGCTTCAGTTATTTGTAGACCTGATGGGCTGGAGGATCCATTTGCAAGGTGACTCACTCACATGGCTGGCAAGATAGTATTGGCTTTTAGTGGAAACCTCAGATTCTTTCCATTTGAACCTCTCCAAGAGTGCCCTCATGGAATGGTGGCTGGTGTCTCCCAAAGGGAGCAATCCTAGAGAGAGAAGTGAGAAGAAAGAGAGCAAAGCATGTCAGGTGGTAACTGTCTTCTTTATAACCTCATCTTGGAAATCATAGAACATTACTTCTGCCGTCTTCTATTATTAGAAGCAAGCCATCAAGTCCAGCCTGCATTCGAGGGAGGAGAATTAAGGTCACCCTTTTGAAGGGAGGAACATTAAAGAATTTGTGAACAGATAAAAAAAGATTTTAGCTTGTGTTTTGTGGCCATGAGTTATTTACATTTTTCCACATGCCAGATATACTTAACTCCCAAGATTGCCCAAAAGTCGTGTCCCTTTCTTTTTTTTTTGAGACAGAGTCTGGAGTCTGGAGTGCAGTGGTGCAATCATGGCTCACTGCAACCTCTGCCTCCCAGGTTCAAGCGATTGTCCTGCCTTAGCCTCCCTAGTAGCTGGGATTACAGGTGCCCACCACTACGCCAGCTAATTTTTGTATTTTTAGTAGAAACGGGGTTTCACCGTGTTGGCCAGGTTTGTCTCGAACTCCTGACCTTAAGGGATCCACCCACCTTGGCCTCCCAAAGTGCTGGGATTACAGGCGTGAGCCACCACGCCTAGCCAAAGTCTTCTCTCTTTACAGCATTTAATTAAGTCCAAGTACGGCTGAAGCTTCTCTGGTGAGGTTCCTTGAATGTAGTTCCTTGATGAATACAGTTTCATTTGATCTGAAGACCTGTGAACCACAGAGAGAACTTACCTGCTCCTGTATATATACCCAACATATAATAGCCAGTTAGTCGTTGGATAACATCTGTAGACTCTCTTTTCAAAAAGGGGAAAGCAAGAAGTACACTGGAGTCACTGATATAAATAGCATTTCTGAAATCCAGGAGGACGTGTGTTGGTAGTTCCTTGATTAGGACTTATGATTCTGCATGATGTACTTTCACCTCTTTTATATTTTCCATCTCATATTTTTTGTATGCCGTTATGGGTATTTTCTTCAAATCTGTCTTTTAGTTTGCTAGTTTTCTTTTTAGCTGTGTGTAATCTGTTACTTAACCTGCCCAGTTTTTCCTACGATATTTCCATTTTTGAAAATTGTGGGCCAGGTGTGGTGGCTCACGCCTATAATCCCAGCACTGTGGGAGGCTGAGGTGGCTGGATCACTTGAGGTCGGGAGTTCAAAACCGGCCTCACCAACATGGTGAAACACTGTCTCTACTAAAAATACAAAAGTTAGCCGGGTATGGTGGTGGCGCCTGTAGTCCCAGCTACCTGGGAAGCTGAGGCACGAGAATCACAGAATCACTTGAACCCGGGAGGTGGAGGTTGCAGTGAGCCGAGATCGCCCCCACTGCACTCCAGTATGGATGACTGAACCAGACTCCATCTCCAAAAAAAAAAAAAAAAAAAAAAAGAAGCTTGACTCTTTTTTAAATTTAATTTTTAATAGTTACATTGTAATGCAGTTTTGAAAGATTTTTACATTGGTCCATAAAACGAAGAACTATGAGACAATATTATAAAAAGTTCATTCTCCCATTTTGATTCTCTACCTTTCACCTTCCTACTTTTCACAAGTAAGAATTACTAATTTCTTGTTTCCTTATAGATTTTTAAAATACGCAAATGTAGGTAGATTTTCTTCCCTCATGTTTTATACAAATACCATATTGTACCCACTTGTCTTTTTTCTTTTTTGAGATGGAGTTTTGGTCTGTTGTCCAGGCTGGAGTGCAGTGGTGCATCTCGGCTCACTGCAACCTCCACCTCCCGGGTTCAAGTGATTCTCCTGCCTCAGCCTCCCAAGTAGCTGGGACTACAGGCGTGCACCATCACACCTGGCTAATTTTTGTATTTTAAGTAGAGATGGGGTTTCACTATGTTGGCCAGGTTGGTCTCGAACTCCTGACCTTGTGATCCACCTGCCTCGGCCTCCCAAAGTGCTGGGATTACGGATGTGAGCCACTGTGCCCAGCCTTTTTCCTTCTTAAAAATGGACCCTGGAGATCATTTCTAATATAGAAAAGAGTTCCTCATTCATAGTCCTTTTGTAGCTTAGTTTTGTCATGATAATCATAAACCTACATCTATAGTCCAGCTAGAATTGGAAGATGAGATGGGAAATATGGAACCCATAGAATTACAGCAAATGAGCACGCAAAGATTATGGATTTTAAAGCAGTCTGGGAGTAAATGAGATAAAACAAAATTAAATTTGAAACTTGCCCTCAGTCAATATTTAAGACCTTCTTGCTTGTTTTGCACCTCTATCTTAACTTTCACAGTATTCATGCCATCTTTTACCTTTCCATGGTGGGCTTATATGTTATTTCAGGCTGAACTACATTTCCTAGAAACTCCTTTCCTGTATCTTTCTTTTTAATTTTTAAAAATTATTTTATTTTATTTTTTTGAGATGGAATCTCTCGCTGTTGCCCAGGCTGGAGTGCAGTGGAGTGATCTCGGCTCAGTGCAACCTCTGTCTCCTGGCTTCAAGCGATTCTTCCTGCCTCAGTCTCCTGAGTAGCTGGAACTACAAGTGTGTGCCACCACACCCAGCTCATTTTTTTTTTTTTTTTTTTTTTTTAGTAGAGGTGGGGTTTCACCATGTTGGCCAGGCTGGTCTTGAACTCCTGACCTCAAGTGATCCACCCGCCTCAGCCTCCCAAAATGCTGTGATTACACTTTCCTGTGTCTTTCTTGTAAGGTTGGGCACAAGAGAGATTACTGTAGGAGATTTGGAGAGTGGCCATTTTGTTGTTTACATACATTGTTGCTTATCTGTTGAGTCACCTCACTTCTTTGTAGTGAAGCAGCTTATGGGACTGCAACTGTTTAACTCTCCCCTAGATCTCCTTCCCAATCTTCTTCAGCTCTGCTGACTCCTGGGCCAGGTATATGTTTAGCTGTTTGACAAAGAGGTTTGGTTCTATAGGACATCTATACCATCAAGGTTAGAGGCAACAAGAACTAATACAGAGTTCAGTTTGTCCTGTGGACTTAAGCTTGTGTGTGTGATTTCTAGCTCGTTGTTTCTTGCTCTCTCCTACTTGTTCTCTGCCACATCCATCTTTCTGTCTCACCTGCGGCCCTGTGGATTTTAAGCGCCAGCATCAGATGCAGATAGCCTTACAGAAAATTCTTTATTGTGTGTGTGTGTGTGTGTGTGTGTGCGCGCGCGTGCTGGGGGCAGAGGGTGTATTTTTAAGACCTGGTGGTTCTGTTTCTCTGACCAAACCTGAATTATTCATTTTTCCGAAAGACCACATTTGCTATCTATCTAATCAATCAATTTTATCAGTTTATGGAAACTGGGAGTCATTTATACTGAGTTCAGGATTTGCCAGGGACAAGATGTCAGATGTCACAGGTTACAGTTTTTTTGTTTGTTCGTTTGTTTTTTTTTAAGACAGAGTCTTGCTCTGTCACCCAGGCTGGAGCGCAGTGGCGCAATCTTGGCTCACTGCAACCTCTGCCTTCCGGGTTCAAGCGATTCTCCTGCCTCAGCCTCCTCAGTAGCTGGGATTACAGGCACGTGCCACCACGCCCAGCTAATTTTTGTGTTTTTAGTAGAAATGGGGTTTCACTATGTTGGCCAGGCTGGGCTCAAACTCCTGACCTCATGATCCGCCCGCCTCAGCCTCCCAAAGTGCTGAGATTACAGATGTGAGCCACCGCACCTGGCCAGGATGGGGTTTTTATGGTTGGGCTTTGGCACAGGTAGGGCAGCTGAAGTCTGGCTGTAGGTAGCAGTATCCATGAAGTGGCTTCTTATTCATTTCTACAGCTGCAAAGCATTGCATTGGAACTCTGGATGTTTTTTAGCATTTGTTGTCATTGTCCCTGCTCATTTTGATTACATCATTTTTTTTTTGAGACAGTGACACTAATGCAGCAGTTATTTGAGAATATCTTATTTCATCCTTAACTAAAGTGCCTAGCTCATGCTAACTACACACAAATAAATGCCTTTTCTGTGTTGAATGCCTTTTCTGTGCTACAAATACATGGGTGCTAGTAGGGCACTACTACGATTTTGATTACATCATTTTCTTTTTTCTTTTTTTTTTTTTTTTTTGAGACAGGGTCTTGCTCTGTCACCCAGGCTGGAGTGCAGTAGTATGATCACAGCTCACTGCATCCTCAACCTCCTGGTTCAAGTGATCCTCCTACCTCAGCCTCCCGAATAGCTGGGACCACAGGTGCATGCCACCATGTCCTGCTAATTTTCAAAATATTTTTTTGTAGATATAGGATCTCCTTATATTGCCCAAGCTGGTCTTGAACTCTTGAGCTCAAGAGATCCTTCCTTACCTTGGCCTCCCAAAGTGCTAGGATTGCAAACGTGATCTACTATGCCTGACCTTGGTTTTGTTTTGTTTTTTAATTTTGAAATACTTTTCATATAGGCTTTCAAAAAAATATGTGTAGGATGATTCCTTGCGGGTTTGAATATGTATTTGTAGTTTCAACAGACTCTGTGAAGTAGACTTGTTTTTTTGTCCATTTTGGACTTTTTTTTGTCCTATAAACTCTATTTGGTTAAATTTATGTGGTGGAGATTCTGAGATCCTAGGGTGACGATGCTTTCCTTCATTGCGGATTTCTTTGCTTTTTCAGGGTTTCTTGACCACATGGACAGTGTAAATTTGAATTCTAGATCCAAGTAATAATAAGGAAGTAGTATCAAATTTTCTGAGTTCTGATCTCCCAGCATTGACCTACAAGTTTCTTGGTAAGCCCTCTGTTGGCAGGTGTTTTTTTTCCCCTAGATCTCCCTTTCACTAGCGGTATAAGCTACTGTGAGAGTCCCAACTCATGGCAGGAATATCAGATCTAGTTTTCTTTTCTTTTCTTTTCTTTTTTTTTTTTTTTTAAGACCGAGTCTCACTCTGTTACCCAGGCTGGAGTGCAGTGGAGTGATCTCGGCTCACTGCAACCTCTGCCTCCTGGGTTCAAGCGATTCTCCTCCTTCAGCCTCCTGAGTAGCTGGGATTACAGGCGGGCGCCATTACGCCTGGCTAATTTTTGTATTTTTGGTAGAGATGGGGTTTCGCCATGTTGGCCGAGATGGTCTCGAACTCCTGACCTCAGGTGGTCCACCTTCCTCAGCCTCCCAAAGTGCTGGGATTACAGGCATGAGCCACCATGCCTGGCCTAGATCTAGTTTTCTTAACTTTGCCCTGGCCTAAAGCTTAATCTTCTGTTCTCAAACTAGTATGGTATTTGCTCCCAGGACAACTCTAGTATTTCTAGGTTGTTTTATGTCCAATTTTTAGCTCACTGTTGTGTCTGTTGGGAGGTACACTTTGAGTTTCTCTTACTTTGTTGATAGTTCACAAAATATTAAAAATGTTGCAATTTCCTCAGGATCTGATTGCCCTTTTTGGGTAGCATGCACACTAGCTGAAAAGTGTCCTACTAGCACCCATGTACTTGTAGCATAGAAAAGGCATTCAACATAGGAAAGGCATTTATTTGTGTGTAGTTAGCATGAGCTAGGCACTTTACTTAAGGATGAAATAAGATATTCTCAAATAACTGCTGCATTAGTGTCATTGGAGGGATTATAGAGAAGGAAGAGACTATATTTGTTTGAAGAGATTGTGTAGACTATATTTGTGTGGAGAGGCTGAGGAAGTTGGATCACCTGAGGTCAGGAGTTTGAGACCAGCCTGACCAACGTAGCGAAACCCCGTCTCTACTAAAAATACAAAAATTAGCTGGGCGTAGTGGCGGGTGCCTGTAATCCCGGCTACTCAGAAGGCTGAAGGAGGAGAATCGCTTGAACCCGGGAGGCAGAGGTTGCAGTGAGCAGAGATCGCTCCACTGCATTCCAGCCTGGGCAACAGAGTGAGACTCGGTCGCAAAAAAATAAAAATTAAAAAAAAAAAAAAGAAAGAAAAGAAAACTAGATCTGATATTCCTGCCCATTTCTTTTCTGTTGGAGACTGAAATAGAAATATGTAGATCATGTATCTTCTAGATATGATGGACTTGGAGAGAATACTGTTTTACTTCCACCAGAATGACTAAAATAAATGCCTGAAACAAACAAAAAACCAACCATGCTAGTGTTGGTAAAGCATGAAAAAAACAGAGACTCTCAGACATTGTTGGCAGGAGGACAAATTGATGGAAGCATTTGGGAAAACTTTCTAGTAAAGCTGAACATAAGCATATTCTATGACTTAATCTAGGAGTTGTATTAACTCCTGGGTATATATACAACAGAAACATGTGCAAACGTGCACAAGAAGACATGTATGAAACTTTTCATGAATGCGTTGCTCATGATGTCCCAAACTGAAAAAATGACAAATGTCTATCAAGAGTAGAATGGATAGATAAATTGTGATATAGTTATACAGTGGAATACTTTGCAGTGATGAAAATAAGCTGCTGTTGCATACTGTTGCATGGATGAACCTGAGAGACATTGTTGAACTAAAGAAACTTGACACGAAAATAAAAGAACAGGCAAAATGATTTGTGATAAATGTCAAAAAGTGGTTACTTTTTAGGGTGGGTAGTGACTAGAGGGGACATGAGGGATGCTTCTGGGGTGTTGGGAATGTTCTGTATATGGTCATTACGTGGATATGTTCATTTTATATAAATGTGTCAGGATGCACACTTAACGATGTGCATTTCTGTGTGGTAATACTACAATCAAATTTTTCTTAAGGTTTTTTTTTGAGACAAAGTCTCACTCTTGTCCAGGCTGGAGTGCAAGGACACGATCTCAGCCTCTGCCTCCCAGGTTCAAGTGATTCTTGTGCCTCGCCTCCTGAGTAGCTGGGATTATAGGCATGCACTACCATGCCCAGCTAATTTTTGTATTTTTAGTAGAGATGGGGTTTTGCCATGTTGCCCAGGCTGGTCTCAAACTCCTGGGCTCAAGTGATCTGCCTGCCTCGGCCTCTCAAAGTACTGGGATTACAGGTGTGAGCCACCGCAACCCCCAAAAATGTTTAAGGAGTCTGACTGATTTGATTTAAAGAGCAGAGAACTCAGCCCCTAGTTTGTTTTTTAGTGGGCTCATATTCCTTTTGAAAATTTGTGGGCATAGATTGAGTTTTTACGGGGAGGGAAGTGGGTAGGAATTTAAATATTGAAGGTAAGAATAGACCTGCATGGAAGGTTGATCTGTAGTATGTGTCTTATAGACTTATTTTTATGTTCTTTTTTTTTTTTTTGGTCACAATTACAGAATTTTTAGTATCAATTTTATATAAAGTGAAAGACTGCAGTAATCTTAGAAAAAACTGTGATAAATTCTATTCAAAATACCTTGTTCTCTCATTCTCTCAAGGGAGATTGGTATATACCCTATCACTTGATATTGAAGCTAAATTAGATAAATAGCATAAGGTTTCCTGTTAGGCCCAGTCCTAGATTGCAAGGGAATCAACAGGATCACCTGTTAGGCTTTCTTTTTTCTTTTTTTGTAAGCCTGAATTTCTGTGACAGGGAAAGTACTATAGCCTCTTGTGTGCAAAGGCTTTGTTTTGTTAGCAAAACATTGACCTTCTTTAAAGTTGCCTTTCTTTTTTGGTCTAAGTAGAAAGCATTATTTAATTCAGTGTTGCTTTGTAAAATAAAGCAACATGGAATTCATGAATTATCTAATATTAATACTTTTGCATGTGGAGCAGCAATATAAGTTAACTGGTTCATGTAGACCGTATTTGAGGCATTAGCTGCTTGTGTTTCTTACAATTCTAGGTTGGTAATATAAAATAAATAGATGCAAGAATGCTAGCAGTTAGAATACCCTATTTTACATGAATGTAGAGGAAAATCTTACTTAGAAACGTATCATTTAATGGGCTGTGCTTTTGTCAGTTTATGGTGTCAACTTGTGGTTTCAACTGAAAAGGAAAAGGGCCTGTGGCAACAAAAAACTTGTAACAGCAGATGACTTTTGCATTCCTTACATTAGGAAGGACGATACAGTTTTAGTTTATTCGTTTTTTTTTTCCCTGCTTTCTTTTCTTTTCTTTTTTCTTTTTTTTTTTATTTTTTTTATTTTTTATTTTGAGACAGAGTCTTGCCCTGTCGCCCAGGCTGGAGTGCAGTGGTGCGATCTCGGCTCACTGCAACTTCTGCCTCCTAGCTGGGACTACAGGAACCCACGACCACGCCTGGCTAATTTTTTGTATTTTGGTAGAGACGGGTTTTTACCATGTTGCCCATGCTGGTCTCGAACTCCTGAGCTCAGGCAATCTGCCCGCCTCGGCCCCCCAAAGTGCTAGGATTGCAGGCGTGAGCCACTGTACCTGGCCTATTCATTTGTTTTAATGGGAGCATTATATCATTTTAGTGATGTTAAAGGATGGTTAATGATGGTTGTTCACAGGTAATACGGAAAGGGGTAAAAAGCAAGTCTTAGTTATATTGAGTGCTTAATGATTTTATGCATTGCTATGTCTAAATCTTCAGGAGGATTTCCGATAGTGCTTGGTCTTTGGTAAGATTCCATTAATCATGGTCCTTTCTTACAATCTGAGTCTACAGGAAGTTGTTAACAATCAAAAAAGCGCATTTCGAGAAGGAATGTTTTCTCTGTGTTTTACGGGTATGTCTTATTTCCCTCCAAAAATAATTCCTTGCCTATCCGTTTATATATGAAAACAATTGGTTCACATCTTTTGAACTTTAATTTCTGTTAAAGTCTCTTCTGTGTTCACTGTGGTTTTTCCCTGGATGAACTGATGTATTTAGCCATCATCTGTCCTTATACCAATGATGTCAAAATCTGTATTTCTATATTTTTGAGACCTGTGGGTTGTTTTGTTTTGTTTTATATTTTTGAGACAGGGTCTCATTCTGTTGCCCAGGCAGGCATTATTTAATTCAGTGGCACAGTCATGGCTCACTGCAGCCTTGACCCCGTGGGCTCACACCATCCTTCCACCTTAGCCTCCCTAGTAGCTGGTACTACAGGCATGTGCTACCATGCTCGGCTAATTTTTTTGTATTTTTTTTCTATAGGTGGGATTTTACCATGTTTCCCAGGCTGATTTTTAACTCCTGGACTGAAGCTACCCTCCCACCTCTGCCTCCCAAAGTGCTGGGATTACAGGCATGAGCCACTGCCCCCAGTAGAGACCTGTGTTATGAGGATTATCCAGTCCAAATCCAAGTTGATTATTTCTCTACCACCAAACTTTTTTTTTTCTTTTTTTTTCTTTGCTCTGTCTCCTAGGCTGGAGTGCAGTGCCATGATCATGGCTCACTGCAGCCTCAACCTCTGAGGCTCAAGTGATCTTCCCATCTCAGTTCCCTGAGTAGCTGAGACTACCAGCATGCACCATTACACACGGCTAGTTTTTTAATTTTTTGTAGATATGGAGTCTCACTATGTTTCCCAGGCTGGTCTGGAACTCCTGGCCTTAAGAGAGCCTCCCACCTCTACCTCCCAAAGTGCCGGGATTATAGGGGTGAGCCACTGCTTGGCTGTACCACCAAACTTTTTACTCTTCCTGTAGTCTACCTGTAGTCCCCCAAAGAGTGGTCTTCAGCCCCATTTTTTCTCTTTTAGAGAACTTCCCTGATCTGTGATGAAAACTTGTCTCCTCTCTCTTTAAAATATCTTCTCTCAAATCTGACTTTACTGATACTGTTTGATCTCATTTATGGGTAATTTAAATAATCATTTCATCTCAGACATTAAACACTAACTCTTTGAGAATCACTCAGCTGAGTTGTTGGGGATACTTAAAACACAGTCCTTGTTTTGTTTTTTTCCCCCTGCTATCAAACATTGAATTTATTACTTTTATCTTACCGTATGTTAGTACCTTTTAACCCACTTCTCTTCATTCTCCTCCTCTCTCTGCCATAGCCCTTTCTTTTATTTTTATTTTTTTGAGACAGGGCCTCACTCTGTCACCCAGGCTGGAGTGCAGTGGCATAATCACAGCTCACTGCGGTCTTGACCTCCCAGGCTCAAGCCATCTTCCCACCTCAGCCTCCCAAGTAGCTGGGCTGCAGGCATGCACCACCATGCCCAACTAATTTTTAATTTTTTTGTAGAGACAGGGTCTCACTGTGTTGCCCAGGCTGGTCTTGAACTCTTGGATTCAAGCAATCCTCCCACTTTGATTTCCCAAAGTGCTGGGATTATAGGCATGAGCCGCTGAACCTGGTCAATTCTTACTGATTTCAGTGTACACATAAGTGATCCTTCTGACGCTACTCAGTAAGTCATGTGAGGAACTCTCCTGTAAGATTTTGTCCACTACCTTACCTCAGTCACCTACTTCCATGGTTGTACCCTAACCAGTGCTTCTTGAACTATCCATTGTGAAGGACTAGTATATTTTTATTTCTAGTCCACTGTGGATTGATTATTTTATAACATATGATAAAAATTGATTACTAGGTAGCTGAAGTACTGATTTTGATTGTTGTAACAATATAAAGTTGCTCTAAGTTTCTCAGTAATTACTCAGTTTCTATACTTTTTTTTTTTTTTTTTTTGAGATGGAGTCTAGCTGTGTCACCCAGGCTGGAGTGCAGTGGTGTGGTCTCAGCTCACTGCAACTTCTGCCTTCTGGGTTCAAGCCATTCTCCCGTCTCAGCCTCCCGAGTAGCTGGGATTACAGGCGCATGCCACAGTGCCCGGCTAATTTTTGTATTTTCAGTAGAGACAGGGTTTCACCATGTTGGCTAGGCTGGTCTTGAACTCCTGACTTCATGATCCACCTGCCTTGGTGTCCCAAAGTGCTGGGATTACAGGCGTGAGCCACGGCGCCTGACCTTCTATACTTCTTTCACTGCAGGTGTACATTGATTTACAGACAACACTTTCAGTAGCATTGTTTTAGATCCTGTCAGTTATCAATAACTGCAACCCTTCCATAATCTGTTTCATTCACAGCACTCTTGGATTCTATCTTTCTAGCTCATTCTTTACAGTACCCTGATTTCAACATTCTTTGGCTCTGTTGGGATGTCCATTCCATTGGCCTACCCCATTTTTAGTGCTCTGTACTTTCTTGATGTGATCATTAGAATGATTTCCTTGCATACACTCTTGCTTCTTTCTTGCTTCGTTCTACTTGTTGGGCAAAACTAAAATTCTGGTTAAATCCAACTTTTACCTTCTCTGCACTTGTATTTATGCAGCTGAACTTGAAAGGAGAAAAACATATACCTATATACCAGTCTTTAAGTTCATGGCTACAATCCTTAGAGTGGGCCCTTACTATTGCCTGGAAATTGTATTATACTATGTTGTACTTCCCTGGTTCTTTCACTTTCCTAGTACTGTTTCACACCTAGTCCTCTGATAAACTTCAGTACTACCTCATTCATCCTCACCTTAACTAATGACCTTGCTTTATGCTTTAAGAAATTTGCAATCCAGGGAAAACATACACAGGTTCTTATAATGTTTATCATTAGTCCATGCAAAATTAGAATGATGCCTTTTTTCGTGATAATATTTTTTGTGTTAAGGTCTGTTTTGTGTATTACAGATAGAGATAAATCAGCTGGGGTGGTAGTTGGTTATGGGATTTTCTGTTCTTAAATCTTTTTTTTTTTTTTTTTTTTTTTTGAGATGAAGTCTCGCTCTGTCACCAGGCTAGAGTGCAATGGCGTGATCTCGGCTCACTGCAGCCTCTGCCTCCCAGGTTCAAGCAGTTCTCCTGCGTCAGCCCCCCGAGTAGCTGGGATTACAGGCATGTGCCACCATGCCCAGCTAATTTTTATGTTTTTAGTAGAGACGGGGTTTCACCATGTTGGCCAGGATGGTCTCGATCTCTTGACCTTGTGATCCATCCACCCTGACCTCCCAGATGCTGGGATTACAGGCGTGAGCCACCATGCCCGGCTCTGTTCTTAAATCTTTTATGTGTCCTTATGTATGTGGAATGGACATCAGACAGTTATAGTATACAGTTACTTAATTAAATTGTGCAAAGTACTGTGAAGGAGGATAATGTGGGTAATATGCATTTCATAGGGGTAATATTAGTATGTAATTTTACCAAAGGCTAAAAATATTAGCCTGTATCATTTACCAAAGGGTTATTCTAATTTCTGAAGGGTAGCCAGCAAGAAGATAGGTACAAAATGAAAATGACTGTGAAAGGCCAGAGATCTGGAAAAAACTCTTTTTATGTGACATTCTTGGTAGTTGGAGGGAGCTAGGGTGTGTGTGGTCCGAGATGAAAACTAGAAAGGTGGGCAGGGGTTTTGAGCAGGGGAAAGCAATCACATTTTCCCTCTTAAGTTTGTGTTAATCCCATAGTTTGGAAATTGAGCATTGTGAATTGTTCTGACTATATGAATTATTGTACTCAGCAGTTTTAATCTCTGTCAGATTCTCTGTAGCAGATGTTATAATACTTCTCCACTTTTTTTTTTTTTTTTTTACAAACCCCCAAGCCTGCCTTCTTTCCACTTTGTATTAAGCTTTGCTGACCAAGAAGGAGGTCTGATATGAACTTCCTCAACTTTTCTCTTCCAGATTTTCACAAGTAGCCTCATTCAGCTTTATACTTTATAGTTCCTGTCTCCTGTTTGAGCACTGTATACTGCTTAAATTCCATGGTTTAACTCTTTGAGCTGTACACATCTTTTGTCATCTTAGTTTCTTAAAGAGTACAAGGGCTAAAAAGTGAATTCATTTTCATTGTCCATAATTAACAACCTGTTTTTTGTTTTGTTTTGTTTTTTAAAGATGGAGTCTTGCTCTGTCACTCAGGCTGGAGTGCAGTGGCGTGGTCTTGGCTCACTACAACCTCTGCCTCCCGGGTTCAAGTGATTCTTCTGCCTCAGCCTCCCGAGTAGCTTGGACTACAGGCGTCCGCCACCACACCCGGCTAATTTTTGTATTTTTAGTAGAGATGGGGTTTCACTATGTTGGCCAGGGTGGTCTTGAACCCCTGACCTCGTGATCCGCCTGCCTCGGCCTCCCAAAGTGCTGGGATTACAGGCGTGAGCCACCGTGCCTGGCCAACAAACTGTTTTTTCAGATTATTGCATATAATCTGTTTTCCTCCACATTCACCACTGATCAAAAAGCAATATTTAATCCCCTTTTAAAAGGAGAGAAAAACATCAGATAAATCTCAACTTGCCTTTACCCATCCTCCTCTACCCTACCTTCTAGGACTTAAAAAAAAATACTTTCTCTCATAAAGAGAACATATTTACCTTGTAGAAATATTGTTCTGCCTGCTATGTAGAGAACAGGTTGGTGCATAGGAGAAAGACTGAGTTTGAAGAGACAGGTGATGATAGTCAATACTATTGAAAATAAATGATGGAGGTTGTGTCTAGAGTGGTGACAGCGGATATGGAGAATAGTGGACAGACTAGAAAACTATTAAAGAGGTGGGATTGATAGGAGTTAGTGAATGATGGACATGGTGAATGATGGGATGCAGTGAGTAAAGAAGAAGGCATTGTCAAAGATAACTCAGGCTTTTGACATGAGCAACTGAGATAATAGCAATAGTAGTACTATTTACTGAGCTAGAGAAAGCCAGAGAAGGAGCAGAGTGGGGTAGATCAGAGATGATCTGGATTTGAATATGATGTGATTGTGGTACCTTTCCAAAATCTAAATACAGATGTCAACTGGGTATTTGGGTGGACTGGTATAGAGCTCAGAGATCTGAGTTGGAGAAATAAAATTACTAGTCTAGGGATGGTATTGGAAAATGTGGGTTTAGAAGAGCTCACTTTGGGCCAGGTATTGTGGCTCACACCTGTAATCCTAGCACTTTGGGAGGCCGAGGTGGGTCGATCACTTGAACTCAGGAGTGTGTAACCAGCCTGGGCAACATGGTGATACCCCGTCTCTACAAAAAATACAAAAATTAGCCAGGCATGGTGGCTTGCACCTGTAGTCTCAGCTACTTGAGGGGGCTGAGGCGGGAGGATCACTTGAGCCAAGGAGGCAGAGGTTACAGTGAGCCAGGATGGCGCCCCTGCATTCCAGCCTGGGCGACAGAGTGAGACCCTGTCTTAAAAAAAAAAAAAAAAGAACTCACGTTGGTGGATGGGAAAAGGACCTAGACCTAGGATTAAATCCTGAGATTTGGTAGAGGAAGTTAAGCCTACAAAGTAGATTGGGAAGGACTAACCAGAAGAATAGAGAAACCTTGAAGCCAAAGAAAGGCATTAATTGGTTTAAAGAGCAGAGAGAGTCGTCAGGCATAAAATGTTGCTTAAATATTAAGTAAAATTAGGGCCAAAATATGTTGGATTTAGAGATAGTGAGGTCATTAATGACCCTGGTAATAAATGTTCCACTGGTTTTTTTTACTTTTGTTTTTATTTTTTGAGACAGGGTCTTGCTCTGTTATGCAGCCTGGAACGTACTGTTGCAAACACGGCTCATGACAGCCCTGACCCCCTGGGCTCAAGGCATTCTCCTTGCTGAGCCTCCCCAGTAGCTGGAACCACAGCATGTGCCACCATGCTCAGCTAAATTTTAAATTTTTTGTAGAGATGGGGTCTTGCCATGTTGCCTAGGCTTGTTCCACTGGTTTGATAGAAGGAGATGTCAGGTTGCATTGGGTTGCAGAAGGGAGTGTGAGAGTTAAGGAAATAGAAGTTTATACAACTCTCACAATAAGATTGACTGTGAAAGACGAGCATGATACCTGGAGAGGGAGATGTGAGATTGAAGGTGATAGGTCAAAGGAGGATTTCAAAAATGAATGAATGGTCCAGTTGGGTGTGGCAGGTGGACGAGAGCCAAGGAATAATCAATAATGTAAGATATTAGGGAAATGAGAGGGAGATGAGCTCTAGTACTCATGTAGAGGAGGTTGCGTTTAGATTGGAGGGAAGAACAGCATGGGGGAAAGTGCTGTTCTAATAGGAAAAATGTTGTGTATTTATTACTTCACTGAATATAAATTTACTGTCAACATTAACCCAGAGGGTTGATAGCCTTTTATGCCATTTATGTGATGCAATTCCTATTTGACAATTATATCATTTTATACTGCTAGCTACTTGACTGTTCCTACCAGAAAAACCTATTTTTTTCCCCTTGACCAAAAACAATATATGCAGTAAATAATCTGGTTGTATGGAAAGATTAATCTTTATGTATGACATCATTTCCCCCTGTGGTTAGGGCACTTCGTTTTTATTCCACTGAAGGGAGTTTAGTCAGAGCTTATATTTTCACTTTCTGTGACTTTTTTCTCCTGTATTTAATTAATTATAGCAAAATTCCACTATAGGAAGAAAGCATAGTAGAATTTATTGACTAAGCTTGACCCAAAGAGTAGTCTAGTGTTATGGCCCCAGAAAAGCACAACTTCTTTTTCTTCAGAAGACTTTTATGTCAGAGTGGATTTTTGAATAGATAATGTTTGTATACATCACAAATTCAAGAGATACAAAACTGCATACCACACTGTCTTCTCCTGTTCCCTTATTCACCTGCTTTCCTTCTCAACTGGTATTACTATTTTCTTAAGTATCTTTCCAGAGTCTATGCATCTACAGATAAACTCATGTAAATATAGTTTTGTTATTTATTTACATAAATGCTATAATGTATCTTTTTTCATTAAAATTGCGTGAGAACTGTTTCTTACCTCTCTATATAAAGTGCTTTCTCATTTTTTTAATGGCCACATTGTATGAACATACCATGATGAGCTAACTTTTGTCCTGTTTGTGGTCAATACTAGTCTTTTGTGATTGATTTGAGCATATTTAAGTGGTTTTGACTGCAATACCGGTTACTAATTTAGGTAGTATAAATTAAATCTCAGTTAACACTCAAATTTAAGGAACTTGAAAGATAATCATTAAATTGAATGATGTGCCATATTGTCATTTTTTTTTAACAGGGAAAAACAATCTAGATTTACCTGTTTTATCCACACAACTTATTTCTTGAAGAAACAAGCGTTGTATGGTCATTTTAACAAATTTACTTTTTAGTCTGATGCTGTATTATGTACTTTGAAAATATCCAGTGCTGCCTTCTTTCACAAATTGAGACTTTTGATGCTTGTCCTATATAGCTGACATTAATTCCATCTGAGTATATTTTCTCAGATATTTTAGCTTTAAGAAGAATTTTTTTTTTTTTTTTTTTTTTTTTTTTGGAGACTAAGTCTCACTCTGTCGCCCAGGCTGGAGTGCAGTGGCGGGACCTCGGCTCACTGCAAGCTCCACCTCCCGGGTTCAAGTGATTCTCCTGCTTCAGCCTCCTAAGTAGCTGAGATTACAGGTGCCTGCCACCACGCCTGGCTAATTTTTGTATTTTTAGTAGAGATGGGCTTTGACCATCTCGGCCAGGCTGGTCTTGAACTCCTGATCTCGTGATCCACCTGCCTCGGCCTCCCAAAGTGCTGGGAATACAAACGTGAGCCACCGTGCCCAGCCTTAAGAAGAATCATTATTCCAGAATATACAATTTGAATCTCCATAATAGAATTAACTCTCATTTTTATTCAGTTAGAAAATCTTTGTCCCCCCCACTGCTAAATTTGACTGGCTTAAAAAAAAGAACTTGGGTTTATTCCTCATACCTGGGGGTATTTTGTATCTGTGAATATTTTATTTCGTGTTTGTATTGACAGCATGCTTTATTTATAACGGTCTCCGTTGGTTTAACTGTTACTCCCTCTGTTGGCTTTCAGAGGTGTTACATTTTTTTGTAATGGTGTCAGAAAAAATATTTATGCTGATTTTCACTTAGCCTCCAACATTAGTATTATAATTGATACAAATATGCTTGTGAAGTAGGCTACACACAAGATTGTTTTATTTATTTTTTATTTATTTTATTTATTTTTTTGAGATGGAGTCTTGCTCTGTCACCCAGGCTGGAACGCAGTGGCGTGATCTTGGCTCACTGCAACCTCCGCCTCCCAGGTTCAAGCAGTTCTTTTGCCTCAGCCTCCCGAGTAGCTGGGACTACAGGCGCTCGCCACCATGCCTGGCCAATTTTTGTATTTTTAGTAGAGACGGGGTTTCACCATGTTGGCCAGACTGGTCTCGAACTTCCAACCTCAGGTGATCCACTTGCCTCCACCTCCTAAAGTGCTGGGATAACAGGTGTGAGCCACCACTCCTGGCCTAGGATTGTTTTAAATTAACAGATGTTTCAGTGGCCATGAATGTTCTGGTTTCCATGAATGTGTTAAGGAAACTTAATCAGAATGCCTGTTTTATCAACAGCTGAGAACAGGGCTATGAAAAACAACAGGCATATAGAATATTTATGTTTGTATTAAGCAAAAAGTGGGCTTGGCATGTTAGATCTGTTTTAAAGGATTTTGCAAATATTTCCTAGTTTTTGTCTGCTATAGATTGAACTATCTAGGTAACTTGATGGAGTGAGATGATGGAGATGCCATATTGCACCTAGCATACCGTATAGAATAATGGTTATGTGTGTCTGTGACCTATGGACATGATAGTTGCTTTCTGTAATGTAACACATACAGGGCAAGGTATTTACTTGTTTTCCATATTTAGCATCCTCTTTAAAAACCACCAGATTTTCAATAGGTTCTTGGAAACTGCGACTTTAAATGGAACAAGATACTGCTGGTCTTTGAATGATGTCCTTTAGTTATAAGGTTAATGAGAAAAATTGGTTTTGTTAAATGTCATTTCACTTAAAGTCTCAGTTTCCAAGAACCTGTTGACAATGTTAAGTAAGGACTTAACTGTATATAGGTCATAAGCTTTTGAGGTTAAATATTATGTCCTGTACCTGTATGGTTAATTGGAGTTGTATCACTCACAGTGGTGGTAGAGTGTTAGGTTCTAAATTTAGCATACAAAGTGTACAATGGGTGTAGAGTATTTTCTCTTAAATCCCTTTATTCATTCATAGAATATACTAGGCTTTCTGGGTTCTGTATTTAGTGACCATTGTGGATAAAACATCTATTTAAACACTAGACTCAAATTCAGCATGATGAGGTATGTGGGAGCTAGGTAGGATTGAGGAAGCATCAAATTCTGGCTTTTCATCTTAATGCTTCACTAGAGCAACTCCTATTGAGGGGACTGCAGACAAGTTGGATGCATAGTATTTGGTTGCTCATTTGCCAAATGCATGTAGTTGGAGTGTGTTTGTGTTTTTGTTTTTTTAAACATAAATGTAGGGGCCAGGCACGGTGGCTTACTCCTGTAATCCCAGCAGTTTGGGAGGCCACAGTGGGTGGATCACTTGAGCTCAGGAGTTCGAGACCAGCCTGGGCAACATGGTGAAATCCTGTCTCTACAAAAAATACAAAAATTAGCCGGGTGTGGTGGTGTGCGCCTGTAGTCCCAGCCATTTGGAAGGCTGAGGCAAGAGAATTGCTTGAGCCAGGGCAACGGAGGTTGCAGTGAACTGAGATTGCACCATTGCACTCCAGCCTGGGTGGCAGAGTAAGACCCTGTCTCAAAAACAAACAAACAAACAAACAAAAACATTTGATGTTTCTCTATTGTAACTCCCCTCCTCCCACCTCCTTTCTTTTTGGATTTGAATGTAAAAGTAGTCATTCCAGGTAATGCATTTCTAGACTAGTTTTAAAGCATTCTTTTTCATTTATATCAAAGTCAATGAATGCATATTAATTATATCAGAGTTTTGAAGATTTCTTTGTAGAACACTTTAAATAAAATTGTAAACTTGAAAATGTTCATTACATGTTGGCCTTTCAAGTTAGAGGATTAATATTATGGCATTTTTAGTAGCTCAGTATGCTTAGATTTTGACCGTATTAAGTCCTTTGAATTTGACTGTTGATCAAACAAGCAGATAATAATATATATATATTTTAAAGGCCTGTGTAATAGTAAGTTTTGCCCCACCCACTTAGAAAGGTAGGCATGTTGTGTTGACTAAATAATCTGGCATTCTGTTTATTGACTTTGTGTGTTTTTGTACAGGTTGCTTTCCTGTTGCATCTTTGATATCATTTCCTAGACTCTACTCCATGATTTAACTTGAAATTCTGAAATGAAGATGGAGGAGGCAGTGGGAAAAGTTGAAGAACTCATTGAGTCCGAAGCCCCACCAAAAGCATCTGAACAAGAGACAGCCAAGGAGGAAGATGGATCTGTAGAACTGGAATCTCAAGTTCAGAAAGATGGTGTAGCGGATTCTACAGTTATTTCTTCAATGCCCTGCTTGTTGATGGAACTGAGAAGGGACTCTTCTGAGTCTCAGTTAGCATCCACAGAGAGTGACAAGCCTACAACTGGCCGAGTTTATGAGAGTGACTCCTCTAATCACTGCATGCTTTCCCCTTCCTCTAGTGGTCACCTGGCTGATTCAGATACGTTGTCTTCCGCAGAAGAGAATGAACCCTCTCAGGCAGAAACGGCGGTAGAAGGAGACCCTTCAGGAGTGTCTGGTGCCACAGTTGGGCGCAAGTCTAGGCGGTCCCGATCTGAAAGTGAAACTTCCACTATGGCTGCCAAGAAAAACCGGCAATCCAGTGATAAACAGAATGGCCGAGTCGCCAAGGTTAAAGGTCATCGGAGCCAAAAGCACAAGGAGAGGATCAGGCTACTGAGGCAGAAACGGGAGGCTGCTGCAAGGAAGAAATATAACCTGCTGCAGGACAGTAGTACCAGTGATAGTGACCTGACTTGTGACTCAAGCACGAGCTCATCAGATGATGATGAAGAGGTTTCAGGGAGCAGCAAGACAATCACTGCAGAGATACCAGGTAGAGGATGTTTTTTAAACTGACTGTAAAGTACCTGATGGCATTTCTCAGCTATCAGGTTCAGTTAGATGAGTGACACTTGAAAAAATCCAGGAGACCTGCAGCTCTGTGTAAATTTGAAGACTGCAGTCTATTAACAAGACATGGCCAATTTATAAAACCTGTTCTGAGGTTTCCAGTGAACTTTAGCACATCAGGAAAAACAAAATTAAAGGGTTAATGATAGGGACAAGATTATTTTTAAGTAATGGAATTTCTCATAAGTCTGTCTGTAACACATTACCTGAACTCCCAATCATTGCCTTTTTGGCACTGCTTAGATTTAATACTCACTGTTCGGCATCATTACTGAGTACATTCTCCTCAGGAATAGGCACCTTGCTTTATTATATAGCCACTGCACTTGAGCTTATAGTGTCTGAAATAACACATTCTATCTTTTGTTAAAGTTTTCTAATAATTTTTCCTCCAAAAACAGTAGTTTTATGTGTTTCCCCCATATTCAATGCATGAGAAGCTAGTTATCCTTGTTACAAATCTTTCTATCCTCACGTTGAAAAGAATGTCTTTCTGAAAAATTTCCCATTAGTTCCCCAAGTTTTAAAAAAGTTTGTTAGAAATCCGCTTGTTCTAGCTCTCATTGGTATAAGGGTCTGTAACTTATTACATATTTGGTAAATCTGCTTTCCCCATTCTTATTGCATCTGGTACTGTGTACTATAATACAAAGGCAGTCTTGAGATTTCATAGTGGAAGAAAGATGTATCTGAATGGTTCTTAAGTAGTGAATTCTTATTATCCAAGAGATCCTTACAATATGATCAGGAACATTTTGTAAACTGTATGGCATTGAATAGGTCATGGCAGTATTGTTTATTGCCACATTGAAGAGGGGCAAGTTTGGGTTTTCTAAAGTTTTATGGGTGACTATGTTTTTTCTCTCCCTGTTTTCTGAAAGCTTTCTGTTTCTACATGTGAAGACAGCATATTGCTGATATACAAAGAACATTTCAAGAGAAATCATATTGGTTAATGGAATCTATAGCTTCCCAAACTTATATAAATTCAGTAACAAGAATGATTGGTTTTAAAGCACTTTATAGGTGTTCAAGTTCTGATAATAAGTCTTGTCCATATAATATAAATATGAGTCTCAAACGATCTTTAGAAATGCTTTTTACTGTTTTAATATCTCTATTGGATTCCTTTGCTATTGTTCCTTGTAATAAAACTACCGGGAGGGGGATTTCAATGAAGCTCATCAGTTAAATGTATGAGAGAAACAGACTTTGGGGTTGTTCTAAGGCAGGTTTTAGGTATATATTTTAGTTTTACATGTATTAATATTTTTAAAAAAACCTTATTAATACCTGTAAAATTGTGCATTCCTATATCCTCTTCTAACCTCTTAATCAAGACCTTGATGGAACTCTTAATACAATACTTACTTCCACTTACTAAGCAGGATTTTATGTAACTACCCCAATACTTTGCCTTTTTGTGGAAAGGAAGAAGGTGGGTAAACAAAATTTAAAGTCAGAACCCTATTGTAAGGTGGCTTGAGAAATGTCTTCATAGGCACTTTCCCTGTTTTGCTTAAATAGGTTAGATGTGCTTTGTTCATATTTTCCTAATCTTCTTTCTAATTGAGTATCTTGACCACTGCTTAAAACTTAAAACACCAGTGTCTGTTTCTTGTCTCTTCTGAATTGTGTACTAACTGAACACCAAAGTAAATTAATTTGAATCTATAGTTTGGTTTCTATTGTTCACACCATTTAGTAACTTTGTGGCTTTTGAAAATACACATAGTTTTCTAAGGTAATCCTGGAGAATCAAATGGTAGATTGAGGTACAGGGTCACTGTATGTGACTGCCTGTGTGTGTGCTGGCAGTTTTGGGAGGTCTTATGGTATACCTGCCATTCCCATAAGACAGGTATGAATGATCTTTACTGGAATTATGCAAAGCAGCAAAAATGGAACAACTTAGAGTTCAAATATTAGGAATTTCATTTCAATTGTCCATATTGTTGTCTCTTGAAAAATTGTGACATTGTGAATTTTTAATGTAACAGTGATGTATCTTTCAGTTTACTGAGTCACCTTATGACTTTGGGGAAGAGAGGAGGCACGTTCAACCTTATAGTAAGAGCAGTTGTCGAAAAGTTGCCTAAATTGTAAAGGTAGGATAAATTATGAACTGACTTGAGTTCAACAACATGGACATTCAGGTGAACTTAAGCTGGATGGGCCTAACAGAATCTCTTGGATGTCGGAATGTTAATTCAGCTGTTTACACAGAATGGAAACCAAGTGGAAAAGTAAAAACCGATTATTGCCATACTCTTTCATTAAGGTACAACCAATTTAGTAATTCAGAAAATGCTCTTTATAAGCTTTTGTTTGGGCTCAGCTTAAAAGTTGAAGGCATTATCCTAAATAATTCCTGTTAGGATATCCTAATACCTTAATCCTAAATGTTATGCCAAATAATTGTAACTGTTAATGCATATTCTTTTAGAGAGTGCAAATAATTAATAATGCAGACCAGTGTAGTGCATGATCATACTTTAATTGAGTTTGATATCTGGGCAACAGATGTTTATGACGATTTTTTAAAGTTAGCAGTTAACTGACAGGCAGCTTAGTATCGGCACTAGATCATCTCTCTTTGAAGTTTTTGGAAATATATTGATGTTTTAAGAATCTGTTTGGAGGTATCATATCAAAATAATGCTGGCAGTACTTTCATTTGGCAGACTTAGAGTTGAGTAAAGGGCATTTTATAGTAAATTTATAATATTTTATAGTGAATTCATGTAAAAGTACTATGTGATGGTTATCTTGAGTATCAAGGCTTTTTATCAAGTGATTTCTTTTTTTTTTTTTTTGAGACCGAGTCTTGCTCTGTCACCAGGCTGGAGTGCAGTGGCGCGATCTCTGCTCACTGCAACCTCCGCCTCCCAGGTTCAAGCGATTCTCCTGCCTCAGCCTCCCAAGTAGCTGTGACTACAGGCGTGTGCCACCATGCCCAGCTAATTTTTTTGTATTTTTAGTAGAGACGGGGTTTCACCATGTTGGCCAGGATGGTCTTGATCTCCTGACCTTGTGATCCGCTTGCCTTGGCCTCCCAAGTGCTGTGATTACAGGTGTGAGCCACCACGCCCGGCCATTATCAAGTGGTTTCCTTATGCATTATCTTTTTGTGCTTTGATCATGCTCTGCAGTTTTATGATTAGAGTATTACTGTTCATGGGGGGTCAGTTTCTCTGTAAAAGCAGTTTTGAGACTAGCTCTATAAAATCTGTAGTTGGAGGGATTTTGATTTTAATGTAAATAATGGACATTAGCCTTCATTCAGTTTGAAAAAGTTAATTTTTTGAACATACTAACATACGTGCATCGGTGTACATGGTCAGTGGGGAAAAGTTTTTCCAGTAACTGTTTTTCATAAATATTTAGCAGAGTGGACCTCCATACAGGGTAGCTTTATCTTGTCTTGTCTTTAATGACCTGCTTTGTGGTTAAATGCTTATTCACACCGAAGTTCCAAAAATAATACCCCTCGTGGCAGGTAAGAGTCGGTTGTCTTGGTTTGTTTGCCTTTGAAAATCTCATTTCTTTTGGAGAATGTCATTGAGGCTACTGAGGACAGCTGTTTAAGTTTACTTGAATTCTCAATCCATGCAGCCAGGCTAGACCAGCTCAGCCCCACTTCAAGACAAAATCTCAGCACCCATTACTCACCATACATATTTATGCAGTGAGCTGCATCATGACCAGCTATCATCTTACCTCATAGTTTTTTTCTCTGGTAGAGATAATTAACTTATTATGCTTGATCAGTTAACTCTTGCTTAGAAATTTAAAAAATATTTTTAAGTGACAAATTCTTTGTAGAAATTTTTGAAAATAGAAATATTTGAAGTAGAAAGTTAAAATCACCCACAATTCTGCTTTTGTTAACATTTGAATATGTTGTCTTCCATGATATATAACAAAATTTGTCTGGGTATTGCATATGTCGTCCTTTCCTTCTTAATATTGCATTTTGAGCATTTAACCAGAACACTAAATATTCTCCCTAGAACATATGGATTTTGAATAATTTAGCTAATTATAAAAATAACTTCCCTAATGGTCCTTTGGGCTCTTTTAAGTTTTTGCTGTTATACGTTCAGGGTATGAACACTTAAGGCTCTTGACCACATACTGCCATACTGCCATACTGCCATACTGCTTTTAAAAAATAATTAAGCTGAGTGCGATGGCTCACGCCTGTAATCCCAGCACTCTGGGAGGCCAAGTCAGGTGGTTCATTTGAGGCCAGGAGTTTGAGACCAGCCTGGTGAACTTGGTGAAACCTCATCGCTACTAGAAATACAAAAGTTAGCCAGGTGTAGCAGCATGTACCAGTAGTCCCAGCTGCTCCGGAGGCTGGTGTGGGAGGATTGCTTGAGCCCAGGAGGCAGAGGCTGTAGTGAGCCATGATTGAGCCTCTGCACTCCAGCCTGGGTGACAGAGCGAGACTCTGTCTCAAAAAAATCCAAACAAAAACAAAAATAAGTTTATTTCACCTGGGAGCTTGAGTGTTCATGCATTGTATTCTTGCTATTGAATATTAATTTTTTTTAAAAGCTTGCTGATTTGATAGAAGAATGATATCTTGCTGGTGTGGTGTCTCATGCCTGTAATCCCAGCACTTTGGGAGGCTGAGGCAGATGGATTACCTGAGGTCAGGAGTTCGAGACCAGCCTGGCCAACATGGTGAAACCCCATCTCTACTAAAAATACAAAAAAAAAAAAAGAAAAATTAGCCGGGTGTGGTGGCGCGCGTCTGTAGTCCCAGCTACTCGGGAGGCTGAGGCAGGAGAATCACTTGAACCTGGGAGGTGGATGTTGCAGTGAGCCGAGGTCATGCCACTGCACTCCAGCCTGGGTGACAGCAAGACTCCATTAAAAAAAAAAAAAAAGGTATTTTGATGTTAATTTGCATTTCTTTGATCACTAGTGAAATTGAAAAACGTTTAGCTATTTGTATTCCTTTGGTAAAGTCTGTTCATATTCTTTGCACATTTTTCTTCTGACGTGTTTTTTCTTACTAATTTTTGAGGCTTTTTAACCTTTTGGGGGTTTAATTGCTTGGCAAATTTTAAATATAAGGCAGTGAGGAGGATTCATGGTTGAAGATCCCAAACCCACATAGTGAATCCATGAAGCGCAGTAATTGACCTTTTTCCTAGATTGAATATCAAAGGATTTCAGTGGCTAAAAGCCTCATGTCCCTATTTTAAGCCTTTTGTAATCTGGTTGTAGTTTGGTAGCTATTTAAGAGACTCACAAAATACATTGATAACAAAACACTGACACAGAATAATCAGGTAAAAACTGTCTATTTTCAGATTGGTAAATGCAAATCAGATGGGTAAAATACATATGGTTTGCAATCTGGCTATGTATTAGAATCAGCTGGGTGGTATTTAAACCATCTGATGCCCAGACCCCACTTTAGCCCCATTCAATCAGAATCTTTGGGGTCTGACCCCAGGCATCAGCTTTAAATGATTGACCTTAGGTGATGACACTGAGTAGCCAGGGCTCAGAACCGCTCAGTTAAGCAGTGATATGTTAAGTTTCCTGTATCTGAAAATCACTGTGAAACTGGTAGTCTGGTTCAATTAAGTTCTCTTACTGCTAATGGGTATCAAGTTCTAAACAGTGGAGTCTGGTTTTTTTGAAATTACATTAGTTATAAATCACAGCACAGTTCTATATTAATTAACAAGCATTAAGTGCCCTCTTTTACTTCATTTAAGCGATTATTTGAAAAGCATGCAATGTCTAAATGTGGTTTTCTGTACGCTACAAGGTCTAGATGATGTTAATTAAAAAGCTTTGAAGTCTTACTGGTGGGTATCCTTTGGCAATTTCTCATGTTGAAGCACCAAGATACTATTTTTGGCCTGCTTATTTTCTGAAGTGAGTGCCTATATTAACTTTGTAAAAGGAAAAGGTCTTTTTCTCAAAATAGGATATATCTTAGTGTTAATAAAAGAGCATGTGTGTGTTTAAGGTGAGAATGTGGTCCCTTTTTTTGTCATTGTTTTTTAATAGATTTTGCTTCTAGAGCAGTTTTAAGTTCGTAGCAAAATCGAGCAGAGGAGACAGAGAGTTCCCATGTACCCCCTTCTCCCACGTAGCCACGGCTTCCCCTACTATCAACATCCTGCACTAGAATGGACATTTGTTACAATTATGAACCTACATTGACACATCATTATCACCCAAAGTCTGTAGTTTACTGTTAGGGTTCACTCTTGGTGTTGTAAGTTCTGTGGGCTTTGATAAATGCGTAAGTGGTTCCTGTTTTTAAGGGCTCAAAATGTCTTGCTTATCAGTGATTATTGCTTGTAGGAATCTATGAGGCTACAACTTATCTCACTGCCCCCAGCATAAATGTTCTTATACCATTATCAGCTTTTAAATACCCATTTTTAGTATTCATTGAGAAATAAGTAATGCGAGAATCTAAAGCAGATCAAAGGAGCCATCCGATTTCCTGTCCTATGCTTAAGTTTGCCCAGCACTTATAATGGGGCTTAAAGGAAGTTAAACTTTAGATTTCATTTAGTCTTTTTTTCCATAAGCTAAACATACTAACCTTTGGGGAAAGGTATGTCCTTCTTGAGGGAGTTTTCGTATAAACAAAACTTTTTTAAAAAGTGAAAACAGCATAGGGGATGGAGTAATCAGAGGAAAAGGAACATTATGAAATTAGGCAGAGGTTGGTGACCGACTTCATGAGGTTTTTGTTTGCTGGATAGAGCTGGGCTAAATGTTTGTCTCACAGCCTTTTAGGCATTGAAAATAGGTGGCCTGACTGATTTAAACATTCTTTTTTATCTAGGAGAAACAGTTATATTTGATAGTGAGACAGGGGAAACTTCTCTTTGCATCTTCATAAAAGGCCACTATGTGATAAAGCAAACCATGTTTTCACAAATTAGTTTAACAAATGCTCAATAGAGCATTTCATAAGAGCATTATTTATAAGACTCTTGATGTAGGTTGATGGTATAAGGCTAAGATTGGTTGATTCCATCAATCATTCTTTTATTCAGCAAGTATCTGAGCACCCAGTCCATTGGCTTTGGGGATACAACAGTGAAAGAAGTCTCTGTTGTCATGGAACTTAATCTTTCATGAGGAGACAATAAATGAATTTATCATATGTTATCAGGTAGGGATATATGATGTGAATAATAATAAAGCAGGATATAAGAGATAAAGATTAGGAATGGGGTAGAAAAGCTATTTTAGTCAAGAATGATCTGAGGAAGTAACATTTTTATTAGGTCCCTTAGAATGAAGAGTTCAATATAGTTATTTTATTAGAGACCCAAACTATAGGTGACCCAAACCAAAGATAATCTAGCCTAGTTCAAGGATGAAATTATATATATATGGGGCCATATCCTAAACTGGACCACTATGCTACTGGGTATTAATAGTTGTACACATGTTCAGGTGTTTGGAAAGTGCTGGATTATGTGTTAACAGATGCCTTTTGTTTTAAACCACAGGGCACTTCAGCCATTAATGAATGTGCTCTCCAGAGGGGAAGGATGTGATTTGTAGTATATCCCAAACTTAACTACATTTTTTTGTGTGTGTGTATGGCATGCATTTTAACACTTCACACAGACCAGCGTTTGTAAAAGCTGACCCAGAGGTATTCTGTATCATCTCCTTCCTGTGGTTTTCCATAAGAATTAAAAAAAAATTAAAACAGATCTTTTGTGTGATAAGAATCATCACCTAAGAGTGATTGTGTAATGATTGAGTATGGGCCAGCTGACAAAACAACTTTTTAGAATTTTAAAGTGAAAGGAGTTAAAATACTCAAGAATGTAGTGGTTCTCAACTAAGGACATACATTAAAATCACCTGGGGAGCTTAAACCGAAACAAATCTTAGAAGACTTGGAGCCACCCTAGGTTTTGGTATTTGTTAAGCCACTCCAGTTCTTATTGTTCAGCAAAGGTTGGAAACTACTGTTAAAGATTCAGTCAGTTGTATTCAGTCTGTGTAGTAACAGAATACATGCTGCTAGGTAGATAAATTAAAGCTATGAAAAATGATAATGTTAGTCATTTTATTTTTTTGGAATTAGTGACTTTGATTAATGAATTTAATCACTGCCTATGAATGCTGGATCTATCAGGCTCTTCTTAGCAATGCTTGTGTCATTTTCCTGAGTAAGTGTGTCTTAATAAAAATACAATTTCCGAAGCAATAATGTTTTATGAAATGGCCTCAGTGTCTTTAAAGGTGCCTTCAGTCATGCTGCGGGATCTGAAGGAGTGCCCAGGGAAGTTACAGGATTACTTGACAGGGGTACTGTGTGATAGGAACTGCACAGGCAGTGGCCTAGAAGAGGCCAGGAGCTGTTTTTCCAAGATGCAGAGGCAGACAGAGAAGTTCCACGTGTGGATGGAAAAGGTAACTCATCTTGACACTGGCGAAGAGAACAAGCAGCTACTGGAACCCAGGGGACCTAAGATGCAACTAGTTGGCCAAAGAATTTTCCCTGTCACCCCATCAAGTGCTTACATGGCAGATGCCTGATTTCCAAGTACTGCCACAGCAGCCCTTTGGTTCTTACCTGACTTGTCCAAATATTGACAGTATGTCAGAGTTCCCAAAGATGTATAATTGCAATTTTCTAGTTAACGTTGCTGGAAATGGAAATATTACAGAACAACCTTTGAATCTATCACAAAATTAATTGTATTGACAATCTGCGTTTTGGATTGTGTAAGAAATAATATGCTTTTGCCCATTGTAAGTTTCTTTTGATGATGTTGCTGTTTTTTTTTGAGACGAAGTCTCGCTTTGTCGCGCAGGCTGGAGTGCAATGGCGCGATCTCGGCCCACTGCAAACTCCGCCTCCTGGGTTCAAGCGATTCTCCTGTCTCAGCCTCCCGAGTATCTGGGATTCCAGGAGCCCGCCACCACGCCTGGCTAATTTTCTTTGTATTTTTAGTAGAGACAGGGTTTCACTATGTTGGTCAAGCTGGTCTCGAACTCCTGACCTCGTGCTCCGCCCACCTTAGCCTCCCAAAGTGCTGGGATTACAGGCTTGAGCCACCGAGCCCAGCCCTGATGATGTTTTAAAAGCTGCAGTAGTAAACAGTTTCTTTTTTAAAAATTAGGTATTCACAACAGAAAGCCCCAGAATTTGGTAAATTTTAGCTTGAGTTTTGTTATGTATGGTGGGAACATAGAACCATATTTATACAATAGTGGGAGCCATCCTCTTCCTTGCTTTTTACCAAAAATATAAATAAAACAAAAAACTGAAAATTTTAGTGAACCCAAATAGGTAGATGGTTAATTCCTTGAGAATCTCTTAGCACTTACTCTCTACAGACACTGTTGACTTCTGCTTCTAATTGGGGGACCTCATAGTTAACTGTAAAGATCATAGTTACTCCATGAACATTTTTGTGTCATTATTCCACATGTCATTTAATAATCTAATTTGTTGCTAGTTTTCATGAATTATATTCCGTATTACTTGTATGCAGGAAGAACACAATTCGTTTCTGAGCAAATATTTGCTATGTGCCTACTATGCAAGATAATGTAGGAAAAGCAGATTAGACTGCAGCTTGATTTCATGCATGAGAAAAATAGTATTTTTCATTGATATGGAGATGGATTTTTATTTTGAGCTTTAATTTAAAGCTCAGTGCCCAAGGCAATAATCTGGTAGGCATCAGCCAGTGGAATTTCTGGTACTCTGTTGTAAAGGATACCTGTAGAGGGTAAAGATAAAATGGTCACTATATCAAGGGTATGTATTGGGTGGGGTTTTAAATTGCTAGTGACTAAGTTTATTAATGAATGTACTACCAGTTTAATTTTGTTTTCAATCCTCAAACTAAAAATAAATGGGCCTTAGTTATGTTAAAGAGCTCATAGAGTGTGTCAAAAGATAGAAAATACCACAGGATTGAAGGTCTTGCAACATGATAGATGTTTTTATGTGCAGCCTGGGATTGGTAAATGCTGGCATTTTATCTTTTAAAGATTTCTAGTAATACTGTGAGACACAGCTAAATTAGGATGACAGTCTTCAATAGGAATTTGTAAGTTTGCTGACACTAAGTGGTTTTTTAAAACTGGGTTTTCCACTGGATTTACTTTTTTTTTTTTTTTTTTGAGATGGAGTTTCGCTCTTGTTGCCCAGGCTGGAGTGCAATGGTGGGATCTTGGCCCACTGCAACCTCTGCCTCCGGGGTTCAAGTAGTTCTCCTGCCTCAGCCTCCCAAGTAGCTGGGATTGCAGGCGCCTGCCACCATGCCCAGCTAATTTTTGTATTTTAAGTAGAGATGGGGGTTTCACCATGTTGGCCAGGCTGATCTCGAACTCCTGACCTCAGGTGATCCACCCACCTCCACCTCCCAAAGTGTTGGGATTACAGGCATGAGCCACTGCGCCTGGCCTGGATTTATTTTTGAGAGGAAATTATTCTTTCACATTTATAATAACATCAATATGAAAAAGGTTCATTTTATTTAATGAAGTTGCCACTTTGGAAAAAAACGTAATTCTGCATGTGTTTTTTAAGAGGAAGTATAGGCGGTATATTTAGAGTCGTATATAAACAATCAAGATCTTCGATGTCTCAATATTTCTTAGGAACGTTACTCAGAAAAAATGTCACCACTTTGTTTTAATTCAGTTCTATATCCACATATTTGTAACTTGTAAATTACCAGTAATAGACTGAACCACATTTTTTCCTTTTCTGGTTTTGAATTGAAAAATTACTGCTTTATTTGTTTTTTTCCTTTTAGAACTGGTTTTATGAGAATTGGAAGTTAACTTTGGGGATGGCTTATTTCTGTGCTCAGTTTTTGTTTAGGGATATATACATCCTTGTATAAGGATACATATATAAATATATACATATGACTAGAGGTCTCTGCATTTTTTTTTTCCATTTTTTGAGATGGAGTTTTGCTCTCGTTGCCCAGGCTGGAATGCAATGGCACGAACCCGACTCACTGCAACTTCCGCCTCCCAGGTTCAAGTGATTCTCCTGCCTCAGCCTCCTAAGTAGTTGGGATTACAAGCATGTGCTACCATGCCTGGCTAATTTTTGTATTTTTAGTAGAGATGGGGTTTCTCCATGTTGGTCAGGCCGGTCTTGAACTCCCAACCTCAGGTGATCTGCCTGCCTCAGCCTCCCAAAGTGCTGGGATTATAGGCGTGAGCCACTGTGCCTGGCCGATCTCTTTTTTTTGTGTGTAATGATTTTTAGATTTTCTGAACTTAATTTTGACCAGTAGAGGTAAGGTTTGAACACCAAGCAACTTACAATAAATAATGTTAGTATGATTTTTCAGTATAAAATATATGAGTTTATTATAACTGATGGGTTTCCCTCTGAAATTATAGTGCAACATTGGTTAACTATTTCCTCAAACAGATTTTTTTTAAAATTAAGTTTTACATCAACAGGAAGAGCATATTGGTTTTGGATGACTGACTGAATTTTAATGAATCTACAGTCTTTACTTGAAGTTTAGGTGTTTTCAGGGAAGTTCTGTCTTCACCTTCTTCCTGGAAACCCAGATTTTTATTAGACATGGATTTTTAGATGTAAGAAAATATTAATTTAATTTCATCATGTTAAGGACTACTTTTCTATGCATGTGTAAACTGCTTCAAGCACTTAACAGGCTTCTTTTTTGTTTTATGATACGATAATTAATATATTAAGCATGCTTTGAAATGCATTTTAAGATAGAAAAGGTTAATCTTTTAAGAATAACATAGACAACTTATTGCTAGTATTGTATTGACTGGATCCATTCTGATTTTTATTGTTATTGAATAATCAGGCAAGAGCTCTGTAGATTTTTTTTTGCCTTTAAGAAAAAAATTTCAGTGGAATGGAATTAACAAACATAGGTAGCCTTTTTTATTTTTTGGGAGATAGGGTCTCACTCTGTCATCTACACTGGAGTGCAGAGGTGCCATCTTGTCTCACTGTAACCTCTGCCTCCCAGGTTCAAGCAATCCTCCCGCCTCAGCCTCCCAAATAGGTGGGACTAGCACCTGGCTAATTTTTATATATTTTGTAGGGACGGGGTTCTGTTATGTTGTTCAGGCTGGCCTCAGACGCCTGGGCTTAAGCGATCTGCACACCTTGGCCTCTCAAAGTGCTGAGATTCTGTGGGATTCGCACCTGGCCTAAAACATAGGTATTAATAGTTATATTCAAGGTAAGAATAACATTTTGAATATTTGAAAAGGTGTTGAACACTAATAATTTTGGAAAGCCTTTTCTACAAAATTTTGAGGAAAGGAAGAAAAAGAAGTTTTGGCAGAAAGATAAGGAATGCCAGAATACACTGATTAAATTCTTAGAACCTATACCAAAATATTAAAAATTTTTCCTAAAGTAAAATTTGACATTCTGTGGTTTGGAGAGTTTAACTTTAGGAGTAATTTATAACAGAATCATATATATGAAAAATTTTTATCTTGATTTTCAGTTTTTGCAGAGTGCTTTGAAGGTAATACATTGCTGTCTGAAGGAGTGTTGTTTTGAAAAAAAAAAATAGATTTTGCTTTAAAGTGGTTACACCTTTTCCAGGTAGTGCAATTAAAAAATTCCCCTTTCAACATACTTTGTTTTTATATTACAGACATTTAAAAAAGTGTCAATATGGTAAGTACTTGTTGTTTTTTGAGACAGAGTCTCGCTCTGTCGTCCAGGCTGGAGTGCAGTGGCGCGATCTCAGCTCACTGCAAGCTCCGTCTCCCGGGTTCATGCCATTCTCCTGCCTCAGCCTCCTGAGTAGCTGGGACTACAGGTGCCTGCCACCACGCCCGGCTAATTTTTTGTATTTTTAGTAGAGACAGGGTTTCACTGTAGCCAGGATGGTCTCGATCTCCTGACGTCATGATCCGCCTGCCTCAGCCTCCCAAAGTGCTGGTGTTGTTTTTTTAATTTTTTTGAGATGAGGTCTCGCTCTATTGCCCAGGCTGGAGTGCAGTGGCACGATCACAGCTCACTGCACCCTCAACCTCCCAGGCTCAAGTGATCTTCCCTAGTAGCTGGGACCGCAAATGTGTGCCACCATGTCTGGCTAATTTTCTTATTTTTTGCAAAGGTGGGGTCTTGCTCTGTTGCCCAGGCTGGTCTTAAACTCCTAAGCTCAAGGGATCCCCCAGCCTCGGCCTCCCAAAGTGCTGGGATTACAGGTACGAGCCACCACGCCTCGCCTTGTGAAGTAGTGTTTTTTGTTTGTTTGTTTGTTTGTTTTTGAGACAGAGTCTCGCTTTGTCGCCCAGGCTATAGTGCAATGGCACGATCTTGGCTCACTGAACCTCCACTTCCTGGGTTCAAGCGATTCTCCTGCCTCAGCCTACTGAGTTGCTGGGATTACAGGTGCCCACAACTGGCCCGGCTAATTTTTGTATTTTTAGTAGGGATGGGGTTTCACCATACTGGCCAGGCTGGTTTCAAACTCCTGACCTCAGGTGATCTGCCTGCCTCAGCCTCCCAAAGTGCTGGGATTACAGGCGTGAGGCACCGCGCCTGGCCTGTGAAGTAGTTTTAATATGTACATTTTTTACATGACTAGTGTAGGTTATTGCATTCTCTTTCCCTGAGGCAGTCTGTATTCTCAAGATTACATGTATAGTACTAATAATAGTAATAAGTGGGAATTACTTTTGGATTACATGACGGCATTTTTATGTAGCTATTGTTTAAGTCCCTAGTGGCCCTCCCTTCGTTTCCTCTGAATTCCCTTAATTTTCCTAGAATTTTAAGAAGGTTAAGGACCATGTCCTGTTTGTATTTATTTGTACTCTATGAAGGGTTAATGCTGGAAAGAAATCTCTTTCAACCTACAACACTAATCCAGAAATGGTTGAAATGCTTTTTTATTTAAGAATAAAATCCCATATCCGGACTATTGTATCTCTCTAATATGTGCATATGGAATTTTCCCTTTGTCTAATCTATCAGATAATTTTTTTCTCTTGTTTTCATGGGAGAGAATTAAAAGGATTAAGCTGCAGACTTTTAAAAAAGTTACTTCATTTAAAAAATCGCCGAATGTTGTAAAAAGAATAACTTGAGAAATGTTAGGAAACAAATTATAGTTTTAACTACCACAGTTATAATTTTATTACTGGTTGTTACATGTTGATACTTCCTTTTAGTGTTTCTTTTTAGTTGGCATTTAAGAGGCCATTATCCTCTCACTAAAGGTAAATGTGTTTTTGATAATCTAGCTACAGCCTGCTTTCTGCCTAGTTTGTGCTAGCTCAGTCCTAGGACATTAGATATCTAATCATCTTAAGAGAATTCAACCAGCGGATTAGAGTGATCTGGTTATTTGAGCCACTTATTAGACAATAATAACTCTCTTAATCATATTGATTGTACTTTTTGTACATTATTAAAATTGAGCATAATTTTTAAAGCCCACATAAAATTTTAATTTAGAGCCCAACAAGGTCAAGTTAAAATCTTAAGGCTTAATATTTTACATGAAGTTTTACTTTTTTAAAAATTAGGAGTAGCATACAAATTATTTGGAGGGCTCCAAGGGAAAGTGTTATCTGTTTTTTGTTTGTATGGATTTTTACTAAGAGAAATTAGCCTGGTTTCAGGGATGTGTGTATGCATGTGTGTACCCATCTTCAGAATTCTGAAGTAACTGAATTTCATTAATATTAGACTTGACAAATGGCTGGAGGCAGATAACTGTACAGTTGCTACAGTGATTTCGAATGGATTCAGATTATTAATATAATACCTGTTTATTGCTTCCTAAAGGTATGTAAGAAAATAAAAGTTGCCTACATATAAACCTAGTTATGGTAATTAAGCTTGAGAAAAAATGTCTTTTTAAAAATGATTAAAGGTTTGGGGCTTTTTTTTTTTTTTTTTTTTTTTTAAATCTCACTAGCAGACCGAATAGAAGAATATACAGTAACTAATTTATTTTGAGTATTGCTTTTGTCATTCCCTGCTGTTACTAAGATTTAACAGCAAGAGTCTCTGGGTCTAGGTATATCTCAATTTACATACGATTTTTCTTTCTTTTTTTTTTTGTTTTTTGTTTTTTGTTTTTTTTTGAGACAGAGTTTTGCTCTTGTTGCCCAGGCTGGAGTGCAATGGCATGATCTCGGCTCACTGCAACCTCCACCTCCCAGGTTCAAGTGATTCTCCTGCCTCAGCTACCCGAGTAGCTGGGATTATAGGCGCCTGCCACCATGCCCGGCTAATTTTCTGTATTTTTAGTAGAGATAGGGGTTCACCATGTTGGCCAGGCTGGTCTCGAACTCCTGACCTCAGGTGGTCCATCCGTCTTGGCCCCCCAGAGTGCTGCCACAGCGCTCAGTCTGATTTATTTCTTAAAAGTTGTATGCAGAATGATTTAAAGTGTATTAAGTCTGCTTGTTAATGAAAGAAACAATATAGTGAATTCTTTTTTAACCAAAGTACCCTAAATTGATATTACTGGTAATTTTTATTTTTAACATATAGCTGACTTTGCCTAAAGGTATACAGTTACATGAATGTTATAAGAAAGATGGCAAACAGGCTTTGTGTTATCATTTGTTTAAAATAGCAAATTATGGGCAAGTTATCTTACAAAAAGGTAGCCTTTTAAATTAATTGTACCTTTTATATTTTATTTAGCTTATGTTGATTTTCATCTCCCCTTTTAAAAAATTATTTAAATAGTACAGTGAGGGTGAAATGAAAAAGATTTTGTGGAATGCCACATGTCAGAAAATACAGTGTCAAAACAATTTCAGTAAATTTTTTTTCTCAAAATCCTCTTCAAAAATACCATATGCCCTTAATCCTAGTACAGATAAAAAACATGTCATTTTAATTTGTTTAGAAGTTACGAGATTGTGAATTGTAAGTAACAGGGAATAACTTCCAAGTTTCTTTACTCATTTTTCCCCCGATTTCTATTTTTATTTCCTCTGAAGTTTAGGAAAGTTAGTGGAAGTTGCAACCAAACTGTTTGTTTGCTAGTATTGAGTAGATATTCTCATGTTGTATTAAATTACCACAGTGTAAAATAGAAGATGTCATAAAAAGTGAAGGAATAATCCACAAAGAAGTGTATTCTATGGCAATTAAGTCTTATTCCTAATATAACTTTAAGATTTGGGAAGAATGTTATGAAATTACTGTTTTTATTTTATTGCATTTTCTTAATATCCTTTTCCTCACTGTGCATTTGACATGTAACCTAGATGAATAAAAATTTTGAAAAAGAAATGTTTCCTGTTACTCTGTTGAGGATGGGGTTATGTGGTTCCCTACCAGTTAATTCACATTAGGTGTTCCTGAATCAAGAAACTTGCTTTTCTGTAATGAAATAAATGGTATTAGTTTCTAGTTAATATAACAATAGATTTTGCATATTTGGCAGATTATTTTTAGTTTTTTTGGTAATTGAAAAAAAGAATACCACTGTGAACATAAAAAGTCAAGATTCTTTTTCTTTAAACTATATGTCCTACTAAACTGTCCTATTAAAAATTGATGGATATTTGGAAAAATAGCAAAATTTAGACTGATTCAAGGAGAAATCAAAAGGCTAGAATGTGGAATGGATGACTCTTTAGCAGGGTACATAGACATAGGGATGTGGCTAATATATCTAAATTTTGTGCTCTTTCTTGCTGTATGTAGTACAGATATTTTAGTTTTTTTATCTATGGATCTAAATCCTCAAAGCAGTAGGTCATGGATTTGTCCCTGAAATAGATAAATTGAAAGATGGTGACCTCTTCAGGTGCCTCATTTCTGTATTTATAGCTTCTCTTAAATATCCAGATGAATTACCTGAGTTATCTTCCAAATAACCCCACTTGAATCAGAGGCTTCATAACTTTATAGTTAGTGGTGACACATTAAATTGTTTTTTCTTTTGATCAGCTTTTCCATTACTCTGATAATCTTGGATCTTTGCTTTTACCTCTTTTGATCTTTTCAAAATGGTAAACCCTTCATGAATATCATAAATAGCTTTCCTGGGTGGACAAAATGATGTAACATTTACCAGTATAAGGACAAATGTAATCCTTAAAATCTTATTTTCATCTTGGAAACTTTATAATAAAAAGTTTAAATTTTTAATAATTGAGTATAATGGAAAAAGTACAAAATACATTCATTTGGTTTTATTTTAAAAACGACTTAATTCCGAAACAAAGTTTCAGTGCATATTGCTGCATTTCGTTTCCATGTAGCCCTATCTTAGACATTTTTCCTTTTACTGAAATAATTTTCTGATGTTATTCTGAAGAAAATAATACACATGTAGTTTTTGGTATTTAAGGCTTTTTTCTGGAAATGGCCCTTTATAGATTTTTATCTTTTGTTGATGAAATTCTTCTTTTCTAAGAGATGTTTTGAAAATGACTGCTTTCTTTTCAAATTATTCTGCATGTATTTTCTATTTTCTTGATTGATATTTTTACACTTGATCTTAGTTAAAAGGCCGAGAAGCGATGATTGGTATTTTTATTACTATTTTTTCTCTTTCTTTTTTGAGATGGAGTCTTGCTCTGTTGCCAAGGCTGGAGTGCAGTGGCGCAATCTTGGCTTACTGCAACCTCTGCCTCCCAGGTTCAAGTGATTCTCCTGCCTCAGCCTCCCGAGTAGCTGGGACTGCAGGCGTATGCCACTCTGCTGGGCTAATTTCTGTATTTTTAGTAGAGACGGGGGTTTCACTATGTTGCCCAGGCTGGTCTCGAACTCCAGATCTCAAGTGATCCACCCACCTCGGCCTCCCAAAGTGCTGGATTACAGGCGTGAGCCACTGTGCCCGGCCTCATTTGTAAATATACATTTTCATCTTGGTAAATATTCTGATGTGTAATAAAACTGCTTTTTTTTTTTTCTTGAGTAGGTCTTGAGTATTAAAATGCAAATTTCCTTCTGTAGCTCTTGAGGTTTGCCTCTTTCCCTCAGTCCCTCATGCCCACACCTTATTCCCCCTATTTAGATTCCTTGGCTAGATAAGGTGTAAGATTTTTTGCTTTTCACTGTCTGGATTGAGGCTAAGTATGATGTTTACCCCTTCCTTCTTTCTCTTGGTGTTGTGTGGATAACAGAACCGGGCCTAGGCCATCAAAGGGCCTGTGATAGGGTCTTTTGACAGCAACAAGACAGATTTTTTTTCTTCTCTTAGTGAGGAGATTGGCAAGATTAGGTATGGCAAAGAGGAGGAAGGGAATTTCCTCTACGCTTTATTGTATATTACTATGGCTGCATAGACATTGAAATGGGGGTCAAAGGGGCCAACCATGTATTTGTCCATTGCCCCACCTTTCCTTGTGCCTTAGACTTAGCAATAGAAAGGGAGGGGGGAATGATAGTCCCATGTGTCTCTGGGTTACAAGAATTATTCCTGTTTCCTAGATTTAGAGTTCATAATGAGAGAGTGACAACACTTGTGTTAGTGGGGGTGCTCTTGTAGGCAAGATGATGCTAAATATAGATTAATCCAGAGCAATTTCCATTTGGCTTTGAAACATTTTTCTATGAATACACGCAAGCTGATATTTCACTTCAAACAAAAATACAAAAGTCACATTTGTGATGACCTTACTCAACTATGAATCCTAGCCAAAGCATTTACTTACCGAGTTGGGTTCATCTATGACCAACATGAGGCACTGGCCTAGGCACTGATGTTCCTCAGAGCTTCTTGCATGCCAGTGGTGTACAGCAGAGTATACATGCAAAAGTAAGCAAACAAACAACAAAATAGGGCAGGTGCTAAGTATAATGGAAAGGTAGGGCAGTGGACCAATATTTAAATTGCTTTTGTGTTCTTTGTTAACGTCTTCTTTAACCCTCACCATAACTCCGTGAAGACACTGAGGAGTGAAATAGTTTACCAGGGTCTATGTAGCTAAGAGAGAGTAGGCAAGGCTTTAACTTGTGTCTGCTGCCAAAAATCTGTACTTCCTATGCTGCTACCAGTCTCATCCTGTATATTCTTCTTTCCTTCAACAATGAGAACAATTATAGTCTATTGTGGTTTCACCTAATTAGGACTCAAATTTTCATCTGTAAAATGAGAGTAGTGTTTGTTTAGTTTTAAAATCTTGTGCTTCTGATTGTCAAACCTGGAAAGGGGAATTTGTCATGGGATAAACAGTAAAGGAAAAGTTAGGTTTTGTTTTGATTTGTTTTTGTGATTCAAATTTTCTAATGAGATTTAGAACATACTTGAAAAGGAAACTAATTCGTAAAATTAAACATTTGATGGCAACAACGAAGAAGGCTTAAGGTCATAAGAGGGTAGACCTCACTGTATCAGGAATATGTGACAACACAGATACTTCTATATTTTGGTATTTGAAAAGTTCGAACCTATTTATTATAGGATAGAAGCTTAGTGAGACAGTACAAATCCATTTCTAGCATAAAATGGATGACTTGATGTTTTTAAATAAAAAGTAGTTGGTAGATTTTTTAAAAATTCTAAAATTTTATTTTATCGTTATTATTTTTTAATAGTAGAAATGGGGTTTTGCTGTGTTGCCCAGGCTAGTCTCGAACTCCTGGGCTCAAGCAGTCCTCCTGCCTCGTCCTCCCAAAGTGCTGGGATTATAGGCATGAGGCACTGTGCCCAGCCATTCGTGGGTTTTTGACCTTTAACTTTTCTTGTGTTGTGATTGTAACAGCAAACATTTCAAAAGAATTTGATCAGGAGGAGAAATAGCACCTGAGTTAACCACAGATTGAATGGTTATTAATTATTTAACACAGATGTGTTACATTTACCTCTAGAGAAAGATGCTTTTAATGATTGTAGAAAAACCAGTAAGTTCAATATTAGAAATTTATGTTTTAAGATTGTGACAGACATCAGAGCTGGCAGATGGGAGAATGTGCAGCTTGGATAACTTAAATGTTGTAAGCATGGATGGAATGTGCCTCTGTTAATGACTGAATCTTAAATTGGAAATGTTTTCATGTATAACTTTATTTGAAGTAATTACTTTGATGTTTTTGAAAGTCAAAACAGTCTCTTTGTAGCAATGCAGTTGTTTTAGTAGCATAGAGGAATAATCATGTCAGAGCAAGGGCAGTATCCCCGTGTTTATTCTATCCTATAATGAACTGATAGAGTCAAATAGATAGCAGCTTCTGTTTTTTTTTTGTTGTTGTTGTTGTTGTTTGTTTTTTGCTTTTTTTTTTTTTGAGATGGAATCTTGCTCTGTTGGCCACACTGGAGTACAGTGGTGTGATCTCAGCTCACTGCAACCTCCGCCTCCTGGGTTCAAGTGATTCTCCTGCCTCACCTCCCAAGTAGCTGGGATTACAGGCACGCACCACCACACCCGGCTAATTTTTGTAATTTTAGTAGAGACGGGGTTTTACCATGTTGGTCAGGCTGGTCTCAAACTCCTGACCTCAAGTGATTCACCTGCATCAGCCTCCCAAAGTGCTGGGGTTATAGGTGTGAGCCACCATGCTCAGTCAGCTTCTGTTAATAATGTGCTGAATTTTCCTAGTTCCTCCCTAGTGATTTTTTTTTCCCTTCAAGAGATATTTCTTTTAAAAAGCAGATAAAATAACTGCAGAATCTTACCTGTCATTTACTTCTGTATAGCAAGAATCACATTTTAAAAGAATATCACAAATTGTTACCATAAGTTAGCTAATATTTGTATAGTAGCTCAGAGTGCAAATCCTGAGGCCAAGTGCTTTTTTTTTTTTTTTTTGAGGCAGAGCCTTGATCTGTTGCCCAGGCTGGAGTTCAGTGGCACGATCTCGGCTCACTGCTACCTCTGCCTCTCAGGTTCAAGTGATTCTCGTGCCTCAGCCTCCCAAGTAGCTGGGATTACAGGTGTGCGCCACCACACTCAGCTAATTTTTTGTATTTTTAGTAGAGATGGGATTTCACTGTGATGGCCAGGCTGGTCTCAAACTCCTGATCTCAAGTGATCCATCTGCCTTGGCCTCTTAAGTACTTGGATTACAGGCGTGAGCCAGCACACCTGGCCCCAAGTGCTTTAAACAAATCTTACTTAATTTTGGTTTCCTAATGATAGTGTAAAATGACCTTGGAACACAAGATCCTTAATTGTGGCTTCTTGTTGGAAGATGAAGTTGGAAGGACAACCATTTCATTATTTTACTGAAGTTTATATAGTATTGACTTGTCATTGTTTGAATATATTGAAAATGAAAAATGACAGTGATCATAATTTATTTTCAATTTTAAGTGTAATATATGAAAATATTGCTGTCTCTGTTTATGATGAATACTAAATTTAAGCTAAGTTATAAGGTGTGCTGTTTGGAAATATGGAAGAAACAAGAATGAAGCCAGATAACAAGTTTATGCTTGTATTTCCTACTGATGAAGACTTTCAGACGAGTTATTTTCATGGGTAGGTGATGTCACTCTGCATGTATACACTTATACTTTTTTGCATGATTATACATGTAGGAGTGGTACAATTTTGACTTGACTGTTGACCTGTTGCCTCAATTTGGGGGTAGGGGTGGAGAATATGAGGGCAAGAGGCTCTGAATGGTATTAGTCATATAAATTTTAAAATAACTCACTAAAATAACTTAGTACAAACACCTAAGAAAAAGCCCTTAAAAAATAGAACATATGGTCAAATAGTCAATATTGTACTTGGCCCTTATATCTTCTGTATCCAAGTATTTGGACATCACACAGTATCTTGATTCCATAATAATCATTTTGAACTCTGACGAGAACGCCATTGAATATTGCAGCTTTCTTTTCTTTTTTTAGAAAAGAAAAACCTGAAACACGAATCATTTTCTTGCTATTTAAACTAAAATCAATTACCAACTGATACCAAGGCCACACTGTTGAATTTTATGGTCATTGAACTTGATTTACCCCTTAAGGGGATCTGGAAATTATTTTTAAGTAGTCAACTAAAGTTGTCATGATCGTCAGAATTTCATATTGTGACATGTCTGTTCTTTATACAGTGGCACCTAACAACTCATTTACTTTTATGTTTGGTCATTTTTTATTTAAAAAATATTACTACATAAACCTGTGGTTTGGTAGTTTAGTTTTAAGGGATCACTACCCAAAGTGTGTTTTTGTTCAGTGACAATTGACACAATGGATATTTGTATTAAAATAGTAATACTTCATTGTGTTACATTTTTATGATTCATTGGCACAGATGCATTCCTTCATAGTCAAGAGTTTCATAAAATAGGTGTGTTTAATATTCATTTGTTGGATGATATCTTAAAAACCTTAATGGAAATAGTTTGCTTGCGCTTCATAAATAGCCTTTGGGGGAGAAAACAGCATTCGTTTATTTCTGCTTTATATTAAAATAGGGGTAGTAGAGGGATTTCTTACTTGAAGGAAAACTTTATGTTTGCTTTTTGCTGTTAACGTTTTTCTTAAAAAAGGGGTAGAATTAGCATTTTAAAGCATGTATCTATTCTACAAGCATGAATATTGACTTATTTTAGCATGAATTGCTGCAGTGTAATTAATTTACTTTGAAACTCAGCTGCCTTTTTCAGCCAGTTAGGGGGATTTGAGGGTGGAAGGGTCCTCTTCCAGTAAGAACTTCAATATTTTCTTGTAAAATCACCCATAAGATTGCATATTGTTTAGTTGGAGTATGAGCTGGTTGTCTTTCTTAAGGAAAAGGAAATAGAAATATCCCTCATAAGATATCCAAAGCAAAATCCTGAAAATGGATTTGTTGTATTGTCTTTTTACAGAATGTCATAAAGTGTATAACATCCCTGTTTTTATAAAAGGACTTTACTGGAAATAGATATGTTAGTCAAACAGAGCTCTAGTGTTAACCTTATTTCTTTAGGACATAGGAAAATATATTTGATTTTCTTTTCTGAATCTACTAGAGACTTTTTATATTACCCAGTAAGAGAAAGAACTAGATTCATTCTTTTAAAAAATATAAATTGGGTTTTAATAATTTGCATCAGTTTTTTCCTTTAAGAAATCAGTTCCACTTTCTCTGTGGAGTCATCCTTTTTTTCTTAATCTTGCTCTTTAAAAGTATGACAGGAATTCAGTGTAACATTGTTGAGTATAGTCTTGTCTTCTGTTCTTCATAGTAACACTCCTTTTCCTCCTTCCAAAATGTGTCCATCATCTTTGTAAGCTTGGATTATCTTTTTCACTTTCACATTTTGTACAAAATATTAGATCTATAAAGTGCAGCTTTTCTGATGAGATAGAATAATGAAGGCAACTGACATTAGAGGGCTCTTACTAGTTTCAGAAGTATTTTTCACCCCACACGTTAGATACAAGTATACATTTTCTTTCCTCCCTAGATGGACCTCCAGTTGTAGCTCATTATGATATGTCTGACACCAACTCTGACCCAGAAGTGGTAAATGTGGACAATTTATTGGCGGCTGCAGTAGTTCAAGAGCACAGTAATTCTGTAGGCGGCCAGGACACAGGAGCTACCTGGAGGACCAGCGGGCTTCTAGAGGAGCTGAATGCAGAGGCAGGTTGGTCTTCCCCATCCCCCTTCTCTAACGGTGTAATATGCATGTGTCCTGGAGCTGTTTTCCTTGTAGTGGACCCTGATGAGGAGAACAGGTCATACCAGAGACATCTGGCATTGAATGATTGGTTGTGACTATCCAGGCTGCCATTTATACCTGAAACAATTTGGATAGCTTGTCATTCATCTTTCCTACTCAGAAGGAAGTAGAAATAAGAGCATTTAAGACATTAATTGTAGGTATTGGTAGGTTTCAGTAGGCATATTTCTTGGATTAAAAATGCCCAATATTTGCAAAAATGACCCAGATATGCTCATATTCTTTGGCCAGTTCTTTCTCTCACTTTAATTCTGGGTAGTGACCTTGCAGCTTGGATAGGGAATCGTTGAATCTCTCCCTGTGGGGCTGGCTGTTCATACACAGCGCTGCCGCTGTTTCTTGTGCTTCTTGCTGTGGAGTGACCCTGTTAATTCCTCGTCAGTAAGTTCTCATTTGTCTTTTCTAACTCCTTTCTTTTAGTTTCTGTCTCTGTTAGCTCAGGAAAAAAAATCTCTGTCCCTGTCTTACATTTTTTTAGTTTTGTGATTATTCTTTAAGGTGGTATTTATTCACTAAAAAATCCACTGCTGTTACCTTTGAAAAACTTTCACAATACCTCCAAGTCTTCTTCAATATTTTCTTCAAAAGTTTCTTTCAGCATTCTAATTTAAACCTTGTTTTGTTGTTGTTGTGAAAATACTAGCACTGAACATTTAAGAAGAGAAGGGGATTGAGAGACTGCTTATGCAGTGTATAATTTCTTCAGTGTTGCTGAAAGATTATAGTTTTCTAGTTAATTTATAAATGCATTGGTTTTATGAGTTAATCTAATAGTTTAATCACTACCTAAAGTTATTTTTATGAAAAATGAGTTTTACAAAAAAATGAGTTATAGTTTAGAACTTTTTATATTGAGACAGAACTCCATTGATTGTTGTTGTCTTAAATTATTCCTTTCATAATCTTTGATTGGAATTACAGAAAAATCACTTGTTTGTTGACCTGATTGATTTACTGTAGCTAATTTTGGAACTGAACCTGAATTTAGTTTTGATTTTTTTTGACTGGTAACTGCTGCCTGTTTGTCCTTGGACCAGTTGTTTCTCCTCTGGACTTCAGTTTTTATATGTATAAATCCTTGTTTTGCCCAACAAGTGTCTTTTAAGGATTTATTAATATGTATTAATACAAATACTTTGAAAAGAAGTAATAATGCTTCTGGGCACAGTGGCTCACGTCTGTAAGCCCAGCACTTTGGGAGGCCGACGTGGGAGGATCACTTGAGGTCAGGAGTTCAAGACCAGCCTGATCAGCATGGTGAAACCCCGTCTCTATTAACAATACAAAAATTAGCTGGGCGTGATGGGTGTGGTGGTGGGCGTGGTGGTGGGCGCCTGTAATCTCAGCTGTGGAATTGCTTGAACCTGGGAGGCAGAGGTTGCAGTGAGCTAAGATTGTGCCACTGCACTCCAGCCTGGGTGACAAAACTAGACTGTATCCCCCCAAAAAAGAAAAAAGAAGTAATAATGCTTTATATCAGTGGAAAGTAGTTTGGCCACATTTTGTACAATATGTGTTTCTAAGTTATTTATTTATTTATTTATTTATTTGAGATGGAGTTTCGCTCTTGTTGCCCAAGCCAGAGTGCAATGGCGCGATCTCAGCTCACTGCAACCTCCGCCTCCTGGGTTCAAGCGATTCTCCTGCCTCAGGCTCCTGAGTAGCTGGGATTACAGGCGCGCACCACCACGCCTGGCTAATTTTTTGTAGAAATGGGGTTTTACCATGTTAGCCAGGCTGCTCTGGAACTCCTGACCTCAGATGATCCGCCTGCCTTGGCCTCCCAAAGTGCTGGGATTACAGGCGTGAACCACTGCACCCAGCCTTGTAATTTGTATATTAGATGGTTTATCTTTGTTTTTCATCCTTTGGCAATTAAGTCATCCATTCCACTTCAGTTTTATTTCTCTGTTTTCTGAGTCTTGCCGTTAAATATAGACCATTTTATGGTAAAGTTTTGGGGTAAAAAATGAATGATTACCAACGTTTTGCTCTTCATATGCAGAATTCTTAATATTAGATTGAACCGTATGGAATTGTTAATATTTGACTTTTTGACCTACAAAAAATCAGCCATTTCTTATGACTTGACCGAATAATGCAAAGTTTGCGGTTTTAAAATATCATTAAAGTTTAGCTTTTGGGATGGCATTCACATTTTCAGATTCAAGTAATTGTTAGCCTATTTAAAAATCACTCTTAAGAAACTACAACCATTCTTTTTAAGAAATAAAACGTGGTAAAAGTATGTGAGGAGGAAAACAACTGTGGCTTCAGATGTTTTCCTTCCCTTTGCCCTTCCCATGCCAAAGCTATCCTAAATTGGATATTTAATGTGTGGTATTCCTGTGTATTTCTTTATATATTTGTACTACATTTGTTATATATCTAAATAAGCATGTTTTTAAAACTAATTGGTATCACATTGAAGGTAATCATTTGAAATGTGCTTTTTTAGTTAAACATTTTATGAGTTTTGTTGTTGTTATGTGTGGCTCTAGTTCATTCATTTTCCACTGCTATTTAGTATTCCACTATATGAATATATCACAATTTACCCATTCTCTTGTTGGACATTTAGGGTGCTATTTTAAGTGATACTGCTCTTAACATTTCTTTATGTGTTTTTTGGTATATGTATATGATAATTTCTCTAGGATATAATTAATATATAGAGAGAGCATTTGTGCATATTGGACTATAAATTTTGTGTAGGTTTCTGTATATCATAGGATGCAGTCACCACTGCTCAGCAGATCCCCATGACATTTTGTTATGAAGCTTATTGGCTCTTTCAAAGGCATTTTTTTTTCTTAAATCTGACAATACTGGTATGTGGGTAATAAATAAAAATAATACTGTAGTCTTGATGTGATTATCATAGTGGAACTCATCTTGTGAAGATATCTGAATGTGCTTACAGTGTCTCAATAAAATATTAATAGAATTTATGCTTAGGAGCCAGTTAATAGTTTTGAGGCTTGGACTATTAGTCAGATGGTCATTCTTATGGTGTGAGTGTAAGTTAAAATTTTAATGGTTAATCTGGGTCCTGTCTTTCCCTTTCACAACAAAATAGCAAGCCTAGTTATTGAGCAGACTATTCAGGGGTTCACTTTAATCAACAGCAGCATCTCAACCCAGGTCCACAGCCCCATCCCATTTAGGATCACATAGGTACGCACTAAAGATAGAGTAGGTTGCCTTTTTCCAAGCAATTAGATGATTATCTTGCATCCAAAATATATATTTAGTTTTAGTTTTAACCTAGGCAAAAGACTTGAACCACATGCAGGGATTAAAAAGTAAGTCGAAATTAGAGAAGCTACTGATCAACAAAAGACCTGAATTTTCCATTTCAATTCTTGCCATGTGTTTGCTTTTTTTAAGTTGATGCTGGAATTGAACACTGTAGTGGGTGATTTTGAACCAGTGGCCACTTAGAAACTGCATGTCCTCAGGTAAATTATATAAAGCCTCAGTTTTCCCTATCTACAAAACTGGGGCACAACCTTTATAGTATCTACTCCAAAAGGTTATTGTTACCACTAAGTGAAATACAGTGTGTTTACTACGGAGGACAGCACATAGTAGGCCCTCAGAAATGCTAACCAGCATTATGTTAATATGCTGAAGTAGACTGAGTAAGGAAGTGATTAGTGGCTCAGTCACTGGATTTCTAATTACTCTCTTGCACTGCAACGAGTTGCTCTTGCTACAAGTACTTCTTAAATTTTGCCAGAGCGTAGAAATTACCCAGTGTGTTTATAAATATTCACACTCCTAGGTTTCTCCTGATGATTCTGTCAATAAATCTGAAATGGTTTCTGGGAATCTCTTTTTAATAATAGCCTCAGGTAACTCTTGTATCCAGCATGTTTAGGAAACTGTATTAATATATCTGAAAATGGCTTCATTTTTGTTGCTAGTAAGGGCTCACTGCAAACAAATGTAGTTGGGGCAAGAAGAAGCAGAAGTCTTGGTGAGGAAGGCTTATAGCTGTGGTAAACTGAACTTATTTAGGATTTTTTTCCCTGGGAAGTTAAAACTTTAAATACCTTATCTTTTCCATCAGCCTTCTTGTCAAGAAGGTAGGTTCTGAGCATTTTCCCCATCCTTACAATAGGGATGGTAATCTTGATTTGTCCCTAACATGGTGGCAGTACAGAGAAATGAATCCTGGGTTTCCTGTTCCTAGTGTAGGGTTTTTAATAATTAGACCAGAATGGCCATGTTTCAGAATCAGTATAGTGAAGGAGATGAAGTATGGTCATGTTCTTCATGTTTATCTGCATCAAATTGATGGTAAGAGTTTAGATTTTTTTTTTTTTTTTTTTTTAAGAGGGAGTCTCCAGTCACCCAGGCTGGAGTACAATGGCACATTCTGGGCTCACTGCAACCTCTGCCTCCCGGGTTCAAGTAATTTTCGTGCCTCAGCCTCACAAGTAGCTGGGATTACAGGTGTGTGCCACTGCGCCTGGCTAATTTTTGTATTTTTAGTAGAGACAGGGTTTACCATGTTGGCCAGACTGGTCTCGAATTCCTGACCTCCAGTGATCCGCCTGTCTTGGCCTCCCGAAGTGCTAAGATTACAGGCATGAGCCACCACACCCAGCCAGATTTTAGATTTTTGAGCTCTTCCTTCACTCTTTTTTGTTGTTGTTGTTGGAGATGGATTCCAGCTCTGTCGCTCAGGCTGGATGCGGTGGCAGTCTCCGCTCATTGCAGCATCTGCCTCCTCGTTCAAGTGATTCTCCTGCCTCAGCCTATCCAGTAGCTGGGATTACAGGTACCCGTCACCACGCCCCGTTAATTTTTTTATATTTTTAGTAGAGATGGGGTTTCACCATGATGGCCAGGCTGGTCTTGCCCTCCTGATCTCAAGTAATCTGCCCACTTCTGCATCTCAAAGTGCTGGAATTTCAGGCGTGAGCTACCATGTCCAGCCCTCTTCCTTCACTTTTTAAGGTTGTTTAACGTGCTGTTTAAGGAACTAAAAGTAGGCTGGGTGCTGTGGCTCACGCCTATAATCCTGGCATTTTGGGAGTCCGAGGTGGGCAGATCACGAGGTCAGGAGTTCGAGACCAGCCTGTCCAATATGGTGAAACCCCATCTATACTAAAAAAAATACAAAAATTAGCTGGGCACGGTGGCGTGGGCTCCTGTAGTCGCAGCTACTTGGGAGGCTGAGGCAGGAGAATTGCTTGATCCCGGCAGGTGGAGGTTGCAGTGAGCCGAGATTGCACCACCTCTCTCCAGCCTGGGTGACAGAGTGAGACTCTGTCTCAATAAAAAAAAAAAAAAAGAAAGAAAAAAAGAACTAAAAGTAGTAATTTGCTGTTTTTAAAGCTAAATGAGTAGTGACTTATTTTTTTATTTTTTTTATGCCTAGCATGCGACTGTCATACAGTATGTAGTATTACTTTCTCTTCAGTGTGTTGCAAAGCTCAGGCCTAGTTCTTACCCAGTGGATTTACAGTTTAAAAAGTAGCTGGATTATTTCCTTTAAAGACAGAAAGAAACTGTTTTCCATGATAATTTAGTTACTACTTTTTCTGTGCTTCTTTTTCTTACCCTATTTTGATAACTACCTTTTCTTGGTAACTTTTTCTTACCCTTTCTTGTTGAAAAGGTCTGTAGTGGGAGGACAAAATTTAGAATTTTCTCATATAGTGAAAGAAGTTATCTTTCCAAAGACCTACACAGGCAGAGACCTACACAGAGACAGCCAGCTGTCACAATAGCTAAATATAAGTGCTCTGCTTTATTTTCAGTTTAATATATGGTAATTGCGGTATTTACATTTTTCTCTACAGGGCTTGTTCTTGTCTTAGAACTGGAAAAGATTACTACCACTGACAGTATTTGAAGAACCTCATAGCATCTTTGGCTCACTTTTCTGTATGCTTTAGGCACTGTTCTGCCATTGGAATCCTGTGAAGTCCTCCATGGGGGGTGAGGCGGGGTGGGGAGGGGCAGAGCAGAAAAGGCCCAAAGGCCAGAGAATGTCAGGTTCTATACTGGAGCTCCCAAAGGAATGTGTGGGATGCTGAAGAGGGTTACAGTGACAGAAAAGGACTAATGGTCCTGGCTCTGAAATAGAAGAAGGAAGAGGCAGAGGCATCCCAGAATGCCTTTGGTGTCTCTTGTAGAGCACGGCATCTCATTGCCTTGGTGTGGGTCCTAGCTGATTTGTTTTCTGTGTGGCACAATTTATCTAAGGCTCTGACAGGAAATTTGGCAAATGTCTCACACTATTAGTCTAGGAGTTGTTAACATTCACGAGGCAGTCTGTATTTAGCACCCCCATCACTTTCTCATGCCTCTTATCTTGCACTAGTATATTGACCAAGCATTACAGATAAGAGCAGACCCTAGGCTAGGCGCGGAGGCTCACACCTGTAATCCCAGCACTTTGGGAGGCCGAGGCGGGTAGATTACCTGAGGTCAGGAGTTCGAGACCAGCCTTACCAACATGGCCAAACCCCGTCTCTACTAAAATACAAAATTAGCCTGGCGTGGTGGTGCATGCCTGTAATCCCACCTACTCAGGAGGCTGAGGTGGGAGAATCGCTTGAACCCGGGAGGTGGAGGTTGCAGTGAGCTGAGATCACATCTTTGCACTCCAGCCTGAGCAACAAGAGCAAAACTCCATTTCAAAAAAAAAAAAAAAAATAGCAGACCCCAATTTAAAGTGACCAGTTTTAGCATATCATCTGGGTTTTGTAACCATGTTAAATACCAGCAGGTTTGGATTGCAATTTTTATGGCAAAAATTGCACTACCAGAATTGTTTGGATTATCTAACAATGTGGAAGGAATATTACTAGTTTCTAGATCCATAATGAATGAATAAAGTTAGAAGAATCTGAAATATTGGTGATGGTACCTTGTTTTTTTTTTAAAAGACAGTATAAAATTAACAAAAGTAGCATAGTAACTTTTCGTTTCATAAAAAATAAAGTGATGACATTTCTAGCTCTGGAATAAGGCTATTGGAGGTAGTAAGGTGAGGATGGCAGGGTCCTAGTCAGTGAAGACTGGTTATTCAGAAATATTGATGACAGATATTTCACAAAACATTCCTGCTAGAGAGGGTAGAATTATAAATTAGAACGATGGTTATAGGAACCGAGCAAAGAGATACTAAGAATTAACTAATTCCATCATATTCTTGTTGTATTTTCTTAATTACCATTGTTTAAAAGCATTGAGTGATCAAGGAGGAAGAGTTTGGTTATAGTGATCCTGCCTGTCTACACTCTGCCTTTTTAATTTGGTTTAATTAATTTCATTTATTTATTTTTAGGATCCCAACAGGCTGAACCCCTTACTGTGAGTCTGCCACAAGTGGCTTTTAGTACCTCTTGGAGCTCAGCTCCTTGCTTGGTTGCTTATTGATTGATTGAGATGGCATCTTGCTCTGTCATCCTGGCTGGAGTGCAGTGGTATAATTCACCTCACTGCAATCTCGGCCTCCTGGATTCAAGCACTTCTTCTGTCTCAGCCTTCTGAGTAGCTGGGACTACAGGGGCGTACCACCATACCTGCCTAATTTTTGTATTTTTAGTAGAGACCGGGTTTTGCCATGTTGGCCAGGCTTGGTCTCAAACACCCGACCTCAAGTGATCTGCCTGCCTCGGCCTCCCTAAGTGCTGGGATTACAGGTGTGAGCCATGGAGCCCAATCCAGCTTCTTGCTTCTTAGTGAGTAGGCACAGTTTTGAGGTGGTTTTTCACATAAATAATGAGTATTCATGATAGCAGGACTTGTAAGTAGAGAGAGACTAACATAGGTGCCAGGACTGTTTCATGAATGAGTAACAGTCATGGAGTCAGTAGATGGCAGTGAAACGGTAACCTCCTGGAAGGCACTGCCTGCTGGTGTTGGTACATGAGGATGGAGATGAGTAATTTATAAGTGATCTGCATCCCAGCATTGGGGGTTAAGAGCAGCTTCCTCTTCAGAAGACTGCAGGGGAGACAACGTCTTCAGGAACGTCAGTCAGGTTTCCACAAGGAGGTGGAGAGAAAGTTCAGTGTATTTTACCATGGAGTTGGCATTCCAGAAGGTAAAGTTGTAGGAGGGTGAGCAGTGGGTGGCTGGAGCAAAGGAAGACAACAGAGTTGGGGATAAGATGGCAAAAAATGGATGATCCCAGGTGCTTATATTTTGTAGGTAGCTAAGAGGGTGAAAGTATAGTGTTTTACTTCTCATGACCACTGGTTTTCCTTCTACCCCTCCTTACTGCTTTTTCCTTTTCCACGTAGGCTTTTCTATACTCTTTATTTTTGTTTGTTTGTTTGTTTGTTTTTTTGAGACGGAGTCTTGCTCTGTCACCAGGCTGGAGTGCAGTGGCACGATCTTGGCTCACTACTGAAACCTCCGCCTCCTGGGTTCAAGCGATTCTCCTGCCTCAGCATCCGGAGTAGCAGGGACTACAGGCATGTGCCACCACACCCAGCTAATTTTTGTATTTTTAGTAGAGATGGGGTTTCACTCTGTTGGCTAGGATGGTCTCCATCTCTTGACCTCATGATCTGCCTGCCTTGGCCTCCCAAAGTGGTGGGATTACAGGCGTGAGCCACTGCGCCTGGCCTCTATACTCTTACGCAGCTACTTCCACCACACTACTTTTCTACTTCATTGGACCAATCCCCCATCCCTTTATCAGTCCTCTCCCAGCTTCCTGTCCTTCCCTATCAAGCCTATATAGGCCCAGCTGTCCTTTGCCAATGTCACTTATAGAGTTGACTTTCCTGTTGTACTTACCTGGCAGAGTCTGATCCCTGGATGCACACTTTGAGCCTGTATCCCCCATGCTAAGCATAGCTGGAGAAAATCACTTTGTCACAGAGTTAAAGGTTGCCTTAATTTCCTAGTCTGCGGCTTCATCCAGGCTCTCAGCGCTTCCCAGAAACTCCCCCTTTTCCTTAGGCAGCATTCTTTTTTTTTACTTTTTTTGAGACGGAGTCTTGCTCTGTCACCCAGGCTGGAGTGCAGCGGCGCCATCTCAGCTCACTGCAAGCTCTGCCTCCCAGGTTCACGCCATTCTCCTGCCTCAGCCTCCTGAGCAGCTGGGACTACAGGCGCCCGCCACCACGCCCGGCTAATTTTTTTTTGTATTTTTAGTAGAGACGCGGTTTCACTGTGTTAGTCAGAATGGTCTCGATCTCCTGACCTCGTGATCCACCCGCCTCGGCCTCCCAAAGTGCTGGGATTACAGGCTTGAGCCACCACGCCCGGCCTTGCATTCTTTCTCCGTAGTGGCTACTTCGCTTTTCTGCACCTGCCCACACCTACTCTCTGCAGATGGCCTTGCCACATTCTTCAAAATCCAGATTACCTCAGCTTTCTGCTGTCAAACCTATTCTCTGCCCTTTTGGAATATGAACAGGTCTCTCTCATTGTTAAAAACTATGTATATACACATACATACAAACACCCTTCCCTCAAGCCCATATTCCTTACTCAGTACCATCCTATCTCCTTTTCCTCCATAGCCAAACTTCTTAAACTGTGTTTGCTCTTCCTTCCCTTTCATTATTCTTCAGATTGCTTTGCTATATTGGCTTTCTCCCAGGCTGGAGTGCAGTGGTGCAATCATGGCACACTGCAGCCTTGACTCCCTGGGCTCAAGCAATCCTCCTGTCTCAGTTTCCCGAGTTGCTGAGTCTGTAGTTGCACACCACCACGTCTAATTCCCCGCCCCCCTCGCCCCACCCCATCTCTTAATTATTTATGTTCATCAATACTTGGGTTGTGTTTTCTAGACCACTTTTACTCTTCAGGATGATCTTTATTCTCTCATCTATTGCTGAGGATTTAACAAGTCTGTATTTCCTCTTTAGACCTCTGACCTGAGCTTTAGAACAGTACCGATTGTACCATTGACTGTCATCTGCTTACTCCGTGATAGTTTCACTCATTTATGAAACATTCCTGGCACCTGTCTTAGTCTGTCTCTGCTTGCAAGTCCTGCTATCATGAACACTCATTATTTATGTGAAAAGTTATGTGAACTGCTTATTGGACATATTAAAGGCACATAATCATCATGCCCTGAGCAACCACCCTCAGCTTTTATTAGTGCACTGAATGGCACTGTAACTCTATCCATTTACCTAAGTCAGAAACCTAAGCATCATTTTTGACTTTCTATGTTCTTTCATTTGCCTAATTCCCAACATTACTAACCCTCCATTCGTACACACACACACACACACACACACAGTATTTTCCATTGTTTTTTTTTCCTAGTTCAGCCACAGTCATTTCTCACCCAGGAAGCTGCAGCAGTCTAACTGGTTTTGTTGCCTCCAGTATTTCCTGTCCTGCTTGCTATCAGTTTCATTTCTATACTCTGAAAGGAAATTCTTTAAAATGCAAAACCAGATGACGTCACCCCTCTGCTTACCCTCTGCTTAAATGGTTCAGTGGCTTCCTACTTCTCAAAGCTAAGTCCAGACAGCTTACCATGATCTGACCTGCTGACTTTGGTAGCCTTGTTTCTTATTACTCTTTTGACTGTTACCCCCAAATCTCACCAAACTTTTATACCTTAAAGGACAACAGAATGTTCTGTATGCCACTTCCCCTCATCTGTGCCTACTCTTCCTTGAGAACCCAGCTTCCCTGATTACCCTCAAGTCTGGTGAATGTTCCCTATCAGAGCAGTTTTCAAGCCATGGTGCAATAGACTGCTTTTTATTATCTCTGCATATATCGCAGGTTCATTGAGGGTAGAGACTATGCCTGCCTTGTTCCCCATAGTATTTCTAGCACTTAGCACAGTGCATAGCATGTCGCAAGTATTTATTGTAGGTACAAACAAATAAAGTAAACAGTAAAGACTGTTTGAATTATTGAATATGGAAAAGTTGAAGGCTATAAAGAAGAGAGTCTGTGATTTTGTATTCTTCCTTAGCAGTACAGTTGGAACAGTGTGCATGAGGATAGGAATAACTAAAACATTGAAGTAGAACTTGGATGAAGACTTGGCCACAAGCAAGGTATTGGGGATCAGAGCAAGAATCTAGGTTTACGAAAGCAAGACTTAACCAATTCCATTTAAGCAGCCTCCCTAGATTTAATAAAACAGAGTTTTATCTGGTGAATGCCACCTTTTGTATGCTTATAGGGTCCAGATATGTGCCCACTGCTAGTGCCACATAATCTGGATTACAAACCCACGCAAACTGTGATATATAATCTCAATCACTGGTTTATCTAGGAGCCATTCTAAGCATTAAAAATTTTTCACATATATGCATCATTTTCAGTCGAAGAATAAAAGGTAAAAATAGTACTAAAGAATTATGAAAAAGACCCACAATCATATTCAAACTTGATTATTTTTCACAGCTTTACTCAGAATCTACATATTTTTATAGTGTTATGTGTAATACTTTATATGTTAGTATACATTTTTCCAAGTTGCTACATAGCACTGTAATGAATATCTTTGGATATAACATTTTGCTTATTTAAAGGCTAAGGAGTAAATTATTAGGGATGGGTTTACAGGGTCAGAAGGTATAAAAATTGTAAGCCTTGGTTTGAGACTGTCTGTAGCTTCCAAAAGGTTTACACTCAAGGGTGACAGGAGTATGAAAGTACAGGATTTGGCCAGGTGCGGTGGCTTAAGCCTGTAATCCCAGCACTTTGGGGAGGCCAAGGTGGGCTGATCACCTGAGGCCAGGAGTTTGAGACCAGCCTGGCCAACGTGACGAAACCCCATCTCTACTAAAACTACAAAAATTAGCCAGGTGTGGTGGCGTGCGCCTGTAATCCCAGCTACTCGGGAGGTTGAGGCAGGAGAATTGCTTGAACCTGGGAGGCGGAGGCTGCAGTGAGCCGAGATTGTGCCATTGCACTCTAGCCTGGGTAACAGAGCGAGACTCCATCTCAAAAAAAAAAAAGGTACAAGATTTCTCAATAACCTTGAAGCATTGGGTTGAGTAAAGGGAGAAGAGAGTTGCATGTAAAATTTTCTTTTCTTTTTTTTTTGAGACAGAATCTCCCTCTGTCGCCTGGCTCCTGGAGTGCAGTGGCGCGATCTCGACTCACTGAAACCTCTGCTTCCTGGGTTCAAGCAATTCTCTATCCTTAGCCTCCTGAGTAGCTGGGACTACAGGCATGCCACCATGCCCAGCTAATTTTTGTATTTTTAGTAGAGATGGGGTTTCAACCATGTTGGCCAGGATGGTCTTGATCTCTTGACCTTGTGATCCGCCCACCTTGGCCTCCCAAAGTGCTGGGATTACAGGCATGAGCCAAAATTTTATTTTATTTACATTGGTTTAGTTTAGATTAGGTGTTGTGTAGATTTTTTTTTTAAATATGGGAAATAATTTTGTATCAGATCACAATATATTTAAATAAAAATACCCTTTAGAGGGTAAATGAGAATTTGTACTCATTGCAACTCTGTTTATTCTATGTTAACTCCTAGGTATTCTAAAATTCAGCCTTTTAAATCAGAACATTCAAGAGCTGGTACATAGGCCGAATTATTTTAGCTCTTGCTAGAATTGTTTTTAGAGCCATGTACTTTGATGCCATGCCATTAGCCATTATTGAGAGTTCTGTGAAGCTCATGTTTTCTGTGATGTTGGAGAATGTATTTTATTGCATCATATAATACGTGCTTTGGGAAGACTCTTGTAAAGAAGTCCTTACATCCCCCAGTGCCACAAACTGTTATGTTTTTCCAGAGTGTGTGGTTTGTTTCTAAGGAGAACTCTCAGCAATGTACAAGTTACATTTCAGTTGCTCAGAGCCAAAATTGTGATTTACCTCCAGCCTTCCTTTTTAGATGTAGTTTTGGGTCAGATTTTGTCAAATCTATGTTTCTTTAGAGAGGACATGTGCTAAATCTTTCACAAAGCATCTCAGTATAAATATGGTATTAGTGATTACTTCTATTATTCTATATGTGCCTTTGGGCTTTTCTGGTTTAGAGTTTGGTTCTATTAAAATGATAAGCAGTAGAGAGCCCCACTGCCTTCTAGGTGGTTACGCAGGTCGTTTAAAAGCTGACTGGAGTTGAATGCAAAAAGCATTACAGCATAAAATATATAGAGTTTGTTATGGTTTAGGTAGACAGATATAGGTATTTACCAAAGCATTTAAATTTTTTTATCCTAAGGAGTAGCGAGTGAGAGACTTTGAGTTCATACTTTTATGTACTGCCATGTTGTTTGAATATACATCATGAGCATATATTCTGTATATTTTTTGAACAAAGAACACTGCCCCAGCTTATTTGACAGTTTTGCTGTGGCAAGCTCTCACAGGGTGATTCTGTTTCTGTGACTAAACCTAGATGACAAATCTGTCAATGAGTTGTTTCCACTGTTTGTGAGGAATAAAATTATAGTGCTTGTTTTTTTTCCTCCCCTTCTCTCTCAGGTCATTTGGATCCAGGATTCCTAGCAAGTGACAAAACATCTGCTGGCAATGCGCCACTCAATGAAGAAATTAACATTGCGTCTTCAGATAGTGAAGTAGAGATTGTGGGAGTTCAGGAACATGCAAGGTAGGATACTAATTGGAGTAGTCTGATATTTTAAGTTATAAATTCTATTTTAACCAGAAAACAAGTTAAAAGAAAATGGTAGACTTTATGGCATAGCTGGCATGAATGAATGATGGGAGTTCTTGGTTTTGTTTTGTTTAAGAAACACTTTTTGTTTAGACATGATATGAGCCTTAGAGTGTGTTATATATTGTCTCATATCAAGGACATTTCAACCATACATGTCTGTGAACTAGAGCTGATGTTTTTTTCTTTTAAGCAAATGTTTAGTTAGCTTGACAGACTTTTCATTTAAGGCAGAAGTATCACTGTACTTTTTTCTCTCACGTTTATACTTTCTTGCCTTTCACTTTACCTGGAAATATACTAGGAGCAAACAGTTGGGAAACATGCATCTGACATCATGCCTTTTTGACTGGTTTCCTAGAGCAACTCTCCTTGTCTTTCATTAGAAGCAAACTTGCAAGTTATTTTGGTCTGTTTTTACAGAGTGTATTTCCAGTAATGCTCATATAACTAAGGGAGTCTTTTTTCTTAGGATTAAAAGAAACCCCACAAGACATCAAGTTGGTGTGTAGCATTATAAACATAATTTATGAAGTTTGGCATTCGTTAAGGTAGGGGTCAGCAAACTGTGGCCCATAGGCCAATTCTGGCCTGCTGCCTGTTTTAGTCTGGGCTGTGAGCTAAGAATGATTTTTACCTTTTTAGGTGGCTGGTGGGAAAAAAAAATCAAATGAAGACTGATACTTTGTGACATGTGAAAATTACAGGAATTAAAATTTTAGTCTATAAATAAAGTTTTATTTTAACAACCATGCTTGTTCATTTTATATATAATCATCGATGTCTGTTTGTGCACTCCACTGGCAAAGTTGAATCGTTTCAACAAAGATTATATGTCCTCCCCAAAGCCTAAGATATGTACTGTCTGAAAAGTCAATACCTTTGCAGAAAACATTTGCTGACTCCTGCTTTAAGGTATGTTCATAATAATTGGTTCCAACCCTTTCAGCGATATTCTTCTGAAACATTCTGGAACATCCTTTCCCCACCTCCCCTGCCGCACATGCACACACCCACCCACCCCCCAAAATTTAGACTTTAGAACTTGTGTATTTTGTATAAAGCAAACAACTTTTCTCCCATGCCACAAGAGTGAAGTTGTGATTTTCTGGTAAATAGGTATATAACATAGTGTATTCATTACTTGGCTCTTTGATCTGATTTTACTCTGGTTACCCAGGTAATAAAACACATTTGCCAGCATTTCTTCTGTCTCTTATATAAAAGACAAACTTAAAAGTATAGAGTGGAGATGAAATACAGATACATGTACGTTAAGGGTATCTTTTTCTAGAGAGATCTAAGTATACTTTGAGAGCATTTTTCAGTCAAATAATTGGAACTTTAAGGATGTAGAGTTAATTTGTAGTTTAACATGCCGTCTCCCCAAAAGTGGCCAATTCTGGCTTTTTCAGAACTAGTCTTGTCCTAGCACTTCATCCTCTATTCTGTATTTATACCTTCTGTATTTATTCTGTAAGTATGCCTGTACGGCTGCTTCAGTTTTTCTTTTTCTTTTTCTTTTCTTTTCTTTTCTTTGCTTTTCTTTTCTTTTCTTTTTTTTTTTTTTTTTTTTTTTGAGGGGGAGTTTCACTCTTGTTGCCCAGGCTGGAGTGCAATGGCACGATCTTGGCTCACTGCAACCTCCACCTCCCAGGTTCAAGCAATTCTCCTGTCTCAGGCCCCTGAGTAGCTGGGATTACAGGCATGCGCCACCACGCTCCGCTAATTTTGTATTTTTAGTTGAGATGGTGTTTCTCCATGTTGGTCAGGCTGGTCTTGAACTCCTGACCTCAGGTGATCCACCCACCTCGGCCTCCCAAAGTGCTGGGATCACAGGCATGAGCCACCGCGCTTGGCCTCTTTTTCTTTTTTTTTAATGATTATTCTCCCTATTCCGGTGGGAAATAATTTTTATTTTTCAGTCTTTCCTTTACTCTCTGTTTTCTGCCTTAATTACAAATTTTTTCCTATTAAATTCTCTTCCTTTTTTCCATTTTTCTGTTTAGGCTGACTTACCTACCAGATGAGAAAGCTAGAACTACTGATTTCTTCCTTTACATCAGCAAATTTTTGTCTTTGGTTTATTTCACCATTGTTGCTTATGATATAAATTATCCTTTTAAGCCCCATGTCAGGATCTTTCTAGACTATTGTATTTTTAAATTTTAGGGTTCCTACTATGATACCCTGCCCATTGACAGGTCAGTGTGGGTGAATTATCTTCAAATGTGCCAGGGACATATTATTCATTCACCAACTTCCTTTTGAGTTACATTTCAAATTTTAATTCATTGTACTTATGTGTTCCTACTTAAATAGGGAAGGAATAGGTAGTAACCTGTATTGTTTATCTAGTCTCTTACTCTGTGCTAAGACATATCACTTGGTCAAGTTCTCTGTTAATTTCTAACTCGTCTCCCTTTTTATTGTTTCCTTATGCCTAGAAATGTTACAGCATGAACCACACTTATTTTTAGCTTCTTTGTTCAATGTTTCTTCATCATTAAATGTTTATCTTCTTTTTTTAAAAAAAAATATTTTTGTATCTGGAGTTACAGTTATCATTATATTTCTATGAAAACCTGGAAATTTAAATTCTCAGTTCTCCCCACCCCTAACACACACAATCCCTATTCTACACTTGAACAAAGTGACTTTGTCTACATTTTAAATAACGTTACATTATTTTCAAGGATTTTTTCTTACAGGCTCTGAAGCATAAAGCTGTGTTTTATTCTTACTTATTGGTTTGAATCCTGGGAAATCGTATCTTGTAGGTGACATCCATTTTAAAACCTCAGTGGTGGTTAAAATTGTCCGTATAATGGAATGTAGAGTTTACAGATTCTTTGGGGTATTTTTCACTGACTCCTTTATTATTTTGTGAGGGTGTCTTTTATATTGATCTTGGGTCTAGGACTGAGTCTTTCTGATGTTTTTTTCCCTCAGCAGCTTCTGTATCAGTAGCCTGCTAATCTTTCAAACATTGGGATTAAAAAGCTGAGAAGCAAGTAGGAGAAGAGGCTTTCTTGTTGGTTGCTTCAGAGTTGCCCCTTGGCTGCCTGTATCTCATCTGGAATTTATTTCTTTTACGGGTCTAGGGTTGCAGTTATGAAGTATTGATGTGCTTCTGGCAGGGTTATCACTTGGAAAAAGGTTTTAGGTTTTGATCCACATCTTTTTGTTCTCATTTGATTTGCATGTATAGAGTAGATGTTTTGTTTGGATTTAGTTGTCCTGTTCTTATTTTTTCTTTTCATATTCTACCTTGTTGTTGGGTTTTTAAGAGTTTTTAAGAACTCAGATTTGGTCCTTGAGTTGTTCTCTGGAATTGTGGCTGCCCTGACTTGTGTGGGGTGCCATTTTTCCATATTGGAAGCATTTTGTTTGGCCTTTGCACTCAGTAATTCTAGTTGTGATATGCCTCTCCCCCTCCTTTTTTGATAGTTATTTTTCTTTTCTTGCATGCTAATATCTTCTCCTATTCTTTTATTTTAGATTTTGATGTATTCATTTCTCTTTTGTGTATCCTCTAGTCCTAGACTAGAAAGCATGCTTTCTGAGCTAATGGTTGAACGCATATTTTATGATTGCCTTGTATTGCTGTGTTGAACTCCTGGTTACCTAAATGTTATTTCCAGATGTTAATTTTTGGACAGTCCAGTTTCACAGATGCTCTTTGCTAGTGAGATGGAGACTTTCCCAGCATCTCTAGTTCTTCTCTGCCCACTTAATTTTGCCAAAACTTTTAATTTACAAACCTCAGGCCAATAATTTTTTTTTTTGTCGTTGGTCCTGTTATTTTTTCCTTCTACCGACCTCATTGGTAATTGCTCTAGGAAGAGGAATACATATAGCACAGATCTGTATGTTATGGAACCGTGTTGGAACAGTTCCTTTTGGTACCTGTTCTGAGGACCTCATTCTAGTCTGTTAATCCTGTGATCATTGGCGTTAATGTTGGGTTATTCCTCAGCAAAGTAATTGGTGTAGGAAGCTGTATTTGAGACTCATTGCTTCATAGGACCAGTTGCTAATTTTTTTTTTTTTTTGAGATGGAGTCTCGCCCTGTCCTCCAGGCTGGAGTGCAGTGACACGATTTCGGCTCACTGCAACCTCTGCCTCCTGGGTTCAAGCAATTCTCCTGCCTCAGCCTCCCAAGTAGCTGGGACTATAGGTGCACGCCGCCATGCCTGGCTAATTTTTGTATTTTAGTAGAGATGGGGTTTCACCATGTTGCCCCGGCTGGTCGCGAACTCCTGAGCTCAGACGATCTGCCCGCCTCGGCCTCCCAAAGTGCTGGGATTACAGGCGTGAGCCACCATGCCCAGGCCTGTTGCTAATATTAACTCCAAAAAAAACTAGTGATACAGATGAGTGTTTCCCTACAATCACAAGGATTCATTTCCTCTTCAGTTAGGAAAAAGAAGTAGAAATGTTATCTAAGAGGTCACCTTCAGGCTGTCTGTAAATGAGAGTAAAATTGATTAATTTTAATGTTGTTTTCTTAGAATGGTAAGCTAACTATATCAAAAGTTGACCGTCAGAGCCTGCTGTGTGTGCGCGCACACACTTCATTTCCACTGTGCAGCCTTTCTATTGATATTAGTGTATGAAGAACAGGAAATTATTCTATCAAACCATATTATTTATAATTATTTTTTCCTAACATTTTGGGAAGCAAGACCCAAGCATTTTCTTGGTTATAAAATGCAAAGTATGGCTCTAGGTTGTGTTTCATACCTGTCACCAATTGCATGCAGGTTAAACACTTTGTGAGAACAAAGCCTGTATCTGCACTAATACAGATTAGTAATACAATTGATTGGACCAATTAAAAACCAGCTGAGTATGTTCCTACCTCATGTCTTTCATGATACAGAAAAAGCATATGTGATAATACATGAAACTATTTTTTTTTATGTTGCGTCACAAAATTTCGAGCCTCTTGCATCCATTATAGGACCACTCCAGAGGCTTAACAACCATTGTGCTCCCTCTTTCTCCTGAATTTTTTTCCCTATCTGGTATAAATTTTTGTGTAATGTATATTCTCTTATAAAATAGTTGAAATATTTCTCTAGCACCCTTCTGTTTACTAGATTGACTGTTTTTTCCCTCTGTAGTTAAAAAAAAATGTGTTAAAAGCCTTGTTCTGTCCTCATCCATCTCCTAACTCCCATTTTATTCAGTGTGTTTGAGATCATTAAAGTAAATAATTTTTGTGAATATTTTATTGGCTAATAACACATACAGATAACTAATAACGTACCTTTTTTGCAAACTGCTTATACCCAAGTAACAAGCACTCAGATCAGAACACAGAAGTCACTCTGAGCTTTCTTTCTTTCTTTTTTTTTTTTTTTTTTGAGACAGAGTCTCATTCTGTCACCCAGGCTGGAGTGCAGTGGCACGATCTCGGCTCACTGCAACCTCCGCCTCCTGGGTTCAAGCGATTCTCCTGCCTTAGCCTCCTGAGTAGCTGGGACTACAGGCGCATGCCACCGTGCCTGGCTCATTTTTGTATTTTTAGTAGAGACGGGGTTTCACCGTGTTACCCAGGCTGGTCTTGATCTCCTGACCCCATGATCCGCCTACCTCGGCCTCCCAAGGTGCTGGGATTACAGGCGTGAGCCACCGCGCCCAGCCACTCTGCACTACTTTCTAATTACAACCTCCCCCTTTTCTTTTCCCCGTAACTACTATCTTGACTTATTTTTTTGTTTTTATTTTTTGAGACCGAGGCTCAGCCACCCAGGCTGGAGTGCAGTAGCATGATCTCTGTTCACTGCAGCCTCGACCGCCAAGGCTCAAGCCATCCTCCCACCTCAGCCTTCCGAGTAGCTGGGACTATGGGTGCCCACTACCCCACCCAGCTACTGTGTGTGTGTGTGTGTGTGTGTGTGTGTGTGTGTGTGTGTTTGACAGAGATGGGGTTTCACCATGGTGCCCAGGCTGGTGTCGAACTTGTGAGCTCAAGTGATCCTCCCGTCTGTGTGTGTGTGTGCGACAGAGATGGGGTTTCACCATGGTGCCCAGGCTGGTGTCGAACTTGTGAGCTCAAGTGATCCTCCCGTCTCACCCTCCCAGAGTGCTGGGATTACAGTCATGATCCACTGTGCCAGCCTATTCTGACTTTTATTGATAGTTTTGCCTGTTTTTGAACAAATCTTAAAGTCACTGTTGAGCTTGGAGGGCATCTTAAAATTTTCCTTAACATTCCTGACAGATGCCTCAGCAATTACTTGAGTACTTAAAAGGCAATTCATTCCATTTCTTAGTGGCTTTGTTCTATAGCAATGATTATCTGAAACTTGCCTTCTAGAAACTGATTCATGGTTCTAAGCATGCTCTCAGTGGTTTGCCTCGAGCATGAAATAGTACCTTTCATGGTGGCTTCCACCTCACAGTGATTCTCCCTTTGGGAATTCCATGTACAACTATTAATAATTAGAGTTAGGAAAGCTTTTGACCGAAGATAGTATCATCACATTCTCCAGATAATCTAAAATTTTGAAGTAGGAGAAATAGAGAGGGTTAGGGGTTGTTCCATCATCTTAGGCTCTTTGAGGTGCCCAGTGTCCTACTAATAAATTCTCTTCATTGTTTAAAGTAGCCTAAGCTGGTTTTTGGTAACTGGAACCATTTGTAACATAACTTCAGAAGTGATCTATTTTTAGATAGTTGAAGTGCCCTGTCTCCTATTCTCTCTCCTTCAGCCATTCCTCAGTAGGAAATAAGGTCTCTAAACCTCTCACTCTCCTAGTTCTTTTCCTATGCCAGACACTTTCTAAACTCTTCTTTGCCGCTTATTGAATGGCCCTGGGAACCAGGCAGTGCTTCTTTCAGTCAAACATGATGTAGTAACTTCAGGTATAGCCTGAAGAAGGCATTGTTATTCAGTGGAAAATAAACCCTCGAGTGGAGACCTGATTTTACTCCAGTTCTATGCTTAACTTGTTTAAGAGCCTGGATGGTTGTCTTTTGGCCTAGGTTTTTTCTTCTGTATAATAAACAGATTAGATCAGATTTTTTAAAAAGCCACTGCTTGACGTTACATTGTATGATTACTTAGTGAGCAATACAGATAAACAATTGGGACTATATACTTCTTTTACTTCGGAGATATTTTTAGAAATTCTGCCAAAGATTACATTGACTCTCTTTGCCACTCGTTGCCTGAATTCTTACCAGGTTTCTAGCCAGCTTTACTTCAATTAGTGCTTATACAGGTGAGCTTTTGAATTGTCAAGTAACTTTATACTTCTAAATTGTTAGTTTGGGTCTATTTTTGTACTCTGATGATTCTTGTTGTGTTTTGCTGCACCCGATTTAATACACACATCTGTAAAGCAACAACATGATATGGAAAGCATTGGACCCAAAATCAGACCTGTCTTCCTTGGCCTATCACTTTCAAGCATTGTGACTCTGAGCAAATCATGTAACCTGTTTAAGCCTCAGTTTCCCTCTCTGTAGAGTGAGGATAGTAAATTCCATGCTTACCTCATAGGTCTGTCAGAATTGTCCAATGAGATAATATATGTGAAACTGCTTAGTAAAGGTAGTGTTCCGTTGGCCTTCAGTCATCAAAACCATTTCTATAAATGTTGAATGGACTCCTTTGGCTGACATTTTTCCATGACTACATGGTCACTTAATATGAATTTATATAATGGGTTGAACAGATGTGAATTAGACATTGGGCTTTATGTCCCTTATTTTAATGTCCCTATTTATTTCTCTAGCTAATCTTTGAAAAGGTAGTAGCCTCTGGGTTAGTAACTACATAGCCCATCTCTGGACAGATGACGGGCTTCTGGTACTGTAGCAAATTTGCGTTCTGCCCTCTGCTCTGGCCCTGAGAGATCTGTTCTTAGGAATTTTTCTTAGTAAGGGAGAAGTTATCAGATTAAGCCTTTGTAGGAGTAGGGCATGTTTGCAGGAGTTTAAGGGTCCTTGGGGCAGTTTTGCAACTGAATCGTGTCCATTGTTACCCTAATGTTCTTTTGAATCTGGTGGTGTAGGTAGCATTAAACCAAAGCTGAAATTCTCAAGTGGCCCAGCATTATTTGTTGCTTACAGATTGTCAAACAGCTGCTCAGGAGCCACTGTGGTAGTTTAGTGACTAGACTCATGCCACTTGTTACTTCTCACATAAGCTACCTGAGGGCTGGTCAGGAAGTTTAGATGAGAGGACATAGCATTGATCACATGAGTTGCCTGCCTTCCTCTCATTTGAGTCAGAACTTAGTGTTTTGGCCTGGAGGTTCACAATTCTATCATTTGACTGGACTGTGGAATTCAAACTGTCAGTGTTTCTGAAACAATTTTATTTCAGTGAACTCTTGGTGTGACTTGCTAACAAGGCAGTTCTCTCCCTCCGATAGAACCCTTTTAGTGGATCTAAACTGAAGATTCAGCTGTGTTACTTTCACGGAACCAAATTATAAGCGATTCTGTTGAATGAACCAAGTGCTTCTGTTGTGACCTTCAGGACAAGGGAAATTGATCCTTTATTCATGATCTATTACTTACAGACTTTTAGAAATTTAATCTGTGAAAGGGTATTACTGTCACTGTCTTTGAAGGCATTATTACCAATTATAAAGCTTATTTTAAGAACAAGTTTTAACTATTTTTCTTACTGTTTGATTTGTTCAGACTAAGATTGTTTGGGCATCTTAACTTTGTTCTGGATTTATGTGTTGCCCTATCATGAAGATCCCAGAGGTGTAAATGAGTCCAGAGAAACATCCTGTCACCCATGGTCAGTGACACAACTCAGGAGTTTCTGGCTGAGATAAGACCCTTGGCCTTTTTAAGGCTAAACTGAGAGAGGGACCAAGTGGGGTGTGGTGGGGTAGGGAGAGAGGGAGACAGAGATGGAGGGAAGGATATTGATTGTGGGTTTTATGAACTTGCATACTAGGTTTATCTTAGTAAAAATGTTGATAAGTACAACTGAGGTCATATTGTCTTCTGTTTTTCCTGTGGTGGAATTAACCATGCTTTTGTTCTTCATCTCAATTGCAGGTGTGTTCATCCTCGAGGTGGTGTGATTCAGAGTGTTTCTTCATGGAAGCATGGCTCGGGCACGCAGTATGTTAGCACCAGGCAAACACAGTCATGGACTGCTGTGACTCCCCAGCAGACTTGGGCTTCACCAGCAGAAGTTGTTGACCTTACCTTGGATGAGGATAGCAGGCGTAAATACCTACTGTAATACAATGTCACTGTGTTTCCTCTGCACTGTTCCCTTCCACTTCCTCATCCTCTTTGTGACATGGAAGTTCATTGTCATAGCTTCAGCTTCAGAAGCTGTTTGTGGCATTTGTAGGATTCAAACTCATGGAAAATTCCCTCCTCTTCCCCCCTTTTTTTAATTAAAAGAAGTCACTTAGGAAAATAACATCACAGAGAAAAGAATTTCTTCTTTCCCTCAGTAGGAATATAGAATGATGAATTTTATTAGACAACTTTATTTTACTTGGTGACTTTTAATCTTAGGAAACTCTGCCTTCCTTTTAGAATAATATTTTAATTGCCAGGCAAAATGGGTTTCAGTTTTTGAATCTTGTATTTATTTTTCTGTATAATGAAATTAATATCTAGACTTGACCACTATCTGCCCACCCCATTGGCACTCCCATCTTAGGGCATTCGCACACATATCAGTCAGGTCCTTATTGGCACCTAGTAGGGCATGTGCATTTAAAAACTTGTCCTTAAAAATAGAAGACAGAAGTATTAAAATTATATTTTCTTTTATTTTAAGTCTTCTGCCTTCTTTCTTGAGTTTGCTCCTGTTGACTTCCCACAGCACAGATAATTGACATGTCCCTTTGTGTTTATAAATACTACTAAGGTGACCTAGTTGTTCTCCTTGTTGCAATAATTAATAACTCTTTGCAAAATGTCTCCTTTGAGACAGAGGCATTTCAGATAGATACCCACCATGAGGTGTTCTGGGCATCTGAAGGTATTAAGAGTTCAGTGGGAAAAATCTCTCTCCCTCGCCTTTTTTTCTGGTTTAGTCAAATAACGGGTGAACATAGAAACCTGTTGGGAAGAATATGAAAAGTTATGTGGCCTCTGAGGCTACAGGCACTTGCAAATCCGAGAGGAAAGTGCCGTCTTTCATAGCTGGTCTCTGTATAAAGAGTATGTAGCAACAACTGTTTAACATCCGAGATGAAGTGGACCTGATGCTGTATTTGGGTATTTTTCTCCTCTACCTTCTAAAAAAAAATACCATAAGAAGAATCAGAATGTACCATAAGAAATCAGATGCAAAGCACGTTAATGTCATTGGTAAGTTTTACAGAGTCTAAAAGGATTAGCAAAGGGTAGCAGGAGCTTCAGGGAATTCAGGAAATGCCAGCATTGGAATTTTGTGGCATTAGTTACTACCTTCTTTCTTATAATATGTTGTAGTTACTAGTGAATTCTTTTAAAAGCAATACCTAGAGTTAGAACACTATGTACTCTGCACAGGGGGAGTGAAGTAATATTGGCTTAGAAGACTTCACCTTTTGTTTTTCATGGTTTTTGTTTGTTTTGTTTTTGTTTTTGTTTCCATTGTTACCGTTGCTATGGCCCTTTGCCTGTCTCTCCAAATCCCCTGGTGGCTCTTCTTATCATTAAGAGTATGAGAATTACCATTTTCAGTTTTCATTCAGCAAACAAATTTACCAAGTGCCTGCTCTGCATAAGGCACTGTGAGGGGTGGGTGCTCTGGGGGCTGCTGAGATGAATGACACACACCGCACATACACATGCATCAGTGTCTGCCTGCCTCCACCTGCCCAGCCTGTTCTTCTTCTTCTTCTTCATCTTCTTCTTTTTTTTTTTTTTTTGTAAAGACAAGTTTATTCCTTTACGCTTCTTGTTGCATTAGTTCTCCTGTATGTTCCTTCTTCCACAGGAATGTATTTGTGCATATGTTCTTTGATCTTCTCTGATAGCATCTCATTTGATCTGGCCTCTGTCCTTCATCAGCTTTTATTTTTTTTATTTTTATTTTCTGCTTTTGTTAGATAAGGCTTTTAAGATCATGAACCTCCAGCTTTAGCAACTCATATATCAGTCTCTCACATGGCCACAATTCTAGACAAAAACCAAAGACCCAGAGGCCAGAGCAAAGTAGGACCTTCTGAAGATTCACTACTGGTGTATCCTTGGACCTTCACATTTTACTTTAGGATTAATTTATTGAATTTTACTGTTACACATAGTTTTTGACTTGAATTAAAATACTAGACAAAGCAGAAATGTACAATTTCTGGTCTGTGTTTTCCAGGAAATTCATAGAGAAGAGAATAGAGTGGATGATGTGACTTGAAGTTTTTGCAGCTTATTTTTTCCCCCACTGTCAGGGCAGAGGCCCATTTTAATGAATGTTTTTGCATGACCTGTTCTTATGTTAACCACATATTTTTTTTCCCAATTCCACACAGCAGGTGATTTCCCGTGTGACATATTTTCTTCATAGTCCCTAATATAGTCATCCTCTACAGAGTTGGCGTGCTGTGTGCACTGTGGATTAGGAACAGAGTGGAGCTGTAACCAGTCTCTTCTCTGGCCCTTTGCCTTTATGTCAGCTTGCACTTTTGCCTCACTTATTCCTAGTCCAGCTCCCAACTGCCTGACTTAATGGACCAGAACGGAGATTTGGATATTAAGATGCAGAGGGGGAGGGGAAGGGATGGTAGAGATAGACAGCTCTCCCCTACTAGGTTGGGTCATTTCCCCTAATAACTATAGAGAGACTGTGTTTCAACTCTCTTTTCATTGCTGTTTCCAGAAGAGTGGAGAGTGTGGTTTCAGGCAAGGTATTAATGATACAATTCCGTGGTATACAGCTCCTGTGACATTTGAAGTTTCTTTTAAAGGGGTTTTTCTTAATCAAAGTTTTACATTTGGTAGCATAAGTAGTTCTTTATGCTTCACAGGACATTGTCTTCAGAGTAATCTCTCTGCTAAAATGGTACATGTGGGTCACAGATTGGTTTATGCCACTGACTTGGTTAAGTTTCCACCCCCTCCAATTTGTGAAAAACAGAGCAGTGACCTAGCTGTTGCATCATCATGACTGCCATGTAACCTGTAATTGCTGCTCTCCAGTAATTGTCTTTTCATTTTGATGGTAGGGGCCAGACTGAATGAATAATGCATTCTTTTTTATTCAATTTATTTCATTCAGTTTATTCTTGGCAATCAAACATCCCATAAACTTTGCTTTTATTATCAATTATGAATATGAATTGTCTGGTTTACTAATGTAGTCATTTGTTCATCTTTACTTTTAGCAGATTAGCACCATAACTAACTTAAAACTAAGTTTGTTACCTGCTTTTTATACTGTCACAAAGGTTTTTGAAAAAGCTGGGGACACTATTTTGTCTTTTAGTTTTAAACTTTTTTAAGGCAAAGCAAGCTCCCCAATCCCTGTTCTCCAATATGTGTATGATGTGACTTCCATGTAGATATAAAAATGATTGTGCCCTAACCAAACTTCCTCAGATTGTGCACTGTTTGTTTAAAATAATCACGTATTTTAGTCTGATGCTGTTGTATTTTTTCATTTTATTTAAAACACTACTTACTTCTTATTCTCTTAACAAATTTTAAAAGGTAGTGATCTTAAAAAAAAATCACTGGATAACTAGGAAATATTTTTGTTGTTGTTTTGTTTCTTAAAGAGTACAGAGGCCATTGAAGCCTTTTGCTCCTCTTACCGTGAAAATGAAATGTTAGCCATTGTATGGCTAGGAACCAATGCACTTGGCAGTTAATGGATCTGCTGTTGCTGGAGTGTGAGCGTGGACTTGATGCAGTGATGACAAATCATTGCTTAGAATTAATGTTTTCAAATGTGCAACTCTAGTTTTTAAAACAAAATTTGGTTCTTTACATTCATTATTTCGTTTTTGTTTCCCTTTAGTATTTAATGGTCTTTGGAGAAAAAATAATAAAACAGAGTGTTATATATATATTTTTTGGTGCAAGATAAGATTTTCTGTTTTTTGAAATAAGTCTGTAGCATAAAGGTTAAACTATTTTAAGACAAAATAAAATAGAGTGTATTTAAACAATGATATCTTCTGAGGTTTTTTTTTTTTTTTCTTTGTCCCTATCTGCTTCAGTTAATTAGGTGGTACCTGGAGCAATTTCCAAGTTACCTTTTAAATGTGAAAGTGGATTCTATTTTGTTAACAAGTCTTATCTTTATAAGATGTCTGAGTTTTCAAAGCAAGAGCTGTATCCTTGCAAGGTTACTTGCAAAACTACTCCCAAGAAGTTTTGCAAGTAACCTTGGATAATTGTTGGATGTTGATAAAAATAGCTTTGCATTAGCTTTCCTGTAACCCCACCTGAGATTTCAAAGAGGGCCAAAGACTTATTGTTCTGGGCACCTTTACTCCTGGCAACAAAACTTCACTGCTGGTTATTACTTTGCAGAGATCAGAGAGTCAAGGTAAGATGCTGCAACGGCATGCACTTTGCATGTGGTTAAACATTGAAGCAGGTATAGGGTGTTTGAAAAATAGACTGAATAATTTTTTCCATAGTTTGGTTCTATTTTCAGATTTTTAATTTGGTTATTAAAATGATAGGAACTACCATATTAACACCTCATGATGTTTGTAACTTATCTTCACATAAAGGGGAATGAGGAACCAGGGAGAGTGAAACCTCTTTTTATTAAAACATTCAACTCCTGAATCTCTTAGTTTTCCTCAAGAATTTTTGGTTCTGCTTGTACTGGAAAATGATCTGTTAACAATTAGGAAACACAATATTAACTAGTAGGAAATATCTTCAGATTTTTGAAATTGTTCTTTTATACCACCCTGTATCTGAGACGTAGACATATTAATACCTATAAGAAATCTTTGGCTGGGTGCAGCGGCTCATACGCCTGTAATCCCAGCACTTTGGGAGGCCGAGGTGGGCGGATCATCTGAGGTCAGGAGTTCGACACCAGCCTGGCCAACATGGCGAAACCCCGCCTCTACTAAAAATACAAAAATTAGCTGGGTGTGGTGGCGTGTGCCTGTAATCCCAGCTACTCAGGAGGCTGAAGCAGGAGAATCGCTTAAACCCAGGAGGCAGAGGTTGCAGTGAGCCAGGATCGCGCCAGTGCACTCTAGCCTGGGCAACAAGAGCAAGACTCTGTCTCAAAAAACAAAAAATAAAAATAAAAAAAGGAAAACTCTTCTTTGACTCTAGAAGGAAACTGTTTACCTAGGATCTCACGTTTGAACCCTTTTGCCCTTGGATACTGCTTTTGAAGAAGAAACTAGGCACAAGTAAGTAATATAACCTGTAGCTAGTGCTTTATGTCATTTGGGCTGCTTCTTTCTGTTCTTTTGCAGGCATTTGGCCTTTCCTTCCCTTACTGTTTTGTTTTTCAGAGTAGATACCAACTATTTATAATTATAGTCTAATTACAGATAAAGAATCTTTACCAAATATATATGTATCTTTTCAGCTCCATTTTTGCAACCTAAGTAAAGTGAATTTCTTCTAGGTTTTGTTTTAACCACACTTGGAACCAAGTGCTCTATGAAAGAGCGATCCTCCTAGGTCATTGGTAGGCACGATTTTTTTTTTTTTTTCATGATTCCATGATTGAAAGCACTGATTCATAGAATTAGAGAGGTTCTGGCCTATAGTGGAACTTTGGCTGGGAGAATCTGCCTGGAGCAGAAGAAAGCAACAGTAAGTAGTGGTAGGAGCAGTGAGTTCAGAAAAAGATGCAAGTAATGATCATGAGTGTCAGAAATTTGGAAGGAGCACCCATTCACCTGATACTCTCTGTTGGTTTAATTCATTGTACACGTGACATGCCTTCTAGGTGGTGATGGCTTTAGGCAGGGATCTCTCTGTGTGATGAGGATTCCCTGCCAAGCCTTGAGGACCCATTTGATAGGGTAGTGTGAATGATGAGAGTGAGTGCTGGCAGCGAAGTCAGCCCTCAGAAAGGAAGTGTGGCAGCAGCAGCTGGTATAATCTGCTCATAGACCCTGGCCTGCTGTTGGGAACACACCTTGGTTGTAAATTATATCTGTCTAGCTTCTTACCCTTTAGTGAAGGAAGCTATTTGGTGCCAACTTTTTCTTTTTTATTAAAATTTTTTTTTCCCCATTGGCCTTGCTGAAGCTTTTAGAAGATACCAGCTTTTTCTTTTGTGCTTTGGTAATTGACATCTCAGAGTCACATCTGTTCCCCTTTCATGATTGCTCCATCCCGAGAGTGGAAAGGTAAAGTGTAGTGGACTGTTGAGCCCTCACTTTTGTGACTGATTCTAAAGCAAGCAAATCTGACTTGAGGATGGATCTTGAATTCTGCAGCATGAGAGGGTTAGATCAGAGGCCAGGTGAGTGAGTTTAGGCCTGACCCAGGGAACAGGAGATCCCAGAAAGGCCAAGTGACTGCTATAGGATTTAGTTTCTGCACCTGTAAAATGAAGAATGTCTTGGGTTTCTTTTTTGAAAGTAAAAGGCTATGTGATTTTAGGGGATGATTCATTGTTCTGCAGAGCCATCAGGCTTTTCAAGCAGTAACTCAAGAGAGCTGCTTACTCCAAAAAACTGCTCAAAAGACTGTAGTTCTGTCATCTCACTTAAGCCTTGGGAAGGCTTTGGATGACTAACACCAACAGAACCTTGAATTTCTACAAGCGATTTTCAAAGTTTTAAAAGAATGTTTATTTCAAAAGTTTCACATGGGGTAAGAAGTACAGATTATTATCCTAATTTTACAGATGGGAAAACTGGTAACAGAAGAATAACTGTGTATTTGGATTTACATAGGTAGACTTTGTGAGAGTAGATGTTTTAAAAAAATGACTCAAATTAGTACCTTTTAACTGTTCAGAAAAACAAAACCTCAATTTTCTGGTTTTCCTGCCCATTTTCTCTGCTTCTTCACTTGGGGCAGAGAAAAAGCAAGTTGCAGAATATGCACTACATGCTGCTATTTGTTTGAAATTTTAAAAGACAATATAATACTGCATACAGATAAAGGATACATACACATCTAGTAAGAGTATAAACATGCATGAGAATAATAAACACCAAATTCAGGGTAATAGTTGCCTCTGGAAGGGGAGGTATGGAGGGGTCACAGAGGACTTCAGCTTTATTGGTAAAATTTCATAAGTTGGGTAGCAAGGACACAAATGTATGTTATTCATTGTACCTTTTTGTATATTTTAAATATTTCATAATCAAATTTTTTCCTGAGAATGAAAACTCTTTTGTGACTTTCCCAATGTTAGTGGAAACAAATAAGATCTGAAGCTGATTCCCTTTAGAAACTCTCAACACTTCTTAGCTATGTTCACCAAATGCGTGAGCATTGATAAATTAGACTTTATCAAAAAAAAAAACTTGTGCCTCAAAGGACACCATCAAGAAAGTAAAAAGACAGCCCACAGAATGGGAGAAAATATTTGGAAATATTGAATCTGATAAGAGACTTGTATCTGGAATATATAAAAAACTTGCAACTCAATTCTAAAAAAAAAAAAAAAAAAAAATCCAATTAAAAAATCAGCGAAGGATCTGAATAGACTCTTCTCCAAGGAAAATATACAGTTGGTCAATGAGCACATGAAAATATGCTTAACATTTCCATCAGAGAGATGCCAGTCTAAACCACAATGAGATACGACTTCATACCCACTAGGATAACTAGAATAAGAAAGATAGGTATTGGTGAGGAAGTGGAGAAATCAGAACTGTCATACATTGCTGGTGGGAATATAAAATGGTCAGCCACTTTGAGTTTGGCTGTTCCTCAAATGGTTAAACCTAAGAGTTACAATGAATGTTGATAGCAGCATTATTCATAATCGCCAAAAGGAGAAAGAACCCAAATGTCCATCAGCCAATGAGTGGATAAACAAAATATGGTGTAGCCGTGTAAGTGAATGTTACTCGGCTGTAAGTAGCAATGAAATGCCAATACATTCTACAACATTGATAATCCTTGAAATCACGATGTTAAAGGAACCAGTTACCAAAGACCACATATTATTCCATTTACAGAAAATATCCAGAATAGATAAGTCTATAGAAGTAAAGTAGATTAGTGGTTGCCAGAGGCTGAAGGAGGTAGAAATAGGGAGTGACTGCTCATAGGTAAGGGGATTCTTTTTGGGGTCTTGAAAATAGTCTAAAAGTAGAGTGGTGATGGTTGCATCTCTGAACATTTCAGTAGCCCACCCTTATCCATGGTTTTGCTTTCTGTGGTTTCAGTAACCTGCCAATTGCAGTCTGAAAATATTAAATGGAAAATTTCAGAAATAATTCATAAGTTTTAAGTTTCACACTGTTCTGAGTAGCATGATGAAATCTCACACCGTTCCTCTCTGTCCCACCTGGGTCATGAATTATCCGTTTGTCCAGCGCATCCATACTGTATATGCTGTCTGCTCATTTAGATACTTACTAGCTGTCTTGTTTATAAGATTGATGAAAAGAAGAGTGAGTATAGTACGGTAAGATTTGAGAGAGACAACATTCATATAACATTACTGTATATTGTTAAAATTCTATTTTGTTAATCTCTTACTGTGCCTCATTTATAAATTAAACTTTAGGTATATATGCATAGGAAAAAACACTATATATAGGGTTCAGTACTATTCATGGTTTCAGGCATCCACTAGGGGTCTTGGAATCTATCCCCGGCAGATAAGGGGACTGTTGTACTAACCAGCATTGAATTGTGCACTATAAACGGGTGAATTTTATGGTATGTGAATTATATCTCAATAAAGCTGTTACATGAAAATACACATAACCTTTGGAATTGAGGGTATAGTGCCTTAAGCTGTTAATACCATGTTGTGAATAGGTACCACACTTGAGAAAATGAGTTGAGATAGTGGAGGAAGAAAGGATAGTAGGAAGGTATAACTCAGCTACAGGGGACCCCAAAGACCAAGATGGCAGTTACTGAAGGCAAGCATGACCAACTTTCTCCCTGGCTGCAGGCTTCCCTGACCCCGAGATGTGCCTTTAGTGGGAGACCTATCCTCTGTGAAGAGAAATGTAGCTTGCTGAGGTTTCTGTGCCTTCCAAACCTGCCACCCAAGGGCGAAGATTATTCAGAAAGAAACTAACCTTTATTCCCTGCTGAAATTAGAGTGCTTATCAACTTCCAGGGAGTGTTCCACAGACAGGCTTTTGGGAGGTGGGGTGAAGGATGCAGGCGTTTTTCCCCTCTGGGCAAGAACATCACCATAGCTTGTGAGTTCCTGGGCCTTCCCCTGGCTTTTGCCCAGAAAGTTTTGCAGTCGCTCCGACATACCTGCCAGAGAGCCCATAACTCTATCCTTGGGCAGTGAGGTGGGGATGGGGATGCTTTCTCATTATACATGCCCTTTCCTTCTGAGATGCTGCTTCCATGATTCCCACTCCCTCTCTTGGTTGCAAGCTCTGAGAGTCACTGTCATAACTGCTGAAATTTCGTGGCATTCCTTAGGGCTGTGAAGGCAGAAAACATGCTGGGACCTTGGCTTCAGTCAGTGCTGGGCACTTCTCTTTGGTCTATTTAATAGTCTTCTACATCTCCTCAAGTCTTGGCTAAATTCTTGCTGATTAGCTCTTTGGGCTCTTGGTAGAGTGGATTCATTTGCCATAACATTAAAAGTGGATATCTTAAGAATGCAAACCTTTTATTCAGGTGAAATATTCAAAAATTTTTCAGCATCCTTTCAGGCACCAACCAGTTAGAATTAACACTGGAGGTGTGGCTGCCACAAGTTCCTGGCAACCGCAGTCTGTGACAGATATGGAATTAACCCTAACACTGCTACACTGTGTGAATCCTGGCAGGGCTGCCAGGGTGGTGAGGAAGGCACTCAAGCAGCTCAGGGCAGGGGCCCCTTACCAGCTGGAACTGAAGTATGTCATTGTTTTAACAGCCAATAGAACCAAAGAATACATTCGCTTAACCTCCCCGGACCTCAACTTCTTCACTCATAAAATGGGGATAATAGTTCCTACCTTACAGGATTGTCATAAAGAGTTAATGAGTGGAGGCCTAGTTCACTCCATCCATCTTGTCAGCTCTACATTGGTCCTTGTTTGGCTAGCTCAGCTGAGAAGTGTGCATAACAAAATCTGTCTGTAGGCCTGCCGTCTATTTCACAGCAACACAGTTAAAGCATTACATGCATCCTTGAGACATAAATGAAGTACTTTAGAGAAAGGAGCAAGCAACAGTTGGGTATGTGATAACTGGCCTGGGGTGGTGAAAAGTCACAAGTCCCAAGATCTAGTTTTGGGTCATGTCTTCATTGCTAACAAGCTGTGTGACCTACGAGGCCAGCCACCTCTCTGGTTCTTACCTTCTTCATCTCTAAAAGGGAGGATAGTTGTATGCCTACCACCGTCCCTAGATTTGGGGGGAGGGATCAAATAAGGTAACAAGACAGCAGTTTGGAATTTGCAGATTCAGATGACTATAGAAGCAAGGCTGTTAATGGAAATAATTCGTTGGTCCAGATAAATGGGGAGTGTGGCAAACTGGATAGAGTTTATGCCAGTCTAAAGGAGGAAGCTGCAACTGTTATGAAAGTAAATGTTCAGTATTGCCATATCTATGGATTTTTCAAGAAAAGATGGAAATCTGGATTTTAAAAATGTAGATGTGGAATTTCTGATTTGTAAATGTTCATGTGTGGCCATGGTCAGGTCTACTGAATATAAAGCTTGAAAAGACCTGTTGGTGCAGGAAGAAAGAAAAATTGGGTGGACTGTCACCGATGTGCCACCTTCCCCACTCCACACTGTGAGCCTTCTTGGCACGGGATAAAAAACAGCCTAGGGTGGTTCTGGTGTTCTGACCCCCATTTTTGTGCAGACTACTGAGACCTGGAGTTTTAATTGAGGTACTGCTGTAAGGGACTGAGTGCACCCAGGGAGCTGTGGTCACTTGCATCCTTGGTCTGACGTTTCCTGTGTACATCTCTGGCTGGCTAGACAGATAACCAAAGAGAATGGAGGCCAGCTCTGGGTCATCAGTCTTGAAAGTCTTATAACCTGGATCAATCCTGTTTGTCCTCTCAGCCAGGAACTGTGTGGGCCAAACAACACTTGTCTGCAGGACTGGTTTAGCTTGAGGGCTGGGGGTTTACTACCTCTGGACTATGCACATTTCACTGGTTGAGCCAGTGCTTGGTATTTGCTATGTGCTAGGCACTCAGCCAGACCCTGGGGCAATCCTCATCCTCAGGTAACTACCTCTGTCTGGTGTAACAAACTATTGTCACAAAACCTGACAAATGCTGCTAAGATTAGCACTCAATGCAGGGTGCTTTGAGAACAAAAAGGCTCCCTAAACTAGCTGGTGGGATGGAATGAATGAATGATGGAGGAGCTCCTGGAGAAGGCAATAGTTCAGCTGAGTTTGAAGGATGAGTAGGAATTAATGGAATCCAGGGAGGTAAAGAGTGGAGGGTGTGGGTAGGAGTCATTCAGATTCAAAGTTCAGGCATGGCATGGAGGTGAGAGAGAGCATGGCTCAGTAGAGGGACTAGTAGTTGGGAGAAAGCAGAAGTGATAGGGAGCAAGCTGGAGACGTAAGAGCTATGTGGCAAAGGACCTTGAATGCCTCACTAACATTCCACAGACATTCCACCTCTGGAAACCAATAGAACATGTTTATTACCTGCAAAAAGCCTACTGTTGGAGGTAGAAAATGGGCATCTAGATACATAAATGCAACAAAGATGTACCTCTGAAATGATGGGGAACAATGTAAGTATTGTATAGAAGAGAGGAATAAGAGCCACTCTCCCTGGCAGTGGAGTGAATTAGAGGAGAATTGATATTGGAAGTAGGGAATTTTATTAGGAAGCTTCTGCAGGCATCAAAACAGATAAATGATGAAGGCTGAATCAAGGCAGTGGGAGGGGAAATGGAAAGGAGAGGTCAGAATGAATAAAGTTTGAATCTGTAGGACTTGTTCATGCAGTGTTGGCAGGGGTGAGGGATGAGGTGCAGAGCCCATGGGTGAGGAAGAAAGGAAGAAAGGCTGCCAGATGTTGCATTCGCTAAGTAGGAAATACAGAAAAGGCATCAGGTTTGGAGAGTGTAGCAGATGCTTTTGGGTCACATGTGCCCTCTGAGGTGAGGATAAATTAATTGCCTTTTGTATCCTCCATCACAGTGGTCCCCAACCTTTTTGGCACCAGGGACCCATTTTGTGGAAGAAAGTTTTTCTGGGGGCTGATGGGGGGAATGGTTTCAGGATGAAACTGCTCCACCTCAGATCATCAGGTATTAGTTAGATTCTCATAAGGAGCATGCAAACTAGATCTCTCGCATTTGCAGTTCACAATAGCATTTGTGCCCCTATGAGAATCTAATGCCACAGCTGATCTGACAGGAGGCGGAGCTCAGGTGGTAATGCTTGCTCACCTGCTGCTCACCTCCTGCTGTGTGGCCCAGTTACTAACAGGCCACAGACGGTTACTGGTCTGCGACCAGGGGGTTGGGGACCCTTGCTCTGCCATTAAGAAGAACACATGGTGCTCTTTGGCTTTGGAACACAACACATACCATATTTAGAAATACTGCTCCAAGCCATTTATTGCATGACTTGGAGCAAGGAAAGGCTCTGCAGCACAAGCCAGGCTACGATGCTAGCTGCCCTGTCACTTGGACCATATGACCCAGCAAATCCACGATGCTGGAAGTATTCCCAGTGGAGAGACATGAAGTGTGGAGTCTCTGGCAAGCTGCAATAGGAGAGGTGTGTTATAGATTTCCTAAGGATTTTGGAGCAAGGCTATGCCTTCTGCAGCAGAGAACTATAAACATTTTGAAAAGCAGATCCCAATGTGTTTTGGGTCCTGGTAGAGACAGAGCATCTGACCATTGGATATAATTAATCAAGACATCAGAGATGTTTATCATGAGCTGGGTTTTGTGCCACTCAGGTCATAAATTCAAGCAGGCCAACAGCAATTCATTCTAAGATGGAAGGTGTACAGCTCAGGGATCAGGCATGAGCAGGGCCAGAGGGTAAAAGTAAGCTGCACATGCCTCTTCCTCAGGCCCCCAAGGCTGGCACCTTGTGGCATTAATGACTCTCCTTCACTTCACACCAAAGATTTTCTTGTGACTACTCTAGAATAATCCTAGGCCTAGTTCATTGTGTTGGTGTTAGCCAAAATGGACTGCTGTTTCTACTTAAAGCCCCAGTTAAGGTAGCTCTGAAAGACAGTGGGTAGGGGAAATTCTTGCAGTGGGCAGAGCTTCAAGCCTGTTCATGTACGCCTGCTCACCAACTTAGAAAAGAGGGGAAAAGTATCCAGGCCACACAGAACTGTCTGTCACAGTTGTAGCTGAAATCAGAGGTTGAAGAAGGGGATGCGATGAAATTTCTGATTTGTAAATGTTCGTGTGTGGCCATGGTCAGGCCTGCTGAATATACAGCTTGAAAAGACCTATTGATGCAGGAAGAAATAAAAATAGGGTGGATTGGAAGTGCCACCTTCCCCACTGCACACTCTCTGAGCCTCCCTGGCATGGGATAAATCTACCACTCCAAGCCACTTAATGCCCCACATTAAGACTGTCTTGCCACTGAGTCTTCAAGGTGGCAGCCAGTCATCTCGTAAAAATACTTTGTACAGGAAAGTAGAACAGGCTACAACCTTGCTCACTGCTGCAGCAGATCTGGAGGCTGAAATTGCTGTTCATTGTCTTCCTTCTCTCTATTCTAGATTGTCCTTATTGCAATACATAGGAGTGTATGTATTTCTGTTGCTTGGACTGTATGACTTAGGGTTCCATAAGAATACATATGGAATCTTGGGCAGCAAATGGCTTGGTTGGTCAGTAAGGGGCCTGAAAGGGAAAAGATGAGAAAGGAGACAAGGAGGTCTGGGGAAGACGCATGTGGATGATCCCATGGGAGTGGGCACAAATGCTTCCTAGAGAGCATCCACCATGGGAAGGGTGCCGAACAGCAAGATGGACAATGTGACTCACCCTGTAGAGGCCAGCTTTGTCCCCAGGGCTTGCACAGTAAGCCTATGAATGGAGTAGCCATGGTGACCAGGATGGAGGTGAGGCATGGGCCCACGGAGATAGCTACTGCCACTGCTGACTGGTGATCTGTCAGTGCAGAGACAGGCCCTGTGCCTTTGATCAGCCAGCCACTTGAGGCATCTTGACTACACCAGGGCCCTTCTACCTTGGAAAGGGCAGCAAATCCTTTTTCCTGGTGTTGCTACCTCTGGTGTTAAGCTGAGGGTTTCTGGAGTGCCTGATTTATCTACATATGATGCCTCATCACATCACTGTAGATTAAGAGGCCCATGTTGTGGCAAATTAGGTGCAATAAGGGTTGCATGACCGGGGGTTCACTGATGTGGTTATATACCGCAACTAGGGGAAGCCATGGACCTAATAGAATGATGGGATGGCTTGTTAAAAACTCAGTTTCCCAGAGTCAAACCATAAAGGTAAACAAAAAACAACAACAAAATATATATATATATATATATATATATTTAAAAACTCAGTTAAGGTTCCCAACTCAAGGATGATACACTGGGATTGGCTATTGTCATTCAGGATATAGCTGATACGTGGTACCAGTTGCTGGAACACACAGATTCGGGAATCAAGGGTAGATACAGGATTGGTCCCTCTCACCATCACTCTCAGTGATCCACTAGCACCAAGGTGAAAGAATGTCTAACATTCAGAAAATACACTCAAGAATAGGTCTGAAATCCAGGAGAATGTCTCTTGGTGCCATGGGCCCTTGTAGCAAGCATGGCCTGAAAAAGCGAAGTCACCTGAGGGCTCAGACCCCCAGGGATATCAATAAGTGTCAACCCATCAGGCAAGCAACCTGGAACAGCCCAAATGCTGAAAATGAGGAAAATCCTGAATAGAGGCTGGAGAAGGAAGACAATGAACAGCAACGTCAGCCCCTGGATTTACAGCAGCAGGGAGCAGGGTTGTAGCTCCTTCTGTTAACTTTCTTGTATGAAATCTTTTTGCTAGATGTCTGGCTACCACCTTGAAGACCCAGTAACAGAATGGACTTAATGAATGTGGGGCATGGGTGGATCAGAGTGGTGCAAGCAGGGAGTAGACCACTTTCCATGTCCTGCGTCACATCCCCTTCCTCGGCCTCTGACCAGCTGCAGCTGTGGCAGGCAGTTCTGTGTGAGCTTGGACTCATGCTGACAGCACCCCGATTTCCATCACACGGAGTGCATCATTCAGATTTCTATTTCAGCTCCTCCTCCGAAGTCCCAGGAGTCTGTTTGGCTTGTGTGACTCAAGCAGAGCCCAGAAATTAGGGGAGTTAATGGCCCTGGGACAACCCTCAACAATGGAGGATGGGAGCCGGTAGACATATGCCCCAGCCTCTTTGAGTTGGACAGTTCTGGGAAGCATTCTGTATGTTTTTCAGGAGATCCCAGCGGAATTGAGCCCCCATTGCTCATGGCAGTGACTTTGATGATGGACCTTATATTGGCTTTTCCTCCTCACTCTCACTTTTTCATTCTCCTCAATTCCTCACTTCTATGTCCTGAGATCAACTCCCAGTTAAACCACCTGCATCTAAATCCTTGTCTCAATCTCTGCTCCTAGGAGAATTCAAACTAAGACAGGAAGGAAAAGGTCAAGTTCACTCTGAGCTTGACGTGCTGAAGAGACATCCCGTGGAAATGTGCAGCAGGCAGTGGCCACGTGACTTTTGGAGATGCTGATTTATGTATCAGCATGTGGTGACAGATAAAACCACAGGCTAGAGAAAATGCATTCCTAAGAGGCCAGTGCAGAGGCATCCTTCCAAGGCAGGGGTTCTCAACCACGAGCCATTTTACCCCCCAGTAAATATTTGGCAATGCCCGAGGACATTTTTGGTTGTCACAACGGGAACAGGAACCTGCTACTGGCATCTAATGAGTAGAGGTGAAGGATGCTGCTGAACATCCTACAGTGCACAGGTCAGAACCCCATAACAAAGAATGATCCAGCCCAAAATATCACTAGTGCCGAGGCTGAGAAACCTGTTCTAAGGGCATTGCAAAGTACCATGAGAGTGATGCTGTGAAAGCTGGTTTCACATAGCCAGAGGGGCCAGCAGGCAGTGCTGCAGGGGCCATGGGAAGTAAGAACCAATTATTGCCCATTGAGCTCAGCACCATGGGGCAGAAGCCAGTGCCTTGAAGGCAGTCGATGAAGATGAGTACAGACTCTTTCCAGGAGCTTTGAGGGGAAGGAAAAGAGCAAGTGTTTGGGCTTAGCCAGAAGGAGCTGTAGAGTCAAGGAAGAGTTTTAAAAGATACTGGAATGATAAACATCCTGTATATGCTGATGACAAAGCACCAGTTGGGACACCAGAAAGGGATGACTGATGGAAGAGAGAGAGCCCCGGGACATAATGTGGTACTCAAAGCCAGATGAACTAACTTGGATCAGGTAAGGAAAACCTTCCCTGGAAGCTGGAAGGAGGCAAGGGTGGGCATAGTTATACCTACAGTTGTCAGGGAGGAAGGGTAGACTGTCGAGAGAGTTAACCTGTGAGCCTTTTTTGTTCTTTGCTTGTTTTGCAGGCTATAAGTGCAGAAGTGATAAGGTAGGAGGCCTGGTATTAATACCTCCTTGTTGATTGATTACATATGGTGGTTTACTGCAGTTTGCATTGCTCTGCTTTCCCGAGGGTCTTCTTGGGAAGTTTGTCCTTCTTTCCTGGTGTGTTTTAGAGGTAAACACAGGGCTATCCCAGAAACTCGGGTTTCTCTTGAGATGCCAGCTGAGACTCCCGTCTTCTCTGTGGAAAGCCCTGTGGAAACTCAAAGTTCACTCCAAGATGTTTGTGGACTTCAGGTGTAGGTTCTTGGGGTTACCTCTGCCTCTTGGTTCCTGTGTCTGCATGTGCTCCCTCTGTTCTGCCATGGACTTCAAACTTGGACATGAAACCTTTCTCTTACTCCACAGAACTGCCAGGGCCCAAGCATTTGGGTGTGGGCTGGGTCTACTGTAGATCTTGTAGTACCCTCGTACCATTTTGTGAGCACCTTGCGATCCTCGTTTCTTCACTGCTCCTCATCTGTTTCCCTGCAAATTTCCCCATCTCCAAATCCCTCTTCGACTATTTACCCAGCTGTCCTGAGCTCCCCACCCCGAAACAGGCTTAGCTCAAACTATCATGGTGCACAGTAGATAAGAAAGCCTCCTTTTAGTCGAATTTACGCTCCAATAGAAGGCGGTTATTGTGAAAAATAGTGAAAATGTACTATCTGTAAGGCCACAAATTGAGTAGTTAGGGTTTGGGAACCTCAAAGAGGTCTCAACTGGGAAGGCCCCACTCTTCAAAGACCATAGTCTCATCTGTAAGGAATTAGCTTTGCCAGGGACACTGTAGGGAGTTGAAAGGCACAGCAAAGGTAGAGGCAAATGAAAGGCCCAGGTGGGAAGAGGGTCCCGGCCAACCCTGCCCCCTCTGCTTGTCTCCAGAGGACTGGCCTAGAGGTCCAGAGGCCTGGCTTCTGGAACTTGCTACTCTACTTATCAGCCTATTATCTTAGGCCTTGGTATTCTCATCTGTAAAGTGAGTATAGTGAGGTGGGAACAAAGATTTGGTGATATAGGATATATGCTTACCTGCCTCAGTAGCTACTTGATATGTTTTTGAGATAGGGTCTCATTGTTGCCACCCAGGCTGGAGTGCAGTGGTGCCATCATGGCTCACTGCAACCTCTGCCTCCTGGGCTCAAGTGATCCCCACCACCTCAGCCTCCTGAATAGCTGGGACTACAGGTGCAAACTACCACACTCGGCTATTTAAAACAATTTTTTGGCAGGAGATAAGATCTCACTATATTGCACAGGCTGGTCTCAAACTCCTGGCCACAAGTGATCCTCCTGCTTTGGCCTCCCAAAGTGCCGGGAATACAGGTGTGAGCCACTGTGCGCGGTCAGCTACTTAATATATTTTACACACTATATCCCGTCTTTGATTTTGCAACAAGAGAAAGGCCCAGGCCTTAATATTTCTTGCTTGGATGTTCAGTATCATAAGCTAAATGGTTCTACATGATGAGCTAAATGATTCAACAGCTTCCTTCTTCCATGCTGGCCAGTCAGCCAGCCACAGTGGTCTGGGTGGAGACACAAATCCCTGGGGCCCCTCAGGAGCCTCTGCTCTACCTGAGAAGATGAAATGATTACAGACAAAGCCATCGACCACAGCGGAGACAGTGTGGGACTGATGGCCAGGGAAGAATTTGTTTTGGAAATAAAAATGAATTAACATTTTATTTTATTTATTTGATTATTATTATTATTATTTTGTATTTTGAAACTGGAACTCCCTCTCCACAGCCACGCAGAGCAGAGCCCTCCTGCCCAGGGGCACTTTACCAGGCTCATGATGCAGTCCCGGCAGTGCCCAGCAGAGGCCAACCTAGCTCTTCCCTAGTTCCGTCTCTGGCAGGAGAACGGAGGACTTGCTTGGAGATTTGGAGGCTGTTTCTCTAAGCTAATGTTTTGAAAACTTTGTTGACTATGATTCACAGTCAGACATAGATTTTATATCATGAGCCAGTATAGGCTTATGCACATGGATGTTTTGCTGAACAACACTTACTGTCACTACCTGAGTGTATTCTTGTCTATTTCTGTTCAGGTCTGCCAGATTGGGTCATTTAAAAGATGCTGCTTACACCCACTGGTTGATCTCACAACCCACCAATAGATGGAGACTTGTACTCGGAAACCCACTGGGAGTCTAGACTGGGCATGTGGGTCCGGTGGTGGGGGAGAGCTTTGGGGTCACCTGATAAAGGGCCTCCCAGCACAATGGTTACTCCACCCCTCTGTGTTCAGGTTTCCTTGAGGGTCTCTGAAATGGAATGGTAGTAGCACCTACTTGTAGAGTGCTTGTGAAGATTAAGGGGCCGTTGGTGTGAGGTGCTTAGGACAGTGCTTGCCCCCAGGAGGCGTTCAGTTTCTAACTTTTTCCAGTTAGAAACAAGGATTGCTGTGGAGTGCGCAGCCTGCCTGGGTGTCTCGTGGATTCATTGACCCAACCTCTGTTGACACTGGTTACCAAAGATAACAGAGAAAGCTGTGGCCTGGCCGGGGTAGTGGAGGAGCACACAGACAATTAGAATAGATGTGATAAGGGCTTAGGTGGCGATGACCACCGGGTGCTCTGGGATCATTTGGGCACCTGGAGGACTCCTTAGCTCAGCGGCTCTCCGAATGTGGTCTCTGGACCCACAGCAGTAGCAGTCTCACCTGGGAACTTGCTAGAAATGTATATTTTCGGACCTTAACCGAGATGTATAGAATCAAAGTCTGGGGCCGTGCCCAGCAATCTGTTTTCATCAGCCTTCCTGGTAATTCTGATGCCTGCTCCAATTTCAGAATGACTGCACTGCCTTTTGTTACCAGATTTGTTGCAAGTTACAGTCATCTACGGAGCTTTTGTCTAGGGTGCGCCCTGTACTGATTTAATCGCAATGTCTAGGAGTGGGAGTCAGGCAGCAGGATTTTTACAAAGATTCCCAGGTAATTCCAGTGTGCATTAAAGTAGGGGAACCACTACCCTAACCCAAACCTGGACAGTGGGGCACCAGAGAAAGCTTCGTGGAGGGGTGTCAGATAAGCAGAAACCTTAAATGCAGTTGGGACTTGATAGTGAACATACGTTGGAGGGGAATGTGGAGGGCTAGGAGGCCACTGGTGTCCATAGACATTTCTGAAGAGACTATAATCTAGTGTTAAGAAGCTGGACTACAAGAGTTCAATGTTCCAATGAGCTATGATCATGTCCCTGTACTCTGGGCTGGGTGACAGAGCAAGACGCTGTCTCTAAAAATAAAGAAGCTGGGCTATGGGAATAAGTCACCTGGGTGCGAATCCTGCTCCGCCCTTACCAGCTGTGTGACCACAGACAAGTCACTTAACCTCTCTGTTCCTCTTCCACACGGGGTTTCCGTGAGGATTAAGCACATATAGAAGGCACTGGTGGTATGGGCGTTGTAATCATAAATTGAGCTAAAGGCCCAGCACTAAACCAGAATGTTTTGGGGAGCTTAAGAGTCGCAAGAGATGGCACCAGCCAGATGAGAGGACAAAGCCACAAAAGGCTCTGGACCTAAAGGCACTGGGAAGCCATGGAAAGTGGCATGCATGGGGGAGCCACATGGAGATATGTGTGGATGTGCCAGAGAGCAACAAGGTGGAGGAGAGCAATCAGGGAGGGGCTCGTCCCCAAGAGACGGGGGAGATGTGACAGTGCCTGCCTGCCAGAGAGATGACTGAAGAGCTGAGATGGTGAAATAGGCAGGACTTGGAGACAGATTAGATTAGGTAGGAGTGGGAGAGGAGATGAAGAAATGTCCCTATTTCTGGGCTGGACGAATGAGGTGGTTGTGTCCTGATTTGGGGCACCCTTGCACACCCAGTTCCAGCACCAGGCTCTCTCTGTTCTGTAGACCGAGGCTGGGCCATAGGCATAGTGAGAGGAGCCTGCTGACTCACACTTCCCCCCACCCGACTTCCCAGGAACAATTTGAGTGTTTTGGAGTCATTCGTCATCCCTCGGTTGAAGACAGTGAAGGCCCATCCAGGCAGACTTACTTCTTGTTACTTGAATGTGTCGTGCATGTTCCCACCTCCAGGACTTTGCCCACACCTCCGCCTTTCCTCCCTGTCTACCAGAACCCAGCTGACCATCATCCCCTCCTCCACAACACAACCCTCCTTTAAGGCTCACCGCCTTGAGCCCTCCTGACCTCAGCGATTGTCCTGGAAGTGGGCAGCAGTCATGGATTGCTAGTCAATAGGATGTCAGTCCCTGCACCTGTGGCAACTGAAATATTAAGCTCCTGGAAGCTGAAAAGTGCCTCCCAGGTCTCTGCCCCTCCCAAGATGCCTGGCCTAGTGTTTTGTCAGACAGATGTAGGATGAGGGCCCTGATTGGACTGGGAGGAAAACACAATTCAATTACCAGCCAGGAAGGACTTGTTGAGAATTAGATTATCAGCCCCTGGGGGCTCGGTGGGAGAGAACAAAGGGTGGAAACTTCTCACAGGATTGCCCTCCCTGGGTCTCAGGGCATTGGGTATATCAGTTTCTGTAATGTGGTGCCTCTCCCATCCAGCAAGAGAGGTGGAGACAGCTGGGCTGAGCCCTCTTTGGCCTCTGCCAAATCCCCTCCAGTCAGCTTCTCCCGGTGCCTGGAGGTAGAGGTGAAAGATGACACCAGCACCCACAAGAGGCAGGACCACGGCCAGTGCTCTAGAAAAACCACTTGGCCCCTAAGGACTCCCTTACTGTGTGCCTATGGCCATGTTAGGTGCTGCACAGGACGTGCCAGAAATATTCAGATGGAAGCCTCAGAAATCATAGAAAGCCCCAGAAACAATGCCAGGGTAGAGGAAGTAAGAACTTGGACTTTGGACCCAGATAAACCCAGGTTTGGACCCTGAAATTGTTCACTGTCTAAGGCTCAGTGCAGGAGCCTGAACCTCTCTGAATCAGTTTCTTCATCTGCTAAATGGTCATAATAGCAGCTGTTATTCAAGTGATTAAAACTTTACACACACACATATATATTCAAAAGTATGATACAGTGCTAAGTGATACACGTGATGAAGCATTGTGAAGTCCTTGAGCGTGGTGTCTGGCATAGAGCAAGCTCCCAGTATGTGGCAGCTATTACTACTGCTGTTGTTTCATTCTGGTTCTGAATAATTACCACAATTGCAGGAAGGGAGAGTCCACCGAGTGGTCCTGAATGGCCGGAGAAGGAGACAGGACTTTTAGGATGAGTTCAGAAAGAGAGGAAGGACCAACCAGCCAGAGGGAGCAAAATGTCCCGATTTCCAAAAAGTGAAGAACATGATTCCTGGGATGTAAGCTTAACGACACTCAGTAGCATTCTAGAATTATTAAACAGGTGGTTTGGGAGCACTTTGCGAAGAACTGTGCCCATCCTGGAATTAACTCATTAAAATCATGTCAAATCAAACTCCCAGGGACTTGCGTTATCAAATAATTTTGTTTTCTTTTTCTTTCTTTTCTTCCTTTTTTTTTTTTTTCTTTTTTTGAGATAGGATCTTGCTCTGTCACACAGGCTGGAGTGCAGTGGCACAATCATGGCTCACTGCAGCCTTGCCTTCTTGAGCTCAAGCAATCCTCCAGTGTCAGCCTCCCAAGTAGCTGGAACCATAGGTGCACACCACTATGCCCGGCTAATTTTTTTCTTGTGTGTGTGTGTGCGTGTGTGTGTATTTTGTGTAGAGACAGGGTTTTGCTGTGTTGCCCAGGCTGGTCTCAAACTCCTGGGCTCAGGTGACCCACTTGTCCTCTCAATGTGTTGGGATTACAGGCATGAGCCACCGTGCTCAGCCAATAATTTTTTTTCATTCACGTCACATATTTATTGTCAGCATCATAGGAAATGCAAAGGGTATCATCACAAGGCACTGAACGAAGTCTCCCATGCTCTCTGTGTGGTCATGAGAAAGTGATGTGTGAACAGGGGGATGTCCCGTTAGGCGAAGTCCATGACAGTGGAAGCCAAGGGGCTCTAATCCAGTCACTGGAGGGTCAGAGGAGCACCCTGACCCTCTCTCTGATGGGGAGGGATGGCACATTAGAGAATGTCAGTGGCTCTGGAGGCGCCAGCCATTTAAGAGTGAAAAGCAATAGCAGGACAACAGAGAAGTAACATCATACATGAAATTATTCTTTGTAATAATGGCAGTAATATACATTCATGGTAAGAAATTGGGAAAATACAGAAGATTGTAAAGAAGTAACTAAAAGACACCTACAATTCTAACTGAATGGCATGATTTAATAACACGGCTGACAAGAATTACCGGCAGAGTGGAATTTAGGTAATATAGAAGATGGCAAGGGGTTCAGAATTGTTGAACCTAGAAAAGGGGTCATGCTCTCAGTTTTTGAGGAGTCAACAGGCTGTCAGGAAGAATCTGTAGTCTATCGGGTACCATTCAAGGGGGCATGAGTAGAACACAGAGGCTCAGAGAGGCCAATTTCAGCTCATGGACAATGGGAAGAGCGTTCCAGGAAGAAATTCTCCCTCAGGGGTCAGGCTGCCTTGGGAGGGAGGGGAGTGCCCATTCCTGGGAGTATTCAGTGGAAGCTAGTTCTTGTGTCACTTTCTTCTCTGAATGTTACTGAAGATTCCCTGCCCTTCTCTGGCTCCTTTCAATGCTAAGATTGTATATCTATAGGTGAAGACATGGAGGCAGAAATAAATGTGTTTAGTTATCGCTAAGGGAAATAAACATGATGCAAAACAGTGTGCTCTCAATTTTGTTGGAAGAATATAGTTAAATTCATTGAAAAGAGATGGCAAAGAAGTGAATATTAATGCTTGGACTGTGGGAGATGTTTTCACCTTTGGATTGTTTTGATTTTTCCAACTTTTCTACAGTTGACTTATTTTAAAACCCAGTAATGTATCTGCTACATGTGTGAAGTACTTTCTCTACTGAAACAATAGATTAGGGCAGGGGCAGGAGGGAGTTTTTTTGTAGGTATGTACATAGGGTGGGATGGATTGCAGAGGGCCTTGAAAGTCAGGCAGGACTGTTTAGATTTGAAGGTCACTATAGTGGCAATGAAAATGACTTTATTTGCTAAACCAAACTCAGGACTGATAATCTAACAAACAATAGCATGTTAATGGGGATAAGAGGACAGAATACAGTATTTGAAATTGCAAAACTCTCTGAAAAATCATGTCTTAGCTTGGGTTGCCATAACAGAATACCATAGATTGGGTAGCTTAAATAAAAGAAATTAATTTTCTTACAGTTCTGGAGGCTGGAAAGTCAAGATCAAAGTCCATCAGAGTTCAGGTTCTGGTGAGAGCTCTCCTCCTGGGCTGCAGACGACTACCTTTCCATTTTGTCCCGACTGGTAGAGAGAGGGAACGCCATACTCTCTTCCTTTTCTTATAAGGACACCAATTTCATCATAGGGTCCACACCCTCATGACCCCATCTAAACCTAATTGCCTCTGAAAGTCCCCATCTCTAAATACTATGACCTTGGGGCTTAGGGCTTCAACATATGAATTTCAGGAGGACACACACATTCAGTCCATAACGATCAGTATTACAATTGGGAGCCTCATGGGATTCTTAAGATAGTGACATTCATTTGCTTATTCATTCATTTAGCTTAGTAACATTTATGAAGCCCTAGCTATGTGCTAGACGCTGATGTGCATATGATGTAATTAGGTCTTGTGGGAGCTGAGTATGGGACACCCTGGAAGATGAAAGTTAAATTCATCAGGTCAGTTAGCAGGTCCCTGAAAATCTGGGTGAGGGATCTAAGTCTCAGGAACAGGAGTGGTGAGGATAGGAATTCTGGTGATATTTAAAGAAAGCCTTTGCTTGCTTCGCAGTTGCGCTAAGGGTTCTTTTCATTACCCTGAACAGGGTAGGGTAAACAGTAGGCACTCAACATACATTAGGTAAGTAATGGGAATGTTTCTGTGGGTAGAAGGGCTTGAACTGAACCTCAAATGAAGAATAATTATTAATCAACATTTTGTTGCAATAAACATACCCTGAATTCTTACCGTATGCCAGCTATATTGCTTAATGCTAAAGCTACAAGGAAGAGACGTAGCCATCACCCCAGAGGCATCCACAAAACGACAGTCTGAGAGGAGAGACACAAATGTAAGCAATGAAAGCACTTAGAACAGACTAATGTAATGTGAACTGTGAGCCCAGATAGAGGTACAATTATTCTAGTCTGTAGGGGTCAAGGAAGACACCAGAGAGGAGGTGACATCTGAATTGGGCACACGGAGAATTCTCTGGGATGGTCCATGGGTGGGATGGATGGTGGAAATCATTCCCAGCAGATGGAAAAACAAGGTCTACGATATGGTGGCGAAACGATGGCATGGTCCTTCTCAGTCTACTTTGTGTTTGCATTTATTTCCAGCATTCCTTAAAAGCTGGTTGGGGGCTGGGTGCCTGTAATCCCAGCTCCTTGGGAGGCTGAGGCAGGAGGACTGCTTGAGCCCAGGAGTTTGAGACCACTCTGAGCAACATACGGAGATCTCATCTTTATAAAAAATAAAAAATTAGCCGGGGCATGGTGGCACATACTTGTGGTCCCAGCTACTCAGGAGGCTGAGGTGCGAGGATGGCTTGATCCTGGGATGTTAAGGCTGCAGTGAGCCGTGATCATGCCACTGCACTCCAGCCTGGGCGACAGAGTGAGACTCCGTCTCAAAAAAAAAAAAAAAAAAAAAAGAAACAAAAAACAAAAATGCTGGTTGCACATCTGTAGGGCTGTCAGCCCAACTAATCTTTATCCCTTCTGAAAACTGCTCCATCCCAGTCTACATAATTACAGCAAGAAGAGTTATGAGGACATACCTGTCTGTCAGGCCAGAGTTGACTGGTCCAGGGATGGAATCCTGACCAAACTGGGATGTTCAGAGTCCCTCCAGGGAATTTGGAACTGGGACACTAGATCACTGGCTGGCATCAGTCTCAGTGATCTCTTGCAGTCACTGTAAATTTGAGAGCTGCGGGTCTAATATCCTATCTTGTGAATTGGGCATCAAAGAGGGCCAGGTCCCGGTGAGGAAGAAATGAGATAGGTATGCCAAGAAGGGCCAAGATGAGACATACTGGGAGGGGACTGTCTGCATGTCCTCCAGTGGTCTAGCCCCTGGCTACAGCCCACTTCTGAAGTCCTGTTGTGGGGTCCGTGGGAGATGGACTGAGCAAAAGTGAGGTGAAGGGTAACATGCATTCTCACATCCTGGAGGGTCTGGCAGTAAAGACATCACTGAAACCGTGGCTCTTTTCAGACTCAGGCTATGTACCCACCCAGTGTTAGGGAATTTAACAGTGAAAGAGCACTATGTTTTACATCAGTGTATTTTAGAGAAATACACTATATGAATGTATTTCTAATATGTGTAGGTGTTAAAAGGTGGAGATAAAAACTTTAAGCCAGGGCAGAAAGTAGATAGAGAATAATAAATATGCCATGATGTAATGAATCCTTTCTGCCAAAAGCCACTCATCTGAGATGGCTGAAGGATCAGAAATCCATTTGCCTTGATCAATTACAGGAGCAAAATTCTGACACAGCCTATTTCTCTCTCTCTTTTTTTTTTTAAGGGACGGGGTCTTGCTCTGTTGCCCTGGGTGGAGTGCAGTGGTATGATCATAGCTCAGTGCCGCCTTGTACTCCTGGGCCCAGGCGATCTTCTTGCCTCAACCTCCCCAGTAATATGATGACAGATGCTTACTACAGTGCCTGGCTATTTTTTTTTTTTTAATTCTTAATTCAGACGGGGATCTCACTATATTGCCCATGCTGGTCTCAAACTCTTGGCCTCAAGCAGTTCTCCTGCCTCAGCCTCCCAAAGTGCTGGGATGAGCCACTATGCCTGGCATCATTTCTAAATCTGATTTTAGTTTGTGGATTATGTCTCCTCGTTGACTGGAATGGGGATATCAGGGAAGAGTGAGTGGTATCAGGGAAAACAGATCTCTGGAGCCTTCCCAAATATTTCTTGCTATGCAGCCGCTGTGTTTGCTATCGCCAGGAAAGGTTTTGATGCCTCTCAAGTCACAGCCAGATAACTGAAAGAGAGTCCTGGCATAGGGTTCCTACTCCCCTCCCCACAGCCTAAGAGTTCTGTCTACACACTCCTAGAGCACCATCCTTTCTGGGTCATGGAGTTTATTTCACCATGGTGTCAATTTACTTGTCTGTTCCCTTCACACACTCTTTCTGGCCAGAGCTGTATCCCCAGTGAAAAATGTAGTGCCCAGTACATAACAGGACTTGGTAAGTATTTGTCAAATGAATGAATGCAAAGCAAATTAGTGGGGAGAGAGCGTAGAGTCAAGACCAGTGAGAAGGCAGATGTAGTAATCTTAGAGATCATAGGAGTGTTTAGGGGGTGGGGACAGAATGAAGGGAGAGCACATTTCTACTGAGTAGGTGGCCCTCGAGGCTGCCTGAGTAGGGGCTCACACACCACTCAGTGCCACTGACCACTGAGGAATAGCAGGAAGCAAGTGGCCCAGACACTGACCTGGCACCTTCCCCAGCTGCCTGACCTGCAGACCAGGACAGACAATTTGGGGCATTTTTCATTCCTTATGATCAGACGACTCCTCGAGAGGCATTTAGCAAGAACAGGCCACCCCCAGCTCCCATCGTACCCACTGGCTGATTTGCAGTGTTGCTTTTCTCAGGGAGTCACTCCCCACATCTCCAGGACCCCTCTTTGCTGGGGTCATTCAGAACCTGCCTCTCTGGCTGGGTGCAATGGTTCATGCCTGTAATCCCAACACTTTGGAAGGCTGAGGTGGGAGGATTGCTTGAGGCCAGCAGTTCAAGAACAGCATGGGTGACATAGTGAGACCTTGTCTCTACAAAAAATAAAAAGATGGGTGTGATGGCGCACACTTGTAGTTCTAGCTACTTGGGAGGCGGAGGCGAGAGGATCCCTTGAGCCCAGGAGTTCAAGTTTACGGTGGGCTATGATTGCACCTCTGCACTCCAGTCTGGGCGACAAAGCCAGATCCCATCTCTATTAAAAAGCAAAAGAACCTGCCTCTCTTCTCCCACTGTCCCTCAGAGGCAGCCAGCGGGGGGCCTACATCTGCACACAGGGTCTTCTGCCCGGAGTGCCATCTCCTGGCTGCTCTGAGCCTTCCAGGCCCAGCTCAGTGCCATCGCCTCCAGGAGCTTTTCTCCTCAGAGCACCCTTGCCATACCCGCCGACTCTTGTCACCTTTGGTACCTGCACAGGGATCTGCAGCTCACAGTGTGCTTTCCCAGCCGCTATCTCAAAAAAGGTCTCATCCATGCTCATTTTGCAGCACAGCACACAGGCCTGGGGAGGTCATGTGGCAGAGCTGGACCAGACCCAGGACTCCTGAAGCCAAGTTCATTGAACTTTCCACCCTTAGCACCTTGCTGGACACACTCATCCCCTCCACTAAGAAACACCTAACAATGGAGCCTGGATATTAGTTTCTTAGTCCTTCCTCCACACCACGCCCAGGATGATATTTTGTGCCAGGTGGTCAAGTGGTCAGAATGTTTGCTGAATTGAAGGTGGGAGGCAGAGGTTAAACCCACCTCAGACTGGAGGCTCCCCACCTGGAGAGGTTGCACCAGGAGAGGCCCTAGCACGGTGTGCACATGGCCATCTGGTTTGGTAAATTTGACTAAGATAGTTTTAAATGGCACTGGTTCAGTCCATTGTCCCTTTCCTCTGCTGCCCCCTGTCACACTTCCTCTTATGACAGATGGTGTTGGGGTGGCTCTGGGTATTTGGGGATCTGGCTAAGGGGAAGTGGAGTTGGAGGTACATTGAGTTAGGGTTAAGTGGGGTTCTCTTACGTGGCTCACAGCCACTTCCGTGTATATTTTGCTTCTTGCTAGTCATCCTAGTGTAGAAATGGCTTCTCAGGCGACTCCTGCGGCTCACTACTGACTCCTCCAATGCCATGACATGAAGGCTTAGGGCCAGCAGCTGTTTGCAATATGAGTGTGTCTGGTGAGGCTGGACTGTGGTATATGTGGGTAGTGTTGGAGAAGTAAGGTTTGAAATGAAAGAGCCAGAAGCTGGTCTGGGGAACATTCTTCTGACCATCAAATGCATAACATCAGAAGCTTGGGCTCGTCTCAATGGAAGTACAATCCTATAATGCATACCATACTTTTTTTTTTTTTTTTTTTTTTGAGAAACAGAGTTTCACTCTTGTTGCCCAGGCTGGAGTGCAGTGGCATGATTTTAGCTCACTGCAACCTCCACCTCCCAGGTTCAAGTGATTCTCTTGCCTCAGCCTCCCGAGTAGATGGGATTGCAGGCACCTGCCACCACACTCGGCTAATTTTTTTATTTTTAGTACAGACGAGGTTTCACCATGTTGGCCAGGCTGGTCTCGAGCTCCTGACCTCAGGTGATCCACCCGCCACAGCCTCCCAAAGTGCTGGGATTACAGGCGTGAGCCACCTCGCCTGGTAACAATACTTTGTTTTTTGTTTTTTTTTTAAGTGGGAATCATATGTAATAGAATATATTTCTATTCTGTAATAGAATCAGATTTTTTGGTGTGCAATTTTCTGGCTGATTTGAACAAGAAAACTTGAAATGCCCTCAAATCTTATAGCTCATGTCCAAAAACTGATAGAGGTTTCCCCAACATTAGCAACAACCCTCAACAGTTACATGACAATACCAATAATAATTTGTGAATGTGAATTTTCTAAACTGTCCATAATAAAAACCAAATTTGGATTAACCATGTTAGAGAAAAGACTAAAATATCTTTCTATTTTCTCCATGGAAAAAACATTACAAAATTGTCCCAAGAAGAGCTAATCAAAAGGTATGCAGCCCCTCAAAAAATATACAGGAAAATTTTAATAGAGGTGGATTGGGCTGTTAACTAATAAAAAGGTTGTTTTATTTTTCTGGATTTTGTGATATTTGTGGTAGTTCTCCGCTTTTTAACACTTGTAATTTGTTATGCTTTCTTTTCTCATTCCTAATAAATTGTCGTGTTTGTGCTAATTTTGTATTAGTTATTTGGTGTTATTTTTCTTTTGTTTTCTTTTTTTGAGACAGAATTTCCCTCTTGTTGCCCAGGCTGGAGTAAAATGGCACGATCTTGGCTCACTGCAACCTCTGCCTCCCGGGTTCAAGCAATTCTCCTGCCTCAGCCTCCCAAGTAGCTGGGATTATGCTCGTGTGCCACCATGCCTGGCTAATTTTTTGTATTTTTAGTAGAGACGGGGTTTCTCCATGTTGGTCAGGCTGGTCTCGAACTCCCAACCTCAGGTGATCCGCCCGCCTTGGTCTCCCAAAGTGCTGGGATTACAGGCGTGAGCCATCGCGCCCGGCCTTGGTGTTATTTTTCTTACCTAACCTCCCCCGCCGCCCCCAGTAAACTGCAGACCCATGACTCGGTCACTCTCTTTGGGCCTTGTGTCCTTCCTCCTAGGCAGGGATGGGGCCCTGACCTTGCCTTGAACCCTCTTCCAGGGAGAATTAAAGAGATGATCCTGTTAATTGTTCGGTCGTCCCTGACACCTGCAGAGGCAAAAGCACGTGGCTTTATTTGATCCTTACTGCAAACCATTAGGGAAAAACTCCATGTTTTCATTGTGGCAGTGTTTGAATGTATGCAAAAGGAGGTGAATACCCGCGGCACACGGTGCGGGATGGGCTTGGTGAGGTTCCCTGGCACTGGGCTCCGGAATGGCAGGGCCAGACGTATAATCTCTGCAGTTTGACTCCTCTCTCCATGCTGTCCCCACACTTCATGGCACATGACATGTGTAATTATGTGGTGACATCTGCATCCTTCCGCCTGGCTTAGAAACAGGCAGCACCTCTGATCCTCAGGGTGGGGGCAGGAAGCCAGTGGCAGCTGGGGGGCTGTCTGCAGCCGAGCTGATGGGATGCTTCTGAGCATGGAGAGGACTGAGGCTGTGTCTCCCTGGGGTCTGATGGGCACAGATCCCTGGACAGCAAATCTCTGGGCAAGGGGACAGCATCAGAAACATTTGGAGAGCTTTTCTTATATATGTGCTGTGTACCTTATCCCAACCTATTCTAATACCAGCAGGGATAGGGAGAAGACAGGTGCATTTTGGAAAATTTCCCAGGCAAATCTGATACCCATCCATTCTCAGAGTGAGAACCACAGCCCAAGGGGCTCATGGGAGTAACAAGTTCGTGGGGACCCAGATCTGCTCACGGCTGAAGGTAACCACCTGCTCCTAGGGGAGCGTGGAGTCAGGGCTGTGTATACAGCCAGGGCTGGGAAGCCAGACTTCCCTGGTCCACCTCCTCAGGAGCTATTTGACCTTGGGCAAGTCACTTGACCCTGAAGTCCTCTGCCTGCTTATCTACAAAATGGAAATCACGGAAGCCCTTACCTCAGGTGAGATAACTCACTTAGCACAGAATCTGACACACCACACTCAAGAATGTTAGCCACTGCTGTTATTTCCAATGGTGACATCAGACAAGGGTGAAGGGGAAGGAATATTCTCTGCTCTGGGGCTCAAGCGAGCTGCAGACTCTTCTCCCTCCTTCACAGGCGAGATGCCAATGGCTAGAGGCTCCTCCGGAAATCCAGCCCAGCCAGATCTCCTTTCAGGCTGGAGCTGGGACCACCCTCCTTTGTCTGAAGCTGGGGAAACTGGTTTGGGGAACCGGAGAGTCTCTAGTGTCACCCGCGCTCTGTCTCTTCTGGGGGCTGTTCTCAGTGAGGGGAGAGCCATACAGACAGGCATTCCTTTTCAGCATGAACAGGTGGGAAGCCTGGAACCAGAGAAGGATGCTGGGGGGCTGGGGGTGGGTTTGGCAGGGCTGTGAAGGAGGCACATTCACAGACTCCCCAGAATCCCCTCTTCCCTCTTTTTTGGCAGCCCTGATCCCCAAGGTGTGCAGGCACTCACACTACGAAAGCGCCCTCCATGCAGGGGAAAAGGGCTCAGTCAACCACACCCATTAAGTGTCGCATTTAAGATGGGGCAATACCTTGTAGTGATTTTGCAACTGGCACCAGAGCCCTTTCTTCAAATGTTCCTTACTCAAGTGCTCAGACTGGAAAGAGACTGGGAGCTTGGCATCATCCCTGCCACACACACAGCAGTCCCAGGGGTACCCCTTGGGTCCCTGGGGCTAGGGAAGCATGACCAAACAGCAAAGGAGAGATGATTGCCAGGGAGTCTCAGCCACAAGAGCCTCTGAGGCCCATCCACTCCCTGTCCCCTTCCCCTGGGAGCCAACCGCCCCCCACCCCCCACTCCTGGAGCCAAGAAAGGCAGAGTCAGCACTTGAACTCAGAACCCTGTCACCAGATTTCTGTTGCGCCCTTGGTGGTGGGGACTGAGGGGGAGCCTTCTCGTCTGCCCATCCTGCCAGGCTGGCTGCAGGCCTGAGGACCCACTCCGGTGTTTGAGCATGGACCGTGTGCCAGACCCTTCCTGCCCCAAACCTGAGGTCTCCAGCCCTTGTCTGGGGGTTTTCTGTTTCCTGGTCCTGGGAGCTTGCAGGAAGGGGACAGAAATGAAGATCTAACCCCACCTATTCCCAACACTCTTGCCTCCCTGCGCCAGGGATTAGGGATGAGAGCACTTTAGAGTCAGGGTCCCCAGAGCCCAACTGGGCTGATGAGATGAACTGTCACTCCATATTATCCCTCCTGTCCCTACCATCACTCCCTCCTGTACCCTGAAATGCTACTGGAGGTCCCACACTCTCTGCTGTGTTTGCCGCGGCCACCACCCCCAACAAACAAATCCCTCTGAAATTGATCCAGCCAGGCTACTGGGCAGCCCCTGGCTGGACACATGAGAACCACAGCATGCATTTTATAAATGTGACCAAGGAGGAAGGCCCTGCTGGAGCAGGGCAGAAGGGGCTCTAGTGTTGAAGGCCTCTGGTGCTGCCCTCTGAGTTAACTCAACCCCCAGGTCCTCACACATCCCGTGTCCTGGACACCAGCCTCCCTGTTCTATCCTCGGATCCATCTGATGCCAAAGCCAGTGTTCCTTCCTCCCCACACACAGCAGTCAGAAGTAACAGATTTGATGTACGCACGGCCAAATGGAGGAGCTTAAAACAGAGCCGAGAGAAGAAAGTCAGCGTGAGATGCACAACACAACCCATTTACATTAATTAAAATAAATGTGCCCCAAACGAGGATGTGCATGTATAAAAACATGAAGTCTGTTAGCAAGGTGCCCCATGGAGCAGACAGGAAGAGAGTAGGGAGTGGGGTCAACAAGAAATCAGAGAACAAAGAGAGAGAGGGAGTGAGAGAGAGAGGGAGAGGAAAAAGGAAGAAAAATGAAAGCAAGCAAACTCTTTAAGCCACTTCTGAATGTTTCCTCTGGGAATAAAATTTGGATTTATTTAACATATATATATATTTTTTTCACATAAAATAAAGCCTATACGATTTTCAAAAATGGAAAATTGTTTTGGTCAGTGTTTTTTGTTTGTTTGTTTTGAGATAGGGTCTCTCACTCTGTCGTCCAGGCTGGAGTGTAGTAACACAATCACAACTCAATGCAGCCTCAAATTCCTGGGCTCAAGTGATCCTCCCGCCTCAGCTTCTGGAGTTGCTGGGACAGGCGTGCGCCACCACATTCAGCTAATATTTTATATTTTTGTAGAGTTGGGGGTCTCGCTGTGTCGCCCAGGTTGGTCTCAAACTCCTGGCCTCAAGTGATTCTCCTGCCTCGGCCTACCAAATCTCTCGGACTATAGGCATGAGCCATACCACACCAGGTCTTAGTTAGGCATTTTTTAAAAGCAGACGTGTGTGTGTGTGTGTGTGTGTGTGTGTGTGTGTGTGTGTGTGTGTGTGTGTGTTTCTTTTTCCTGAAGGCTGTTTCATGGCTTGCAGGGCAAAGGGCAAAGGACTGATAGAATGTTCTCTTTAAAACGTGGTAGAAACAAAGAAAAGAAGTCCCTCTGTGCATAGGAAGGGACAGGTGTGTCTGAGCTGATCCCATGCCATTACAGTGGCCGCACTGCCCCTGTATCAAGGCCACCTGCAAGTGGAATCAGAGAGAGTCAGAATTTGACCATGTGAAGGTACGAGACGATTCCAGGGTGATACCTGAACTAGAAAAAGAAAAAAAGAGGATGGAGAATTACACACACTCTGCACTGGAGAGTTACTCTCCAATGAAGAAGAGGAGCCCCATAGACTAAATGACTCCAGAACGTTTCACAAAGCAAGCATGAACCAAATAAGTGAGCCCTCACTGAGGTCTTGCATGGTGGGTTGTGGTCAGAGACTGCCAATCCAGGAGGCTTCCTGAAGGAGGCGAGCACCAGAAGCCAGAAGCACCAAGCCAGAGGCTGAGCAGGCTGGGCAGGAGTGCTGTGCACTCTGGAAGCAGGGGTAGCTGGTTTGGACCCCTTCATCTGCAAGAGGGCATGCGAGACCTCCTGCGTACACTCCTTTGATTGGTCTCTCTGAGTACCTTTGAAAGGGGCATGAGTCTGAACCTGGAGCTGGGCATTGTTCTTCATGCCCTGTGGAGGAGGCTCCTCTAGGGGCAAGTGTGGTGGGCAGGCTGGAGTCTCCTCCTGAGCCAGCCAGTTCCCATGTGTGTGTTTGTGTGTGTGTGTGTGTGTGTGTGTGTGTGCATGCACAGGCAAGCACCTGTGTACACATAGCCATGAGGGAAGGGGTGGTTAGGGCCCAAATTTACCCAGTGAAGAAAGCCCAAGGTTGCAGTTTTTGTCACCAGGAAATATGGAGGTGCAGGCCAGCAAACCTCTTGGAGGACCCAAGAGAGCAGGCTCAGGTTTATAGAAGCCATGGTCAGCAGGGGAGGGGCCTGAGGCCTGTCACTTGGCAGGACCCATTAAAGAGAAAAGGGCTCAGGGCCCCAAGTACGTGGAGGAGTGGCCACCACCTCCAGGAGCATGAGTGGAAATGATGTGTGTCCCTGGTGGGAATTTGTGGGCTGGGTTTTATTTATTTACTTATTGACAAATAAAAATTGCATATATTTATGCTATACAGCATGATGTTTTGAAATATGTAAACATTGTGGAATGGCTAAATCACACTTATTAATATATGTATTACCACATGCACTTATCATTTTTGTGTATGTGGTGAGAACACTTAAAATTTACTTCCTTAGCCATTTTCAAGTGTCCAGCATTTTATTAACTATAGTCACCCTGTTGTACAATAGCTCTCTTGAATGTATTTCTCCTCCTAACTGAAATTTCATATCCTTTGATAGACATCTCTCTAATCCCGCCCCCTCCCCACCCCAGGCTGGGGCTTTTAAGAAGTGGGTGTGCCTCCTCTAAGTTTTCTTTCCACTGCACAGTTGCAGACCACAAGGCCTTAGGCCAGGGTTGGTGGAACCACAGAAGAGAATGAGCTTGGGTGCCTGAATCATCACAAGGAAGACAGCTGCCCCCTGACGGGACTTGGACTGTGCCTTGGACTCGGACAGGAGAAATAGATTTCTACTGTGTTCAAGCCTCTCTGCATCTAGGGCCTGGTTATCTCAGCTGTTTACCTGCCCTAATACTCAGCATTCCCAGGCTTGTACCTGCACACATCATTACCCCTGTTGAGTCTGTCCCTGCTTAGGCCTCCATAGTTGCTGGACTCCTCCATCCATCCACCCATCTACCCATTCATCCTACAAATGCTGTTGACTTTTTTTGGATGTGCACACTGTGCCGGGTGCAGGACTCATGTCTTCCTGTGTTGCTCACACTCTTCACTGCCTCTTCAGCTTCTCTGAATCCCCCTCAATTTTCCCAGTCTACTTCAGACCCGCTGCCTGCTCAGAAGCCCTCCCTGAGCACTGCAGGCCAGGCCTTTGACAGCTTGATCCCTCACAGACTGGCCAGTCCATGAACCCATTCCTGGATTCTTTCCTGGGGGGAAAAATGGGGGAGACAGGGATGTGGATCCTCCCAGACTGGGATAGTAAAAGTCCCAGGTCGCAGAGAGAAGGTGAAGGCTAATTTTAGCTACAAACCCACGGATTTCAGGCACGTGGAGGAAACAGGACCTCTTGGTAATGGATTACATTTCTCCTGGGTATGAGCCTCTATGTACTCTCTCACTCTTCTCTTGGACACACAGGCATGCGTGTGTGCACGCACGTCTTCAGACCCACAAACAAGATAGTGAGGCCAGTTGTGCCTGAAACAGCTGAGAAGTTGGGTCCTCACCCACGTGGGTAAGTGAGAGTTGCTGCGGCAGCTGGCAGACCTTGGTGGACCACACACCAGGCAGAGCTGGGACTCCAGGGAAGGATACTGGGGTGACCCTGGAGGAGGTCTAGGTGGGAGAGTCTGAGCTCAGTTCCAAGCCTGGGTGTCAAAGGTGCTGGAGAGAGTCATGGAGCGGGGCTCTGGCCTTTCCCCACTGGGTCTATTTGCCTTTCCATGTTTTGTAGTTTTGATAGTTAGCTTTCTACAGGTCACCTCCTCCATGAAGCCTTCCTGAATTCTATCAGGCAGAGAATTCCCTCCCACCTTTTTCATGCCCCTATTACAACCCTGAGGTAGTGGTGTCATAGTTTATCTTTCTTTCTAAACTATGGCTGTCCCAGACCCAGGACTCCTAGTACCCAGTATGGCACCTGGCACAGAGAAGGCACGCAATACACAGTAATAATAAAATGAGCTGTCCCTAACAAGTGAAGAATATGGACAAACTGAAGGAAAACAGACTTAAAATCCTATAAGAAAATGTAAAAAGATAGGAACAGACAATTCACACACATAAAAGATACAAAAATAGCCCTTAAACAAAGAAGAAGATGTTCAGCTTCACTCATATTAAGAGAAATGCTAATTAAAAGTCACTCATCAGATAGGCAGAAATGCAATCGCTTGACAATCCACGCTGCTGAGAGCGGTGGGGAGACAGGTCCTCTTAGACATTCATTGCTGGTGGAAATGAAAAATGGCAAAATCCCATGAAAAATAATTTGTCGACATCTGAGAAAACTACATAGACATTTACCTTTCCACTCAGTAACCCCCTTCTAGGAATTTACCCTGAAGACACATCTCAACAGTATGAAAATACGTAAGTACACATGCTCACGGCAGCATTATTTGTAATGGCAAAAATATAGGAAATTACCTAAATGTCAGAGCATAAGAGATGAGTTGAATAAACTAGGAGACAGCCACACAGCGGGGTGCTGTCCAGCCATAAGAATGACCGGGGAAGATCTCTGAACAGATACGGAGTGATTTTCAGGAAATGTTATGTGAAAACAGCAAAATGCAAAGAGAATATGTAGCATATTGTCTTTTATGTAAGAAATACAGGAAATAAGAAAAATTGTATATGTCAGCTAATTTGTTTTCCAAAAAGAAGCACAGGAAAGACAAACTAGAAACAAATAAAATTGATTATCTTTGAAGGGTGAGGTGGGGGACGAAGACTGGAGAGGAGTTTGTGACAGTGATGCTTCTCTGAGTAGTTTCCATTTTTAGATTATATAAATATTATATATATTAAAAAACGAATAGTAAATCAACAAGGATGTGGCAAACCCTAAAATTGAGTTTAAATGGAAACAAATGAATCCAAATGTATTTCAAATGACTAAAATAACCACAGTAAAGGGGAAAAAAAGGAAACCAAGTAATTCTTTTTGTTGTTTGGTTTTTTGTTGTTGTTTTTTGTTGTTGTTGTTTGTTTCTGAGACAGGGTCTCACTCACTCCATCACCCAGGCTGGAGTGCAGTGGCATGATCTCGGCTCACTGCAACCTCCACCTCCCAGGCTCAAGTGATCCTCCTACCTCAGCCTACCAAGTAGTTGGGATTACAGGTGTGCACCACCATCCCCAGCTAACTTTTTTTTTTTTTTGTAGAGATGAGGTTTCACCATGTTGTCCAGGCTGGTCTTGAACTCCTGGGCTCAAGCGATCCTCCTGCCTCGGCCTTCCAAAGGGTTGGGATTACAGGCATGAGCCATTGCACCCAGCCCCAAGTAATTTTTGAACACAGTACTTTGATCACATACCCTCAGTCTGCAGACAAAAAGAGTCAAAAGCAAGTCTTGATCTCTTAGGAGGCTTGTTTTTTGCAGTATAGTAAGAACATTATTGGGATAATTGACAAAACTGGAATATGGATTTCAGATTAGGAAAAAATAATTGTATCAATGTGACAAATGTAAATTATGTTTATAGTATATTAAACACTGGTTATGCAGAAGAATATTCTTGTTCTTAGGAAATACATGCTAAAGTAGTAGTGCAACTTTTCTGTTTGAAATTATTTCAAAATAAAAGTTAAAAAAAATAAGATCCCTCATGTATTGTGCACTTAACTGTGCATTGGACATTGCCAGTACCCTGCATCTGTTGTCTCATTTAATCCTCACAACACTCTGAAACCAGAACTTCGTCATTCCCATTTTACTAATGAGGAAACTGAGGCTCAGTGAGGGTAATTACTGGTTGTATCTGCCAGTGATCTTGGGATAATTTGAAGCCAGGTCTGCCTGACCCTAAAATCTTTTGTCCTTACCCACTGCCTCTACCAAAAGGTTGAATGAATGAATGAATGAATGAATGAATGAATGAATGACTAAGGGACCCAAATAGCACTTTGTCATTTCTCCCTAGCCATGCCATGGGACTTTCTCTACTCTGTGCCTTGGTTTTCGTATCTTTACAATAACTCCCTGCCTCACCAGTGTGTGTGCCATCTGCTAGTGCGGTGATGGTGGTGAGTGTGGCTTGGCAAACAGAAGAGCTGTTCTCCACGCGTTCCAGGGGCTGTAGCTTGGCCAGGGGGAGGGCACAAGGGAGCCTGCAGACAGAACAAGGACTTTCACTAGGAGTGGGGAGCAGCAGGAGATGCCGCACACACACAAAGTGGCAAGTGGGGCTCACTCACCCTGGCCAGCAGGTGTGTGGGGGAGATGGCGGACAGGATGACATTGAAGAAGTGACTGGGTTGCTGTTGAGCAGAGGGGGACACTTCTTACTATAACTCCTGACCTCCTTCAGGCCCCCCGCCAAGGAGATGTCAACCCTGTTCAGGGAGAAACTGTCTCCATGTGTCCTGATTGGTTTATTTCTTCTTGGAGTCAGATGCAGGCAGGAATTGTTCAGCTCATTCCTCAGCGGAATGAAAGAGACAGGTGGGCTGGTCCCAGGTGCTCAGATACCTTCCAGTACACCTGGAGGGCTGTAGGACAAATGCCCTGTGGGCGAGAGCAGGTGGGGCTCATGTTCAAACCCAGGGATGTTCACGTGTGATGTTGTATCTGCAGAACCGCCATCAGCAAAACAATAAAGAAAAGGTGCTCTGATCTAAGCCCAGGGAGAGGGGGTGTTGGACGCCTCCCCATCCCCTGTCCCCCGGAGGGCGGCTGCTCAGCCCAGGAGAGCAGAATGAAAACCATGCCCCGGTCGGCCAGTAAAAGTCTTCATTCTCCCCTGCTGCCTCCCAGCTGCTCCACCCACCATGAGGCTGGCCCAGGCATTCCATTAGTTTGGTTTCCCCTCGACCACCACAGGAGTAGGGCGTTTGGACATACATCCTAATATTTGCCCCAGTGTATCATCTCTGCAGCTAGACTTGGGGGCTTCCTCCTGGAAGATGCCAGGAGATGATAGGGAGGGGTTGAGGGAGACCCCCACTAATGATCTATGATCCGGGGAAGAATGTCTGTAGTCGTCCTGAGATGGAGGTGGACTACCCAGCTGACCAGAAATAGGTCCACCCGCCAGACCTCTTGCAGACCCCCCTTCAACCAGCACCGGGCAAAGGAGCATGTTCCTTGTTCTCCACTCTCTGTGGAGTGGGTAGAAGGTGAGACAGCTGCATGGGGAGGGTACATGAGATCCTGAGTATGGTCCATGAGTGATTCCCATCCTGTTCCCTCAGGTCCGGTCCTGACCCATCCCATCCCCTCCCATTCATTCAACCCCATCGCACCCCATCCCACCCCGCCCCACTCTGCCCCATCCCATTCCCATCCCACCCCATCATCTTTAGCTCCCCGGGAGCACTTCCACTAGCTTTTTCAGCTTCTTCAATCCCCACCCTCTAAGGAAACCAAACCTGAATTGAAACTAAGAGGAAACTTAACAAAAGTTTGCAAAAGAGAAAGGCAGCCTCTGAGAGGCTGAGCTGGCCGGCCCTCCTCCTTGAACAGAAACAATGACAAAGAACAACAATGTCAAACAAGGCTGCTTTGTGACCGTGACAGACCACGACAGAAATAAGACCCCTCCACACGAGCACAGACAAAAACAAGAATACTAGCTGAACCACAGAAATAAACCAACATCTGCCTCCCCCAGCCGATGGGAGGGGCTACGGCTTCTTTACCCAATACAGCGTTAGCACTGCTTCATTCCTCCGCTTCTAGGTCAGAATCCTAAAGATACTCTAATGTCCTCGATCATAGAATTCTCCTGCTCCCTGACTGCAACCAGTGGAGAGGAAATCCCCACTTCTCCGAACCCTTCCCAAAGTCACCAAAGAAACACAAACCCTGCAACTTCCTTCTAACACAACCCTCCAACCGGGATGCGCCATAGCTCCCCAGGGGTGTGGTCTCCCCCGTCACAGCTGCATCAATAGATGTAGCTCTGGTTGGCTGCAGGTGTCTTTCCAGCGGTCCCTGACTGATGGCATCAGCTGGCTCAAGGGTGCTCATCATGAGAGCAAGTGTCTTTCATACAGCGCACCAAGTCAGGAGCCCTTCCTTCCAGCCTCCAGTCATGTCTCTGCCACCAGCTACATGACCTTGAGCAGGTCCTTAACCTGGGAGTCTCGGCATCTCCGGCTGCAAAATGGAGCAAGACTTGCCTTGCTACCACTCCCGGAAAGGGAGGATGGTGTGAGACACTGCCTGTGAAGGTGGCTAGGAGGAGTCTGACCCTTGCACAGGGTCACCGTGGAATTTGCTTTCAACTTCTGAGAGTGAAAAGAGACATTATTGATAACTACAGTGAGGCACAGGTATAAACCAGGCCTCTCCCCAGCAAAATGAGAGGAAAGGTGACCCGCCTCAGAGGAGCTATGGGAAATGAAGGCAGAGAGGGTGTGAGGTGCCTCTGGGAGTTGATGAGTGTAGTGGGGTGAATGAGGGCCCCCCAGAAGACATGCACATGTCCTAGCCCTCAGAACCTGTGAATGTGACCTTATCTGAAAAAAGGGTCTTTCCAGATGTAATTAAATTAAGCATCTTGAGATGAGTCATCCTGGATTACCTAGGTGGTCCCTAAATCCAATGACAAGTGTCTTTATGGAAACAGAAGAGGAGAGAAAACCCAGGGCACAGAGAAGCCAGGGGAAGATGGAGGCAGGCACTGGAGTGCTGTGGCCACAAGCCAAGGAAGCCTGGAGCCACCACGAGCTGGAAGAGATGGGAAGGATTCTCTCCTAGATCCTTTGGAGGAAGTCCAGTCCTGCTGACATCCTGATTCTGGACTTCTGTCTTCCAGAATTGTGAGAGGATAACTTTTTGTTGTTTTAAACATCAAGTTTGTGGTGATTTGTTACGGCAGCCCTGGAAAACAAACCCAGTGGGCAGGGGGGCCTTTAAAGACACCCTCCCTGGATGCTCTGTCCCTCCCAGGGACTCTCTCTGGAATTGCATTATTCAGTTGCAACAGAGGTCACCCGCTACCTCCCACCTCCTGGCCCGGGTTTCAGCCTTGCCCAGGGAGGAGGTAGGGCTCCAGGCCTGCAAGCATCTCTCCCAGAGTGCTGAGCCCCAGATTCACACCTTGCTCCAGCTGTGGGGAGGGGGCAGCTGTCTAAGCAGCTGAGGATCTGAGGATTGCTCTTGTGTGGCAGAGAAAGAGCCTAATCCACTATGTTTTAGGGGCATCTGGCCAGGCTCTGGCCCAGGACTGGAGAAGCTGTGGGAAGTAGGTCCGCAGGTCTGCCCAGGAGCCAAATGAAAGCAGGGGTCAGGGGAAGGAGCAGCGGAAGGTGGTGAAGTCAGAGGCCTGTAACCTCCCCTTTCTTTCTTTCTTTTTTCTTTTTTTTTTTTTTTTTGAGACAGGATCTCTGTCACCCAGGCTGGAGTGCAGTAGCAAAATCTCAGCCCACTGCAACCTCTGCCTCCTGGGCTCAAGCAATCCTCCCGCCTCAGCCTCCTAAATAACTGGGACTACAGGTGCTTGCCACCATGCCCAGCTAATTTTTGTATTTTTGGTAGAGATAGGGTTTTGCCATGTTGGCTAGGCTGGTCTCGAACTCCTGAACTCAAGCAATCTAACTGCCTTGGCCTCCCAAAGTGTTGGGATTACAGGCGTGAGCCATTGTGCCTGGCCACCTCCCCTATTATTACTTTTAAGAGGATCTAATAAACTGGCTTATGCCTAGACCTGATTACAGCACTTCCTCTCCCCGGGGATGGGGGCAGGAGGCAATGCCGGAAACGATGCCTCAAATTTAGGGTGGAATTTTGGGTATTACACAGTGTTCCTCCCTCCCCTTTCCCCATCATACTCATCATGCTCATCACACTTTTGAACTAAGGTCCAAAATTCCTTCATGGATGCAGATAAGATCTGTCATATCCTGCAGTATCTTTTAATATGAAAATCCCTGAGATAGAAGCACCTGGGGCCCCTGTATGGATTCCCTGATGGAGGCAGAAGGTCCCTGGAAGGGAAAGACAGGAAAAGAGAGAAGGCATCCAAAGGGAAATTCCGTTTTCTCCCGTATTTCAACCTGGGCCATGCCTGGTGCCAAGGCTGCAGGAAAAGTTAGCAATGATGGGAAATGATGGGATTTGCATTTCCATTTCTAGTGGTTTCCTCCTTTCTCCACCCATTTTCCAGCCTTGCTCTTCTAAATTACCTCCTGTTTTCCCCAAAGCTAGAGCTCTGGAGCTGGGCTGCTCAGAGAATGTCAATTACAGTCTCCATTTTGAGGAAATTTACAATGGGAAAGGCTAGAAGGAAACATTTAATTTAAAAAACTTTTACATATAAGCATTTACTCTTTGTGGTGTATCGTTTTAAGGGTTTTGGCCAGTGCATACAGTCATATACTTACCACCAGTGGCCCGACACAGTTCCATCACCCCAAAATTCCATGTGCTGTCCTTTATTTTATTTTATTTTTGAGACGGAGTCTGGCTCTGTCACCCAGGCTGAAGCACAGTGGCATGGTCTCAGCTCACTGCATCCTCCGCCTCCCGGGTTCAAGCAATGCTCCTGCCTCAGGAGGAAAAAGTAATCATCTTGTTTATATCTACAAAAAACTCCCACTGGGTTTTAATAGAGATTGTGTTGGATCTATAGATCAATCTGGGGATAGCTGACATTTTAACAATATTGAGTCTTTTTTCCCATGAATACTCTGTGTCTATCCACTTATCTTTGATTTCCTTCAGTAGTATTTTATAGTTTTCAGCAGACAGATCCTACATATATATTATTAGATTTATACTTAAGAATTTCATTTTTGGGTGCTATAGTAAATAGTACCTTAAAATTTTTTTGAATTGTAGTTTTTCATATCATAGCTGGGGTACATAAAATGCAATTGATTTTTATTTTATTTTATTTTAGAGTGAGGGTCTCATTTTATCACCCAGGCTGTAGTGCCTTGGTGTGATCATAGCTCACTGCAACCTTGAACTCTTGAACTCCTGGGCCCAAGTAATCTTCCCACCTCAGCCTCCCAGGTAGCTAGAACTATAGGCATGCACCATCATGCCTGGCTAATTTTTCATTTTCATTTTTTGTAGAGGCGGCGGCAGGGGGCGTCTCACTATGTTGCGCAGGCTGGTCTTGAAATCCTGGCCTCAAGTGATCCTCCTACCTCAGCCTCCCAAAGTGCTACAATTAGAGGCATGAGCCACGATGCTCAGCCTACAATTGATTTTTGTATGTTTATCTTGTATCCTGCAACCTTGCTAAACTTACTTTTGAGTTTTAGGAGCATTTTGTAGATTCTTTAGGATTTCCCACAGAGATAATCATGTTATTTGTGAGTGGAGACCATTTTATTTATTTATTTCCCATCTATGTGCCTTTCATTTCTTTGCCTTGCCTATTGTATTGAGTAGAAATTCCAGTGCAATGTTGAATAAGAGGGGTGAGAAAGGACACCCTTCTCTTATTCTTGATGTTAGGAGGAAAGCGTCTAGTGTGTCACCATTAAGTATGCTGTTAGGTGTAGGGGTTTTTTTTTTGTTTTTTGTTTTTTGTTTTTCTGAGACAGTCTCGCTCTATTGCCCAGGCTGGAGTGCAATGGTGCGATCTCTGCTCACTGCAACCTCTGCCTCCTGGGTTCAAGTGATTCTCCTGCCTCAGCCTCCTGAGTAGCAGGGATTACAGGCATGCACCACAATGCCTGGCTAATTTTTGTATTTTTAGTAGAGACAGGGTTTCACCTTGTTGGCCAGGCTGGTCTCCAACTCCTGACCTCGTGATCTGCCTGCCTTCACCTCCCAAAGTGCTGGGATTACAGGCCTGAGCCACTGCGCTCGGCCTGTAGGGTTTTTACAGATGCTCTTTATCCAGTTAAGGAAGTTTCTTCCATACCTAGTATGCTGAGAGTTTTTGTTATGAAGGCATGCTGAATCTTGTCAAATGCCTTTTTATATCTAATAAAATAATCGCATTGTTTTTCTTTATTACTTTGTCAATACAGTGAATTACATTGATTTTCAAATGCTGAACCAGTCTTACATTTCTAGGATAAGACTCACTTGGTCTTAGTACGTTATCTTTTTAATTTTAATTGCTGAATTCGATTTTCCATTTTGTTAAGGATTTTTGCATCTATGTTCATGAGGGATAGATATTTGTTTTTAATTTATTTTTCTTGTAATGTCTTTGGTTTTGTCATTAGGGTAATTCTGGCCTGGTAAAATGAGTTGGAGAGTATTTCTTCCTCTTATTTTTGGAAGATATTATGTAGAATTGGTATTATTTTTTCCTTAAATGTTTGACAGAATGGGAAGCCCTGGAGTTATCTTTATTGAAAGGTACTAAACCATGGATTCAATTTATTTAATGGATATATGACTATTTAGGTTATCTGCTTCTTTTTGAGTAAATTTGGTTGTTTGTGTAAGAAATTACCTACATTCCCTTATTATCCTCTTAATGTCTGTGAAGTCTGTAGTGCTGTCTCCTCTTTCAATTCCCATCTTGGTAATTTGTGTCTTCTCTCTCTCTCTCTCTCTCTCTCTCTCTGCTAGTATGTCTGGCTAGATGTTTATAAGTTCTATTAATTTTTTCAAAGAACCAGCTTTGTTTCCATTGATTTTGTTTGTTGTTTTTCTGTTCTTTATGCCTCTCCTTCTGCTTGCCTTGGGTTAATTTACTTTTCTTTTTCTAGTTTATTAAGGTGGAAGCTTATTTTACTATTTGAGATCTTTCTTTTTTCTAATAAAAACATTTAGTGTTATAAACTTCCCTCAAAGCACTACTTTACCTGCATTATACAAACTTTGATATCTTGTAGGAGAAAGCCACTTTAAATGGCAATAAAATATTTAAATAGTAGCTGGGTATGGGAAATTGAAAATAAAGAGCTTAGACACAAATTAGAAGGTTTCATTGGAAGCTAAGACTACTAGCAGTTGGGAATGAGCAGGCAAGTCTTTATAAATGAAGTGGGATTTGAACACAGCTTTAGAGATGGCATAGTGAAGGCTGAAGGTTGCCTAGCCAATATCCATTGCACTCTCCTTCCCTAGTAACAGAACCCTGTGCTCAGTTGAGAAGAGTTTCCCAGCCTCCCTTATAGTTGGATGTGGACATGAGCCTGGGTTCTGTGGATGAGATGCAGCAGAGGTGGTGTCTGTGACTTTGAGGAAGTTTCCTTCAAAAGAAGTGGCTCACAGGGGAGATATGCATTCATTGCTGTTCTCTCTGTCCTTCTTTTTCTTCCTAGTAGACATCTTGGTCTGCAAGGCATACTTGGGGTATGGAGTGGGTGTATGGGGATGCCAGAGCAACAAGACAGAAGCAGCCTGGGTTCCTGACAATTTTATGGAGTTTCCACACCAGCCCTGGATTGCTCACCCCTGGACTTACTCTACCCAGATATTATAGAATATACCATTGGATGTTTGAGCCACTTTTACTGGGGGAGGAGGGATTCAGTTATATGCAGCTGAGGCCAGTCTTGATCCTGATGAGGAGGATTAGGAATGTAGAGGGGAGAAGAAAGGGCATTTAGCAGAGGGATGAGGAGCAATGCTGGAGGAAAGCCTGGGGAAGATGAAACTGGTGGAGTGGAGACCAATTTGTCTGTGTAGGGCAGTAGTGGGAGGTGGGTTTGGTGGGAGCCAAACTCTAGAAGGCCTTAAAGGAATCTAAATGCTACTAGCCTGCTGGAAACTTTGGTAAATTGGTTTGACTTTCCTGGCCTGCTTCCTCATCCATAAAACCTGGGGATTTACTTGGATCAGAAGCTTTTAACCTGAAGTTCATGGACAGATTTCATGGGAGTCTAAGAACCTCTTGCCAAATCACATACGTTTTGCATCTATGCTATTTTTCTGGAGAGAGGCCCACAATTTTAATCAGATTCTCTAAAAGGTCTGCAGCTCCCAAATAGTTAAAAATCACTAACCCAGATGCTTCCTGCATGAAAGGTCTCTCACTGACTTTATCATGTGGGCTAGAAGGAGCCTTTGGTGTTTTCTAGGGGGCAGGAAAGTGAACATGGTAAAATTAAGGTTTTGGGTGCCTATGAAACATTTTTAATCTGATAACAAATACCTATATAAAATGTGTTTTTAAAAGCTACAATGCAAGAAAAAGAAAATTAAAACTCTCCTGTAATTACTCAACCCTATGAACACTATGGTAGCTTCTTATTTTCAGATATATATGTGTGTAGATGTATTTTATTTTTTTAAATTTTTATTTATGTGTTTATTTTTTTGAGGCAGAGTCTTGCTCTGTCACCCAGGCTGGAGTGCAGTGGCACGATCTTGGCTCACAGCAACCTCTGTCTCCCGGGTTCAAGCAATTCTCGTGCCTCAGTCTCCTGAGTAGCTGGGACTATAGATGTGCCACCATGCCCTGGTAGTTTTTGTATTTTTAGTGGAGATGGGGTTTTGCCACGTTGGCCAGGCTGGTCTCCATGTTGGCCAGGCCGGTCTCAAACTCCTGACCTCAGGTGATCTCCCCGCTCGCCCTCCCAAAGTGCTGGGATTACAAGCATTAGCCACTGTGCCCAGCCTATACATATATTTTAAAAATAAAACTTGGATCACCTAAATGTACTGCTTTGTAACCTGCCCTTTCACTCAGCAACATACAGTGAACATCTCTCCATGCTATGAAGTGTTTTTCTACGATATCCATTTTCTATGGCTAGGGAATACACATACAGGAATTTCTGGGCATTTTTGTGCTATGGGAGGCAAAGGGTTTTGAGAGTAGGTGCAGCGGGGGCACCAAGTTAGCAAGAATCTGACACTGTGCAAAATGCCAGGAGGCTGCGATCAGCATCCCCAGGCCGCCTGGGGGTATGAGATAGAAGTGATGAACTTCCCCCCACCCTTGAACTAACTCCAAAGAATGGAATTGGGGGTGCACACAGAGCACAAGGAGTAAACTGCAGGATCCAGAACAGGCACAGAACTAAAAGCCAGAAATAAACCCCAGAGAAAATCATACGGGAAAATGAAAACTTTCCTGCACAGGTGAGAGTGGATTACAGACACGATGGAGCAAGTGGCGTTACCTGGAAACCCGGTTTGCTTTAAAGCTCTGTGAAGGGCTCTGTGCCCTCCCATGCTCCCACCAATGCCTTCTGGAATCCAGATCATATTTATCAGGACAAGCCCTGCCATGACTTTACCTTGAGAGAAGACACTAGAGATTTGAATCCTTTTGATGGCAGGGATTCAGGCGCTCATGTCTAGATCTGTCCGCTGGGTGAAGGGAGTGGGTGCACACTCCCAGGAGGTCCTGGCATTTGCTGGGCACTGTGCCTCTCACAACAATTTGAGCTGTAGGTATGATGATCCCACTTCCTGGATGAGGAAATGCAGGCCTTGAGAGGTCAGGTGACTTGCTATGGTCCGCTAACCAAAGGCTTATGTGAAGAGACCTGAAGTAGGCAGGGAGAATAGGGGCCCTTGGAGGAAGGTTCCCGAGGGAGAGGCTGGCAACTGCAGCATCTGTGTCATGCTCACCCTGGGGTGGGGCACAAAGACTGTGAGGTTTGGGGGTGGGTGGTGTGCAGGTGGGCCCAGGCCTGTGCGTGTGGAGTAGGTGAAAAAGTGAATGACATGCAGATTTCAAAGGGGAAGGTTAGAGCTGGGAGCTACCTACTGAGCAAAAGCTGATGAAAAATCCCCTGGCTCCAGATGCCACTGCAGGCCCCTGAATGGGGAGGGTGGCAGAGCTGGGCCTGGGCCTCTCCTTCAGCATGGGTCCCTGTTTTGAAGTGCTGAGAGCAGGGGGAGGGTGATGCTGGGATCTTTCCACCAGGAGACTCACCCATGGAGGCGGGGACAGAGGGGAGAGTGTTGTCCTGTTGCATTTCAAATCAGAGCTGAAGCTCAAGTCACCCTCCTCCCCGAAGCCCCCATACGCCTGGCACACTTTGTCCTCTCTCTGTTTGGACTCTGTCTGTGCCCCTCATCTGTGTCACTCAGTACACACTGGTCCCATTGCCGGGGAGCTTTCATCTTCCGTCACGCTCTCCTTCAGAGGGCAGGGGAATGCTGCCTATCCTCCAGGCACCTGTCCCCTCCGCCCGCCCTAGGCCTGAGTCCTTGTTAGAGACTTGTTGCCCAAAGCTCTTCCTCTGCCTGGTGGTGAGGACTGGTCCAGGGGATAAGGGGCTCATGCAGGGCACCCTGAAATTAAGGGTGTGGTAAGCCAAGGAAGGGAGCAACTGGAAGATGCTGGGAGCCAGACTAAGGATAGAGTGTTCATGAAGTGACAGCTGGGAGCTGCAGCCTTTACAGGGCTAGAGACCAGATAGCTTTCTTGAGTCCCTGTGACAGAGTTGCAACTACAGGGCCACTGGACACATAAAAAGGGAGGCTCAAATCTCATATCTTCCTATCATGTATATTTTAATATCTTAGTAGCCTCTTAAGACCTCAGAGCCTCACTTTTCTTACCTGCTGCCAGCCTGATCTAACAAGCAAATCGGATCATGGTGCTCCTTGCTCAGAGCTCTTGGGGGAGGTGACAAAGAAAATCCCGGGCCTGGCCCCTAAACACTTTCCTGCCTACTCTGTCTGCCTTCACCGTCTCAGCCTAAGCCCACACCTGTCCCCCAACCTAACAGTGGGGCCCACACTCCTCCAGTCTTCTTCCCCAGCCCTGGTCTCTCAGCCACCCAGGGGCCACTGGTTGGAAAGGAGGAGCCTTGTGGGTGGGTGAGGGGCCTCTGGTCTGGAGCTGGTCTGGATCATGCTGTGGGATGTGGCGGAGGAGGAGGAGGAGGAGGAGGAGAAGGAGGAAGGGGATAGAGGCTGGGGATTTGCTGCAGGTCCCTGCAGAAAAGCCCACTGGGGTCTTTGGCCCCGGTCGGCCTCCCCTCTCCTGTCTCAGAGCCTCTTGGCTGCAGAGAGCAGAAGTTGGGTGTGGGGTTGGGGGGTGCTCGGGCACAGCTGCTGTGCCACCCTCTGGCAACAAGTGGCTGACAGGGGTGCACCCAGGTGGTGGTGAGGTGAGCCCACAGCCCTTAGACCCACACTGCCCCATGAATGCTGCTTTCTCACCCGGGAAGCGAGGGACCCAGGCCATCATCCAAGTTAGGGTTCAGGCTCCCTTAATTTCTAGGGGAGCCTTTCCTCTCCTCTCCAGCCTTGAAGAAGCCACTAGTCTTCATGCTCCCTTTCCTCTCCTCCTTCCCTTGAATGGAAGGGTGCTGTATGTCTTTACAATAAATACAGTGCTCAAGACTGAAGACCTCTTACGTGTCCCAAGCAGGGCAGTTTGTTCCAGTATGTTCCAGCTCTGCAGCCGGAGTATGCGCATTTGCAGCCTAGCTCCCGCACATCCTAGTTCTGACCTTGGGCAAGTCACTTAACTTCAGGGTGTCAACGTCCCTGTCTGTAATATAGTGCATGACAATAGAACTCAATCCTAGGGTGAAAGAGGGCTAATAGAGTTAACAGCGTCAAGTTCTCAGGACAAAGCCAGGCACACACTGAATGCCTACCAAATAAGAGTGATGATCATTACTTTTCCATGTGACTGGTTCTTGCCAATGACACTGAGTAGTAATACTGGGTCACTTCCAAGATAAGATATGTTGGCTGTTGAGAAGCATGTATGCCTTCTCTCTGTTCTCCTTCCCACCTGCCCAGGGGAGGCTGGCAGGTTAGCAGGAGCTGAGGACCCTAACTTACCAGGTGGGAAATGCTGCCTGCCTGCCAGCCAGGAATATCCAGTATTTAATAAGGAGATCTAATTTGAAACACTTGTGGCTTGTTTGTTACAGCAGCTGAAGGGCTTCACAGAGAAGTTAATGCTTGAGCAAGGTTTGAAGGGTGGAATTGGGGTAGGGGGGGTTAGAAAGAGAAGTGTAGATTTCAGCCTAGTAGAGAAAGAATTGTTGGATAGTGACAGGTGGCCCCATAATCTCTGTGAGGCAGCAAGGTCCTTGGGCTTGGAAGCATATAAGGAGAGCCAGTCAGGAATGTTATCCTGGAGAGCAAGGTGGCCTTTCGCGTCCCCCTCAGCTCCGAGGTCACTTCCAGCTTCCAGAAGGAAGGAGTAGAGTACTCCACGAGGTTGCCTGGAGTATCCCACACCTTTCTTCAGGGCTCGCCAAGCCTGGAGCGAGAGCCCACCGTTAACTGCCTACAATGACCATGTTAATTGGGTATACGGAGAAGCCACCTACAGTTCCCAACGTGTCGACCAGGCTGTGTTCCAGAAATCTCTATGTGAGCCAGTTGTTTGGAACTCATAATGCATTTCCCCATAGAAACCAAGTTATAAATGGTGGTTGGTTTTTCAGGCCAGTCCACAAATTCCTATTTAACTCATAGTGTTCCTGGAGTTTATCATTAGCAATGCAACGTTAACTGCGCTTGGTCACCATTTAGAGCGTGACGTATGTGGGAAAATGCATGTCAGGTTCCAGTTTGGAGTACAGGCATGCATCTCAATTCTATGTGGCATTAGGGGGTTTAGGGGTGTCGTGGGGAACCTGAAGGAAGGGCAAGTACTTTTGGGTACCAGGAACCCCCACTGCAGATGGAGAGCTCCATGTCCCCAAGGTTCTGAATTGAGGAACAATGGGCAAAGACCCACAGTGAGATGGGGCAGGGGCAGGAATCCAGACACGAATGCCTCTCCCCCACCTCACTGGGCAGATCGGCCATGGTGCCTGTACACTCTCCATGACCCTGGGTGCGACTGAACTTTGGCCCAACCAGGCTCCCGGCTGCAGGCAGCCCATGTGCAGGCCACTTAGTGACCACCTGGCTGAAAGAACACTGCCGTCTGGGGAAATGGAGGTTGGCAAAGCCAATCCACTGTGGAAAATGGACCGCAGAATAGAGAGGGGCCAAGTCAGCTGGTAGCCAGGAAGGACTGCAATGGAGAAATACATTCACCTGCCAGGGTTCCAGGAGGCAACTGACAGGCATTGACTCTAGTTTAATTAATGGAAAAGAAGGTTCTGCAAAGGGCTCTGGGCTACGCACTGGAGAAGGCCCTGTTAGTGCTATGGCCAGAGCCCTTGCATTCACCGCCACACCCTGAAGTCGGCTTACTGTGACAATGCACAGCTCACTGGACGTGGGGAACATGCTTGGCCTGTGTGTGGGGCAAACTGGAAGTGCTGGAGCTAATGCCTGTGGAGCAGCTCTCAACCAATGACGGGCGGGGAGGTGGTGAATAAGTACCCCAGCTCTCCCTTCCCTTGATCGAGGTAACACTGAGGCCTGGTCTACACTGTCTCCCAGAGTTCCCCTGCAGGATTGGGCTCTGGTTGCCCTCAGTGGTAACTGGCTTAAAATAACAGTTAGCTTTTGCTATGGAACAAATCATCCTAAAATGCTGTGGCCTAAGGTAATAATGATGAATTGTTTCTCATGATTGTCTGGGTTAGCTGGTGGGTCTTCTGCTGGGTTTGCCCAGGCTCATGCATGCAGCTGCGTTCAGCTGGAGGCTGGCCAGGACAGAAGGCCCAAGACGGGCTCACTCACACATCTGGTGGGTGGCTGGGTGCCTTGGTTCCCCTCAACGTGATCTCTCATCCTGCATGAGGCTAGACCGGCTTCCTTATATGACGGTCTCAGGGCAGCATTCCGAGAAGGCCCAGGCAAAAGTGGCAGGGCTTCTTCAGGCCTAGGTTCCAGAACACACTCAATGCCAATTCTACCATATTCTGTTGGCCAAAATGAGTCTTCAAGACTGGCCAGATTCAAGGGGTGGAGAAATATACTCCACCTCTGGATGGGAAGGGCGATCAAGTTCTTTAACAAGAATTGAGGATACTGCAATGGGAGAAGTCACAACTATGAAACAATCTGCCACATTTGATAACTTTGTTAGCTTCCTTCCCTTCTCCTATCTTCCCTTCCTTCCCTTGTCTCCTACCATTGTCTTCTGGCATCTCCTCTCAAATAAATCCTTACACTTGAATATTTGAATCAGTGTCTGCTGCTGGGAGAACCTAAACCAAGAGCCACACAATCATTTGGCAGGCTGGGAGCCAGGCTGCAGGCGCAGCTACCAGGCAGGATAGCCCACACCATGCCACAGAGGAAGCCAGGGCCACTGTCCCAAGCTGGTGCCTCTGCCCTGTGGTACTTTCTTCTTCAGGTGCCCATGTTTGGTCAAAGCCTGTTGGGGTGAGACTAAATGGTGCAATCTAGGTCACCTGCTTAGGGTGTTGTTGCAAGGAGGCTGCAGAGGTGAGGTTTCTGAGCTCAGCAGTGGGGAGGAGGGACTCATACGGCTGGAAATTCCCCCAGGCAGAGCAAGGCTGTTCAGCACTGTCCACTTCCCCTAGAGGAGCAGAGAAGAGCATGCAGGAAGGCATGACCCTAGAGAGGGGCAGGTCCCCAGGGTGGCCTGGAGTGGCTTTCCCAGTTTGTCCTGTCTGGCCCAGTTTCCTGCCCAGCACTTTCGCCTTTCTTAAGGTGGTCTAGGTAAGGCTTGGTTTCTTTCTACCAAAGAAGTCCAGCTAACCAAGATCAAGGTCCTATAAACACAGGGATCTGTGCCGTGGTGTTTGTTGTTCCCTGTTCTGGAATTGGGACCACAAGACCTCCTAGAGAGAAAAGGGACTTCCTGGGCCCCACCATCCCCTACAGAGAGCCCACTGGATCTTGGGCAGCATCCCCTGCCTTGGTCCCTGTGATGGTTAATTTCAGGTGACAACTTGACTAGGCTAAGGGCTGCCCAGGTAGCTGGTGAACATTATTTCTAGGTGCATCTGTGAGGGTGTTTCTGGAAGGGATTGCAATTTGAGTCAGTGGACACAGTAGAGAACACCCTCGCCACATGGGAGGGCATTGTCCAATTGGCTGAAGGGCTGAATAGAATGAGAAGGCACAGGAAGGGCACACTTGCTCTCTCTTCTGTGGCTGGGATACTCATCTTCTCCTGCCCTTGGACATCAGAACTCCAGGTTCTCAGATCTTCAGACCCTGGTACTTCCCAGAGCCCAAGTTCTTAGGCCTTTGGCCTCTGACTGAGAGTGATACCATCAGTTCCTCAGGTTCTCTAGATTGTGGACTCCAGTGGAATTCCACCACCAGCTTCCCTGTTCTCTATCTTGCAGATGGCAGATCGTGGGGCTTCTCGGCCTCCATAACCACGTGAACCAATTCCCATAATAAATCCCCTCTGATATATCTCTCTCTATCCTAGTGGTTGCTTTTCTCTGGAGAACGCTGACTAATCCAAGTCCCTAACAGATGGCTTCTGTCCACACAACAACAATGCCTACTGGGTTCTTATAAGTACATTATACTTTCTTAAGGTAGTCTAGGTAAGGCTTGGTTTCTTTCTACCAAAGAAGTCCAACTAACCAAGATCAAGGCCCTATAAACACAGGCATCTGTGCCTTGGGGTTAGCTGTCCCTTGTTCTGGAATTGGGACCACAAGACCTCCTAGAGAGAAAGGGACTTCCTGGGCTCCACTATAATGGACCATAAGTACATTATGCTTAGACTTTGGTGGTTGTAGCTTGTTGGTTCATTTGTTGATTCATTACTTCAGTCCACAAATGCTTATTGTATACCTTGGAAATATTCACCCCTCTGGGGAGAAGCACAGACCCAAAACTACTAAGTAAGAGCAAATTCATGAGTCTTTGAACAGTGCTCATCAGTCAATCAAATCAGACATTGAAAAAATTTCAGTCATTGCCTTTCAATATTGCTGTACTTTAAATCGTTTAGTTAATTATAAAAATCAGGATGATATCTACACCCATTTAAAAAATCCAAATAGTCTGGGTACAGTGGCTCACACTTTGTGAGGCTGAGGCGAAAGGATCACTTGAGCCCAGGAGTTCAAGGCCAGCCTGGGCAACATAGTGAGACCCCTATGCACCTGTGGTCCCAGCTACTTGGGAGGCTGACGTGGGAGGATCACCTGAGCGCAGGATGTTGAGGCTTCAGTGAGCCATGATTGTGCCACTACACTCCAGCCTAGAAAACAGAGGAGATCCTATCTCAAAAAAACAAAAGAATGAAAAAGCCAAATAGTACTAAGCGGGTTATGATATAATGTGACAGTTCCCAGCACCACTCTTCCCTACTATCCCACTTCTTCCTTAAAGGCAAGTACTAAACTTCATTGTTTCTTCTGGAAATTACTCACTTCTACATGTTTGAAGAATATGCCTATGCTGGTATCTTTTGATTCCTTAATCGTAGGTCTTACCTATTGATTTCTTATTGTGATAGATGAGGTTTAGTGGTCTTACAAAAGAATCTTCTCTCTCTTCTCTCCTTTCTCTCCCTCATCCTTCCGATATGGCTATTTTACAATTTTTGCTTAAATCAACATTCAGTCTGGGCTATTATGCCTTTGCAAAATTTATTCACAGCTATGTATTGTAATACATGTTGTTTTCTTTTTTTGCTTTTGTTTTTCCCAAAGTTAATAATTGTTTTGTTGTTTTCATTTGCTTAGCTTTCTTTGTACCCATTGCATATTCTTCCCACCATATACTTTTCCATAAAGTCAATCATAGAAAGTAACCTGTTATTTCCAGTTTTTTCTTGGAGTTGTCCCTACTGGAGACCTCATTTTCCACCAATCTGAATTCGCTCTTCTCTAGGCCTACCATCCAGTTGTCAACCTGTGACTTCCTTTTGTTGTCACTCTTAAAATTCCCTTTGCCTTTCCTCTGAGTTGGAGCCTCTGTGTCCTGGATCTCATGGCATTCTCTTCCTTGGTTTACTCTCTTTCTTTGGAAGCATATCATCTGGCTAACACTATGGCATAGCAGCAGAGTCATAATAATGACTGCACTGGTCTGGACTGGCTGCCTACTGCCCCTTTTGAGTGTCCCTGTACTACCCTCCTGGAAATTCTCTTGGCTTTTCTTTAATGTATATTTTGATCCCTGCATCCTCCTCCTTGGTTTTAATGGTGAATAACTTCTAGTAGCTCTCTAAGAAAGGATTGGGGTGATAATTTTTGGAGACTTTGCGTGACTGAATAACATCTTCTCCCACCTGACTGACAATTTGTGTGGATATAGAATTTTGGGGTGGAAATTATGTTTCTTTAGACTATTGAGGGTCTTGCTTCATCCTTTTCTCTGCCGGTATGGAGGCTGAGACGTTGAAGTCTATTGGCATCACTGACCCCTCATGTGTAACCTGTGCTTTTCTCCCCGGAAGTTGATAGGATCTTCTCCTTGTCCTCGGTGTTCCAAAAATTCCCAGTGGTAGGCATTGGAGTGGAACTGTTTTCAGCCACTGTGCTGGAAGCTCAGTGGGCCACTCAGTGTTCATGGTGCAGAGAGCAGAATTATTAAAAAGACCCTTGAGCCTGTTCTGGGTTGCCTAGACATAAGCCTGCTGGGCTCCAAGTTCCCATCTCTCAGTAGGAGGAGCTCAGCAGAACCAACATCTTCCTTCCCCAACCTTGTCCCCGAGTGGGCGCCTGGGCCTACAAGTTCCTGCAGACTCCAGGGCCTCCAGATGCTGGGCAGCTGGTTACCAACAACGACAAACATCAAGTACCCTGGATCCAGACTGCCCGATGCCTAGAAGCCTATTGTTACTCTCAAGACAAGGCAATTTTCTTACCGTTGCCTGTAAAAGGGGATATAAAAGTGGAATCCACAGTGAGGATGGGGTCCTTTCCTGGAACCAGAATGACACTGCATCCCAGCAGCACCCTCTGTGGAATGAGGGTAGACTCGGGGGTTCCCATCCCTTGTCTTCATGGCCCTTGTTACAACCCTGGGCCTTGTCTTCTCTTTCTCCAGTAAAGGCCATTTCTTACTACTTAATGTGGGATGCTGTGAAATTCTCCTTGAATCCTGGTGCATGCAAGAGATGAAGACCCAGAAGAACTCATTTTCACAACAGTTCTGTAACTCATATTCTTCCAGATCGGGAAATATTCTGGAAGTATTTTGAGAAGGATTTCATCATCTCTGTTTTGTGTGTTCTCTCGCTCTCTCCTGTTTCTCCTGCTAGAGCTCCTCTTGGGCTTTCCATGTCTTTGACTCTTTGTTCTACTTTCTGGGAGATTTCCCCAAGTTAATCTTCCACCTCTTCTATTGAATTTCATGTGCCTGCTCTCATGTTTTTGATTTCCAAGAACTCTTTTTTTTTTGTTCTCTCAATGTTCTTTTTAAAATAACATTCTGTTCTTCGTATGTGACATCTTCTCTTATTTCTCTAGAGATATTAATGATCTTTAAGCACTTTTTTCTTCTTCTTCTTCCTGCATCATCTCTGCTGCTTCCAGGTTGTGTGGTCTCTGTCTTCCTTATTAGAGGCTTTTCTAGGAAGTCCGATAACCCTTGGTCATCTCCTTGTAATTAAATGTAGTGGTGGATGGGAAGGAAACAAAATACTAATTGGAAACTCTGAGTAGGTAAGTGAGGCACGTCAACTTTGAGTTTCAGTGTAAGGTGATCCTGATGGGCCCTTTGTTGGGAAACTCCTGGGTCTGTGTCTTCAGGTTTTTCCTTTTGGGTGGTGAAATGCCTGGGGAGTTATCTTCTGATGTCCTGTCTGAAGGAGAAAAGTCTGGTGCCAGTGTTTTGAAGGCTGAGTTATGGAGACCTTGGTGGGGGTCAGGGCACTGATTCATTCTTTGCCAAGGACTCCTGGCTTTATCTTCTGCAGAGACTAGACCTCCAGACCCCCACTGGTATGAGTATGTCACCCAGGTCTGGCAAATGGGATATGCCTATAGGCTAGGGAATGGTGTGGTGTGTGGTGCAATTTCTAGGGAAAATTTTCCTTTCTGATAAAAAAGAGAGACACAGAGAAGCCTTTCCTCTCTTTCTTTCCCTCTTGTTTGGATGCTATGATGTGAGGGTATGATTCATGAGCTGGGCAGTCATCTTGCAACCATGAGGCAATAAACTAGAAAATTGAAGCCCATATACTGTGGTTAAAGGAGTGAAAAGATGAAAAGAGCATGGAGCCTTGATTACATTGTTGAGCCTCTGAACTCATCTAATATCATACTTACTCCCACTGCAGGACGTGCCAAGTCAATAATAAATGAACTAGTGGTTTAAGCCTCCATTAATAATATTTTCTCTTCATTACAGGTGAAAACAGCCTGACTAATAACACTCCCAGACCATGTTACTGGTCTCAAATTGTTCTGGCCTCCGGAAAGAAAGCTATGGCTCACTGGAGTTGAAGATAAACTAGCAATTTATTCATTCAATATTTATTGAGTCCCTACTGTGTGCCAGGTACTGACTTAGGTTCTGGATTTGAAATCCAAAACCAAACTTGGAAGATGTGGGAGGCATCAACAAGAAAGAGATGAAGCAGGGTCCTCCTGATGCTCTGACTGCTAGTGAACACATGCGGAGCGCTGCCGTGGCCAAGCACTGTGATAAGCACATATCACTTCACGTGCACACCAGCCTCCTGTGGTAGGTAATGGTATTAACCCCACTGTGCAGATGAAGACACTAAGGCTCTGAGAGCTTAGAAAACTTTCTCATGGCAACTTGGCTAGTGAGCATCAAATCCTTTACCCTACACTTAAGCACTTCACAGGTAGACAGGTCATGAGCACCCCTTTTGCAGCCAAGAAGAAAAGGGTGTAATTTGGCAGAGAACAGGGAGAAGTGCTGTGTTGGTCAATCAGACAGCTAAGGAGTGAGTGAGTGAGCAACAGATCACCCATTCAAACTAATGTGGGTTCATGTCATCATTTATGGGGCCTACCATGAGCAACCACTGCACTAGGCTCCGGGATGTGAGACCAGACAAGACGCTGTCCCTGCCTCCAGGGCCCTTGTAGCATGGACACCAGTAAGCAGATGACCAGAGGCCAAGTGATAGGAGCTGCATTCATCATGTGCACAGGTGGCCTTGGAGCACAAAGGAGGGCTAGGTGGATTTTGACTTAGGAGAAGGGGAGAGAGCTGGGGACTGAACGCTGCACAATGGGGGTGATATTTTACCAGGATTTAAGAGCAAGGCTCAGGAAAACTGTTTGGAGGTTTCTCAAAAAGTTAAACATAGAATTCCCATATGACTCAGCAATTCCTCTTCTAGACATATAGCCAAAAGCACAGGATACTGGGACTTAAACAGGTATTTGTACCTCAGTTATTATGTAGTACTATTCACAATAGCGAAAGGTAGAAACATCCTGAGTGTTTATCAGTGGATGAACAAACCAAGTGGGTATATACACACAATGGGATGATATTCAGCCATTAAAAAGGAATGAAATTCTGACACATGCTATGACGTGGATGAACTTTGAAGATATAATGCCAAGAAATCAGCCAGACATAAAACCACAAATATTTTATGAGTCCACTTACAGGAAGTACCTAGAACAGGCACATTGATAGAAAGTAGATTAGAGGTTACCTGGGACTGGGGAAGTGGAGAATGGGGTGCTTCATGGATTGGGGGTTTCTGTTTGGAATGATGAAAGTTCTGGAAATTGTGGTGGTGGTTATGCAACATTGCTAATGTACTTAATGTGAATGTCCTTGATGTGACTGTACACTTAAAATGGTTAAAATGATACATTTTATGTTATGTGTGTTTTGCCATTACCAATAAAACAAAATGAAACAGTCAGGCTCAAATTTCACCCTTCTGGTTTTGAAAGTCCCTGATCCAAGGCCCCCCATGAAGCCACTGTCAGCTCATTTCCCTCTTCATTAAATTCATTCCTCATCTGGCTTTGCTTTGGAGAGGTTATTATTGGTAATCAACCATCAATTCATCTCTAATGATGCAGCCTGAACACATTGTTGGCTGAAGCCTGGACCACATCTGCCTTGCAGGGTGACATTCCCAGGAGGTCTGGATGACCTCTGACCTCTTCCCACCCCTCTTTGGACCCATAGAGGCCCTGCTTCTGCCCTTGGCCTCTCTCCTTCAAGTCCCCAGGACCAGTCTTATAAATCAGCAGTTGTCTTTCCTGGGACTCTGAAGGCCTCTCAAATCTACCCCTTCTGCCTGACCCAAACCTGAAACTCTATCTTTAGAGTCTGAGGTGTTTGACTCAAGGCACTGTGACTACCCAGAGAGGCACGCTCTCAGATTTCACTGGAGGGCAGGGGACCCAGGAAGGGAGAGAGGGACGGACAAAAGAGAGGGAAATTCAGCAGCCTCAGTAACTATGCTAAGGAGGGCTGTGCCTGTGTTTCCTGAGCTGTGAGAAGACTCAGCTTCCAGAAGGCTGACAGATCAGACGGGTGCTTCTGCGTAAATTTACATGAAAACTTATTGCTTTTCCGAAGGGCACATTTTAAACAATACCTTAACCCAAAGGATGGAGATGGTGGCATTTTAAGGCACTGTGCCTGATTTGAGGAGACTGCTGAGGGCATCCGTTGGAATCCCGAGCCACTCAAATTCCACTGGAAGGTGAGGCCAGTTCCTCTAGCTAGGTGTGGCCAGCCTCACTTCTGGGGGTTGGGACAAAAAGTAACACTATGCAAACAATGTGCATCACGTCTCTCCTGATGGAGCGACCAGGGCTGGGAGGCACACCCGGGTGTGTGCCCGAATGCCAATTTTGCAGCCTCAACTTGGATAAAGTATCCCAACCTCTCAGTTTCCTCACCAGTGAGAGGAGGACAAGCTGAGCCGCAGGGAGGGATGGTAAGCAGCAGGTGAGAAGGCACGAGGACACGGGACAGAGCAGTGCTGGTGTGGAGCTCTGCAAGCGCCCTCCCCCAAGGTCTCAGACCCACATCTCAGGACCTGTCTCCAAAAGAACGAGTCACCTAATACTAAGCACAGAGTTCACCGCGGGAGTCAGACACCAGCTGCAAAGTCAGAAAGGAGGCTAAGCCACAACACTATCAAAATGCTGGCCTGAGAACCTGATTTTTTTTTTTAAAAAAGAAAATCCTCAGTTCTCGTAGGATTAGACATTTCTTTTGTTCTCCCTCAGCAGGCTCCAGGGCAGCAGAGCTGGGAGAAGTGGAAGTGTTCTTTAGGTCACGCTTTTGCTCAAGAATGCACAGTGGCTCCTCGGTGCTAATAGAGGGACAGTGAGCAGCCTCTGGTCAGCAGCGCGCAGGGTGCTGGGTGTTCAGTGGAGAGCAAAGCAGACACAGGGCCACCCAGCCTCAGGGACTGACTGGCTAGATCTCAGAGCCATGTTTTTCAAAGAGGGGCCTCCGACCATCTGCATGAGATTCACCTGCCAAGAGGTCGTCCTTGCTAAAATGCATGTTCCTCAGCCATGCCCTTAGCCTCCCTGGGTCAGAATCTCAGGGAATGGGACCTGGGGGATCTACCATTTATTTATTTTTATTTTTTATTTTTGAGACAGGGTCTCGCTCTGTCACTCTGCCCAGGCTGAAGTGCAGTGGTGCAATCATGGCTTATTGCAGCCTCAAACTCCTGGGCTCAGGCGATCCTCCCGCCTTAGCCTCCCGAGTAGCTGAGACTACAGGCATGCATCACTACACCTGGCTAATTTTTTATTTTTGTAGAGATGGGGTCTTGCTATGTTGCTCAGGCTGGTCTTGAATTCCTGGTCTCAAGCCATCCTCAAGCCTGGGCCTCTGAAAGTTCTGGGATTACAGGCACCAGCCACTGCACACAGTCAGGATCTATCTTTTAAACAAGTTCTCCACAGGATTCTTATGCACACTGAAGTGTGAGAACCAGCCCCATAAGGACATGCATCCAGGGACTGCCCTGCACTGTTGGTGGATTTCTTTTTTTTTTTCTTTTTTGAGATGGAGTTTTGCTCCTGTTGCCCAGGCTGGAGTGCAATGGCACGATCTCGGCTCACCGCAACCTCCACCTCCCAGGTTCAAGCAATTCTCCTGCCTCAGCCTCCCGAGTAGCTGGGATTACAGGCATGCGCCATCATGCCCGGCTAATTTTGTATTTTTAGTAGAGATGGGGTTTCTCCATGTTGGTCAGGCTGGTCTCAAACTCCCGACCTCAGGTGATCCTCCTGCCTTGGCCTCCCAAAGTGCTGGGATTATGGGCGTGAGCCACTGTGCCCGGCCCTCTCTGTGGATTTCTACCAGTCACCTGCTTCCCCGACCAAGGAGGGAGTTACTGAGGGAAAATGAAGAAGTAAGGAATGAAATAAGGTCATGATGTCTCCCTTGCCTGCAGGGAAAGCCTAAATCATCACACCTGTCACATCTCGCTTGTTCAGTCTGCTCTTAGCATTCATTGAACACACTGGGGCCACTTCCCCATGTTTCCCCATCCTGCTTGCCTCTCCTTGTGCATTAAAGCAGTGCTTCTTCTTATGCACACAACTTACCCAGTTCCATAAACCTGAACAAAATCTTGTATCACAACCAAAACATGTCATCTCTGTCTTGGCCCACCTGGGGAGGAATCAGTGGTCATGTGATGATTTTACGCCTGACTGCAAGTAGGAGAGAGTGAGAGAGAGTTGCAAAATAACAACAGCTTCAGTGAGACTGCAATCTAATTATTTCCCATTTCAAAGAAGTCATAGGAGGCTGTCTGGGGTTGGTAGAGTAGCTTTATGAAATCATCCAGTATCCAGCCTCTTTCAAACATGCTTCCTCACTGTCTTTAGGGTGTACTTTCCTCCAGTCCTACATGGCTGTTCCAGTCCAGCCCTGCAATCCATCTTCCAGTTAGTGCAAATGATAAAGAGGTGGAGAAAGGCACAGCTCTTTGCCTTAAAGAACACTTCCTGGGAGTCACACATGAACTTCTGCTTACATCCCATTGCTCAGAATTAATCATGCCTGACTGCAAAGGAATCTGGGAAATGTAGTCTTTAATCCAGGTGGCCATATGCTGAACTAAAAGTCAGAGACTCTATTATCCAGAAAGAAGTGAGGAATAGATAACAGGGCCTGCTAGCATTCCCTGCGACACCTTGGCAGCCTACCCCAGTTGCAGGTTTGCCTTGGTAAGCCCAATATTTGAGCTGATTTATGAATATATGAAACTGTCTCATGTCCAATAAGAGCAAAATCAGACAGCATGTGGAAAAGTCAGTAGAAGTTAGAATCAGATAACTACAAAAGGATTAAGAGGAAAGTTTAGCTTTTCAGAGATGAGTACATGTGATTCATTTGAATGGTGTCGTTTGGATTTAAGAATGACTGGATTAGAGACCACCACTGAAATCTTAACGTCATCATAAGGAAAAGAGTGCCTGCAGAACATTCTTTTCCCTGGTTAAAAAGGTCAGGTGTTGGTCGAGTGTGGTGGTTCATGTCTGTAATCTCAGTACTTTGGGAGGCTGAGGTGGGAGGATTACTTGAGGCCAGGAGTTGGAGAACAGCCTAGGCAACATAGTGAGACCCTGTCTCTACAAAACAAAAGAATTTTGTTTTTTTTTTTAAATTAGCTGGGCGCTGTGGTGCACCTCTGTAGTTCCAACTACGTAGGAAGCTGAAGTGGGAGGATCACTTGAGCCTGGAAGATCGAGGCTGCAGTGAACCATGATCAAGCCACTGCAGTCCAGCCTGGGTGACAGAGTGAGACTCTGTCTCAAAAACAAAGCAGCAGAACAAAAACAAAAAACAGATCAGGCATGTCATTGGTTCCTCCTTGGCCCTGCATTCAGGATCAATGTGCCATTCCTAAGCCTGACTTTCAATCCCACCTGATTTCCCAGCCCCTAGAATCTACCCCCACCTTTGTTCATGTTGTGCCTAGATGGTAGATTACTTTTCCTGACACTTCACTCTGATGCTCAGAATCCCCCGGTGCTCCCCACTGCGTACCAGAGAAACTTCTGGTTTCTTCACCAGGTGTGCCCACACACACTCTTTGTTCCCATCACATTAATTCATGTTTCCTTAACTCACCCTGGATCTCCGTGTGAGCTGTCACTTTGGGCATGTCCTAAGAGGCTTTGCAGGTGTCCACTTGCCACGCAGGAAAAGGACATGTCCTGGCCAGCGGAAAAAGGATGAAAGATGTGGGTCAGAACCACCCAGCAATGCACAGACGCCATGAGAAACAACAGCCGCAGCCGCCTTGGAGCTGGCCAGCCTGCAGCTCAGGGAGAATACATGCTTACTGTTGTGTGCCACTGCCGGTTTGATAATTATTAATGATGTAATAGGTTGGTAGCAATCGCTAACGCATCCACCTGACTAGACATGCTCTTCCCTTGTCTAATCCCCTCTGCAGTATTTTCTTTTCTTCTTTTTTTGAGATGGAGTCTTGCCCTTGCCCTGTCGCTCAGGCTGGAGTGCAGTGGCGCAATCTCGGCTCACTGCAAGCTCCGCCTCCCGGGTTCACGCCATTCTCCTTCCTCAGCCTCCCGAGTAGCTGGCACTACAGGCCCCCGCTACCACGCCCGGCTAATTTTTTGTATTTTTAGTAGAGACGGGGTTTCACCGTGTTAGCCAAGATGGTCTCCATCTCCTGACCTCGTGATCCGCCAGCCTCGGCCTCCTAAAGTGCTGGGATTACAGGCGTGAGCCACCGCGCCAGGCCTGCAGTATTTTTAATGACTCGTTTTAGGGTACGAATCACTTCTACCTTCAGTTAGGATTAGATCTGGCCATGAACACAGAGACCCGAGTCTCAGTAGTTTAAAAAAGACAGGAGTTTATTTTTCTTGCACCGAGGTTGTGAAGGGGACACACTGTCCACCGCAGCCATGTGTGGTGAGTGGGAGCCGTCTGTGTTCTTGAGGGCTTCAGCGGCAGAGGGGAGACCGTCCAAGGAGGGCTTCAGCGGCAGAGGGGAGACCGTCCAAGGAGGGCTTCAGCGGCAGAGGGGAGACCGTCCAAGGAGGGCTTCAGCGGCAGAGGGGAGACCGTCCAAGGAGGGCTTCAGCGGCAGAGGGGAGACCATCCAAGGGAGTGAGTGGGGACTAAAATTCAGCCTGAAGTTCTGGCCTACGTCTGTGTCAAAGGTGAGAAAGAGCGCTGCTTCCTAACTTATCCACCCAGAGATAACATCTTTTTGTGTGCCTGCAGAACGCAAGGATATGTGCTAGCTTTTTTACCTTTTCCTTTTTTTTTTTTTTTTTTTTTTGAGATGAAGTCTCACTCTGTCGCCCAGGCTGGAGTGCAGTGGCACAATCTCGGCTCACTGCAGCCTCCGCCTCCCGGGTTCAAACAATTCCCGTGCCTCAGCCTCTCAAGTAGCTGGGATTACAGTCACGTGCCACCACACCTGGCTAATTTTTGTAGTTTTAGTAGAGATGGGATTTCACCAATTTGGCCAGGCTGGTCTTGAACTCCTGCCCTCAAGTGATCTGCCCACTTTGGCGTCCCGAAATGCTGGGATTACAGGCGCAAGTCACCGTGCCTGGCCTTTTTCACTTTTATTTTTGAAAAAAATTGTAAATATAATCAAAAGTAGAGAGAATAATGCAATGAACCCTCTTAGGTATTCTTCATCCAGTTTCCGCAATTATCAACACAATGCCAATCTAGTTTCATCGCTATGGCTTCTCACTGACCCCTCCCCTTTTTCAAAGAGGGAGAACCTTCCAGACGTCATTTAATATAATCTGTAAAGCATCTGTAAATACAGTCATCTCTCAGTATCTGTGGAGGAATTGGTTCCAGGACCCCTGCAGGTACCAGAATCCAAGGATGTTCAAGTCCCTTACATAAAATCACGTATCTGTATATGACCTACACACACCTTCCTGTATACTTTATAAGTCCTCTCTAGAGTCCTTATAAGATGTAATGCAATGCAAACGCTATGAAAATAGTTGTGATACTGTATTTTAAAATTTGTATTAATTTTATTGTTGTATTGTTATTTGTATTTTTTTTTCAAGTATTTTCAACTGGAAGTTGGTTGAATCTTCAGATGTGGAACCTGCAGGTACATAGAACTGACTGTGTAAGGGTTTTCTGTGTGAACATCACCATAATATCATTATTCCACCTAAAAATACCCCAATAATTCCTTAATATCATTAATATCCAGTCAGTGTGCATTTCCCCAATTACTATTTATTTATTTGGAGTGTAGTGAAACGAGCATGGCTCACTACAGCCTCGGGCTCCTGGGCTCAGGTGCCTCAGCCTCCAGGGTAGCTGGCCACATTCAGCAAGTTTTTTTTTAGAGACGGGGTTCCACCATGTTGCCCAATCTGGCCTCGAACTCCTAGGCTCAAGTGATCCTCCTGCCTTGGCCTCCCAAAGTGCTGTGATTACAGGCTCGAACCACCATGCCTGGCCCCCAATTACTTTTATAGTTTACTTGTTCTAATTCCATCTCATGAAAATCTAAACACTGCATTTGGTTGATAGATCCCTTATGTCTCTATAGGCTCCCCCTCCATCTCCTTTTAGCACCTGTTAATTTGGTTTTTGAAGAAAATGGTTGGTTTATCCTATAGAGTTTCCCTAATCTGAATTTTGCAGATTGCATCCCAATGTTATCTTTTACTACGTTTCTTTGTTTCCTGTGCTTCCTAACAATTGGAAATTAGATCTGGAGCTTTCATCAGGCTCAGGTTTCATTTTCTGGAAAGACCACCTCATGGATGGTGGTGTGTTCTATCAGAAACGCATCATGGCCCATTGTCTCTCTTTTGCTGATATTAGCAGCCATTAACGGTCATTGCCTAGAACTTTTATTTCATCAAGATGACATGCTCATGATATCATTTCTTATTTGTTTGCCAATATTTCTATAAAAAGAAATTTCTCTCATTAAATATTTCATTATCTTAAAATAATAGAGTTTGTATGGGAAAGCCAGGACACATACTTGATTCTTTCTCTTTATTTACCAATTTCTAGCATCCTCCAAGCGAGCTTTATCTTCTACGAAAGATATCCCACAACATTCCTATCTTCATCCCTGTCCGCAGGACTTAATCATACAGCCTTCCCTCACTGCCAGGGGGTCTGGGATCTTCAGCTGGGATTTAACCTGGGCAGCCAGGTGCTCAGGTAATTTCCCAATTACATTGGAGAAGGGGATTGTGAACCCTGGTAACTGCTTCATTTCCTGTTGGCCCATACCTGTTTGAGGGCTGAAGTGGCTTCATTCATCTTATCTTGTATCCCTTGCACTTTCTGATGCAAAAGGCTCTACTCAGTGACTGTGCAGTGAACATATGAATAAATGGTGCAGTCCTCACTGTTCCCATGCTTTCCATGACCCAGGTTCCCAGTTCGGCCAAGAACATTGAGCTCCTTCCTATATAGCACATTTGTTCCAAGCTGCTGCTTCTCTTCTCTCTCTTTCTCCTATTCTTCTCTGACCTTCTCACTCCTCTTCCTCTTCCTCTTTCTCCTCCTTCTCCTCTTCCCCTTCCCCTCCACTTCCACCTTTTCCAGTTCCTTTTCCTTCTTTTTTTTTTTTTTTTGAGATGGAGTCTTGCTCTGTTGCCCAGACTGGAGTGCAGTGGCAACATCTTGGCTCACTGCAACCTCCGCCTCCCAGGTTCAGGGAATTCTTCTGCCTCAGCCTACCTACTAGCTGGGATTACAGGCATGTGCCACCATGCCTGGCTAATTTTTGTATTTTTAGTAGAGACGAGGTTTCACCATGTTGGCCATGCTGGTCTCGAACTCCTGACCTCAGGTGATCTGCCCGCCTCAGCCTCCCAAAGTGTTGGGATTACAGGCCTGAGCCACCACGCCTGGCTCCAGTTCCTTCTCTTTCTTCTGCTTTTAATTCTGGGCTTTTGTTCATATTTTGCTTCCTTGACTCAATGCCACTCCCATTTTCTCAGCCTGTTCAAAATAGACCCACACTTTAGGGTCCTCATCTCCCCTGATCCATCCAGAGGATTTCCTGAGTATTCAGGCCTACCGTGACTTCTGTCTGACTCACCATCATCCTTCGTTATGGGCAGCCTGTCCTGATTACTCTTTACTTTCTTGTGTTTATGCCCTGGCTCCCCAGCGGCCATCAGTGCCTGGGGCCACGGCTCTTTCTGCAGCAGACCGCATCTAGAATCCCCTGCCACGTTCAGCACAGGGCTGTCGTGACACCAGTCCCAGTAGGTTCACTGATTGACGCATAGCTGTTTTGCACAGCTTTTGCAAGTTGTCAACTTGATGTCAACACAACATGGAGAAGAGCAGGAATGCTGTCATCATTCTTGAACATTTTTGTTATCTACATGACTGATGTGGTGGGTTTGTTTTCATTTGTTGACTAAAGGACAATGTGGTCATAACCTAGATGTAAGGTTGGGCTCCAAAAGAGCTGTTCTTAAAACAGATACTTCTGGGCTCCAGAAACATGATGATCTGTAGAAATCTTTTTGCAGGTGGTCATAGTGGAGCCAAAAGAGAGTGGGGATTCAAAGTGTGGGTCAGAGACCAAAGTGACAGCGCTTTCTCCATCCTCTAAGGCCATGTTTTTCCATTTTGGATTAGGAATTATAGATCAACCTTCACTTTTCATTTTTTTATACTTCTTGAGCCTTACATGCTATGCCACAAACATGCACTAGGCATTGATTTTGGCAGGGATTGAGGGGGTGCAGAACATACAAAGAAAAAACCCTGAAGAATGGAATATTTCTACAAATCTTTCTACTCCAGAAATCTTCTTATTGTACTTCTATGGACTTTAGCTAATGGGAGGGAGAGTGGAAAACAGTCATCCCAGCCTGACGGAAACAGATAGAAAGTAGAAGCAAGACTAGGCTATGTGCTAGGAAATATGGATTCTAGTTCTAGCTCAGCCATGAATGGCTGTGACCTTGTTTACAACCTTCTGAGCTTTAGCTTCCTCACCTGAAAAACAAGAGACGGGCAAGACAATAATCGACTTTCATTCTGGAGACATCAATGAATTTATGCTTCTAGAATTTTGTTTTCTTTTCTTTTTTTTTTTTTTTCAGATTCTTTATCACTTTCTCACTGAATCCTCACAATAAACCTATAAGGTAGGTCTGGCAGGGGTTGTGCTAATCCCCATTATACAGATGGGTGTGTTGGGGCTGAGAAATGTTAGGTAGTTAACAAGGTTTCATTAAAAATGAAACTCCTCCTCCTAATCCACAAAAATTCCTTCTTAGCAGGAGGCTCATGCCTGTGTTTATATGTTGGTGTACTGAAAATGCAGGCATCTGTCTGTCAGGTTTCTCTGATGTGCAAATACGAAGGATGCAATTATTAGGTGGACTCATAGATTTCCCTTGGTTTGCATTGCTGGTCTGTTCTTTGATGATTGCCTTTCTCTGAGGGATGTTCCATGCTATAGCATAATTTACACTAACTGCATTAACTAGGCAATCATAAATAGCAAGTGGAGGGCAAGAGGTGGTGAGCAAGGAGAGATGGACAAGTGAAGGGAAAGAACTAAGAGCCTAATAGCCAGGCCCGATTCTGTGTACTCTACAAGTATTAACTCATCTGGTTCTCAAAAGAACCCCACCAAGAAGGTTGCTATCATCAAGCCCATTTTACAGATGTTGAAACCAAGGCCTAGAGGAGTTAAATAACTTGCCTGAGCTACTATGTGTCAGAGGCAGAATGTGAAGCCAGGCAATTTGATTACAGAGTTTGAACCCTGACCTCCTTCCTGTCAAGGTCAGATTGGGTAATCATAAGCTTTTGCAAGCTGTTCTGGTACAAAGTAAGATTTTTAAAAAAGAATGCCCATCCAAAACTAGCAAGGTTGCACAGAGAAACTGGCATACCATATACATACTGCTGATAGTACTGACAATGAGTTTTATCTTTTTATAAAGCAATTTGTGGCAAGAGCCATAGTTTTCCGTATTTGTCAATCCATGAATGTCAATCCTAGAAGTTTATTCTACGTTTATAGTTCGACCAAAATGAGATGCCATATGCATGAAGTTTATTGTATGATCTGTAATAATGGAACACTGGGAGCAAATTAAATGCCCTAGAATAAGGTATGATTAAGTAGTATCATGATACGTTCACTAGTTGGAATATATAAAAGCATTTGAAATGATAATTACAATGGCTACGTAAAAGGACAGGAAAATGTTTCTGATAAAATGTTAAGTTTAAAAAGCAGGATGAAAAATATGTAGATTATGATGACAATTCTGATATATATGCATACTGTCCAAGCCTGAAATAGAACAGGAAAAACTTCTAGTAGTTAGGTGTTTGTTAAAATCCTTTCATTTTTTTCAGATTTCAATTAGTAGTGGCATTGTGTTTATTTATCAGATAATGAAAAAAGGAAAGAGCTGGTGGTAGAAGTGGGTTGAAAAAAATTGCCTAGGGTGAGACTTGGACTGCTATTGGGAGACTTGCCTCTGGCCGTCTTCATCCCTGAGTTCTCTGGGGGCAGCCAGAGTTTAGGGTGGGAAAGAGAGCTCAGGCCTGAGAGATCCACGGGCTTATGGGAGAGAGAATGGTGAACCCTGGGTTCTGCCCTTGCCACTGGGAATATGGTAGCTGTCTGGGTAAAGCCAGGCTGTGGTTTTCCCTTTGCTGTCTTGTCCATTGTCTTACCTCACTTCTCCCATTCTTTATTCTTCAAGTCTCAAAAGCCTTAGAAGTCACTTTCCCGGAGTCAGCCTCAACTCCTCCCCTTGCCACCCACTGGGCTGGGTGCCCCTCCAAGGCTCCCCGTTTGCCCAGCTTCCCGTGCTGCCCATTTCTGCATGGAACAAGCTCTATGGTGATTGCCCGTTGGCATCTCTGAGGCCCTCTCTGGCCTCCAAGAATTGGGATCTTGGGCAGATCGGGATCACCTCCCTATGCCCTTGCTCAACACAGCATGGATTAAATGAATGACCCTCCTTTTCCAAGGTGAGGGCAGGTTGGGGTTGGATTAGATTCTTTCCAGCTCCACATACTGTGATTTTTACCATCTCCTATTTATCAGACTCATTAAAGAAAGAAACCACTGGGCTTTGAAGACAAGTCCCAATGTAGGGAATGTCCTCTGTCTTTCTGCCCGTGGGTGGGCCCCTGAAGCATTCTCTGGCCTTAGTGTGTGAACTGTGAGCCTGATTGTAGGCGTAGGGTTGCCTTGGGAGTTTTCACAGAAGGTCAGCTGAGCATGCAAGAACACCGCCTCAGTCGTCCTCCTGGCAACAAAGCTTGCGGTGAAGGCTCTTTGATTGGGTCTTGCTTGTCCCCAGCTGGACTGTCACAGGGCACATGTGACACGGTGGCTGCGCCTCCACGTGTGAATTTGCAGGAGCCTCAGAGCCTGATGTTACATATCCGCCTGCTGGCTGTGGAAGTGGGCGTGTCTGTGCACATGGCTGGGTGTACCTGTCTCAGATCAGGGCAAAAGGTAGATGAGTGGCCCTGGGTTTTCTGGGCAGTGTGTCTCTGTGTAGACTGTTGGCAAAGACCTCAGTGAATGAGTGAATTTCAATTCAGCAAATAATTATTGTGAGCTTTGTGCTCTCCAAGAGCAACGACGCGGTGCGCCAGGCAGAGAGCCTGGGGAGTGTGCGTGTCTTACCTGTGTCTGCATCGTGTGTTCCCTCTGTGTGTCTCTGAGAATGCGTTCTTGGCACGCGTCCTGCGTTAACAAGGCGTTTGGTGTGTGCATGTCTGTGTGACAGTGCCTGGGTCCTGTTTGCGGCTGCTTGTTCGCATTCCAGCTTCCCTTGTGCCCGCAGTCAGGCTCTACACGTGCGCCAGCCTCCGAGCGCACGTCCCCGAGTGACCCGTGCGCGGTGTGCAGGGACCTCAGGGTCGTGTGCACTAAGGGCGCTCGTGCCCGTCTCTCTGCACTAAGGAACGCACCTCCACATGTCTGAGTGCACGTCCCTCTCCATGTGTGCACGTTCCGTGTTCACGCCGCCCATGTCTGTGCAGGGGCGCTTCACGCGCGCCCTCTCCGGCCCGCGGGCGGCCAGGGACCCGCGCTGGGCTCCACGCTTCCCGTGGGGCTGACCCCTCCCTCGCGCCCCGCAGCGGGCCGCAGCGATTGGCCGCCGGCCCCCTTCCAGCCGTCACCCCTCCCTCCCTCCGCCACCCGCGCGCCCGCGGTCCCCGCTGTCCCCCGCGGTTCCGGCGAGGCCGCGCCGCGCTGCGCTCCGCTCCCATTGGCTGCGCGCGCCTTTGTGTGGCGGCAGCTGCGGCCCCAGCGCCTTTGAATGTCGAGAGGGGCCGGGAAGGGAGCCTTTCCATGGGCCATCTGTCTCCCCGCCAGCCGCCGCCCCACCGCCGCCCGCGCCCCGCGCTCCGCCTCCCGCCCCGGCGGCTCCCGCAGCCCCGCCGCCGCCCGCGCCCGCGCCCCGGAGCCGCGCCACAAAGGGCCCGCGCGCAGCCGCCGCCGCCGCCGCCGCGCGAGGAGCCAGGATGGTCCTGGTCCACGTCGGCTATCTCGTGCTTCCAGTGTTTGGCTCTGTGCGAAACAGAGGTATCGCTTTTTCCTTTCGGGGTCTGCTTCGGAGCGTGGATCGCCGCAGGCACCGGGGCGGGGGCGGGCGCCGCGGGCGGCCGGGGGCTCAGGGCACACCCGCGAGGACGCAGGGCGAGCGGTGGCTTCCCCCCACCCCATTTTAGGGGGACCCCCGAGGGTGGGGGCGGCCGCCCTCGTGGGAGCTTTTGTAGTGAAGTTAGGGTTTGGCGAATTTGGGTCCCTTCCTCCCCAGCCCCATTTTTTATTTTTTGCGGCGGACGTGGTTCCCCCAAATCACAGCCCCTTCCCCTAATACCTAGCCCTGTATGATCGAAAGGAGAAAGATACATGACCGTGTGTGTGTGTGTGTGTGTGTGTGTGTGTGTGTGTGTGTGTGTGAGAGAGAGAGAGAGCGCGCGCGCGAGAGCATGCTTGGTTTTCTGTGGTTTGCTTTTTTTGAGGTATATGTGTGTTTTGTGTTATGTGTGTTTTGTATTCATTTTTTGTTCATTAGTACCGATGGCTGGCTAGCTGGGACCTGGGTCTCTGCCCTATCCCATGCCCCAGCCCCCACCCTCTCGTGGGCACTTGCACGATTTTCCATCCCATCCTTTTTTCGTCTTTAACCCTTTTTGTGCATCGCCCTTGTGCTATTGCCCTGCTCACCCCGCCCCCCGCAACTGTCTTTGTATGACAGTTGCATACACGGGTTCAAGATGCTTGGGCGCGTGTGTGTGTGTGTGTGTGTGTCTGTATGTGTGTGTGCATGTGTGCGAGTGTGCGCGCGCGCCTCGGAGAGTCAGACCTGCGCTGCTGTGCCCTCCTTGGGTCCGGCTGGAGCGGGGCGTCCGGCCCTTGGGTGTTGTGCTGTGTGTGAGGATGAGGTGGGAAGCTGCCCCCACGCCAGGCCTTTGCCCCGGGCAGCGGTTGACAAAGCAGCGGGCCGGCGCGGGCTTTGTTTTTAACTGTGATAAATGGGGTGTGTTTGCACGGTCCCCTTTCCCCACATCCCCTCTCCCTCACATTCTGCTACAACAATAGCTTGATTTTCCCCTCTTCTCCCCACCTCCACTCCACATTTCTTTCATTTTCTTTTAATAAAAAATTCCCACCTCCCAAGCAAATCCGAGATGCATTTAGATTCATTTTTTTTCTTTTTTGTATTCTGCCTCTGGACTCACATTTCTCGTCTTGGAAATGTTTCTTCTATCCTCTCCCACTCCACGTCTGCTTAAATCCCTGCTGGCTCAGGCCCTCCTCCCCCTCTCCCCACTCCCTCATACACAGAATGATGTCTTCCCTTGGCCGACCAGGGCTCCTCTACCAAGTCGGGGTGGGGGGTGGGGTCGCAGGGCCAGCGCTTTAGTGCGCCCCAGGGGCCCGATTGGGCAAGAAAAGGAAAGCCCAGCCCTATTTTATCCAGCCCAGCTGTCCCCAGCCCCGCGCCTCTCCCCAGAACCTAAAAGGCAAGCTTGGCCCCCTTAGGCCTGTTTGAACCGCAGTTTTTTGTGTGATGATAGAATGATGACATTCTGCATTTATCAAATCTTTTTTTTTCTTCATTGTGTAGCTCAGTGAATGGTCAACTCGCTGCTGTGTGCGCTGTGACCCTTCTGCCTCCGCATTTAGCTGTATTGTGACACCCTCTTAACCATTTCCTGTCTCCATCTGAGGAAGGCATTGCTATTTAAGCGGCAGTATCCCCTATCTCAGGCCAGCCTAGCCATGGGGGTGAGGGGGAGTGGGTGTGTGAGGAAGAAAGAGGGGGGCTGGATGCGATCTCCTTGAAATGCCACCCCCTCTCTCAATACACAATTATCTCTTATTACTTGGCATTTCCTCTTAAAACGGGTGTGGAACATTACACTAGGCAGAAATTCAAAAATGATTAAGAAGGATGTTGAGCCTGAAAGTATAATTATCCTGATTAAATCATTACCATCCTCATTAATACCACCAATCTCTAAATACCATTGCAGGATGCTGATTCCATGTTTTGAAATTCAAATTGCTCAGCTGCCTTTAAATTTTATTTTTAATACTACCTTCTCCCTCACCCCCCCCAACAAAAAAAAATCCAACAACACAAATTCTGCCCATCAGTTAAAGTTTACTTTCACGGCAAACATGCCCACAGGAAATTCAAGGGCTGAGGGGTGAGTTGGTCTGTGGGTAAAATTTCGCAGAATGTGATAAGAGTTCATGACCTTCCGATAGAGGATACTAATGCTTAACTCAACAAGGTCCTAAACCACAATCTTCTTGTAAAACTATTAGAGAGTTTGCCAGCTTAAATCTGTTCTTTTTAGTTTCCATTGTAGTAGTGTAGGATGTAGGCCATTTCAGAATAGATGTAGAGAAATAACCATTTTTGTATCTTCATCTTGTTTAGCCGAGTACATTGCACTGTAAATCCCTGTTAAGTGGATTCCTTTTGCCTTGGCTTAGAGGCTGCAGCACTTCATTTTTCAGTTATCTGGGTGACTATCAGTTAGCTTCTTGGCAGCACCCAGGCATAACTGAAGATTGCACTTAGTTGGAGGCAAAAAATGTTAAACATATGTATTAAAAAAATCTTTGATGAAATGACAGTTGCTGCTATCCCATAGCCTCTGAAAACTTGGTGCACCAAGGTCCCTGGCTTAAGTGGGAGCCATGGCCATAGCGTCTTAATTGTTTAATTGTACAATGTCAAGAGCATCTTTGGACATCCGCCCTGGCCCTCAGAGCTGCCCCTTTAACAGCCGGCTCCCTTCTGCTGCTCGCCAGCCAGACCTGCTTGAAAACTGAAACAAAACAGCAGCAATAATAAAAGAATAAGGCCCCTACTTTGAGGGCCCTTCCAAAATAAAGTCCCAAATAGCCTCCCCAGACTGCCATTTGGCAATCTGAAAAGAAAGAGAAAAAAGAAAAGAAAAGAAAAAAGAATCCCAGCAAAATGGTTTTCCATTAAACAGGGGTAGCGTGTTCTGCTGTGCTGAATTACTTCCTGTTCTTATTTTGTGGGTAATTTTTTCTGTATCAAATATCCTTTTGGTTGTGTATCTTTTTCACCTTTTCTTGTACTAAAACTAAAGCATGATCTGTATTTTTTTACATCCCCCAGTTGACAATGTACAGCGCTCGGTTAGAGATGTTACCCTGCTGAAACGTACTGTGGTCGTGTAGCCCGGGCCATCTGCTCATTGTACGCTGCTTTTGTTCTGTTGCCCTTCCGAAGCATGGTGGGCCCAGCCTTTTTTTTTGTATCGTGTGCATGACGACATTGTTACACACAGAATCCACTAATACTAATATACAATCTCTCAATAAAGAACTAGTTTTCCTATATTAACCTAGTGTGCTTTTTCTCTTGCTGTTTTCCCATTTATTGTCGTATCCTGCTGTTTAGATTTTCCCCCCTTGCTTTTCTATCCCCACCCTCACCCACCCACCACTCCCACCTCCCATTGTAAGATTTGAGTGAATGCCTTTTCTTTTTACTTTACTTTTTTTTTTTTGTGGTACAGATATGGTGACTTTAATCTCATTTAGTCCATATCTTTTCACAATAGATGTCTGGAGCGATAGGAGGGGCCAGTTGTCCTGTTACACTGAAACAGTTCACCTGCCTAGAGAGAACCCCTACCTTTGGCCGCCTGTGTACTCAGTAGCTTCCACATTTCATCTTAGTTTTCAAGATACATGGGCACTGGGTTTATGATGCTGGTGAAGAGAAGGGGATATAACACTTAGGTTGAGAAAAGGGATACTGTTCTTAACTAGCAATCTTGTAGCATTTCAGACTCGCCTAAAAACCCATTTTGAGTTGTGTTTTAACTTTTCTGTTTGCTGTCTCATTGATTTACTGTCCTTATAAATCATGCTGGGGGTGACATGTTACATGTAGCTGAAGCCATGATCTGGAATTTTAAAGTACCCTCTTCTATGTGCATATTTAAATTTTTAGGACTTGCAATATAAGTTTTGCATTGAGATCCTGGATAAGGAAGATGTTTGAAACAGAAGCTGACTCAGGCCACTCCCACCCCTATCCAGGGCCAGCAGCGGACCTGTTACTGTAGGAATAAGAGGGTCTGTGCCCTCTGCAGGCTGTGAGCCAGTTAAAGCTGATTATAGCCTAGTTTCCTGACAGCTGCTTCATCTACGGCCCTAGGGCCTCTCTTAAGAGAAAGACAGCTAAGATCTCAGCCATTGTCTAAGTGTGTGTGTTGAGGTGGGGAAGGGGGAAGGGGAAATCAGGAGTAAAGTCAGGACCTAACCCCAAATTGAGTTGAAAAAAGAACCCTTAAAATATCTTTTTTTTTTCCATAATTACACTGGAGAAGCCAGTGGAGAGGTATTTTTTTTCCCAGAGTGGAACCCAAATTCAGCCATTTGTCAATTACACCTATTCAATTTCAGCCCAGAACAAGCCTTGCTAAATGAGGCATTTTAGACACTGAGGAAATGAGTTGATTAAAGAAATTCCTGGTTCTTTCAAAGGGTCATCATTTTGGAGCTGCTCCTCTTTTGGCCGATGTGCCTTGTCCTTGCTCCCCTGGGCTGACTGACTCCCCGGCTCACCCTGCTCCTCGCTGGCGGGTGCACCCCTGCCTGACCACAGCGCTTCCTTGCCTTCTTTGTGGCTTCATGCAACTCTCCTCTCCCCCCATGGCTGCCCTCTCTGCTCTGGCCCTCTTTGTTCTCGTGCTCTTCCCAGCCTGGATGGGAAAGCTGAGCTGATTTACTGTGACACATGGACACACATGGATGTTCCCAGTGGAGGCTCTGCTGTAGTTTGTGCAAGAGGAGAGATACAGGTTTACAAGGCTAGTCCTCTGAAGATTTTGTTTGTTTCGTTTTCTTCTTTTTAAATTTTCATTTACAGGAGACTTAGAAAGCCTCCAATCCAACCTCAACAATAATAAAACTACCCTGAATTGAGTGATCACTCTCATATTTGCCCTAGAGAACAGTGGCTCATTAGATCAATCTTAACCAATTCCAGGATTTCATTTTTCTAAATTTTTGTTAAGTATGTCAGAATTGTTTGAGAATACATTTTGAGGATGATTAGTAACCTAGTAATAATATAGCAAGCTGTGGGTTAATGGGAAATCATGTTTTAGCAATGTATGCAGTGTATTTAATGTTTGACCCAGATTGTCTGAACTAAACACTTACATATTAAGGAGACTTTCCCTGTGACTGGACGATTCAGGAACTACAAGGCCATTGTTCTTTATATTTATTCTCTCAACCACCTGACACATGTCTGTTTTAGCACCTTGACTTCAGGATTTTGGAAACCCCATCAGTTCAGTGAATCCTATGTCATAGGCTTTGTAATAAGATGGAACACAGTTCTTCTTTCTGAACAAGAGAACTTCTCTCTTGAAACTAGCATCAGAAAGACCCACTAAGTTAATGAGTTTTCTTTAATAATAATTTTCCGCAAACCAGCAAATACTATTAGTTACTCAAATTTAGGGAAAAGACCACCAAAAGTGTTGAGGCCCTAATGTGCAAATGTCAGGGCCTGGGCCACTCATCTTCCTTTTGCAGTTTTCTCACCTCCTGCCCCACCCTGTCCTTCCCATCTTTAAATAAGTATCCTGCAGTAGCACATTAGATGATTTAATGGTTTTTAGGCTACGGAAGCAACAGTTCTGTGCTGGATCCAAGGGCAGCAGGGACCCCTTTTCTGAAGCAAAGGGCAGGAGACGACAGGTCCTTGACCCTGATTCAGGGTGTGACTTTGGTTCCCTCAATCCTACTCCACAACTGTCACACAAATCTGCAAGACACTTGTGCCTTAGTTTCTCTATGGATCTAAACAGCTTTGTAAAAATTCCCGGCTTAACATTGTATGAATGTGAATTAGTATTTATTAGTTTCTGGTATGGTTTAGCTACAGATAAACCAATATATTTCCAAGAGAATTGGGGGAAAGGGGAGGGCTTATCTTGGAACGACTCAGATTTTCAGGATGATTTAAGAACCAAAAGCAAACCCTTATAACCCCATAGCCAAACCTCATGCAATGCCTGTACTTCATGTGTTTAGTTGTTCATTCATTCACTCACTCACTTGTTTGTTCATTTAGTTAATGAGTGTTCATTGAATACTTACTTGGGGCCAAACACTGCGCTAAGGGGGATACAGAAGAAATGGAGACCTGAGTGCCTCCCTCCTGGGGCTTATGCTGAGGTTGAGGGAAGAATGCTTAGGAAACCAGATACTGTCTAAGATGTTCTGGGCCAAAATGTCCACACGAATGGCAGAACGTCCTGACTGCTGAGATAAAAGAGCTTGGAGCAGTCCAGGGTTTGAGTCCTAGCCCAGTCTTGACCTGGAAGGGTGATCTTAGGCCACTGCTTTGAGCATCCTCTGAACAATGACTGATGACTGCCATGAAACCTACCTGATAGGCTATGTCTAAGCTGTTACAAGATACCTGGCACGCGGCAGGTGCCTAGGATGTGCTAGACAGTTGCCCCTTCCCTTCACAACTGTAGGTGTTTGCTAGCCAGAGGATCAAATAAGGTCAGAGGTGAGCTTGCTGCAGAGGCGGGTTTGCAATGTGCCTCAAAGGGTAGTGTGTATACAGGAGGGAGGAGGAGGAAGAGGAGAGAGCACCCCAGGTGGAGGGAATGAGTGATTTTGGCCAAGGCCAGTGGCTCTGCTGATTTGGCAAGAACAGAAAGTACGTAGCAGGAGGGAAGAGTGTGTGTTGATGGCGGGGCGGAGGCACATGTGCAGGCCTACAGGGAGCACCGGGATCATTGTCCTGTCTTTGAATGGCTCTCCTCAGAGCACAACTCTAGGAGTTAAGCAGCACGAGGTCTGGAGAATGTGGGAGAAAAGGCTTGAAGAGGTTTTGAAGCCAGTTTCTGAAGGCCTCTGGAGAGTTTGGACTGGCTTCTTTGGCCTTTGGGAGCTCTGAGGGGAGAGGGCTGTTTAAACAGTTTATTCTGCAGCTGATGACAGAGGGATGGGGCTAAGGGCTGAGGTCAGGGAGGGGGGTGGGACAGGCGTGGGGGGTAGGGAGGAGAAGATGGCTCACATCAGGGAGTTTACTGTAAGGTGGAGTAAGCAGGATTGAGTCTATGTGGAAGGGGCTGAGGGGCAGGAGGTCTTTGGGGTGCTTTGGAGAGTAGAAGACCATGAAGACAAACGGGGAACATGGGAGGAACAGTCCATTTTGGTGAGAATTGAGTTTAGTGTACAGATAAGCACATAGAACTTCAGACGCCAGAATGGCAGATGGAAGGGGATTGTGGCAACGTCTGGGAGTTGAGACTTCTAGTCCTTTACATACAGATTCCTGGTTGGGGTAGGAAATGAACTTCAACAATAAAAATTCCTCATACTCACATGACTTGTCCCCCCCAGACTCTCTGTTGATGCCTGAAACCCTTGTGATGTTATTCACATGTGTCTTTACTGGCTTAGGTCACCCCTTGAGCAAGCTTTCTTACAATATGAACTCCTCCCGGAGTTGTACCAATCAGTATCCCGAAATCTGAGTTGGAACAAGTTTTATCAAACTTTGTCTTTCTTGAAAAGACAGACCCCAAAGTGGGCAAGTACCAGGAGCTTTGCCTCCACTACTTTGCAAAAGGCCATCCCTACACATGGGAGCAGGGGGAACGGGAGGGAGCCCGACCCAGTAGCGTATTGGGAGAGGAGAGGGCAGGGAGTAGGGACTGAGGACAAGGACAGGGGCTCTGATCTCAAGATTGGTCCTGTCTGCAAAGAGGGGTTTTTTCGCAATTCAAAGCTCTCTCTTCCATTATCTTATTTCCTCCTTGGCACAGCCCATGAGGAGTTAATTGAGAATCAGAGGAGGAAGCTGAGGCCAAGAGTGGTGAAAGCCTTTGCCACCCTTCCTGACTAGCTAGTAAATGGCTAAGCCAGAAGGGGAACCTAGGTGATTGGACACTCGACTATGGCCCCCTGCACTGCCTGCCATGGCCTGCATACGGCAAGGAGCCTCATCAAGACCAAGGCAAGAATGAGAAAGGAATACCTGCTTTCCCGCCATAGCTGGTGGGACCGATTCTGAATGCTAGGCTCTTTGTCCACAGTGGAAAAGGATCTTTCCAGCTAATGGCCTGCCAAGCTTCGAGGGGGTCTAGACCCCCAACCCTGAGCCTTGCACATCCCAAAAGGGGACTTTGAGAGACAGGGAGGGTGCATGGTGGACCAGAAACTCTCCAGAGTGGGAAATGAACAGGGCATTGGAACCCAGGGTGGAGAGTCCTTTCACCCTCAGATGCCGTCTCAGAGCAGGCCTGGCTGGCTTGCTGGAGGAACTCCAGGGAGGTGGAGTCTGTACCCTGATTTCCACAGAAATAATAGGTGTCCCCTTCCTGAGGCCTTGAGCCCCAAGATGAGGGCACGTTTTGCATTTTTTCTTAGAAATTCTTGAAGCCTTAACAAATTGTATCTATGTTGTTTCATGGAGATGATAGAATCACATTCTGGAAAGTTTAGAAAATAAATCAAAGGAAAAAAAACCTCATAGGAGTCCATCCCTCTGTGATCATGTGAGTGAAATGCAGTCATATTTTTGTTCATCTATTTGTTGTTTTTTGGGGGGGAGTGGAGCTGTAAACACAATATATGTATACTTTTTACATTCTCTATTTCCTATTTTACATTAATGTCACAGACATTTTCACATTCTGCTATGCTGTTTTCACAAGCACTGCTTTTAATGGCTACATAATATTCCACTTGAATAGTGGCTCAACAGCCAAGTTTGCTGGCTTCGCATGCACTCAAAATGCCATAGGTTCTAGGCCGCTTGGTGCTGCTCTAACCCACCTCCCTTGGACTGCTGTCCAGCCATGTGGGGAGGAGGTAGTGAGTGGATCAGGTGTGACAACTCTCACTCCTCTCTGCCCACCAGCAGCCCCTTCCATCGAGAGGCCCAAATAAGTGGAGTGGAGGCAGATAAGAGAAGGCTGGGGAAAGGAATATGACTTGAATAAACTATTCTGAGACCTAGATTCTGGTCCACAAACTTCCACTGTGATCTTGAACAGGTTAGTTTCCTTCCATCAATTCTCAGTTTTCCCATCAGTCAAATGGGCACATCTTATGGCTTGTGCCTTACTGGACTCGTCACATGAAGTAATGCATAGGAAACAAGTCGAGAAGCCAGCCAAAGGCGACAGTGAAGATCATCACTGACATTCTTCATAGTGGTGGCACTCAGACAGGCCATGTGGGACAGTGGAAATAGTCCTGGCTTCATGGCCTCTCTGCCAGTAACTACCCGTGTGAGGTCTTGGCCAAGCCTGAGTACTCCGCGACTTCACTGCCTATCTGCCAAGGGAGAGAATTGACTGGATTGCCCCTGCCTGCTCTAAAGCACTGTGCTTTCCTCGTGATGAGAAGAGCTTCTATTCCTATCACCTTTTTGCTTTTTCATTGGGAAGATAGCCACATGACCTTTAGGACTCAGTAGGCACGTGAACTTCCACTGGCCAGGTCATACCATGCAGTAGGTGGGAAGGGAGCAGTAATTGCCCCTGCCTGGCTAGTAGCCCACCCAGGGCATGGGCTAAACCTGGAAGCACAGACACAGGGCTCCTTGACCCCGAGCTCAAGGCTGGCATAAGTCTGGTGCTGCTGCTCTTGTTGGGCCACTGAGCGGGACATTCCCCCGGATGCTGCTGCTTCCTCCTGCTGTCCTTTCCTTGAAACATGCCTGGGTGTGCCGCTGTGTGCAGCTGAGCCCTCCAGGAAGTCCTCCCTGCCAGAGAAGGAGGGGGACAGTCACCCACGTTGGCCTCCCCTGACGACACTGTATCCCTTAGATCTAAGTGCTGGCCTCACTGCACCTAGGAAAGGAAGCGGCGGCTGCTGACTCAGCACCAGCCTGCAGGTGGAGAGGGGGTGGAGGAGCTCTCTGAGGCTGGGAGGAAGTGAGAATTCAGTGGACACCTGTCTCAAGGAAGGGCAGGAAGCGTTGGAACAGCTGCTGTGCCCCCTCTGAAGCTGAGTGGGAGGGAAGGGGTGGAGGCGCTCTCCATGTCTTCCCCCTTCTCCCCCCGCCCCCAGCTAGCTTGCTTAGCTCCAGCCTTCCTCCCCCATGCCACCCCCTCCTCAAAAGCTCAGGGGCCCCCTCCGGGCTGCCTGTGCCCGAGGACCACCCACCTCCTAGAACACCTGCTTCTACTCCTCAAATTCCCTCGAGCTAATGGGAGAATGTGCCCACTCCCACCCCCAGCGTGGAGACACTGGCCTTCCTTAAGCCGAAGGATGGCCCTTCCCCAGGGGACCTTGGCCTCCACAGGGGACCTCGGCATCCACAGTGGGCTCATTCCCTGGAGGGGCAGGCATGGACTCAGGGGAAGGGACCATACCTGCCCCCTCTGCCTGTGACGTTTGGGACTTCTGACCAGACCTGAAAAGTCAGATTCTGGGAAGGTGAGGGAGTGACAGTGGGGGACTTGGGCCCAAAGAACTGGTCCTCGCATGGCCCAGAGGTGTGTGTGTCCCCAACCTCTGTGCTGAGGAGAGAGACAGCGGAGGTAGCTGGGCCAGAGCCTTGGCTTGGTTCTGTCAGCACTCTCCAGAGTTCCTCATCTTGGACACCAGGGTGGTGGGCTGTGGCCCAGGCCTCCCCTCTGGTGGGCTCATGTCCCTCAGGACGGAGGGGGACATCAGACCTGTCTCCCTCCCTAAGGGCTGGGTCAGGAGGGAAGCTGAGCTTGGGAGGCAGCTCCTGCCTCGCTCCTTCTGGCCAAGCTGATGCTGAGGCTGCTTCGGGGCAGGGGTGCCTGGGATGCAGGGGTGCCTGCGATGCAGGGCTGCTGGCTGCCACCTGCCACGGAACCAGAGGGATAGGGCAGCAAGGGACAACTGGAAGGAAGTTTGCGCCCGCTGGAACCTGAAGAGTCCAGCCCTCTTCCTGCCAGGAGGAAAGGAACTAAAGGAGGGGGTGAGGGAAGAGAGGTCATCTGGGGTGAGGGGGCAGCAGCCAGCCCCCAGCTTGGTCTTCCCCGGGCAGGTGCGGTGGGAGTGTTGATTGAGGTGGGAGAGAAGGCCAGATGACAACCTGAGATGGCACAGTCCCATCCTGAAGGTCCCTGACAAGTCTCAGTTTCCCCCAGCAGAGAGGTGGTGGGAAGGAGGAGGGAGGCATCAGGTTCCCGCCTTCTCAGCTGGTGTCTCTCAGCCATCTCCTGGGTATTCCCTAAGTCAGGCCCCATCCCTGCACAGGTGCACCTGGGGAGCATCTGGCTGGGGGGTGGACTAGACGTGTGCGCAGCAGAGAGCAGAGTCTTGACTCCTAGGGCAAAACAGGGCTTGGGCCTGCTGCAGGATGGACACGGTTTCTAGTTTTACCTCTCAATTTGGGGAAAACATGAAGTTTATATTAAACTAAACAAGCAACTCTTCTACCTCTATTTGCAAATTTTACATAAACCTTTGAATGCAAATACAGAATTTGGTGACATTTCATTCAGGCAGGTCAGTCCAGGCTGTGCCCCGACTCCCGGGGTGGCTATACACTCCTCTGGCATTTGGGTCCATCCAGGGGTGAGTGAGAGTAATTCTTCAGGGTCACCCCAAGGCCTCATCTTCCCAGAGCTTGGGGACCCAAGTTGTTCAGTGGCTGGAGAGTCAGAGCTGGCTCTTGGAGCTCTAGTCAGGATTGGAACTCGGTTTCTCGACTCTGAGGGCTGGTGGACGTTTTGTGTTTTGACTCAATGCCATTTGTAAGTGGCACGAGCTATGGCAGCCATGGGGTGCTGTGTGGGATGCATGACTGGGTGAGGCTTGAGGACAGCTTGGGTTTAACTGGGCAGAGAGAGAAGGGATGGCATTTCAACATGGTGGCAGATCCTCAAGTGTGCCAGGCCTAGGAACCAGAGCCTGAGAGGGGAGGCCAGGAGACGGAGAGAACCCCACCAGTGGGTGGGAAGGGGATCTTCTGAGGGGGGCACAGGACTCTTTATTGTGGTAAAACATACACAGCATAAAGTCTGCTGTTTCAACCATTTAAAAGTGTACTACAATTCAGTGGCATTACGTACATTCACAGTACTGTGCGAACATCACTACTTTCTATTTCCAAAACTTTTAAATCACCCGAAACAGAAACTAAGAGCTCCCTTGGGTTTAGGGCCTCCTCCCAGGCAGGTTAAGGGCTGTGTTTGCTGGGACTTCTTGGGGGCCGAGGGGATGGGAAACTAAGCTGTAGCAAAGAATACACAGATTTTGCCATCAGGCAGTCTTTAGCTTGACCACCTACCAGCTGCGGGACTTTGGCCCTCTCTGAGCCTCAGTCTCTTCTAAAAAAATGGAAATAATTGATGTAAATACCAGTGTCACAGAGTGGTGAGGATGAAAGAGAGTTCTCACTCATATAAAGTACGAGACACCCGAAATCCTGGGAAGTGTTTAGAAAAGATGGCCATTTCCCAACTCCCACCACACACCCCACTTCCCCCATGCAAACACACCTCTGCTTGTTCAGGCCTGGGACAGTTTTAGGGGTCTTAGGGGAGTGCAAAGCAGGCCCTTGGGCAGTCAGGGAAGGGCTGGGCATATTTCAGCTTAATTGTGTAAGCAGTTACTGAGAACCTGCTTTGGCACAGACAGCCTGTGACCTGTAGCCTAACTGGGGAGACCCCCGAACACTCCTGATGTGGGTGGAGAATGGGCAACAAGAATGGCCAAACAGTGGTCATGCTGGCCAGAAAGTGTGGCCTAGCAGGGAGATATCTTAGCGCACGGGATGGGGAGAGGTCACTGAGGCCTGGAGAAAATCAGGAGGGCCTCCCGGAGGAGGCAGGACTGGAGCTGTTCCCCGAGGAGGAAGAGCTGTAGCTCTGCTGCCTTGGGGAGTGATCGGGTCAGCCCTGCTCCCTGCGCCTCTCCCATGTAGGCCCAGATCTGATCCAAGAGGTAAATGTCAGAGTCCTGTGGCTGTCACCCTCGTCTGAATTTTCTTTTTCTTTTCTGGAGCATCGGGCCCTCTCATTTCATTGTCATCCCTCCCATTCCAGTCTCCATCCTCCCTGCCATCCCCTGGCCCTGGCCATCCTGCTGAAATTCTCTGCCTCCTCTCCTGCCCCTCTGCCCAGCCGAGCTGCCTGAGTGCTCCAATGGGTCATCGTGCCGCCCCTGGAAAGAGAGTCACGTGGAGGGGTCGCTGCTCGAGGGAGCTGGGGGCTTCGTGTCCTCCCTCTGAAGCGGGCAACCCTCTTGGGGCACTGGTTCTGCTCTTTGCAGAAAAGGGTACTCATTCTTACCTGCCAGGTGAGTTTAATCCTCATCTGGATTAAACGAGACGGTGGATGTAATGTACCCACCGTGAGTGGCTCCTGGCACAGAGTAGGGGCTACACTAATTGTTCTATATGGCTATCTGCTAGGGAGTTGCCATGCACAGAGTCCCCCTGCCTGCTCCTAGGAGGCACTTTGAATTTTATAAGGGAAATAAAAGGAAGGGGGAAACTGAGCCTCAGTGTTCTTATCTGTAAAATGGGAATAATTACAGCAAGTCCCCCGGCAGGGTGATAGTGAGGCTCAGATTTGATCATGGATTTGTTCAGCTCATCTAACACATACCCACTGAGCACCTGTGTTGGACCAGGCCCCGTGCAGGCATGGGGGACACAAGGATAATAATAATAACCATAAGGGCAGTAGCAGATGCTCACGTAGCACTTACTCTGTGCCAGGCACCCTCCTAAGCACTTTGCCTGCCTTAAAAATACTGAACCTCGTGGGAAACAGACAGACGCAGGAACAGCATGGCCCTAAGGTATGTGCTGGGTGTTCTCTTAGCCTGCGGCAGACATCCTGGGGAGGGCAATGCCTGGGGGAGCTGATGCCTGGGTGAGTCTTAAAGGAACTGGTTGCCCAGGAAGGGGTGGGGTGAGGGCGTTGTGGGCCAAGGGGCTGGGGGGGGTGAGGGGAGGGGAAGGGCAGGCTGAGAAGGAGAGTCATGCAGAGGGGTCACTGGGACAGGGAGCTGGGGGACTGATGGCATGCAGGGAAGCTAAGGCTTTGTTGGCCCTCCTGGTCAACATGGCAGCTTTGCCTATTGGCCAGCGTTGCTGGTGGTTGATTGTCTTTTGTCAAGAATAAAGTGCACAGAACCTCTGTGTGTCCTGAGCTAAGGGCTGAGGGTACAAGAAAGTGAGGTAGGAGTTTCAACAAACCCTGGTGAAGAAATGCTGGGACAGTTACCTCCACAGGAAGAGGTACCATGGGCTACTGCTGGGAGGGTGGGAAACTTCAGAGAAAAGAGCAGAGTGGTGTGGTATCTGGGAGACCTCCTGGAAGACACAGGGGTGGGACTGATCCTTGAAGTAGGGGCTTAGGGCAGCATTTTCCACAGTGTCCAAGCAAGCACTGGGGCCTCTTGAGCTGTTAAAAGTTGTTTCTGCAGAAAGGTTACATATTCCAACAATTTGGAAATACTACACACTATATCCCAGTCTTGGAGAGTCGGTGTGCGTATTAGCAAATTAAAGTCCCTGGTAAGTCCTGCAACCAAGAGAGCCCTTTGGTTTTGCTTTAGCAGCATTTCCCAAAACTATCTGACCACAGAACTCTCTCTCTCTCTTTCTGTGTGTGTGTGTGTGTGTGTGTGTGTGTGTGTGTGTGTGTGTGTGTGATTTCTAGAAGCATACCTTGAACTTGGTTGCATGGAGCACAGTTTGGGAATGCTAGCCTGGGAACTGGGTCATCTAGCTCAAGACTGGCCAGAAGCAACTCCCTTATACTGTGGAGGTAGGGAGACTGAGAAAAAGGCCATAAAAGGGAACTCATGGATTGGTGACTGCCTGAATTACTTCCCACCATAGTCTTCATCCCAGAGTGCCATCTTTTCCCACTATCTTAGCACATTTGGACTGCAGTAACAAAATGCCATAGACTGGGTGGCTTATAAATAACAGAAGTTTGTTTCCCGGTGTACTGGAGGCTGGGAATCCAAGCTCAAGGTGCCAGCAGGTTTGTTGCGGGTGAGGGTCCACTTCCTAGATGGCTGTTTTTTTGCTGTAACCTTGCATGGCAGATGGTGAGAGGGACTCCTCTGGGGCCTCTTTTATAACGGCACTAATTCCATTCATGAGCGCTTCACTCTTGGAATCGAATCACTTCTCGAAGACCCCATCTTTTAACACCATCATCTTGGGGGTTAAGATTCAACATATAAATTTTGAGAGGACACAAACATTCAAGTCATAGCACCTACTCTAGAGAACTCTAGAGGGAGGTCAGCGGTGAGCTGGCCTCTCATTCCCAGTGGCATTTTTGCTGGCCAGCCAGGGGAAGCTGCCAGTGGTCACAGTTCTGGAGTGGGCTCTTGGCCACTGGGGGTGCTTGCCTTGTGCCAAAGCCCTATTCAGCTTAGGGCCTTCCTTCCCACCTTCTGTCTTACATTTTTGACCTTGTCCAGATTCCTTGAAGTGGAGTTTCTTGCCTATCTAGTTGGGCACCCCTTGCCCAGTAACCCACAGCTACATTTGACACGCTGCACACGATCCACCCAGCACCTGATGCTCACATCATCGTGCACCCAGATGGTCACCCTGACACATGCCCATCCCTCTATGGGCCCCATGCAATATGCATTTACACATTCATCCACAGTTCACATACAGTTATAACAGCAGCACGCATTCATTTACACGTACGTATCTGTATTAGATGAGAATATACAGTACATATACACACCCATGTTCCACATGCCAATACATGCACAGACTCATACCACTCACCACTCACATACATGTACACACATGCATACCCCATGATACATACCCAGAGAAATACAGGCTTAAATGTTTCCAGAAGGTACTGCCTTCCCCTTCTTTTCTCTGACATGTCACCTGTGCCCCTATGAAGCCCCTACCCCACCATCGCTGAATTCAAACAATATTTCAACAGGAGATGCAGGCCTTATCTAGGAAAACACCATGCGTATGCGTGTGTCCACATCTGCAGGCCAGCCGCAGAGCCTGGGCCTTTGATACCAGGCCACATTTGGTGTGCTCCCCACTATGATGGAGAAAACAATCATCACAAAGCTCTGTTTGGATGCCATGTGGCCTGGGAGGGCTTCCTGGAGGCGTTGAGTCTTCAGCTGGGATGGAAGCGTGAGGTCCATGTCAGTAGAGCATGAGAGAAGGGAGCGCTGAGGTATGGGGGTCACACGAGGGGTGTCAAGAGGGGCAAGCATGGTCAGGAGCGCCCCCAACCCCAAGAACCCCTGCAGCAGTTACAGCAACATTTGGGTAGAGGTGGAGGAAGAAGCAGCAGGGCCAGGAAATGGCCAGAAGCTCTCTGCTGGCGTTCCTCCTGCCACGCTCGGTGGTGGCACTGACACCTGGCTGAGGTCACCAGTAGCTGAGAGACTCCTTAGCTAGTGCTCAGCTGTCACACTGGGGGAATGAAAGAGATCATATGATACTAATGTCACTGTTCTGCTTTATAAAGTGTCCTAACAAGCTGGCGAGCCAGGCACACTCAGTCTTATTTACGGCCAATATTATATCTCTGACATAGAGATTAATTTGACGATAGCTGTTTATAAGCTCTTTCATCATCAGATGGGCCCATTACCTGGGAGGAGAAGAGGGCCGGGTTTAATTTGTGAACAGTGTGCTGAGTCCCTCTGCCCCTGGCGTGTGTGCAGGAGGTGCAGCCATAAATCATGGCAGACGCCAGCAGCGCTGAGACCAGAGGGCTGGGAGCTGCCCTAGCGGGCAGACCCCAGAGCTCACGTGTGGCAGAGGGGCTCCCTGGCAGGTATGCCAGTCTGCAGAGCCCGGGAGGGAGGCAGGGATGCACAATCTTCTTTGCTGGGAGGAGGCCCTGGAAGATCACCCTGCCAAGGAGCTTCCCACTGGAGTCGACACTAAATTAGAATCATCTGGAAGCTTGTTAAAATACAGATGACCTAGCCCTACAGAGTCACCACCTCTGTGAGTGGAGCTCGGGACTTCCCTCCAGTCTGAAGTTTGAGGGCTGGGGGCAGGGATGGGCTGTGAGATGGGCTGGAGCAGTTCCCTCCAGGTGCCCCTAGTTCCAAGCAAAGGCGTCCCTTCCGTGGATATCTGAGCAGAAAAAGACAAGATCAAGAGCTGGCAAATAATAGACCTGGAGCAAAAAGCTAAAGAGATTGGGTCCTTGAGCCAAATGGTAAGGTTTGCTAAGGCTGTCTCCTTGCACCTGCAGAGCCGCCCTGCCATTGTCCTCCCTCAGCAGCCCAGCCCCTTCCTGCTAAGCCCAGCCCCTTCCTGCTAAGCAGGACAGAAATATCCGCTCATGAGGGGCACATCAGGGGCTTTATAGGCATCATCTCTTTGTCCTCTGATGTTGATCTTTGAGTTACTTTTTTATGAAACCCCACTGAAAGATAACTTAGACAGTTCTCAGTTACATCGCCTGGAAACAGAGGCCTAGGTTTAAGTCCAGCTTGGACCCCAAGCTCATGCTCTTTCCATGACCTGAGGCAGTGTCCCACCGTGGCGGCAGGGCCTGGCTACGTCAATCCACTGCGCACAAACATTGCAGCCTCAGCAAACGGTAAATCTATTGGTGTGTGTTGGGATGGGATACCAAGAATGTGAGGTGATAAAGAGGTCCTCCTGCACCGTGCATCTACGCAGTTTTTCTCCTAGGGGTGGGTATATTTCCTGGGAGCCTCTGGAGTGAATAGCCTTCAGAATGCAATGGAGTCTTCCTGCCCTGGTGGCCTGGCAGACCCTGTCACTCCCAGGATGGCAGCCCTGTCCTCTACCTCCCAGGCCTTGACCTTCCTTTCCCCACCATTGGCCCTGGACAGCCTTTGCAGGGCTCTGCTGGAGACATTTGGGAACCCTCCAGGCTCCCCTCCTCCTTGGGGGCCTTGGGTCCTATCCAGGAGGTTCACCTTGATGAACTCCAGCTGGTCAAAGCCCAGAAAATGGGAAGGCAGCCAGTATGGACTCCATCAGACTCTTTCCCCACCTAGAATCTACACTTTTGTTAATGTAGCCTCAGTTTGCACTGGCTATATTGGGTACACATCATCCTGTCCCAAGCTTATTTCATGTGGACCAGAGCTCCCAAATCTGATAACACCTGCTATGGAGACTCTCATGTCCCAGCCTAGTGGAGTAGGTTTATTGGGTCAGATGTAAGTTTGGCTGTGGTAACAGAGATCCAAAATAAAGGTGGCTTAAAGGGATAGCAACTCTCAGAACAGCCTAGAGTGGTGCTCAATATCAAGGACTCAGGTGCCTTCTCTCTTGTTGCTCCACCCTCCCTAGGATATGGCCCTTTTCTGCATGGTCCAGGATGGTTCACACCTTTATCCACTTTCCAAGCATCAAGATGGAGGAAGAAGGGAAAGGTTAGAAAGAGCATGACACAGCACTGCACAAGCCACCCCCACTCACACCCCATTGGCTAAACTGGGTCACGTAACCACCCTTAGCTGTAAAGGAAGCTGGGAAGTCTTATATACTGAAGGCCATGTGCCCAGCTGAATTTAGGGGTTGCATTACCGTAGAAGGAGAGAACAGATAATGGGGGGAGCACTCAGTTGGTCATCTCTGCCTCAGTTGGTGCTTAGAACCCACACGTCAGGTCTTACATTGATCCTGGGTGGAGCTCCTCCTTTGTCTACCCTTCTTGCATTAGTGGCACTGTGGGTGGGACTAGCATGCCCTCCATGGCTTCACCCAAATAGGCAAAGACATCCCCAAGGTAGGAAGTGAGAAGCCATCCTCCAAGTTGGTGTCAAACCACCGGCCTGTGGCGATTGGATGTGATTACTCATCTCATTACAAATCTTCCTGTCTCATGACTAGCTTGCATTTTCCATCTTATCCAAAAGACTATAGTAGAATGTTAGATCTAAAAATGAGATGATGTCTGTGAAGTGCTCAGCCCAGGGTGTGGTGGACAGTAGACACTGAATGAAAGCTGCACATCCTTGGGCAAAATATTTAACCTCTTGGTGCCTCACTTTTCTCATCTGAGAGACGGGGATGTCATCGTGACCTCCTCCATGGATTGTTGGGGAGATTCAGCCAGAGTCCATGGAAAGCACCAGGTGCAATGTCTGGGCCGTGAGTCAGGCTGCTAGGTGAGAGCAAGGGTCTGTGACCTCTTGACAGGGTTGCTGTGGGAGTGAAAATCTGTGTAGCTTTTAGCACAGGTGCCTGGCAGGTCGTAGGCACTCAATGAATGCTAGTTTGCTCCCCGTCCGCTACCCCACTGTCACTGGTAAGGGATGTTACCTAAAAACCCTTAATCCCACTCCATCCCTCTACAAATGGAAGTGTGTGGGAGGACTCTGAAAGTCAGAGAGTGGGAGTGACGGGGCCCTGGAGACGCATGCTGCTGGTAGGCAGGGGGCCAGGACTCTGGCTCCTTCCCACAGCGTTGTGGCCCCCTCCCATGCTGCTGCCTCGGATCCTTGATCTGAGAAGGGAAAGGAAACGGGCCCTCCAGAAGAGATAACCAGATACAGACAGCCCATGTCAAGGACCCAGAGACCTGGAGTTGGGAGATGGAGTAGCGGGGCCTTGTGGTGGGGTGGCCTGGCTGGGCCCTAGGTCACTCTGCCTCCCATTCACCAAGACCCAGCTCTAAGGGTTTTATTGGAAGCCTGGAAAGGACCCCAAAGATATTTAGCTCACCCCCTCATTTTACGGGGACTTGGCCAAGATCATTCAGCTGGGGAGAAGACAAGCTCCCCACATCTCAGTCTCCACTCTCACTCTAAACCAGGAAGGCAGGAGCCACAACGTTCACCAGGCTCCCCAATTCTCTCCTCTTCCTTTTGCCCAAATTTATGAATTGTTTCATTTCTTCCCACACTGCAGTCCCTATGTCCAGCGAAGGCCCAGGGAAGGGCATGTATGTTAGCAGAGATGCCAGCACCAGAGACAGGGGACACCTCTTGAAGGAGGTAGCTGTGATGTAGGGGAGCTTTGCTAGGCCAGGGATTGGGGGTCTGGGCTCAGCTCTACAAGTGTGGGCAGAATTGGACACACCTCCCAGCATTAGAGTGATTAACTGATGCAGGTTTGTACACTGCCAGGGCCCATGCACACACTCAGGCTGTAATGATGGGGGGTCCTCATGCACGAAGTGCAGGATTGGAGAACACATGATCAGGGCCCATAGGCGCCCAAACCCAGTAGTGCTGCTGACAAGATGGAGTTCTCAGCTCCCTTAGAGGCCGAACTTGAGAAACCTTTACAAGAGACTTGAGAGCTGGTTAGAATATCTCCAGGGTCTCTGCCCGATCCTCTCTAGAGTTTTCAAAGACTGTACCTTCCCTGCCAGCCACAGCATCAGCACCATGCTAAGATGCATGCGCTTTCACATTTCACATCTTGGAAACTGGGATGCGCCTTATAAATGACAGTTTGTCCTAGTTTAATTGCCTCTTAAAAATCTTTTAGTGGTTCATAAAGCGATGGTCCACTGTGCAATAGATGGCCTTTTAGGGCTGCTGACATTTGACATTCATTTTGTGTGTGCTCCATACACAAAGCTTTGGGGCCTATAAGTAAATCTATTGACTCTTTAAAGACAAACATCAGTGCCAAGTTTGTGATTTATGAGACCTAGATTTCTTTTTCACCATAGACACACTCCTTCATTTTGCTTTTAATATATACATATTTTTTGAGACTGAGTCTCACTCTGTCACCCAGGCTGGAGTGCAGTGGTACAATCTCAGCTCACTGCAGCCTCCACCTCCCAGGTTCAAGCAATTATCTTGCCTTAGCCTCCGGAGTAGCTAGGACTACGGGAACATGCCACCATGCCTGGCTAATTTTTGTTTTTTTTTTAGTAGAGACAGGGTTTCACCATGTTGGCCAGGTTGGTCTGGAACTCCTGACCTCAGGTTATCCACCCACTTCGGCATCCCAAAGTGCTGAGATTACAAGCATGAGCCACCGGGCCCGGCCTGTTTTAATATTTTTTTTTAACATGGCAGCTCACACCCAAGAACTGAGGATGAACATATCTGAGGGGAGCAGTGGTCCCGAGGTCCCTCTGAAGAGGACCAGCCTGGTTCTCTCTCAGGGCCTCGGGCTCCTCACTGGTTCTATGGGATGAGGATTCTCCTTCTGCCTCATTCTCTAGGCTCTGGTGAGGATCACAGGAGATCCTTGCTGTCTGAAAGCCTTGGAAAGGACAGAAGTGCCCCAGTCTAATATTCTAGAAAAAACACTGACTTTCTCAATGTTCCTTCCCTCCCCAAACCAGCGGTCCCAGCTCCCATCTGTGCCTATCTGAGGACCGCCTATTTTTCCAGACACTTGGGGACCTCCAGGAATGCTGGCCTCTCCTTCTCTTCTTGCTCCTCCAGCAGCCACAATCTCTAAGTGCCCCTGGCTGCCCCTGAACTCAGTGCCTGCCTGGCTTCCTGGCAGAGCTGTGGCTCCCCTCTATCTCTCCACCCATCATGTGCACACATGCCCCCTCAAGACCTTCTCCAAACCCAGCTTTGCACATGATCCAAAGCCTTGCATGGCACCCCTGTGCCTGGAGGACCCTTAAATATCCAGTATGGCCCTGCCATGTTGGGTATGTGACTGCCGTGGATGATGACGACAATGGTGATGATGATGATGATGATGATGCAGATGGGCCTCTGTAGTGGGCGGAGGCATGGCTGAGGGATGGGGCTGCTGGGCCAAGCCACCCGTCTGGTCCTTGGCAGCATTCCCGTGGCCCTCAGCCCTCGGCCAGGACGAACTTGGCTCCATGCAGGCCCCTGGCCCAAATCTCCACCTTTCTTCCCTTATTCTCTCCTTTATTGACTACTGAAGTATTAATTAAGCCCTCACTCTGTGATATGCAGAAGCTGAAAAACAAATTGCCTTATTGTCCATTTATTCATTCATTCTGCAAATGTCAATCCGTGACCAGCCGACCCTGTTCCAGGTGTGTTCTAGGTGCGGAGGATGCAGCATTGAACAATCACCTGATTTTAAGAAGCTTGCATTCTAGTGGGGAAGGCAGACAGCAAACAAGCAGGCCAATAGGTAGCACATCAGAGGTGACATGTGCCATGGTGCAAAATAGCGCAGGGTCAAAGGGTGGTGATGCTGGAGTGGGGGTGGGGAGGTGCTTATTTTATGCCTGGCACTCAGAAAGAGCCTTGCTGTCAGTGTGATATTTACCAGAGCCCTGAGCCTGAGGGCAGAGAGAGAGGGAGCCCTGCAGATCCCAGGGGTTGATTCTTGCCTCTGTTGTCCTGGGCAGGCACGGAATGCGTACTTCTTGCCTCCAGATCAGGGACTAACTACTCACTCTGAACACACAGAAGGGAGTATTCAGATTCCATCATGGGTTCCCACATGTCCAGCCCCAGACACAGGCAGCTGAAGGTTGAGAGGGTGCCTGGGGCTTAGCACCCTCTCCCAGGGCTCCACCTCCCCAAAGCCCTTCTGATGGCGTTGTCATCTGCTCCTTCCACCGTGTCACCTCTTCTCCCCGCAGCTTCCTGCCTCAATTCTAGATGTTGGTCTTATTCAGGCATGGTGCAAGAGACAGAGGCTTTACATTCAGGGAAAACGGAAACTCCAGAGGTTAAAAGGCTTCCTCTGGAACCAGATGGAGCCCCGGCTGGAAAGGCGTGATCTGTGCCCTGCATTGCAATGCTGAGTTCAGGTGGGGGACAAGTGGCTTTGTCCAACTCCCACACCTGTCATTTGGGCTACCTGAGGAGCTTGCAAAATCCACATTCCCAGGCCCTACACCAGATCTACCTTTCTGAGGTAGGAATCTGTATTCTTATGTGTTTGCGAATTTCAAGTATGAACTCGTTGTTTTATCATTAAAGAGGACAGAATGCACATAGGAAAAATATAAACAATATGAAGGACTCCTCGCTGAATAGTAAGTTTCTCTCCTGTTCCTCCCACCTCACCCTTGCTACCCAGGTCTCTTCCCCAGTGGTAACAGTGGTCAGTACCCAGCATTTATTAAGTAACAAGCACTGCTCTAGCCACGGCCTAGACTGTAGTGAACAGAGCCCAGGTGGTCCCTGCCTTTGTGGAGCTTAGAATCTAGTGGAGGTAACTGAGAGTAAGCAAATGATCCACAAGTCAATATGAAATTGTGAAAAGTGCTGAGGATCAGAAATAAAGAACAGGGTGTCAGGCAAGAAAACAGCAGTGTGGCCTGATTTTGGTGGGCTGTGCTGGCAGAGGTGGAGGTGGGATGAGAATTTCTTGAACTCCTTTGCAGAATCCCAGGTGATTGTGAAGGAACCACTGGGGGTCTCAGGACCCTTGGTCAGGCCACCAGTCCCTCTCTATCATCTCTTTCTGTGGGGCACTGGGCTCGAGGCCTGGGGCACAGAGGACAGCAAGATGCCTCCAGATGCCTGGGAGTCACCCTCCAGTTAGGGAGGCAGGAATTGCCTCCGATGAGGGGTCTGTTGGCTTCTGTGGCTGCTGTGACAAAATAGCACACGCTGGGTGGCTTTAGACAACAGAAGTGTTCTCTGACAGTGCTGGAGGCTAGAAGGCTGCAATCAAGCTGTCCGCGGGGCCAGCCGTCTCCTCTGAAGGCACCAGGGAAGATTCCTTCCTCATCTCTCCTCTCTTCTGGGGGTTGCTGGCAGTCACAGTCCTTGGGGCTCCCTGGCTTGTAGCCGCATCACTCCAGTCTCCGCCTCTGTTGTCACAGTGTCTCAGTGTCTCCACATGGCCTATCATGACATTGTATTAGGGCCACACTCATCCAGTATGACCTCATCTGAACTTGATCACATCTTCAAAGACCCTGTTTCCAAATAAGGTCACACTCACAGGTACTGGGGATTAGGACATCAACCTATCTTTTCAGGGGGCACAACTCAAACCACAGCTAGGATGAGTCATGCAGGCCTCATGAGCTGGACCCCCTGTGAGGGCTGCAAGCGTTCAGAGAAAAGGGCATGTTTTGCGCAGGCTGGGGTGGACAGGGCAGTGGGCTCCAGGAAGGGGAGGCCTCCCTGTCTGAGAGAATCCAGGTACATGGGGAGCAGGGCCTAGTGTGAGGAAGTGAACGAGTGAAGGACAGCAGAGGCAGGAATGTACACAGCACACCCAGCCATAGGACAGGATCTGCGGACCTCAGAGCTGCCCTCTGGGACTGGGAATCACGTAAAATGAGGCCACGGCAATTTTGAAGCCTGAAGCGTACCCGAAAGGTAACCCACTTGCTCCTCCCCTGAAGGAAGCTGTGGGGCTCTGGAGTGGCCTCAGCCTCCCTCTGTGACCTTCCTCAACTCCTGCAGCTCTGGCCTTCAGGTGTGGTGGCTGTGGAGAAAGGAGGGGTGACTGTCACCTAGGCTCGTAGAATGAGCTGATCCCTCTCTCCAAAGCCCAGAGCCTCCGGCCCTTACTGACAGGTTCCAGACCCCCAGGAACACCCCTTCCTCTCCTTCTTGTCCCTACACTGACCAGCTTCTCACCCCTTCCTTCTCACATGCTCAGGGAGAAACCCATGGGCAGAGTGACACACGCCTTGGTCATCACTGTGTCCCGGTGCCTAGAGGAGGGCCTGCTCAGAGCAGCCTCACAAGAAATGTGCTTTTGACTTAAAGACCACAGTGAGAGGAGAGACTCTCTCAGTCACACCCCCGGACTCTTGTCCCCACAGAGCCCCAGGTCCCCTACCCCTTTGTCCATGCCACTGTGTGGGTCAGGAGAGCTAGGCTCGAGTCCTGACACTGAGCAGACACAAAGCTTGGGCAAGTCACTTCCCCCTCCCAGGACTCAGTTGTCCTCCCCGTAAAAGGAGAGGCAGTAACATCCACTTCCTTCATAGGGCTCCCATGAGAGGAAGACGTTAGAAGCTAGAACAATGCAATTCAATTCAGTCTGACAATCTGAGTTTCCACATGGCAATTTCTGCATGATGCCAGGCCCAGGGGTTCAGGGTGGGCCAGGTGGGCTGTTCCCTGCCTGTGGGGTTATGGTCTGTCTGCTGGGAGAGAGGGATCTTATGTAAGCAGTTCACAAAACGATGAACGTGACAAAGGGAGTGTGCAGGCAGCTGTGGGGAGGCACAGCTGGGATTTCAGCTGGTTCCAGGGTCAGGCAAAGGCCTCCTGAGCAGGTGGCACATGGAGGGGACCTGACCACTGATGAGCAGTTAGCCAGGTAGAAAAAAGGGTTCTCAGCAGAGGGAGTAGCATCTTAGAGGCCAGGGCTCATGGCTTGTCCTGGGAATAGCAAGCTGACTGGTGGGGCTGGAGATAGAGAGCCAAGAGAATGTAAGAACTGAGGCCTGAGAGCCATGGACTCCACCTGAAAGCCCATGTATGAGCTAGGATTCTGTTTTGTTTAAAATCTGCAGTTTATTTCTGTCACATGTTCAGGAAGAGGTCTGGAGGTAGCAATCCAGGGCTGGTGTGGTGCCCCTCAGTGGCAAAGACCCAGGCTCCTTCTACTTATTGCTCTGCCATTCACAACTTCCCTTTTCAAAGTCATACATGGCCCAAGATGGCTGCTAACTCTCCAGCCCTTGAGTCTGCATTCCAGCCAGAGGATGGGATGGGAGTGCCTTATGAAACTAAGGCACTTCCTAGAAATTGCACGTGACATTTTCACTTAAATCTGAATGGACAGATTTTAGTCACAGGATCACACTTAGCTGCAAGGGAACCTGGAAAAGGATCTTTATTCCAGATATCCATGTGTCAGCTAAGAATGGGAGGAAGAAGGATATTGGGAGACATCTCAAGGTCTCTACCATAGTCATCATGTCCAGTGTTTCAGTTGATGAGGAGCACTCTAGGTCCAGAATACCCTGAGACGCATCACAAGTCCATGCAATGGCCCCATTGAAGGTCCTCCAGCTCACTCCTCCAAACAGAGCTGTCCTCTCTCCTGGCAGTGTGGTTCATTCAAGGGCTTCCTCCTCTCCCGCATGGGGCCCTCAGTCTCCACCAAGGGTGCTGATGGTGTTGGAGGTCTTCACTCCTGCTGCTGGGCACAGAGGCGGGGTATCATGTGTTTGTGGCCAGCCATGGAGGAACACAGAGGGTGCTCCCCTGCAACAGTGCAGGTGCTCCCCACAATGGTGCTCAAAATTGGAGGGTAGGCCCTGCTGGACAAGCAGTTTTACTGCCTCTGTGGGCTATCCTGGGAACTCAGGGTTCCTGAGGAAAATGCAATTGGAATTCCAAACACCTCATTTACAAACAGACCCTGGAGGCCCAGGTTGCTTGTGTCCTTTTCTGAAAGACATTTCCATGGCAACCCCTGCCTTCCAGACTTTCCCTCTCTCTTCTCCTCTCCTCTTTTGGGGCTGAAGCACCAGGCAGCCCCAGGCGAAAGACCCCTGCATTAGTAAATCAGTCAGCTCTTCCCTGGGGGCCAGGGGATGGGGTGCTATGGGAGAACCCTGCCCTGCCCCTGGCCTGCCTTCACCACCTCCTTCCTGCAGGCCCCCCTTGCCCTCTAATACGCCTGGGCACACGAGGCGGGTATGTGGAATCCTACCTAGGTAGCACCAGGCAGGGTCACAGGGCCCACCTAAACACTGTTCAGCCTTGGGGTGTTCAGCAGCGGAACTCCTGGGGAGACAAAGCTGTGGAGGAGCTTTGGCCCAGAGGCCAGGCGTCAGCCCCACAGCAAGTGACTTTCCATAGCTGTCCCAAGCTTTCCAAGTGGACGTCCACAGAACACTGCACTTGAAGGAACTGAAACATTACCTTTTCTGCAAGTGGAAAAGGTTTAAGACTCCAGCTAACCTCTCAGTGAGCAGCTGGGAACTTGCCCAAGATCACGCTGCTAACTGGGCTGTGAGCACATTTTTCCTGATGCCCAGTGTAAAAAAATTTTTTTAACCCCTTGACACCATACTGAGTCTTTTCTAGTAATACCTTTTGAAACTCCTTAGAGCCTTTGGGTGCTCTAAGCTGGGCTTCACCCCAGCTCCAGATGGGAAAACAAAAGACAAAGATGAACTCTCAACCTTGCTCTCCAAAGTGAAATTTCAACTGAATCCCTGTAGCCTTGCTCTTCTGAAAAAGAACATATTACTTCCATATGTTTATAATGATATAGAAATCATTACATATGTCTGTGTATATATCTGTGTCGATCTGCTGTACATATGCAGCATATATGTACATTAATATTTAACTGAGTATGGCAGGCACATGATCCAGTGTCCAAAAAAAGGCAGACAGTGCCACAGTGCAAAGCAAGGCTTCCTCTCCCCTGTGCCCGGCCACACGGTTCCCCTCCACAGTTTCTTTTGGATGCTTTCAAAGATGGTCTTGCTTATTCCATTTGGTCCTCTTGATCCTTGTTAATGTTCTTCTCAGTACTATCATTCAATATACATGATTATGGCAGGAGCATGAAGCAAGCTGGCTGTCTGAGGAAGAGCCTACCCTACTCAAGGTGCAGGGCACTGGCCTGGGCACCAAGTCCTATCCCCTCCCCAGGCGGGAGCCAGGAGCTGCTGCAGGTCACCACCCATTGTTGCTGGCTGTGTGCTCCTGAGTGAATGAGACTCTGATCCCCACTGACCTTAGCTTCCTGCACTAGCAAATGAGGAGGTTAGGTGATATGCTCTGGAAGATCCTTTTCAGCTCAAATTTCCATGATCCTATTATCTACTTCATGCCCCGTTTCCCCACTTACAGAAATTAAGAAATAGGGCAGCATTGAAGATAATAGCTCATTTATATCCCTGAGGATTTCAAAGGCATTTACAGATGGCAAGCAAAATGGAGCTTGAATTGGGCTGGAGTTAGCCTGCCAAAGGCCCCCCTGCCACCCCAAGCCCCACTCATATGGGAGTGTAATGGGGTGCCCAAGCTCTGGGCTTAGGGGCAGGCCCAAGGTGACAAATGAGTCAAGGGGCAGTCGCTGTCCCCTCCAAGGTCAATCTTTTCTCCACCAGGCCATGAAGTGGGCCCTAGCAGGCCTTTGGGATGGATTCTTGGGGAGGCAGGGTTTTCCTTCAGGGGTTTTGCAAGAAAGCTGGTTTCTAACTGAGACTCTTAGGCCTCGGTTTACTGTCTCAGGGCCTGCTAGGTGAGTGTTTCAGGACACCCCTAAAAGGAATAACAGACTTTTAATAAGATGCCTGCTTTACCCCAGTGGTTGAGGGGAGAGTGTGTTGAGGGGAGGAGTGTGTGCGCGCCCCAAGGGGTTTGGCTCACTCATTAGCAAAGCCAAGAATTTCATCCTGGAAGCCCTCTCTGTCACTCAGGGGTTTTCTGTCCCTGCAAACCCTGAAGAACAGCATAGAAGCCACCCAAATAGATAGTGGCACAGCCAAGCCTCACTCGTTTTGACTAATGAGAGCCTCAAAGCTTTGCTATTTCCAGACATATGGTTTCTTGGCCTTAGCCAGTGAAACCTTGGGAACTTGCTTCAGTGAACAAAGAATAATGCCCTGCGACAACCACATCAGGTTGAATGGCACTTAAGTACACATGCTCAAAGTGCTTGACAAGTTTCTCTTTTCTGCACTTCCCTCTAGTCCTCTTCCTTAAATTCTAGAAGCACAACATACGAGAGCCAAGAGGAATCTTAGAGGTGTGTTCACTCAGTCCTTCCACTTTCAGATATGGAAACTGAGTTCTAAAGGGGAAGAAAAATCACCGGGAGGGATAGTGGCCAAGAATCAGACAGACCCCGGGGCTCTTGTGTGGAGTCCACAGAGATCTTTCCACGCCCACAGAAAAAGTGTAGAGTTAAAACCAGACCAACCTCTGCTGCTACCAGAATGGAAGCTCTCAATGGCATGAGTTTTGCCTGATTTGTTCACTGCTATATCCCCATTGTCTGGCCCAGTGCTGAACATAATAAGTGCTCAATAAGTACTTGTAGACTGAATAAATGGGAATGACAAAACAGTCTAAATCACTGGAGTCTAAATGAATGTGGCTTTACTGTGTTGTCAGCCAAGAACATCCCTCCTTCTCTGGGCTTTGAACGGGACCCTGAAGATGAGCAGCACTCTTAATTCTTCTACCACCTTTGGCTGCAGAGGAAGCAAAGGCCAGGTCTTCTACCCTGCAGAAGAGACAGCTGTATTTTAGATGTTAAAAAATATCGAAAGGAACACACCACAGTGCCCTCAGCCAGAGCTCCTCTTTTTTGCAGTTCTCCGGCCATCAGGGGCATGTGCCTGCCTGGAGACAGTGCCCGTTCCTGGCTTCTCTAGGGCCTCAGGGCTCTTTCACTTGAGACATCCACAAATCAGGATGCACCCTGTGGTCTCTGGATCCCTGATTCACCCCTGCAAACCTCCCTCCTGTGTGCTGGTTGATGTCCACTCAGTGTACAGCCCCATCACGGGCCCAGGGGAGGGGACATGGAGGAGAGCAGCTGTCAAGTCACAGCCCTGCCCATGGGAGACTTATGGGCTGCTTGAGGAGCTAAGATTCTCACCGTTATAATGAGCTGGCCTTGTAGTCCCAGCTGACTATAAGCTCCTTGAGGGCAGGAAACATACTTTTTAAGGTTGGGTCTCCTTGGACTTTCTGAGCAGAATTGAGGTGGTCACATGAATTCATAGGGGCCACCGTTGAGGGTGTGACCTCCAGGGTCACCTTTCAGTGGGTCTGAGGCCCTGACTCTGCTTCCTGACCTTGCTTTTCTTTTTCTTTTCTTTTTTTTTCTTTTTTCTTTTCTTTTTTTTTTTTTTTTGAGAGAGAGAGAGTCTCTCTCTGCCCCCCAGGCTAGAGTGCAGTGGTGCAATCTCAGTTCACTGCAACCTCTGCTTCCTGGGTTCAAGCAGTTCTCATGCGTCAGCCTCCTGAGTAGCTTGGATTATAGGCAGGGACCACCATGTCCGGCTAATTTTTGTGTTTTTAATAGAACTGGGATTTCTCCATGTTGGCCAGGCTGGTCTCGAACTCCTGATTTCAAGTGATCTGCAAGCCTCAGCCTCCCAAAGTGCTGGGATTATAGCCATGAGCCACTGTGCCAGGCCCCTGACCTGCTTTTCTGAGGACAAAGGTTTTCTGGGATCTTCCTGCCCTCCCCACCTCCACCTATGCACTTTTTACCAACCAAAGTTTGCTTGGGTCAAAAATTCACAGAAGTTAACAACATTAAACAAAACATGTTTTGGTGTGGTCTAAGAAACTTAAAAAAAAAAAAAGCTCTAAAGTCGTAGAACACGCATTCTAAAGTAACTGGAAAGGGACACATTTTGTGGGCTCCCCAGAGAACCCTTCGTGATGCCGACAGACAAGGTGACTACCAGACATATCATTTCAGGCCACCTCCCCTCTAACTGGAAAAGCCTTCACACCTACTGCCTGATGCCTGGATTTTAGGATTGGCTTATAGCTGGATTTTGTTTTCTTCAGATGTGGCCAAAAGTGAGGCTGGAGGCACCACAGCCTCTCCTTTGGTGATTCACATGGCTTCTTGGGACATTCCTGTCCTGAGGCTCTCTCTGCCCATCCGTGCTCACATACTGATGGAGGGTGGCCTTTTCTGAGGATCGCACGGCCACCGAGGTCATAGAACCTGCAGAAGAGTCAGGTCCACTGGATATCTCTGGGCTCCTGCTCTCTGGGCAGGAGGCTTGGGGCCTCAGCAGGCGGCTGACTCTGGCCAGCTTTACTGGAACTTCAGGGTAGAAAACAGCCCTGACCCAGGTCTCAGGAGAGCTGGCCCTCTGGTCCCAGCTGGGTCTCTCCTACACTCTCAGAGGTCTGTTTCTCCCTCTGTGACAGGAGAAGAGTGAGGGGTTGGGGGTCTCTGGGAGTTCCCTTTCTTCTAATGCCCTATAAGTCTCTGGTTCTCCTGATATTCCTGCTTTATCACCATTCCCTGCGTCTCTGCCATGTCCTCTCCAGGCAGCATCCTGCCTTCTTGTTAGAGGTGGGAAAGTAGAGTTGCTCTTTGGAACTTAACCTGGCTGAAGGGGAGGGGGTATGGATGGCAGGGAGTGGCCTAAGCTCAGACCTTGAGGCTCCCATGTGGGCTCTTCAGAAACCCACGCCCCCTGTCAGTGGTCCCCACCCTACACTCCCCAACTCAGGGTTACGCAGGGTCGAGTCCAGGAGGTCTTTTTTGGGATGACCTATGTCTGTCTCTAGAAGTCTCTGGAAGAGCCTTTTCTCCACTAATGAACAGATGTACCTATGTCTTCACAAGAATCTGGCTCTTGATATGCAGGGCACCAAGTCTGAGGTCTGGCTGGATGACTTTCTCATTTTGTGATCTTGAATTTTTTTTTGTTGTTTTGTTTTTGAGACCAAGGCTTGCTCTGTCGCCCAGCCTGGAGTGCAATGGTGCGATCTTGGCTCACTGCAACTTCTGCCTCCTGGTTTCAGGCGATTCTCATGCCTCAGCCTCCCCAGTAGCTAGGATTACAGGCACATGCCACCAAGTCCAGCTAATTTTTATATTTTTTAGTAGAGATGGGGTTTCACAATGTTGTCCAGGCTGGTCTTGAACTCCTGACTTCATGATCTGCCTGCCTTGGCCTCCCAAAGTGGGACATCTCACTTTGCTGCTGGGTTTCCCCATCCTCATTCAGTAGGGAAGCTCCAGCTTTGTGGCTAGATTTGCATGGGGGTGAGGGTGTGGGCAAGGAATGACTGAGGAATGACTGCAGGGGAGGTAGAAACATGGGGGTCACTCAGAAGGAAGTTCAAATCCTGAGAAGGAAAAGTCACATCTTGTGAACAGACAATGGAGGATCAGTGCAAAGTGGGGTCTAATTAAGAGATAACTCTTGGCTGGGCGCGGTGGCTCACACCTGTAATCCCAGCACTTTGGGAGGCCAAGGAGGGCGGATCACCTGAGGTCAGGAGTTTGAGACCAGCCTGACCAACATGGAGAAACCCCATCTCTACTAAAAATACAAAATTAGCCGGGCGTGGTGGCACATGTCTGTAATCCCAGCTACTCGGGAGGCTGAGGCAGGAGACTCGCTTGAACCCGGGAGGTGGAGGTTGAAGTGAGCCAAGATCACGCCAGTGCACTCCAGCCTGGGCAACAAGAGCAGAACTCTGGCTCAAAAAAAAAAAAAAAAAAAAAAAAAAATAGAGAGAGAGATAATTCTTGTGATATAGGCCTAAGCCCTCTGGCAGATTAGGGAGAGACAGCTGGGAACAGCTGACTATATGACCTCTCCCTTCTCCGCAAGCCCAGCCCAGCCCCTGCAGAGGACTTCTCATTCTCCCAAATACTGCACTCAGATACTCATTTTATGATGAGGCCCAGACAATTTGGTGAGGAGGCATGGAGAATTGCTCACTGGTTTTCTTCTGCCCTTAGTAAATGGCAGTGCCTAGCAATGCAGAATTTCCAGAACTTGTTCACAGCCCAGTGGTCCTTAAAGATGAGAGTCATGGCTGAGAGGAATAGTAGGGTTTCTGAGAAGTTTTACACTTGGGAGCAAGGTGTTTCTTTTGAGGAAGGCTTAAATGTAGCTCTGCCACGGAAGCTTTCTCTGACCTTCCTAGTCCTGAGATTATGTGCATTCTTTTATTCATTCACATGCTCATTCATTTATTTACTCAACATGTACGTGTGGACTACCTGCCATAAGTCAGACGCTGTGCTAGGTACTAGGGAAACCACAGCAAACAAAACAGTCTTGGAGAGCAAAAATCCAAGTCCAGCAAAAGGTCTTCTGTGTCTTGCTGGAAGGAACAGATTTTCTAACACTGGCTTAGGGCCCAGTCATCCCGTTGGACTTCTGAGATTCACAACAAGAGGAAATTCATCGTATACTTAGTTTCCAAGAAAAAATCACCAAGCAAAATAACGCTATGGACCTCATAAAGCAAACACAACAGGAAGACACTGGAGTTGGGTGGATGAAAGGCTCCTACCGGCTGCCCATCTGCTGGGGGATGTGGGATCTCTTCTTACGGATGAAGAGTTTTGGGGGTTTTCCAAGAGCCTTATGCAATATTTAGCTTCTTATTCAACTGGTTCAATTCTGCTCCGCCTCCCATCCTGGCTGTCATACCTGGCTTTCCAGGTATAGGGTAGACCAGATGACCTCTGAGGTTTCCATTTGCTTTAAAAGTCAACAGTTCAGTGATTTTCAGGATAATCTAGGGTCTGAGCACAAATTGGAGGATTGCATTTATGTTCAGTGTGGGAGGTAGGAAACAATTTGTCCATAGTAGTGACCTGAAAAAGAAGCCGTCTCCTTCTTGGAAAAGAAGTGGCTCTGGTTCTGTTCATTTGTGCCAAAGCCTTGCATTGACATTCTTTGAGGCAGGGTAGAATTGGTTATTGAATAATAGGTGGGTCTATTGGACCCATTGCCTTGTGCCCTCATAATCAGGCTGTCTCAGTGAAGAGGTGGACTGTAACTTGGGTCTTAAAACCCACATTGCCTAAAGCTTCTGACATGGAACAAGTTGTATTCATATGACTTTTGGCAAGTTACTCTACCAAACTGGCCTCGGTGTCCCCACCAGTAGCCTGTGACTTTGTGCTTTAGTCAAGATCAGAGCCCAGATCCCCTGAATGTTAGGTTAGAGGTATGGCTCTCAAGCCTTCTTGAGTGTCAGAATCACTTCAGTGCTTGAGACAATTCGGATTTCTCGGCTCTGCTTCTGGATATTCATTGCAGTTGGTGTGGGATGGTGCAGGCATCTGTACTTTGAACCACTTTCCTCCATGATTCTGATGCCCAGTTACGGTTGAGAATCATCTGAGGCCAGTGAGTCTCCAAGTGTGGTGCCCTAGGCAGCACCCCCAGCTGGGAGGGGCTTGTTAAACATGCAGATTCCTGGGCCTGGCCCCAGAACCATGGATTAGAATCTTGGGTTGGGCTTGAGACTCCACGTGGGTAATTGTGATGCATACAAATGGTGGGAAACTACTGCTCTAGACCTTATCTGCTTCCTTGGACCTCCATGAGACTTTGTGCTTGAGGAAAAACATCCTTTCCAGGCTAAGCTTATTGGAAGTTCACTAAATGCATTCATCCTGGAAGTGTAGGTTAGGCCTACCTGGTGTTAGCTGAGATTGGCTTGGGACGTGGAGGCCTAAATAAAGAATAAAATATGTTGGTTTAAGCACTTACTCTTCCCCCATTGCCTCCCTTTCTGCCTCCACCCCCTGCTCATATCATCACCCTAAACCCCCAGAACCACTGGGTGGGAAACGAAGACTTCCAGAATAGTGCCTGGTCATGAGATAGAAGAGCTGGCAGAAGCTCATGAGTACCCCACTTCCCTGTGGGTCTGCGTGTGCCCAGGTCACCTTGATCAAAGCTTGGCCTGGGTTTTGTTCCCAGCTCCACTGGTCATTTAGGGAAAGCCAGTTGGACCTTCTGAGGCAATTCAATTCTGTTCTTTTCAGGACAGCTCTATGGAGTCGAGTCTTAATCAGTTGCACAAGGCACCATGAAGTGCTTACTGTGTACCTAAACCTGGCTGAGCATCAGGAGTGAGCAGCACACACTGAAAGTTTAGCGTAGTGGTCAGGGTTAGAGCAAGAATGCCTGGGTTCAAACCCCAGCTCTGCCATTCACTTGCTGTGGGACCTTGGGGAAATCATTGAACATCTTTGAACCTCAATATCCTCATGTTTCAAATGCATGATGACAATGTCTACCTGATAGAGTGGTTGGGAGAATTTAGATGAGTTAGTACACATAGTGTTTAGAACAGTGCATGGCACACAGTAATTGCTTAGTGAATGTTTACTGTCATCATTTCTATGTGCCAGGCACTATGGTACTTACTTAGATTGTCTGATGTTATTTAATCATGTAGTTTAAGTGTTACTCTACAGAGATTAAGAATTCACGGTCCTGAGAAATTAATCTATGTGTTTAAGTTTACACAACTAATAAATGGTAGGCCAGGATTTGAATCTAGACCTCTATGATCTAAAAGGCCATGTTTTTGTTTTCCCCTGTGTGTATGCTCTGTGGACAAGAAAGCTTGTTGTATCTAGAAGCAACGTGTGGTTGTTTCCAGATACCCAGGAGCCAATTGAAGGGTGGTTCAAGGTGGCAGCATCCATCATCAAGATGGGCTGGCTGAGGCAGGGTGGCCTGAGCTGGGATTTACTGGAGAAGCAGGGGGATAAGGCTGAGCAGAGAGTGTTGTAGAATCCTGGTGTGTGTGTGTGCTGGGGTGGCAGGGGGGTGGGAGAGGACAGGGCAGGGAGGAAGCTGATTGACTCGGGAAGAAGAGGTGAGACAGGCCAGCTTCCGGGGAATGTTGAAGTCCTGGTTGTGAAGTGAAGGGAGTCAGGGAACGAGAAATGCCTCAGAATCCCTCTGCTGGTCAGTGAGGTGTTGCTTTAGGTTTGCAGGGCGGGATTCCCTATTCCCACTCCCTAACACACAATGTAGCCAGAAAACTTTGGCCTGGAGACAGCTCCTTGCTGGAGGTGGGGGCACTTTTCTAGCCTATCTCATTTAGTTCTGCTTTGCTTTGAGTGGGCTAGAAACCCTAAAGGTAACTCATAAACCGGGGGGTCCTTATTCCTCTCATCACGCACACCCTTTTCCCATTTCTAATGGACAAAGTAAGACTTTGCATGCGCATTTCAAGAGATTGAGAGAGCCATTGCTTGCTTTTCCTCTTAAGATCTTGGTATCAGGGTAGAGCCCGGGGCCCGTTGGGCCCATCTGCTATAAATTAACACCAAGAAACCACTCTTGGGAGAGCTGCTGGCCCTCCACACACACACACGCACACACGCACACATGCACACACACGCACCCTAGACTTGGGAATGATTCTGGTGTGGACTCTGGGGGCCATAACAGCTTCTTGCTGCCTGTGGCCCCCTCAATGTGAAGGAGCTGAGAAAGGCCTTGCTGCTCCTCTTCCCTTTGAGCATCACTTTCCAGGCTCATCTACCAATCTGGGTCCCCACTTCCTTCCCTGCTTTGATAGAAGGAAGATATAGAATAGTAATTAACATTTGTGAGGACCATACTGGACCAGGCTCATCTAAGGGGTTCACATGATATCCTTACGATCATCTCTATAGGCAGGGGAGGGGAAACATCGTTATTCCCATTTTACAGATGAGAAAACTGAAGCCTTGAAGGGATAATCATCTTGTCCAAGATAAGACTAATAAGGTGCTAAGCCAAAATTAGAAGCAGGGAAATCAGTGTGCAGAGCTTGTGTCTTCAACCAATTCTTTACACAGGTCTAGTTCTCATGAGCTGAGGTGGATGGAGGAGGGGGTTTAGGGGGACCCTGCTCCCCAGTCAGGGTCTGTGATGAATAGGAATGACTTTTCTGTCCTTGGCTGTAGGGAAAACATTGTGTTCAGATTCAGGATCCAAGAGTGTGTCTGGTCCCAGGTGGCAGTCATCGCTATTTGCCACCCTTCTCACGTCTGATCTTAAACGTACCAGGTGTGGGTGAGGCCTCCCCAGAATGCCCCATGCCAGGTGCTAAGGGGATCAAGGAATAGAATAAGATACCATCTCTGTCCTCGTTCTCTTGAGCCACTCTCTGGGTGGCAAGACCCAATGGACAGTTGGGTTGTGACAGAGGTTGACAGGAGGCAGAAGGCCATCCCAGAGAGATTTGGGAGGCCAAGATCCTACAAGCTGTTGGAACTCAGGGGGCGTGAGGTCAGCATGAGCTTTGGAAGCCAATGGGAATCAGGTACACGAAAAGGAGGATGGGCACATTGTGGGAGAGGGGAGGTGTATTAGTCTGTTCTCACACTGCTAATAAAGACGTACGCGACACTGGGTAATTTATAAAGAAAAAGAGGTTTAACTGACTCACAGTTCCACATGGCTAGGGAGGCCTCACAATCATTACAGAAAGCAAAGGAGGAGCAAAGGCACGTCTTACATGGTGGCAGGCAAGAGGGTGTGTGCAGAGGAACTCCCATTTATAAAACCATCGGATCTCATGAGTCTTATTCACCATCATGAGAACAGTACAGGGGAAACAGCTCCCATGAATCAATTATCTCCACCTGGCCCTGCCCTTGACACGTGAGGATTATTACAATTCAAGACGAGATTTGCATGGGGACACAGCCAAACCCTATCAGGAGGTCAGGGGAGACAGGAGCCTAGCATTCCCCTGGCCAACGAGATGGCCCACTGCAAGGAGGGTCACGGGGTCTGATAAGGAGGAAGCACAGCCCAGGCCAGCGAGGAGGCTCTGACAATGCAACCTCATCCCAGGGATGACCCAGGCCCTGACTGGATTCTCAGTCATCTCAGAGAGACTCAGTGAGATTCTCTGGTTAAGGGAGAAGTTAAAGGAGATTGGACATTTTAAAAGCATTTCTGACCAAAAGAGGATTTTGAGCAAACAAGATCTTTATGAAGCTTGGATGATATCCTGGGCATGAAGCCCCCACCTGGGCACCTGGTACCCAGAAGACAGCAGCTGTTAGTATTGATGATAAGCCTCTCTGGGAAATGAGAGCTGAAACAATGGTTTGAGAACCCTTCTGAGAAGCACTGGTGTTTCCCAGCTTCAGGTGCGCTTTCTTCCCAGTGATACAGATGAGGAGACCAAGGACCAAAGAGACTAGTGACTGGGTCAAAGTCAAACAGTGACAAAGTGGCAGGTGGAATTTACCTGTGTCCAAGGCCCTTTCTATTGTACTGCAGCATCCTCGCTGTTCAGATAGACTTAGACATAGGCTGGGACATTCATGGGTTCATCATTTACTCTTATCCATTCAACTAACAGCTGTTTATTAAATACTGACTCCTAACGTACTAGACTTGGTCCCATGTCACTTCCGAGAGCTGACTGTAGGGTCCTGGATGGGCCATATCAGGAGATGTCCTGAAGATGAGGCCCACAGTTCCTTTAGGGTAGAAGAAAGGGACTGGCATCCACACAGATGTGAACCCTGATGACAGTGCTGGTGGCTGGAGGTTGGCTGCAGGGCCTTAGGAGCTGGACGGGGCTATACCTCAATACTGCCAAGTTCAGAGGCACTGAAGGGTCCTCCCTGGGGCCCTCCTGAGGATGCTATCAGGTTGGCAGCATAGTATTCTGGAGAGAGCCCAGTTTGAGATGTGGTGGTAAGTTGTTGCACTCATCCAGCCACCCACTTGCTGTGCATCCTGAGGCAAGTCACTTCGCTCTTCCTGCCTCGGTCCCACCATTGCTCAGCTGAGAGCAGTAAACCCACCACTACCCCTCCCAGAGGCTGCATACAGACCCAGTGATATAGTGCCCAGGGCAGCCTGAAAATAGTGACATAAAGGGCATCATTGTCATCTCAATGAACCCCATGTGGGGCCACCTTAGTAAGCCCCCTTCCAGCTCACCCCACATTCTAGCTTGTTGGAGGCCTGGAAGGGAGTGACACCATGTGAGGACACGTGACCATGGTCACAGGCAGGTGTCTGGGTTCCAATGAGAGAGGCTGGCCTAAGGGGTTGGGGGTCTCCTGTTAGAATTGGGGGGCAGAGACGCAGGAGGAGGGAGCTGAGCCTTCTCGGGCTCTGGCTAATAGGAACAAAAAGCTTCTGTTACCTGTGGCCAGGCTGTTTTATCCATACTTGTTAAACCCTGTGCATTTCGAGAGCGCCAAAATCCATACGTTTCCTTTATTCTAACCACACTGCGGTGCTATTATGTAAGGACTGTGTAGTGTCCAGGAAGCCTCCCGCGGCACAGGAACAATGAGCTTGCTCACCACTGTGGCCTCCACTTCTCCCTTCTTTTCCCACAGCCTCCTAATGCCACCATCATCAGCCTCACTCAGGGAGGGGGACCCTCCTGCTGGGAAACTGGAAGCTCTGTGTGTCTGTGCATGTGCGAGTGTGTGTGTGTGTACGTGTGCATGTGCACACATTGGAGGATGTGTCAAAAGGTAGGCTAGAAACTCCAAAGGTAACTAGTAAATAGAGGGCTCTCTCATCCCTCTCATCACACACCCAGGTAAGCAGAAGGGCCTCCTGCCCCATTCTCTAGGCCCTGCCAGGGTGTCATCTCCTTCATGGGCCTCCAGGGCATTAAGCTTGATCCCTGGCTCTTGGACTGGCATGGCTAATGCCCAGCCAAAGGCCAGAGAGTGTAACACTGCACATTTCCTCAGAGCTTGCCCAGTGCTTTCTAAGATTCCATTCCTGCCCTTCATCTTGACAGTCATCTGGAAGGCGGCTGGCCTGCCAGGTACAGGAGGGACTGGGCAAGAGTCACCCAGCAAGTCGTGGGCTCTCTCCAGGCCTTTTGACAGTGCCCCACAGTATCCTGCTGTGGAAGGACTGGCCTGCCTGGGTGCATCCTGGGGAGCAGGTCACTGCATGATGTCTCTGGCTGTTGATGACCCAGTTGAAAGTGATGTGGTAACGAGAGACAGCACAGTGCCTGGACGCTGAGGGCTTTATAGATCCCCAGTGACGTTGAGGCTGAGAGCTGAGTGCTGCCACACTGGCTCCTCGGGCTCCAGGGACAGCCCACCAGAGGCTCACAGGTGTGTAAATGGCACTTTACAACTCTTAGGACAGGGCTGTCTCCAGGATCTCTGCAGGTGTGGGGGGAATTGTTATCTGAATCTTACACGTGGGGAAGCTGAGTTCAGACAGGCTCAGTGCCTAGGCCAGACCGTGCAGCCAGAGAAAGGCAGAGCTGGGGCTCGCTAGCCCTCAGATCCCCCTCCCACCCCCGGTCCCAGACCCTGTGCCCCTGAGCCCTCCTGGCAGCTGCCTGTTTTCCCAGAAGCAGATGGACAGTTGCTCCGACAAAGGGGCTGTGTGGCACCCATGCTGTGGTTCCCATGGTAAACCCAGGCCCCTCATGTTTCTAATTACTCCTGGTGTTCTTTTCTTCCTGCAGCATGAGCAGGGCCAGGCTGGGGCATTCTTGTCATCCCTGTCCCCCACCTCCCCTCCCCACCAGGGGTCCCCTTATGGAAACTTCTCACACACGAGAAGACTGGGGCCCAGGCAGCTTGAACGAGTCCGAGAAACTCAGGGGTCAGCCAGGAAGCCTTTTTTTTCCACCAAAATAGTTTTTTTTCAATTATTTAATTAATGAATTTTTATGGTGGGGAAATATACATATTGTATGATTTGCCATTTTAACCATTAAGTGCCACAGTTTAGTGATATTAGCAGCATTCACATCGCTGTGCTATTATCTTCACCATCCATCTCCAGAACTTTCTCACCTACCCCAATGAAAACTCTGTCCCCATTAAACACGAACTCCCCATTCTCCTCCCGCCAGCCCCTGGCAGCCTTTATTCCACTTTCTGTCTCTGTGAATTTGACTACTTGAGGCCCCTCATGTCAGTGGAATCACACAGTGCTTGTCCTTCTGTGTCTGGTTTATTTCATTCAGGAGAACGTCTTCAGGGTTCACCTGTGCTGCACCCTGTGTCAGGATTTCATTCCCCAGCCAGGTGGCTTTATGCCTTCTCTTTGTGCTCTAATTCTTTGGTTTTTAAACTTAAAAAAGAAAAAAGCAATGGAATCCTCCCCCATCTTTTCCCCCTTCAACAGAGTCTCATACGGAGGTCTAGTAAATACAGCACACAAAAGCAGCAAGGCTCTGGCTGAACTGGGGGGGCTAGAGACCCTACACCCCAAGCCTGGCATTCCTGGAGACACTTCCTGGGGATGGAAAGTGCCTGCATGCCTGGAGAGAGGGGCCGATTTGATTGACTTGGGTCATGAGTGAGAAGCCCCTTGAGTCTGACATTTGGTCTTGAGGGCCTCCCCAGTCACTGCACTTCCCTACTGCCCTCCTGGCTTCCCTCCTAAATGTCCTCTTCAGGTCTTGGGCCCCAGCCAGGCCCCAGGCCCTTGTAATAGGTGGAGGACCAGAGAGAGGCACAAGCATGCTTTGCCGGAGGATTTGGGGTTTCTCCCCACAAACCTCACCCAGGCAGGCTTTATCTGCATCTGCCTGAGTCTCTTCTGGCACCCTCCCAACTCCCCCCGCCCTCAGAGGCCCCAGGCTCCTTCCAGGCCGCCCTGGCCGCATTCTTTTGTGCTGTCACTGGCCGCATCTATATATTGACTCTAGATAGTTCCTTTCCCTTTCATCAAAAATACTTGTCCTGGCCGGGCACAGTGGCTCACACCTGTCATCCCAGCACTTTGGGAGGCCGAAGTGGGTGGGTCACTTGAGCCCAGGAGTTCAACACCAGTCTGGGCAACATGGGCAAAACCCTGTCTCTACTAAAAATACCAAAATTAGCTGGGTATGGTGGTACACACCTGTAATCCTAGCTACTCAGGAGGCTGAGGCAAGAGAATTGCTTGAACTTGGGAGGTGGAGGTTGCAGTGAGCTGAGATTGTGCCACTGCACTCCAGCCTGGGTGACAGAGTGAGACTCTGTCTCTAATAATAATAATAATAATAATAATAATAATAATAATAATAATAACTTGTCCTGGCTTCCATTTCCTTAGCTCCTTGAATGAATTGCGCCGTTATATGAGCTGCCACATCCTGGGTTTATGCATCCTGGGAGTTCTCTTGTTCCCAGCAATTTTATGTTAAGGTGAGACCCCATGACAGGCAAGTTGGAGGAGATATTTTGAGGTGGGAGCAGCACATAGGGCAGAAGCCCTTTTGAGTGTCCCTCCAATCCCACCTGGCAACCATGGACTCTGCTTACATCAAACAACTGGAGGTTGATCAGGGTTCCAGGCCCTGGGCTAAGGGCTGGGGAAATAGCAAAACAGGTTCAGTCCCTGCCTTTGATGAGACTGTACAATTTTGGGTGAGTGACTTAATCTTCTTTTGCTTCCATTTTCTTGTCTACGAAGTGGATGATAATAGCTCAGAGGGTGGCCTGAGGGTGAGATGAGGCAGTGAGTGTGCACAGCTCAGAACAGGGCCGGGCCCGGGGTCATCACAGCAAGCCTCAGCTGCTCTGAGTGTCACCCTCACCTGTGGCAGAGGGGCCTATGGACTTCTCTTGGCACCTGCTATTAGGCCCCTGGCTTGTTAACAGCCTTGGCAGCAAAACGGTCACCTGCCCTTCCTGTTCACTTTTAGTTCTCTCTAAAATCAACACACAGCATGCAAGGGCCTGACATTAGTTGGGTACTTTCTCTGTGTCAAGAATCTCTATGAGGTAAATGTTAGGATGCCCACTTAATGGACAGGAAAACTGAGGTTCCGTGTGGTTAAGGAGCATGGCCAGACAACAGTCAGGATGTGGTAGAGGCCACAGCGTGGCCCTGGACTGCCTAGTTTTGAACTTTGTTCCTGGCAGGTGGAGAGCATAAAGGAAACAGAAGATGCAGCCTCTTGTGGAGATATTTTTGTCAGGGATGTTTGGAAGATCCCCTGATGGGACCTCAGACCACACCTATGCTCTGGACTATTCGACCAGATTTTGTGGGATGTTGCAAGATTATGCCCCTGTGACTTGGAAAGAAATTTCTTTTGGGGCCTCAGTTCAGTTTATTTGAAGTTAGTTCAGCCAGCACTGGTTAATAATCTTTTTTTTTTTTTTTTTTTTTTTTTGAGATGGAGTCTTGCTCTGATGCCAAGGCTGGAGTGCAGTGGTGCAATCTCAGCCACTGCAACATCCGCCTCCCAGGTTCAAGCGATTCTCTTGCCTCAGCCTCCCAAGTAGCTGGGACTACAGGCACGCACCACCATGCCTGGCTAATTTTTGTATTTTTAGCAGAGATGGGGTTTCACCATGTTGGCCAGGATGGTCTTGATTTCTGATCTCGCGATCTGCCCGCCTCGGCATCTCAAAGTGCTGGGATTACAGGCGTAAGCCACAGGGCCCGGCCAAGAATCTTTTATGTGTAGGGATTGTGAGAGAGTCAAAGATGCAAAACCCAGCCCCTACCTCAGGGAGTGGTCAGGCACCTAGGAGGAGGCAGCAATGCATCTTACATGTACTAGGAGAGGTTTGAATATGGTGACTGTGTCAGAACTCCAATCAGCACATGGCCTGACCTTGGATTATTTAAATTGCAAATATATTCATATGAAATATCTGAAAAAGGTATATAATGTACCCCTTTTAAATTCACATCTTTAGCAAATATCCTTTAAAGAAAAAAAGTTTCATAAAGCTGAGATGGGAAACTTGAGATTGACAGTTCATGTCATCCCTCTTTCTCTCCCTTCCTTCAACAAGTATTTATGGGAACTCGCTATATGCCAGGAATTGGTCTAGACACACAATGATGTGTGTCTTTCAGTGAGGCCAAGAGAACAGACAAATAAAAAGCAGTAACAGCTCCCTAATGGCTCTGTGTGGAGCATCCCGAGAACCCACAGGAAGGTGCTTCATAGGAGGGGCAGCAAGTGGCTGGAGGGGATTTTCCTGGAGGAAGCAGTGTGGGAGATGTGACCTGAAGGGCAGCAGAGCAGTATTTTGTTAGATGAAGGAGTGGAGGTTGAGCTAGGGAGCCAGGGAGAGGTTATCAGGTAAAGGGAGAGGCACATATGAAGGCTCTATGAACCAAATGTATGGGAGGTCAGAGGAGGGTGTCATTAATTTCGCATGAGGGCAAAGGCATGAGAGATCAATAAAGGCTTCAGGGAGGAGTTGCTATGTGATGGGGCATTGTGAGATGAATAGGAGTTTGATAAACAAAGGTTGAAAGCACTCTGGGCAGAGGGAGTGGGCAGAATCCATAAATGCCTGGTCTATTTAGCATGTGATGCTCAGGTAACCATGTCTAGAGCAAAGGGTACAGGAGGGTAGGACTTGGCATCACCAAACATCCAAGAAGAAGTTCTGGGGCAGGAAGGCTGCTATGGATGGTGGTGGACTGCACAACAGAGGTGGTGCAGGATAGAGAGGAGGGGTGGGTTTAAGAGGCATTTGGGAAGAGGGTGAGGGGTCTTGGCAACTGCTGAGTTGCAGACATTGAGAAATGAGGCCAGTGGAAGTTGGCCCTGAGATTTGCATTTGAGCTAACTGCTCTTCCAGATTGAATGCAGGTTCCATTAATGCTCCAAGGTACGTCCCCTGCACCAAACCATTTATCAATTTATATTGGGGAAGCAAGTTTGAGGTCGTGGTGTCCAAAAGCAAGACAAGGACCCTGCACATGCCCTTGCGTGCCCTAGCTCTAGTTTACACACACCGTAGTTTCTCCCTTTGCCCATACTACAGATGGGAAAACCGAGGCTGGGTGGCTGCTGAAGGCCACACAGCAGTGTGAGTCAGCACCAGGGACAGAATCCAGGCTCCTGGTCTTTTCAGCCTGGGGCATGTCCTCCAGCACATTCATTCCCCCTGACCACCGTGGAGGGGCAGCGTGAGAAGTGATGGGCTTTTGCACCGCTTTCTGTAAGTCACCACCCAAACTGGAAAGGCTTCGGGGAGCTTGGAGAAAGCCCAGAGGTGTCAGATGATCCCTCCATTTGATGTATGGTCCAATTGTTCCAGTTTCATTTAGGATGAGGCCAGCAGGCAGGGCCACTGTTTATCAAATAGGAGTTTGATGAACAAAGGTTGAGAGCATTCTGGGCAGAGGGAGTGGCATGAACCCATAAATACACATTCTACTTAAGGTGTGGTGCTCAGGCCACCATGTCTAGGGCAGAGGGTGCAAGAGGGTGGGGCTTGGCATCACGAAGCATCCAAGAGGAAGTTCTGGAGAGGAGCGCTGCTATGGATGGTGGGGAGCTGCACAACGGAGGGGGTGCAGGATAGAGAGGTGCCCCTCCTATGAAGCACCCCGCTATGGTCCTGTCTAACCCACCTTCCACTCTTCCTCCCCAGTGTGGCTCTGATGAATAAGCAGCTGAAACAAACCATATGTCAAATGAAGGGACCTCACTGTCCCCAGGGCTCACCTGCTCCTAATTAGGCCTGGAGTAGGGAAGGAGCGGGGCACCAGAGGGCATCAGCCAGCATCTGTTCCTCAGAGTGTGTGGGTGTTGGGGGCAATGAAGGAAAGGGAAGGCTTGGGGGCCTCGTTTTCCCTGCTGGGAGCCCCCAGGCCCCCCAACCCTCTGATTTTATCCTGTCATACAAGAGTTGCTGGAAACGCTATCATTCTGGCAAGTCACTCAGTCAAGGAAAACCTCTTTAATCTCTTTTGGGGTGCATCTAGTCCACAGGTTTTTAAGCTTATTGACCGTACTTGTCTCCACTTTGACAAACACAAAACCCTCTCCTTAAACTTAACTTGAAATTTAAAAGAACAAATCAATCTCACGAGACTAAGCGCTGGTTTCTTTTCAGGGCTCATATCTTATTCTTCCAGATTCTAAAGGCCTCTACTTACCCTCACACCCACCTTCCCTCCCCGAGTCCATTTTACAGATGAGGGAATAAGTCCAGAGAGGTTAAGTGACCTACCTGAGGTCACACAGTAACGGCTTCCGGGCCTGGCCAACAGCACCGCCCTCATTTGTTTCTCTTGAGGCCTTCTCTTCCCACCAGCCCCACAGGGCAAAGTCGCTCTTTGAAGCCACCTTCAGAATTCTTCTCCCCACTCCCTGAGGCCCTCCCCACCAACTGCGAAAGTGTGGCCTTTCCAGAGGTGGCCAGTTCATTCAGCCACCCTGGGGAGCTAATGTACTTTCTGAATCTAAAGCGACATGTGACTTCAGGACCACAGACAGGGGAAGAGGAGTTTGATACAAGGGATCTGTTTCAGGGCCCGTTCAAGAGATGCCTAGAGGCTGTCCTGAGAGGGTGCCCCTTGCTAAACTCCTACCTTCAGAAACCATCTGCATGGCTGTCCTGCCCCTGGCCTCCTTGGCCCACTGGGACGTTGCTGCCAGTGGCTCTGCTGGCTGGCTTCATCTTAAATGGAACTGGAACGTCAGAGAAGAGATGAGGCTCCAAAGGCAGAGGCCACCCCACCCCCAAATCCCTCCCAACTATTAGCCTCAAAGTTTCCCCATCCATGAGCTCTGCTGTCGGGTTAAACTTTTTAGAAACTGCCCACCCAGTGGGGGTGGAGTGCAGGGGCCTCGAACCTCTGCCTTCTTCTCCATCTTCGTGTCTCTGCCTTGGTTTCCTCTGCTATAAAATGGAAGACTGGATGGTCTCTCTGCTGCCTTTTGGCTGTGCCAGTCTCCTCTCCTATGGCATCTGGCACAGCTGGTGCAGAACCTGGGCTGGGGCCTGGAAGGGCGTCTTGGAAGATGGTGCCCACGGGGGCTGTTGGCCTTTTCCTCTGGCGACTTGGGGAGTGTGCGCAGGGGACATCCAGCAGGCTGAAGGAGGCCCAGAGGAACTTGCTTAAGGTTTCTTTGAGAAGGAAGTGACAGTAATAATGACAATAACAACATCAAGAACAAAGCAGGAATAGTTATGAGGGGCGCTTGCACAGTGCTTGTGGTGTGCCAGGCATCGTTCTCAGGGCTCTACCTGTGTGAACTCTGACCCAGGCGCTTGCGTTTCCTCAGGTCCTAGTGCTTCATCCTTCAGAAGCTGCTGCCTTAGAGAGTTGCTGAGCTGGTCGCTGGGAGGCTGGAGAATCTCCTATGACTGGGAGCTGGGAGCAGGGAGCAGGGACTTCTGAGGTCTCCAACCCCCAGTATCTGAGACTCTGGAGCCTCGAACCCAGCCTGTGTGATCTGGGCTGTCTGCTTGTGAGTGGCCTGCTAGCTAAGGACAAAGAGGGGTTGCAAAGCTAGTGCTCCCCCAACCCCCGGGGCTAGGACCAGGTGCCCTTCCTGCAGGTCCCCATCACACTCGCCCCAGCCTTCCTTCCCACGTCTCAGCACTGCAGTGGAGAAGGAAGGCCAGGGACAGAGGAAGGCTACACAGAGAGCAAACCCAGCCGGGCTGGAGTTCCTTCTCTCAGAAGCACATTTGTCACAGAGAGCACCTTTGACTCCAGAGTAGGAACGCATGCCTCATGTCCTCTGGCCATGTGTGGGAGTGTGGGGGAAGCCCTGGGCATGCCACACTACTGCGCCTCAGTTTTTCTATCTGTAAAATAGGGACAAGGCTATCTCTCTGCCCTCCCCATGGAGTGAGACGGCAACGCTGTTCTGAAGCGAGGAGGCATTGCTGTTTTTGTCAGCCAGGCATTGGGATAAGGCCAGGCACTGCCTTTGTCTTCTGTGGCCAAAGCCTGATTTCCATCCAGACTTGCTGTCCCCTCCGTGGTCTCTGAGGAGTCAGGTTCTGCCATGTGGGGCCACAAGAGCAGGTTTAGCCGCAAGAAACAGTGACCCATGCCAAGAGAATTTGGAGCTTCTCTGCTCTCTCCCCGCTTCCTGGGCCTCACCTCTGCAGTCAGAGCCCATGTCTGTCCCAGTTGATCACCATCTATTGCTCACCCAGTGCTCTCAGGGACATCCGTTGAGTCCCTGTTTGGTCCTTCTCACGGTCCTTCTATTTCCAGAGAAGCCTCCTGGAGGGAAAAACATCCTTCAAGACTCTCAGGTGGCCTGGGCAGTGGCTCACACCTGTAGTGCCAACAGTTTGGGAGGCTGAGGCGGGAGGATTGCTACAGCCCAGGAACTTAAGACCAGCCTGGCAACATAGTGAGACCCTGTTTCTACCAAAAATAAAAAAAATTAGCTAGGCGTAATAGCAAGTGCTTGTAGTCCCAGCTACACTGGAGGTTGAGGTGGGAGGATCGCTTGAGCCCAGGATATTGAGGCTACAGTGAGCTAGGATTCTACCACTGCACCCTAATCTGGGTGACAGAGCGAGACCCTGTCTCAAAAAAAAAAAGATGCTTAGGAATAAAACTCCAAAGGTGGGGTTTCAGGCACCACCGGCGAGCAGGTGTCTTTGGAGAGATGTGCGACTCCCTTGCTCTCTGGCACGGGCTTTGGCTTAAGCACCCGCAGGGCCTCCCTTCTCTTAGGTCTCAGGGGTGAGATGCTCTGCAGGAGCCCCACAGCAGTGCCGGGAGATGGAACTTTGCAGCTGGAGCAGGCTCTCTTCCCTCCTGCCTCAGCCTGGGCATCTGTAGAGCCAGGTTGGCTTTGGGGGCTGGGCTCTTAAATTAGAGGCCATGAGGGTTTCAAACATGGCAAGGTCTGGTATCTGAACACTTGGTTGTTGGTAACACCCATCCCTCCTGGACGGTCTGTCATCTTCCCCTCCTGCTGAGGACAGGTCCCATGGAGGCAGGGGTTGCTTAGATCTGCATCTGGGGAGGAAATCAGGCAGTGCAGGAGCCCGTGCCTGGCCCATGCTGTCAGACCCTCATGGCCCACAGGCTCTGTCCAGCTTCAGATTTACTACATAGCTCAGAGCCCTGGGTTGGTCCTGGCTGGGTCTGAGTCTGCAAACCTGTGGTTTTCAGAGATGAGTTGTTTACCATTTTCTTTTCATCACAAAGAGGAATCCCTCCCCTTATATGCAATGAATGTTTTAAAAATCAATACATTCATCTAGTGTCAGTCTCTTATTTTCTCACTGCTTATTTTACTTACTACTGAGAGTAAAACCCTACCTGCCCCATGAATCTCAGCAGGCTCAGTTAGCCTTGCATGACTTAAGTTTCCCATTTTCCCAACCATCCTCTGTCTATTGTCCATCTCCTCTGATGTCCACCACAGCCCCGTGAAGTTAGGCAGGTGTGATTTCCTCTGTGTGCAGGGAAAGAAAGACAGGCTCATGGAGTGTCCCTCTGGGTGAAGAGGCAGCAGACTGAGGGCCAAGCCTAGGTTCTTAAATTAGAGACTATGCAGGTTTCAAACATGGCAAGGTCTGGCATCTGAGCAGCTTGGTCACTGGCAGCACCCATCCCTCCTGGACCGTCAGAGCCTCGGGACTGCCAAACACCACCATGAGCTCATGTAGTCCCATCCCCTTATTTTATGAAGACAACGTCATACTCTTCTTGGCATGTATTAATACTCACTCCCCCCACCCCCTGGGTCTGGAACCTCATGCACCCCCTAGCCTGCTGGGCCAGCTTGGCCAGATCATGGCATCCATCTCATGCCTGCCTTCTTCTCAGCATGCTGGGCCAGGAGCAGGCCAAGGGCCTAGCCTAGGCCGGGGTAGGTGCTGGTTGGGTCAGGCAGACATGGCCAGATGATGGCTTCCAAAAAGGGAGATGCCGTCAGGCCCCTCCCACCCAGGGGAGGCAGTGGGTGTTGGGGGCTGAAGACAGAGAGGGTCAGTCCAAGATGGCATCAAGTCAAAATTTCAAAATGTGAAAAATACAATTTTTCTACAAATATCTAGTGATTTATTTAAGTTGCTAATGAGGGAACCAGCAGGATGATGCACCTGGTTCGAAAGGGGATGTAAGGAAAAATACGTATATATAAAATATGTATACACACACACATGTTAATGAGAAAACTAATGCTGCTAAATTAGACACAAGACTAGTTAATATCTAGCAGGACAGTAAAACCATAACCTTTGGTATTATATTCTCCATTGGACAAAAATCCTTGGCACCATGTTGGTTTTCTCTGTTTTTTTTTTTTTTTTTTTTTTGAGACGGAGTCTCACTCTGTCACCCAGATTGGAGTACAGTGGTGCGATCTCAGCTCACTGCAAGCTCTGCCTCCAGGGTTCATGCCATTCTCCTGCCTCAGCCTCCCGAGTAGCTGGGACTACAGGCAGCCACCACCGCGCCCGGCTAATTTTTTGTATTTTTAATACAGACGGGGTTTCACCGTGTTGGCCAGGATGGTCTTGATCTGACCTCGTGATCCGCCCACCTTGGCCTCCCAAAGTGCTGGGATCACAGGCGTGAGCCACCGCGCCCGGCCACCATGTTGGTTTTCTAATGATAACGACTAACTTTACAGAGTCCAGGGTCTGCTCAGTAGTCAGTCCGATGAAGTTATATCTTGCCATGGAAGGCCAGTGACTCTTAGGGAAGTCTGTCAGACAATGCTGTAACATGACTTTAAAAGGACACACAGTCCTCTTTCTGTATTATTTCAAAGTTTTGGATATTTTTTCTTAACAGCAGACAGAGGCAGTCGGGGTGAAACTGTGGGATTCTAGCCAGAGAGCTCAACACAGAGATGGTGAAGACAGAGTTGGTACAGCAGGGCTTTTACTGTCCAAGACCACTGCCCCGGCCGTGCTTCCAGCCCAACCTCATCTACTGGGCCAACCCCTCCCTCCATCTAGAATTCCACTCTGGTTATTAAGACCACCTGGGCACTGGAGTCCCAGGGGGCTGGGATGCCCAAGGCCTCACCTGGTGCTCCCCGTAGTGTCCAGTCTTCCCGAGGACATGCAGGCTGGTGTGTACATGTATGTGTGTGGGGGGGATTCTTGATACTTCTTCCTTCTTATTGCAGAGATGCTCTTCTTCAGAGATCTGCCCCTAGCTGGGGCTTGGGAGGCCCCTCTTTCTTAAAATATATCTGGTGGCGACTTTCTTTCCTCCCCTGAATCCCTTGCCCTTTCCTTGAATATTTCTCATGGATACACACCCCATGATACACACACCACTTCCACCCCTGCCATATGGACACACACATAATGCCTCCCATATACCCAAACCTACTCAGATTCCCTGGAGAAGCAGCAAAGCCTCCCAACAGAGAGGGGACTCATTCCCTATCTCCCACCTCTTTCCACTTGGGACCATGGCCAACCCATTCTGCACTCTTGCATGAATTAGAAAATGGCCCATCATGGCCAAGCACAGTGGCTCATGCCTGTAATCCCAGTGCTTTGGGAGACCGAAGTGGGAGGATTGCTTGAGGCCAGGAGTTCGAGACCAGCCTGGGCAAAATAGCAAGACCCTGTCTCTACAAAAATAAAATAAAACAAAATTAAATATAAAATAGAATAAGAAAATGTCCTGCCTTTTCCCTGGTAGATACAGCCCAGAGCCAGGGCACACACACAGCTGGTTCAGCTCCACTCACTTCTTGATGGTCACCTTTGTGCCCGTAGACAGTATCTCTGTTCCCTCCCCCTCAAAGATTTCCAGAGTGGTGTGCAGGGCTCCCTTTCAGTTGGCAAACCTTTTGACATCTCCATGGGAGATGGTCCAGCCAACTCTGGCGTATATTCTCAGAGATCCTGCTTACCACACTGGTGCCAGCTCTTGTCTGTTGGGTTAGAGAATATGTTTGGTTGGGTGGTGTGATGTCATGGGCCAGGGGAATCTTGTCCTGCCTCACCAATTACAGGGTTGCTTCCTGGGCCTCAAATCTAATTGCACAGAGATGAGAGCTCTCCTGGGAGATGAAAGTGGTGGCTTGTGAGGACAAGTGGGTGTAAATGACTGATAACAGATTGTTTTGTCTGGAAGGAAGGACTTGCATGTGCCTGTGCATGTGTGTGTGAGTGTGCGTGTGCATATGTGTGCAGGGAGGGATTCTGAAGAGGAAGGTGTTGCACAAGGATGTCCAGGTTGAAACCCAGGAGCTTTTCTAGCGTGGCTCTACTGACTCTAGTGGACAGAGAACAGGCTCTGGAGCTCCAAATCCCCCAGATTCTGCTCCTGTCTGCTGATAGGTAGAAGCAGGAACAAAACTTACTTTGAAATGCACAGACAGAAAATCTTAATACAAGCCCCACAGCCCCTGATCTAGAAGTGTCAGCTGTCCCCCTTTGGAGCATGAACTGAGCCCTCACCAGCTCTTCCCAGAGCTTCTGTGCCCCTCCCCAGCCTCTTGCTCCAAGCCTGCACTTTTGGCAGGACCCCCTCGAGGCAGTTAATTAAAAAATCAGTGTTTGCCTTTATATTGGAAAAGAGATTTTTGCCCCCTCTGTAAGTGATAAGTGTTTCAGCTGAGCCTGGTGAGGTATCTGGGGCTGGAAGAGTTGCTTTTACTAATACATGCCAAGAAGACTGTAATGCTGTCTTCATAAAATAAGGGGATGGGGCTAGATGACCTCATGGCGGTGTGTGGTGGTTCTGATGCTCTGGCCCCAAGAACCCCTTGTCTCCGGAAGGGAGTTGCTTCCAACCATCTGGGCCTCTTTCTCAGCTGTTTTGCCAAAAATAAAGTATTGGGGTTCACCCTCAGTTTTGTGAGGCCTTAGAAGCAAATGCCAAGGCCCATCTGTCCAGGGGCCATGTTCTCAGGGAAATGCTGTTAGCTACCTACATGCCAGGGTTTCTCTTCCTCTGGCTGCCTCATTTCTTACACTGGCGAGGGAGCTGAATGAAAGCCTTCTCTGCACATACAAAGATCTGTAGACTGTCCGACACCCTTCTACTCTTTAATCATCAGCATTGTCATCGTTGCCTTCATCTCTGACATTTGTACAAATCTGATGGCTTACCAGGTACCATCAAATATATAGTCATTTCATTTGAGACACAAGCTCCCCTTATGGTGGAGCTGGGGCAGGTGTAAACTTCATTGTTTTATAGGAAGCAGAGGCAGAGGGGTTAATATCAATTTTTTTTTCCCTAAGGCCTGGTAAGGACTGGGGCCAGAACTAGAATCCAGGTCTTTTGCTAAGCTATCTTATGTCTTGACCCCCCATCAATCCATCCATCCATCCATCCATTCACCCACCCATCCACCCATCCATCCATCATTCCATCCGGCAGATAATTATTAAGTGCTCATTTCATTCCAACCATGTAGATAGCTATAGAGTAGTGAACAAAACAGGATCTTTTCCCTGTCCCTGGCAGCTGTCCTTTCAGTGGAGATTCTCTTTCTGGGACATGGTGCTGTCTTTATAGGTAGGAAGAACTGGGGAGCTGGACATGCGGCTCTCAGAGGAACATTTTGTTTTCACTTCTCATCACTTCCTCCTTCCTTCTTCCCACAGCAGACAGGATTTAGGCCATTTTGGGAGTCCCCCACTTTCTGATTTCTAGTACCTTTGGCATCATGGGCAGTGTTTGGGTGGCGGAGGAGCAGCTACTCCTTTTGGCGGGGGACACTGACATTCCTGGGCACTGCTGCGTGCCGCTGCTGAACCAGGCACTTGGCCAACATTCTCTTCTAATTCATTCCTCACACAGTTCTGAGGGGCAGTAGACAGGCTGGGTAAAGAGGCTGAGGAGAGTGCGCCAGGCCAGGGAAGCAGTGATTTTTGGTGGTCTCACAGCAGTGACACTCTGACATAGCTTGTCAACAGAGGGCTACAGTCTGTCCAGCTTAGCAGACAAGTTTCTTCATGGCTTGTTCTCAAACTTCAACGTCCAGCTGAGGCATGCATAAAAAAAGGCAGATAACCAGGCCCCACCTCCAGAGAGTCCCATTCAGCAAGTGGGTGAGGGGGTTGGGGATCTGCATTGAAACAAGCCCCCATCCTCCATGATTCCAGTGCAGAGCTTGGGGAACCACTCTGAAGTAAGGAAAGCAGCTTTTCCTTTGGACAGTGCAGGCCTTTGGGAGTGAATCCAGTACAAAAACAGCATTAGCTCTGAGGACAAGAAATGTGTACAGAACTTGCAATATTCCAGGACTAGGGGAGAAACTTGTCCCAACTTTAGTGCCAAATTCCCCTCCAGGCTGTGCAAAATGTGGAAGTCCCTGTGCTTCCCGGCACCACCTGGGTGTAGCTCTGGAGGGCATGAAGCAAGAAAAACATTCCCCACTTGGAAGAAGTCCAGAGCTGGGCATACAGACCCGTGGAGGGTGCAAGGGCCCCTGAATGGGAACAGACCAGAAACCACAGATAGCTTCAGTTTGGAAGTCAAACGCTGGGACGGGAGAAGCTTCTAGTCTTCATCATCGAGGACTGCTGAAATCCCAGGGTCAGCTCAGGGATCTGTGTGCACCCAAAGCAGCCTCTTGAAGCAGAAGCTGACCTTAGGGGTTATTTAGTTACAGGGACAGCCAGTGCAGGGCAACGCAGGCTGCCAGTCCAGCTCTTAGGACTGGGGCAGTCACGCCTAATCAACCGTGGCAGCTGTTCCTTCAAGCCTACAGGCAGCATCAGAATTCCTCTGAACAATCCCCACAGGCTGGGGATTTCCAAGATTCAAGCTGGCACTTGCGTTCCAAGCAGGCCTCTTTGCCATTCCCCATCTAGATGAACACCCTTATTTGACACACAAAGAGTATAAAGCTGAGAGAGAGAAAGTGGCTTACTGAAGGTTACATGTTTATTTGGGATTACAGCTGGGAGGTGAAGGGAGATAGCTACATAGTAAGATGGCATTTTCAAGGGGTGTTTGGGTTCCCTGGCTAAGTAAGTTGGAGAAATCCTGTATGTAATACCACCTCTAACTCGAAGATTCACCACTCATACAGTATGCAAAAGACTTGGAAAGGTTGCAAACCTGGAGAAGTTGGCAGGAAACAAAACAAAACAAAACAAAAACCTTGTTTAACTTTTTCAACTTTATAATGTTTCCATGCACTTCTTAGATACATTTGATCCTGGGACCCTTCAGTGACCTAGCAGCTGCTCAATCCTGTGGAACAATTTGTTCCTGAAACACATGTTGGGACCTGCACGTTTAGCAGGAGATCGGGCAGCAAGACACACACAACTCTGTTTTTGTGGTGCACCTTGGCCATGATCAAGGGCGCAGGAAGCACACGGGGTTGGCACTGAACCAAGCTGCCCTCAATTGGGATCTGGGGAGCGATGGACCTCTGTGACTTCTTTTCACTCGGGAGGTTTAGGTTCCTCAAGACATGAAGAAGGGGCTTGGGGCTGGGCATGGGTTTACTCACCAATCCTAGACAACAGGAAAAAGCAGCTTTTTCAGAAGGTGGGCTCAGGATAAATCAAAGCAATTTCCATTTCCCGAGTGAGGGGTAAACGTAGAGAACTCAGAGGTGTGTTTTTGTGGAGAGGTGGGTGTGGGTGAAAATTTCACACCCCACTTAGGGGCAGTTAAAAACAGACCTAAGAACACAGAGATAAAGAAAAAAAAAGACACGAAACATTGAAGCAATTGCCATGAAGCTCATGTACTTAACTCTGTGGCTGTTTATTGGATTTCTTTAATAGCTTATTGACTCTCGGTTCACGAGGAATTCTACCAGAATCAGGGTCCTATCTTGGCTCAAGGTCCACAACAGATTGGGAACAACTATTGGAGGGGGAAGACAGGCTTAGGGACCACAGAGCAGATAGCTGAGAGGAGTGGGCACATACCCATCTTGTCTCATAAGTCACCATCAGGTAGTGAGGACCACAAGGAAACAGGGAAACATCCACTGTATTTATTCACCTCTGAAGGAACCAAGAAAGTTAAGTGCACGAGCATTTAGGAAAGGTTTCCAAACTGAAAGATAGAGATTCAATGGGTAAATTTCTGTTATAGAGAAAATTTACTTATGTGCATCTTTCCCAACAATGCTGATAAATAAAACATCACTGTAAGTTCTAAACACACTGGATAAAGTCCCACTGGACAGACTCACACTGTTTTAGGAAACAAAGAGTGTCAGGTCATCTGGTTCAATCCCTTCATTTTGTAGGCACGGAAGTATATGTAGGAGTGAGAGGGACCCCTGGCTCAAGGCCCACAGCTGATGAGAGCAGAGACAGTCTCCCACCCCGGTCTAGAGTTTGCTGTTGTCAGGGGCAACCGTGGGGGTGGATTATTACGCTTTCCCCAGCCCATCCCTCATCGCTTCTCCAAACCCAGACTTCCAGACTTCAGGGACTTGGGCCCACCCGGGAGCTGTCTTAGGCCCCTACTAGATTTTATTCAAGCCATAGCAGCTCTCTCCAGGAAGTGAAATGGTCATTTCTTTCCTTTTTTTTTTTCAGACAAGGTCTCACACTGTCACCCAGGCTGCAGTGCAGTGGTGCAATCTTGGCTCACTGCAGCCTCGACTGCCCAGTCTCAGCTGATCCTCCCACCTCAGCCTCCCTGGTAGTTGGGACTATAGGCACGTGCCACCATACCCAGCTAAGTTTTGTATTTTTTGTAGAGACAGGGTTTTGCCATGTTGCCCAGGCTGGTCTTAAACTCCTGAGCTCAACTGACCTGCTACCTTGGCCTCCCAAAGTGCTTGGACTATAGGCGTGAGCCACCATGAAATGGTCATTTCTAACCAGTGACCAGAGGCTCTGTTCCCCAATTCTTCCCCTGGGTCTTCAAAGCCACTCTGGCTTCCCTGCCTTCTGCAAATATGCTCCTCTCCCTCTTCCTGACCTCCCCACCCCAACCCCTGTGGGATGAGCCAGGCTGGCAAGTCAGGTGGGAACTGGGCCGATTCCTGCTGGGACTCTCACCTAGGATGTCCTGCTCCTCCTTCCCATCACTGTCTAAATCACCCCATCTTTCCAGGTGGTGAAGAAGCCTCACAGCCATCCCCAACATCTCCAGACCCTGTGACTCTTCCTGCCCGCTGGGTGTTGGTGCAGGAATGGGGCATTGTGGAGATTAAGCCAGAGTTGGGGACTTGAAGGAAATTTTGCTGACTTCATCAGCCATCCTTGGCCTGACAGCCAATGACAGTGTTTGAAGACGGGTCACTGCTTCTATGTCTTCGGGTAGTGTGACTCATTTCTCAGAAGACGGGCATATATATTCTATCTATTTTCAGTGGAACTCATATTTAAAGCTTGTGGAGTTCCAGCTTTGTGTGAAAAAAAATACTAACCCTTCTCAAAGTGATAGAAATAAGCCGTTTTCTCTTTTCTTTTCTCTGTAGGACAGTTAGTCCATCAGCCCCCATTCAGCAGCATTTATGGGGTGTGGAATATCAGGCTAAGGAGATACAAAGGAAATGTGGGAAGGCGGTGGCTCGGAATCCTATACTGGGCTGGGCTCAGGTTCCAGTTGCACCACTTCTGAGCCGGGCACCCTTATTCTTGGTGCTTCATTCTCTTGTCTGTAAAATGGGGATATTAATGCCTCATGGGGTGTGAGGATCAGATGAAACAATGGATAAATCACTTGAGGAAGCACTCAGAAAATGGGAGCAACTATTCTACCAAATGGGTTATTTATTGACCTGCACCTCTACCATCTATAAAAGGGTGTCATTGGGATTCTTGAAAACAGCAAATGAAATGGAAATTCTGCACATTTAATAATGATGTAAAAGTCTGCCCTTGGGTCTGAATTGAACTCTGCTTTTGTTGGCTGGGTGGCTGTGGAGAGAGTTCCTACCCCATGGGTCTGAGGACAAAATGGCACCAATCGCCTCCATAAACAGGGTTCGCCACTTCGCAATTCATCACTTACAGTTTACAGGTCACAGAGCACTTGCTCATGGGTTCATTTCACATGAGTGATCTCGCTTAGTCTTGAGGTGGGAGGCTGGGGTTCTAGACTCAGCACCTTCACCTGTAGCGGGTGACCTGGGGTAAGCACCTGAACCACTGTGTCCCATGGGCTCTCTGTTGGCCAAATGGGACGACATTACAGCTCTTTCAGGTTGTCCTGGGAATCAGAGGCGAGGCCTAGTACGGGGCTGGGCTCACTGTATGCTCTCAGATCAAGGGAAAGGACACTACGGTTGTGGTTGCCGCTATTCCACCCTCAGTGTCCTCATCCGTCATGTGTGTTGAACACACTCTGTGTAGCCCCATGTTCTGTGGGAAGCCTGGAGCTCCTGAGGCCTCTATGGGGCAGGCCCTGCTCGAGCAGGGTAGTTTGCACAGCCAGGCTTTCCCACCTTCCCTCACCCTGAGCTGTTCTGCTTGGTTTGGTGACATATTAAAATGTTTGCACACCACTTACCTGGTGTAAAGGGCTTGGGACATGTCAATCTCCAGTCAGCATCCTCTGTTCACTCACCCTTCCCAAGATCTGTGCCACAAACACACACACGCACACACACACTATACAATACATCCACACACATAATACACAACCACAACACACATATAACACATGTACAGACCACATACCCTGCACAATACACCCCCCATATGCAACCCATATACACAGCATGCACACATACTACACACACCAACACACACTTATACACGTACACCATGCACACAACACACACGCACATGACACAATACACACCATACACAACACACCACGTACACACATACCACACATATGCACACAACACACACACCTTACACACCACACATAATACATACAACACACACACCACACACAATATATACAACACACAACATACACACACACCACGCATACACACACTGTGCCCAGCACACACAATATACACAACAAACACACATGCACACCACACACGTGTACCACACACATGCACACATACTGTGGTCATCCTTGCCTCCAACTCATCCCCATCCTGTTCCCCTCTCACCTGGTCACCTTACCTGGCCTTCACCTTAGATCCGCCTCTTGCCCAAAGACACCTGGATGCCCCCCGCTCCCTGAATGCTTGAAGGAACATTTAATTAGATTCAGCTCAGGGTTCCCTGCTATGCAGATTGTCCTGGTGTCCACTCTGTAAGCTCCCCCAGGCTAAGGCCCTCAGGGCCCTCAGGGCCCTCTTTTGGTGGCTTGCTGACCACATTTGGCGGGAATGGACAAGAACTCCGTATTTTATTGTTTGCCAGCTCTCAGAGCCACTCCAGGAGTCTCTGAAGGCTCCCTGTGGCCAGAGCCCCTGTCCTGCCAGGTCAGTGGACACGGCTCAGAGGAGAGGCTCTGGGGAGCCCTTGTCCGGGGTGATGGGTCAGTTCATGGGGAAGACCCATGGAGTGAGGCCAAGGCTGGGGGACACTGGGCCAGCCTCGGGCTGAGGGTGACACGGTCCTGTGCCTTGTCAGTCTCTCCCCTCTGGGTGCCAGAGCCCTTGATTCAGTTCTTCAGTGTGCCCCGCCAGGTACCCAGCCCGGACGGGGCCTGTGTGAGGAACACGCATGCAGTGGCACCGCTCCTGCACCCAGGAGGACAACACGCCTGGGTGGAGTTGGACCCTTCAGTGAGATGACCTCCTGGTCTTTGGGGAGTGACTCCTAATCCTGCTACCCTCTGGATTCCAGCTCCAGAAACCCAAGAAACACCATGGAAACCCAAGACACACCACCCTGGAAGGGAAATCGGCAACCATAAGGCAGCCTCCTCACCTCATTTTGCAGAGACCCAGAAGGGCCTGGGGACTTGCTCACAGGCACACAGCTACTTAGTGGCAGGATGAGTCCTTCGCAATGTGAGGAGTCACTTCCTGCTGTCTGAGCTTCACAAATCCAGACTTTTTCTGATCAGATTTACTGACATCGTGGGTCTGTTTTTAAAAGCAACACCAAGAAAGGGCATTGTGATATGAATTCTAACTTTGCCAAGAGGTTATGACCACTGGTTTCATCCTGACAACATCCACTTAAGTTTGCGGAAAACTTTGTGGGGTGACTGTTCCCAGCTCTTGTTCTGGGCCGGTGGAGAGCAGTCTCGAGGTGTGGGGTGCATCTGGCCAGGCCCTGCCTGACAGGCAGACACCTTCCCGCTGACCACCAGCTCTCTGTGGGAGGCAGGCCTGAGGGCAGACGCCAGAAGGGTGCGCTGTTTCCTCTTCTGGCCCAGGGCTTTAGAAATGGGGCTGGGAGGCTTCCTTCTCTTTCTGCCAGAGCTTCATACCCTGTCTGGACGCCCCCCGCCACCACCCCACCCCATCTACATAGGACTGGAGCTGGCCCTTATGCTGTTTAATCAGCAAAGTGTAAGGTCTTAGACCACTAAGGTCTAAGGTCACCCCACCCCCAGTTCTTCTCAAACCTTGATGTATCTTCCACATGCCTGAAACCTTCCACCCAGGGAAGTCATTTCCCAGTATTCAGGGACATTGGCTACTCTGCAGGCCAGTGGGGAGAGAGGCCAGTAAGTAGAAAGATGGTGGACTCACCTTTTGGAGAGCCTGGCAGGTCATGAGCGCTGGTCTTGCTCTGCTGGGCTCTGGAGTCTGACAGACCTGGGTTCAAATCTTGCCTCTGCCACTTCGTGGCTCTGTGGTTACTTAATCCTTCTGAATATTAGTTGATGTGAGGCTTACAATAGTGCCCACTGCCTGGTGGGGATCCTGTGGGATTCTGGAGGGAGGATGCAGTGGGGCTGGCCCCTGGCATCATGGGAAGCAGGTGCAGCTCGCCTTAGGTAACCCCAACCTTCCCTGTTAGCTTCCTGTTGCCCTCGGGTACCGGAAATCCTGCCACACACCAGACTCTAATTTCCTCCCTCAAGAGCCTTTTCACTTGGATGCAAGTGACTAGGGATGATGAGACAGATGGGGTCCCCTGCCGAGGGACAGAATTTACACAGGGCAAAAACAAGGGCCTGAAGGGACAAGGTGCCTGCCTTGATTTCACCATGGCAGAGGAATCCTTCTGGGGCAAAAGCGAGAGCCCTGGCCTGGGAATCTCTAGTTGCGTCCCAGCTCACTGGTCATATCCTTTGCCCAAGACAGAGAGAGCTCCCTCCTTCTAGCTTGCCAGGTGTCCCTGAAATGTAATTGTGACGGGGTTCACTCTCGGAGATGACACAGCTCTCCCTCTCCTCCTGAACTGTCTGCTGCCTGATGCCTAAGGCATCTCTGGGGATGTGCAGTTCTGTGGGTCACGAGTCTCCATCCTCCACCTTCCCCCCAGCCAGGCTGAGTGCCCACTCTCATTCAGCATTCAGTTCATCTCTGCTCACATAGCCACAGAGGGGAAGTCTCTGCTGAGGCCCAGATTGGGCAAATGGAATACAGTTTCCCCTGGTTTGAAATACATTCATAACAAACTAATGACCCTGGCGAGGTTACTTCTAAATTGGCTCTGATAGACTCCTCCAAACAAGCAGGAAACCCACAGCTTTCCTTCATGTCCACACCACTGTTCAAGGACGACTGTGGATCCTGATAATGGTCCTGAGTGTGTTTCTGCAGGATCCAAAGGCTTCCTGAATAAACAAAGGAAGGTTGCAGGTATTTTATTACAGGCTAGTTCTTTGAAAATAGATGCCCTGGTAGAGGATGCAGAATAACTCTGCAAACCTGGAACATTTGACTAACATGAACTTTCACGTATGTGGGGCTTTGCTCCGAATGTGCTATAATGTCCATGCAAAGCCTCATGTAGCCTGTGGAGACAGCTTCTTTCGGACCAAGAATCTGCCAGAAACTCAGAAGTGTCATACAGGTACCCCCTCTCCTCGCTGGAACTCAAGCTTATGCCTGAAGTCAACGCTGACTAGCTGGACTCCCATTTTATGGAGCTATGGGGTGGAGGGATTAAAAGATGGAAGTTGAACCAGTTATTTCCAGTACCACGTTTGCTATTAGTACTTTCCCCTGGATTTTCCAGGAAGAGTGCAGGGGTCCTTGAGCCCACGTCTCCAGGGGACTGTGTGACCATCTCCATGGCTGCTTACCATAGTGCCAGGGACTGGCCCAGAGACTGGATTTCTTTACTTTGTCACTACTGACATTTTGGGCAGGATGATTCTTTGTTGCAGGGGCTGTTCCGTGCTTTGTTGGGTGTTTGGCAGCATTCCTGGCACCTCCCCACTAGATGCTAGTAGCATCCCTGGCTTGGTTGTTGAGAACTACTTCTGTGCATATATCATCACACGTAATCCTCATGGCAGCCCTTAGAAGAATCAGCTTTATTGTCATCTTTGCTTTAAGGATGAGTTTGCTGGGGCTGAGTGATACTAAGTAACTCATCTACAGCAGCTGGGACTCAAACCTGAGTCTGTATGGCCCCAAAGTCCGGGATTTTACCATAATTCCTGCTGCAGGGGATAAGATCTCATTCACTGTCTGGAGCTCCAAGGAGCCCAGGATCTCAGCTGGTGTTTACCTGGGAAAATGCCTAAGCTTGGGTTTGGGAGAAGTGAACAAATAGTCATGCCCAATGCAAGGGTCTCAACCTAAGAATTCTCTTACTTCCAGAGCTTTCTGGGGCCAGGTGGTGATGGGAGGAAGGAGTTGAGTAGAGAACCACAATCACTTATTATTGCTCGCCATTCTATGGGAAAGCCCAGTAGTTCTTCCGATCTCATTTAGGCTCATTGGGGCTCACTCAGACACGTGTGGCTTGCTGCTCTTGGCTGGGCTCTGTCACATGGCCTTGGCTGGAATGACCAGGCAGACTTGGCGTTGTTCTGTGTGGTCTCTCATGGTCCAGCAGGTTAGCTCAGCTTGCTCACATAGCAAAGGCAGGAATCTTAGAGACACAGAGACCAAGAGAAATATGCAAGACCCTTTGGGGCTTAGGCTTGGAGCTAGAACAGTCACTTCCACCTTCTTCTATTGGCCAAAGCAAGTCACAAAGCCAGCCCACATTCAAAGATGGGGAAATAGACTCTACCTCTTGACTGAGAGAGCTGCAGAGTCACATCACAAGGGAGCAGAAGTGAAGAGGAGGGAATGGAGGCCATTTTTGTAGTTGTTGTCTCATAGTGCTCATCTGGTCTTCTGGCTCAGTTCCTGGAAGCTCGTGGCCCATCAGTGAGAGAGAGAAGTGAAGCGTTAGTGGGTTCAGGCTCTTGCAGAGACATTCTACCTGCCCAGACACAGAGCAGGTCTCCTGTCACCTCTCAGGATGGTGAACTCCATGACAGTATGGGCCTTATTCATCCCTGAGTCCCAAGACCTAGCAGGTGCCTGGCACACAGTAGCTTTTCAGATAATAGTTGGTAAATGTGAAATTATTTCAATTTGTTTTCTTGAACTCAATTCAGTGGTCTTTGGTAAGTATCTACTGTCCACTGAGCTCAGCCCTATTGAATCCAAGGGAGTCAGAGATTTTGTTCACTTCTCGGCCTGGCTGTCGGGACCATGAACCAAAGCTTAGGCACAATTGATAGGGGACTGCAGAGAAGGGACACCAGCAGCCTTCATGGTGCTGGCCATGTGCACCACGCCTATGTCGGGACAGCTCAGGGCATCCAAGGACGGGCGTGGTGGGGCCCTGTCTCTGGAAACTCTTCCCAGGTTCTTGGCATGACGTGGGTTGGGTGGATTTTCCGCTAATTGTCCAACTGGCTCAGTTCAGTCACATCCAGCTGTGCCTGGGCAGCCTGGGGGGTTCCCCTTTCCTTTGCAAGCCCAATCGCTCTGGAAGGGTGGCCTATGGCTCCCTTCTACCTCAGTGCTGGCTGTGCGAGCGTGGCCCAGATTCTTAGAAGCAGGAAGCTTTCTTCTGTCAGGAGTCCGTGAGGTTGGCTTCCCCTGGGCCCGGCCTGGAACCCAGGCTTGGTGTTGTCTGGGAGGGCCCTGCCGGAGGCGTCCCCTCTTTCTGCACTCCAACTTGGAGGAGGAGGGTTGGCCTTAGGTAGATGTCATGCCTCTCTCTCTTCCCTCCTTCAGCCTTTCCTAGGGTCAGGAGTGAGGACTGGGGGTGGGAGGGGAAGTGAGATTCCTTCCAGATCAGGAAATACAAGACCAGTGTATGTGGTTTCTCAGTAGGTGACAGAGCAGAGATTATATCAGTCACTAGGAACAGGGAAGGGTGCCTGTGTGTGTGTGTGGTCATGCTGAGGTGTGAGGGTGTGTGTGCATGTGGTGTGTGTGTGTGGTCATGCTGAGGTGTGAGGGGGTGTGTGTGTGTGTGTGGTCATGCTGAGGTGTGAGGGTGTGTGTGTGTGTGTGGTCATGCTGAGGTGTGAGGTGGTGTGTGTGTGGGGTCATGCTGGGGTGTGAGGGTGTGTGTGTGTGTGTGGTCATGCTGGGGTGTGAGGGTGTGTGTGTGTGTGTGGTCATGCTGAGGTGTGAGGGTGTGTGTGTGTGTGGGGTCATGCTGGGGCAGAATTGTGTGTGTGTGTGTGTGTGGTTATGCTGGGGTGTGAGGGTGTGTGTGCATGTGGTGTGTGTGTGTGATCATGCTGAGGTGTGAGGGTGTGTGTGCATGTGGTGTGTGTGTGTGATCATGCTGAGGTGTGAGGGTGTGTGTGCATGTGGTGTGTGTGTGTGGTCATGCTGGGGTAGGAGGGTGTGTGTGCATGTGGTGCGTATGTGTGTGTGTGATCATGCTGAGGTGTGAGGGGGTGTGTGCATGTGGTGTGTGTGTGATGATGCTGGGGTGCGAGGGTGTGTGTGCATGTGGGGTGTGTGTGTGTGGTCATGCGGAGGTGTGAGGGTGTGTGTGCATGTGGTATGTGTGTGTGGTCATGTGGAGGTGTGAGGGTGTGTGTACCTGTGGTGTGTGTGTGTGGTCATGCTGACGTGTGAGGGTGTGTGCGCATGTGGTGTGTGTGTGAGATCATGCTGGGGTGGGAAGGTGTGTGTGTGGCCATGCAGAGGTGTGAGGGTGTGTGTGCATGTGGTGTATGTGTGTGGTCATGCAGAAGTGTGAGGGTGTGTGTGCCTGTGGTGTGTGTGTGGGGTCATGCGGAGGTGTGAGGGTGTGTGTGCATGTGGTGTGTGTGTGAGTGTGTGTGTTCACAGTGAGGCCGCAGGGCAGGAAGAAGGAAGCAGGTAGGGAGGGGGAGCGACACCAGGCGAGCAGGTGTTGGATGGCAAGTGAAGTGTGTGTCAAGTGCCCCGAGCCTTCATCAGGGCTGTGGAGGGTCTGGCAGAAGAAACCTAGCCCCTTACCCCCAAGGTGCCTGCTGGTGGGCACAGGAAGCTGACACAGGTGAGACAATTGGCCAGCAAATCTGGACAGTGTCCGGTGAGATATCAGAGAGTGTGGCCGGGACTTTAGTGCTAGAGGAACCCATGGGTGGGAGATCAGGGAGAGTGGGAAGAGAAGGGCTGGAGTTGGGCTGACACCATGGGTTGGTGGGTCTGAATTGCAGGGGTCCACGCTGCTGAACTGAGAGCACACGGTCTAGCCCCACAGGCTCTGTAAGACCAGTGCCCTTAAAGCTCCTGGCACCTGTGACAGGAGGGGCCAGATATCCCAAATACTCGGGCTCCTCCCTCATGGCTCAGTGCTCCTGGTGGGGTGTGGTTACTGTCCTTTGACCTGCTGGCTTCTGCCCTCTCTCGTCTGGTCATTATCTCAAATGAGACACGTCGACAACATCTAGTCATCGTCTAGGATGCACATGTAGGGCAGTGGTTCTGAAACCTCACTGTGCCAAAGAATCCCCAGGGAGCTCTTGTTAAAGGGCAGGCTCCTGGGTGTGGCCGCCAGAGATCCTGATTCTGTGAGTTACCACGACACCCGGGAGTCTGCAGTTCAACATGGTCCCAGGAGATCAGGAGAAACTGTCGTTTTTCTATGACTGACAAGATACCTTCAACTATAGGGTCTCCTCAGAACTTGCTGCTGCCCACGAGGTTGGCCAAGCAGAGGTAGCTGTGCTTATCTTTTGGGTGAGGACAGTGAATCCTTCGAGGAGAAGGTCTCCTTAGGGTCACACAGGCGGTGGGGGTGGGACTGGTACTCTGGACGTCCAGGGCAGTGCTCCGGCAGCTTGGGCAAAAGGACAAAGCTTGGACGTGGGCTGCGCTTGCATGGGGATCACGCGGGCATCAAAGGATGCTGGGGTGCTGGCCCCTTCCCTCCATCATGTGTCCCCCGCCCCCCATTTTAGGCTGGGCCAGGCCATGGGGCCTCCAGGGAATGTGTGCATTTGTACTGGGCCTCGGCACGTGACCTCCTGTGAGGAGCCGGTTTTATGGGATTTGCTCGTGTTGCTGTGGTTACTGATGTAGTGGAGAACAGAGTCAGGGGGCCAGGGCAGGATGAGTGGACTTTGATGGGAAAACGGTGAGGCAATGATGGGAGGGTGGGCTGGCAATGAGTGTCCAGTGCTGCCTGGCCAGGCCTGCCCTCTTACTGCTGGGGCCACCAGCGCTCTAGGAGCAGTAGACTATAGCAATGGGAGGCATCTCATTTCACAGGTGAGGAACTGAGAGGCAGAGGAGGACAGTGTCCGGCCCGAGGCCCTGCCCTTTCTTCAGAGCAGACTCAGAGTCTGTGCCATCCTCCTCCCCTCACCAGGCCCTGCTCTTATTCTTCTCCTTCAGGTCTGGCTGTTTCTCTGATTTTCTCTCTAATTCCCTGAGGGTGGCCCCTCACAACCCACATGGCAGGTGGCTTTTCCAAAGCACTTCAGTGTGCATCTTCACATGAAACCCTGCAAGGTGATCAGGGCAAGTGGCTCAGGTTTAGTGAGGTGCAAGCTGGGGCCACACCCCAGGTGTTCTGATCTTCAGCCTCTGGGCCCCTGGGGTGCTGGGCACTCTGGTCCCTGGAGCACTGGGACCCCCACGGTACCTCTTACCCATCGCTTGGCTTCATTTCTCCTGGCGGGTGTCCTGCTCCTCCAGCTCCAGCTCTAGGCCTTGTTTCTAAGGCTGGGCTGGATATTCCCGACCCTCATGCTGGTCACCCCTCTCATGGGCTCTGCTCCTATACCCTCCTCTGAGCCTTTCACCCTGGCCATGTGGGTAGGCCTGGGGGACTCTCTTTACTTGGGCTTGGCCAGTGTCCTGCAGTGATGACAGGAACCTGATTGTTCATTTCTGTGTTCCCCGGAACAGGGATTGGACACCTGGCAGGTTCCCAGTGCATAGATATGGCTTTAAGAGCTCTGATGTCTCCCTTCTGGCTGTTGGGAGAGTGCCATTATGGCCCCTGTCACCTCTTCAACTCAGATCCAGTGGGGACCCTCAGTCTGTAACGGGCAGTTCGTAAGACTGTGTGACCTGCCACCATCCTGTGTTAAGTGTTTGGGGAACAGAGAAGGAGAAGAGAAACAGGGAACACCCGCACCTGTTTAGGGTGGTTTCTAGGCAGTCAGAACTCCCCCATTCTCACAGGTCTCCATCTGTTCAGGAAGTTCCCGGGTGTGTCAGCGTGCCTCTCAGTGCAGTGGGCTCAGACTCAGACAGCCTGTCGGGAAGCCTCTGTTGTCTCCCTAGGTCTGAATAGCCTAAATTGTGTCGGCTTTCAGTAGCCCCGTCACTGTGCTCCTAATGGCAAAATCCTGCCATTCCACCATTTGAATCTTCCCCCTTGGTCTTCTATTAGAATGAAAATCCTGGTAAAGCCTCAGGATCAGGTCTCGTGCAGACATTTACCACTTACCCCCTTCAGGTGTACTGGGCTTTGACTGGGCAGGTGGAAGTGGTGGGAGATGGGATACGGGGAACATGAAGATGCTGGAGGCAGAGATGACCTCCCGCAAAGCTAAGCCTTGAACTGGAAACGCTGGGGAGGCCAGACCCCCTCCCCATAAGTGAGCAAGGGGCACACTGTGCCTGGCTGAGAGACACAGGGACGTGGGACACAAGCTTGGAGCCTAGGAGGAGGTGAGGGCACAGGAAGACTGTGCCCTGGGTCCCCAGGGGCCTACTTGGTCCTCACTCACAGCTGCTCCTCCCAGGCCTGTCCGTGAGTGAGGATTTGGGGACTGCAGACCCATTTCCCAGGAGCTGTTACACTGGCCACACCATCCCAGGCATGGCCACACCAAATTCCAGCTGATGGCAGAGGGGATGTGGTGCGCTTCACCCCACCCCCTATTTCTCCCATCACCAACATCAAATGTCAGTCAGGGACATTTTTTCTTATGCAATTTTTCAAATCTCTCAGTGTCATTCAATTAAAAATGGAGGTTCCTTGTATTTAAGCTCTTCAACAGATGCAAGAGCATGAGAGCACAAAAAGACCTTAGCAATTCTTCATCCTCTTCTGGAGACGTGAAGTGATTTGCCCATGATCACCCTGCTACTCAGGGCCTGGTGGTGCCAAGACTGCACCTGGGTCACAGAGCAGAGCCAAGGAACACACAAATGAAACTGGGTCTCACTCCCTCCTGTGATCTTCCCACTGAGCCCTCTTGAACAAATTTCAGCATGCTTCAGGCTGCTCGTTAAGTGAACACAAATCCTCAAGTCAGCCCCGTGAGGTTCAGGCTTCTCCACGGAGCTTCCTGGAGTCATGGGACTTTAAAGTTGAGGAGGCCTTGGAGAGGATCTCCTTCTATGGTTTCCAAATAGGGTAGGAAGGCACCTCTGGTGACCACATGTAGCTCTGGTTGAAGGGCCGGAGGCTTCACACTGGGAGGGACCATCAGCTTGCATCTGCTTTACACAGTGGCGCTTTCAGGAAGGTTTATTTACACAGAAAAAAAATTAAACACTACAAATCTGATGTGAATTCAGAAAACCTCTCCTCACTGCTCTCACAAGTGGTTGGACTGAACTTTCCCTTGGAGCCATCTCTCACGGTTTATGAGGCAGTCACTCCACTGTTTTGTGAGGCAATCCACCCTCCTTTAAAAAAATTTATTGAGGTATAGCTGATGCTAAATAAACTGCATGAATTTAAAGTGTATATTTGGTGAGTTCTGACATGTATATACCTATGAAAGCATCTATACCCTGTTGGTTAACTCTTCTTGCACATCTATTAATTCATTGATTAGGTCAGCTACTTACTGAGCAGGTATTATATACTATGTGCTAGAATCTGTTAAAAACTTGTATTTAGTTAAAACCTCCTTCCCTCTAAATCTGATTTTCTCAATCCAGCTCCAATGGAATTGCTAGATAAAATACAGGATGCCCAGTTACATTTTAATTTCAGATAAAATGAACATATTTTTGATGTAAATATATCTCAATATTGCATGGAACATGCTTATACTAAAAAATTGTTTCTTGTGTAAAATTCCACTTTAACTGGGCTTTCTACATGTGTGTGTTTTTTTTTCTTTTCGAGAGAATCTCTCTCTGTCACCCACGCTGGAGTGCGTGACTCACTGCAGGCTTGACCTCCCAGGCTTAAGTGATCCTCCCATCAGCAACCTCCCAAGTTGCTGGGACCACAGGCATGCACCACCATGCCTGGATAATTTTTTATTTTTTGTAGACACAAGGTTTTGCCATGTTGCCCAAACTGATCTCAAACTCCTGGGCTCAAATGATCCTCTGGCTTTGGCCTCCCAAAGTACTGGGATTGCAGGCATGAGCCACCACGCCTGGCCCCATTCTCCTTTTATTTGTGAACTCTGGAATCCTGAAGTCACCCCTCTTGAGCTGTATAGAATCAGGTCTCAGTACCTCTAGTATTCTGAACCTTCCTGGTGTCTCAGGACACTAGACAGTGCTTCCTCTAGTCTCAACACCATGGGTTTAATTAATGATGCTATGATTACTTTAGCCTTTCTGAGCCACGTCTGTGGCTCCTGTTGAGCTTGTTGCTCTCAGAACACGAGACTCACTTCCTTTCAGCTGCTCTCAGGCAGGCTGCCCCTCCAGCCCTTAGGCAGCCCCAGGCAGAGGTTTTGCATGAAACCTTGGCCTCTCCATCTAGGCCTGTGATATTTCACCTTGTTGGTTCGTCTGTGCTTCCAGGCCATTGGAATCTTGTGAATTCCAGAGTGTGCCAGAGTCTGGCACCTGGCAAAATGTCCATCTCTCCCAGACTCGAATCTATTCTGACCTGATAAGCATGACTTTTAGATCATCAGTTAAGTAACTGATGGAAATGCAGAACAGCCCAAGGCTAAGCACAGAAGCCTGTGCTGTGCTCCTAGAGAAAGCTCTCCCTGCCCCCGGAGAGAGCCCTCCCTGCCCCCCGTCTCCCTCTAGGTTGACATCAACCCATACTCACTGGGCCAACTCACCTAAGTGTAGTATCCATTACCTAGACTACATTTATTATTTCTATCCACAGACATTTCATAACAGTCTTCAATTTCTTGACTCTTTCATTTCAATGACTACTTATTGAATGCTTCCGTATGCAATGTGTCAGATGCCTCATGAAAATCAGATCCGGCTGGGTGCAGTGGCTCACAACTGTAATCCCAGCACTTTGGGAGGCCGAGGCGGGTGGATAATTTGAGGTCAGGAGTTCGAGACCAGTCTGGCCAACATGATGAAACTCCATCTCAACTAAAAATATAAGAATTAGCCAGGCGTGGTGGCGGTCACTTGTAATCCCAGCTGCTTGGGAGGCTGAGGCAGGAGAATTGCTTGAACCTGGAAGGTGGAGGTTGCAGTGAGCTGAGATCACACCATTGCACTCCAGCCTGGCAACAGAGTGAGACTCTGTCCAAAAAAACAAAACAAAACAAAACAAAATCAGATCCATTGCACTCTGGTATTCTTCATCTACCAACTTGGGTGACCCCATCATAGAAGCTCATTCTTTAGGGGATTCTACTGCCCTGTGTGATTAACAATTCCCTCTTTCCCCCCTTTCTCTTTTTAAGTGATCCAAACCACTTCAAAATCCATTACAGATTTGTCAAGGTGTTTTTACATTCCCATGGAAAGTTTCAGGATTTCATCTTTTTTCTTTGTGCAAAAATTTAAATATGATTTACGGTCTAAAACCCCTCAGCTATGATTCTTGATTTCTCGAAAACTGCTCAATGTTTTTAGGGTCACACCTGCGAGTTCTTTCCTGGTGCTACGTTACAGCATAGCATTGTTGGAAGATGTAGGTGGTATGAGTATGCTGGATGGCTCGCTTCCTCTCTTAAGCTAATGAATTATTCCCAAGTAATTTTGATGGATGTGGGTCAAGGATAGGAAGAAGGATGACAGGAAGACATGAGCAGGTATTAAGCACCTTTTTCGTGTGGGACATGCAATGCACTCCATCTTCATTGTATCATTTCACTCTCATTAAAACTCAGTGAAGTACTGACCAGGCGTGGTGGCTCACACCTGTAATCCCAGCACTTTGGGTGGCCGAGGCAGGTGGATTATGTGAGGTCGGGAGGTCGAGACCAGCCTGACTAACATGGTGAAACCCATCTCTACTAAAAATACCAAAATTAGCAGGGCATGGTGGCGGGAGCCTGTAATGCCAACTACTTGGGAGGCTGAGGCAGGAGAATTGCTTGAACCTGGGAGGTTGAGGTTGTAGTGAGCCGAGACCGCGCCGCCACACTCCAGCCTGGGGCACAGAGCGAGACTCCATCTCAAAACACACACACACAAACACACACACACACACATACACACACACACAACAACCCCCCCACCAAAACAAACAAACAAACAACTCAATGAAGTAGGGATTATTAGTTCCATTTTAGAGTTGGAGAAACAGAGGCATAGGAAGTTCAGAGAAGTTACGTGAGGTGCTCAAGGTCACACAGCTGGTATGTATGATACATGCAGAAGACATATTCAGCTCCGTTTGGCTCCAAAGTCTCTGTTGTTTCCACTGGACCACAGAGCTTAGCTTGGCAACTATGATATGGCAAGACCCCACCAATTTTTTTTTTGGTAAGGCTCATCATAGAACCCCTTTTATCTAGGACCTGATTCATAAAATGGCAGTTTATTATTTTCAACATGTCTATGGTGTACAGTGTGGCATACTGGTGGGGTTGCTCTCTGGGACACAGGGAGGTCAAGTGACTTGGAGAGTATCCCATAGTAAAATGTGTAGCTCAGAGGTCAGCAATTCATCAGCTCTGAGGGCTCCCCAGAAATAGTAGAGTCTCTGGGAGGTGCCCGTGGCCAGACAGGTTGTCCCTGCTGCTGCTGGGAGCCAGGGAAGCTCTGCAGGTCCACAGGGCTGGCACTCGGAAGGGGGCCTGGCTGAAATGTGCAGGCAGCATAGACCAGACAGACAGTGGGAACAGTGAGGTGCTACAGCAGTGGCCCAGGCAGGGACAGGAGGGCTGCAGACACAGCTGAGGCAATAGGATGGAGTGGTGGGTGGGAGTGGCTGTTGGCGATGTGGAAACAGCAAAAGTGGGTGAAAGGTTGGAGAGAGAGGGCGAAGGAGACAGCGCAAGAGGAAAAATGCTAAGAAGGTTCCTGGGATGCTGACCTGGGCCCCTGGGGCCATGAGGCTTCTATATAGCTTGAGGGGTAGGGTTGGGGAGGAGCAGGGCCCGGTAAATGGACTTGATTTGGATGGTTTGAGTCTGATGTGTATTTGGGCCATCCAGGATGGGTTGAATATGATGTCTATGTGAGCCATCCAGGCAAAGAATTTCTTAAGGTCTGGGGATGGTGAGAGGTTCTTAAGGTTTGGGGTTACTGCTGTGAGAGGCACTATTTTCTAGAATCACTGGCAGGGAAGCCATCCCCTGTATCAACCTTCCTGCAGGACCCACACTCCCTTCCTCCTCCCGGAGTGGGATTCTGCCTAGGCATGTGCACACATGTGTACACCCTACACACTCATCCACACATGCCACCCACTCCCCTCAGACACTCGCATACATACCCCTGTGTGTGTGTACACCCTTACACACCCATGTACACACTCCTCCCACATACACACTCACACACTGACCTTGTGTACACTCATATCCACTCCTACACTCCCCTCATAGACACACACTTACCCCAACACACATGCAGACACTCACCCCATGTGCACCCCCAATACGCCTGCATCCAGAGTCGTCACAAACTTCCACTCCCAATAGCTCTTGTTGCATTGAACCCCCCTCTCAACCTCCCCAGAGAGTGGCCACTGTCACGGGACTGGATGCCCCGGGCAGGCGTGGGAGCTGCAGCAGAGCGACAGCCAGGCAGCCCACACTTGGGATGGCCCCAGCCTCTTACTGCCATTGCCCTGTGGGTGCTGGCCGGGGCTGGCCAGCTGGAATCCAGCCTCTGAGGACTGGAAGCCCTTCTGGTCTTCTTAATCCCAGGCTTCCAGAAAACCCAAGAGCAGGATGTCCTTGGAGTGGAACACAGGTGGGAACTGGGAGAGTTTCTAGAGTGCCTCTCATCTGTCTCATGCAGCTGAGGAAACCAAGGCTCAGAGAGGTCCTGGCTTGCCCAGGGTCTCCCTGCCAGGAGATGGGAGGCTGGGGCCCCAGGCTGACTCTACCTGGCCCGGGTGCCCTCAGTGTGCCCTGGCTGACAAGTTTGACCACAGAGGGATCACATGTGGGCTCACAGTGTACAGGTTGGGCACAGGGCCAGCCACCGGTAATGCAGCCAGGTGTTGGGCTATGGGCTGCTTCTGCTCCTCATCCTGTCCCACAGGGACCTGCCTCCTTGGCGTTGGGCCTGGCAGGTGGCTGGGAGCGGATGGTGAGGGCAGATGTCAGGCAGCTCCAGGCTCTGGCCCCTCTAGCCCAGAATCCTTACCCTGATGGGACACATAAGGATAGGGTAGGGAAAGGGTGGCTGTCTTTCCTGAGATCACCCTCATCATGTCCCTGAACAGCCTAGTTTCCCTTTAAAAATGACTATTTATGGTGCTTTTATTTAAGAATTATCTAAAACCTTCTTGAACTCGACTTTTGCCTCGGCCTCTACCACCTCTTGGAGGGAAATGAGTACTATAAATTGCATCCTACCACACAAAGTTGGGTTACCTTTGATTTGCCTTGAATTCCCCTGAGTTTGAGATCTATTTGAGGCACTGGGATCAGTGGCCAGGGCTTCTGCTCCCCTTTCTGGGGCCTGTGCAGTTTTCACCCCACAGAGTGGGAGACCAGCTCCAGCTTGAGAGTCCAGCTTCAAACCTACCCAGTCTTTTGGGGTAAGATTCTTCTTCTCCTCCTAACCAGTCTCCTGACACCCCACTGAGAATTGCTGCCCATGGATAGCATGGGGATTGGCCCTTTCTTGCTTGCTCACATGTTTTCTCTTTCTTTGTGACATATTGTCGTCATCATCATTATTATTATGTGGCTTTATTTCTCTCCCCAAATATCATTTCTAATCCTATCACCCGACAGGACAGTGTTAGCCTGTTGACGTTCTTCCTTGTAGATTTTCTCCTAGGCAGAGGTCTTGTTTAGTGTTTTTTTGTTTTGTTTTGTTTTGTTTTTGAAGTTGGAGGCTAATCCCTTCTAATGCAGAGGGTATTTCCAGACCTGAGACTCCAGCCGTGGCTTGCGTGGGAAAAATGAGTCACAGTTGCTATTCATAGTTGGATTTTAAAAATTAAGAGCAGGGCAGTACATGCTGGGAGCTGGTGCTGGGCTCAATGCCTTGAGACATATCTGGAGAATACTATGTTTAGAGAACTTACATTATAGTTGGAGTGATGAGATCCACCCATGTGAAAAGTTGGGTGACACCACAGGCATTACATCATCACAAATGTCACAAAGCTGCTTGGAGAACCTGGCATACTGAGAAGCACAGAGATTGGTGGCGTCTTCAGGATTTCACAGTGGCAAAGATCCAGAGAGGTGGTCAGGGAAGCCTTCCTGGGGGAGGTGGCATAGCAGCTGAGCTTTGAAGTCTGAGTCAGTTTGGACATCATGGATGGGGTGGCAGGGATTGGGGAAAAAGCCAAGGGAGATATTTGGAAGTGGGGAAGCTCCAGGATGTCTGGAGGCCTGGAAGTAGCTCAGATAGGTCGGGGCAGTGGATTGGAGTCAGGAATGACCCCTCGGTTGAGGAGTCTGCCCTGGAGGAAGCAAGGAATTGTGGGGGCTGATAAAGAGGCTGTGATGGAGGCTACTGATTCAGGGGAAGGTCCGCAGAAGGTGTCTTAGGTCTGCTTTAAGAAACTGTGAAGGGGCTACTGAGAAGATGGGCATCTGCCAAGGAGTTAGCCTTGTCCTGTCATCTCTTGGTCCCACCTCCCTTCTACCCAGAGCCAGAGTTGGCCTTAGGCTGATGTGACTGGTGTCAGCCTGGCACACGCACCTGCGATGACAATCTGGAGGCAGCAGAATGTCCATAGAGGTTAAAGAGCACACAGAGCCTTCAAATTCCAGGTCTAACCCATTAAAACCCACCAGCAGAGGGCCATGAGGAACTTACCCGTAGTCAAACAGAGTTAAGGTTATCAGCCTGCTGCGGGGAGGAAGAGAGCACATCATGGGAACTGTGGGGCATCCTAAAGGGGGCACTGTAGGAGGGACACTTAACAGAGTTTGGGGGCTGGAGTTAATTAGAGCATCATCTTGGTCAGAATTTGAAGGGTTGCTGGAACAGTCCGAGGTCACATCCTTAGAACACACCAGCCATTAGGGAATTGCTGTCAGATCAGTTTGTCTGTGGTCTTATCTTGGAACAGATGGTTGTGAATGAGCTGGTGTCAAAAGACTTTGAGCTTAGATAGTCTGTGATGAGCCTTCATCCCAGTGGTACTGTTATCTGTTTTCTGAGTCATCACACAGGACTTTCTGCAAGTTGTGGCTTTTGTTCCAAGTCTCAGTTCCCTGTTCATTGCCTAGCTGCCCGCAGGACCATCTTCTATTTAAAGTTTGTCCTTGGGAAAGTTACTTGACCTCTCTGAGCCTTGGTCACTCAGTGGTTAAGTGGAGATAATAACGGTAGCTACACCATGGAGTTCTGAGGATTAAATGAGTTAATATATGTGGAGCACCTAACAGTGCCTGGCATACAGGGGGTGCAATAGAAATGTCAGCCATTATTACAACTGCAGGCCTTCAAGATCAGGAAAAGAATGTTGATGCCTCAAAAGAAAGGATAGTCTGCAAGTTTATTTTCCACTTCAAAGGAGAAAAAAGGGGAACAGCAATATGAGATACCTTTGCCAGGACAGACACTGTCCTGGGAGCAGCCATCATGATCTAGAACAAACAAGTCCGGTGAGATTGACGTGATCTTCTGAGAAAGAGGGAAGGAATGAGCTCAAGGGATCCTTTGAGGTTTGGCCCATCTGCAGGTAAACGGTGGTGGTGATGCACTCTTCGTTAGTTTAGCCGAGGACAGGGCAGGAGGAAATGAAGTGAAGAAATGACACTGAGAATCTGGATTTGACAGTAGAAGAGACGTCTGACTCTGAGCTGCTGAGTATTAGGATTGGGGGAAGCTAAGAGGCTGTGGGCTCCTGGCCACATCTAACCAGAGTGGAAGTTGTGGTGCAGAGGAGGGACCTCTGGTCTGGGGGTCAGGCAGTCTCAGTCCTGGTATTGAACTTGCCTCTGAGTAGCAGGGGCATGGCTTTCTGCCACTCAGTCCTCACTCTGGGTCTTAGGCTCCCCTTTTGTAAAAGGGAGGATTCAGGATAGATGGGCCCTTCAGGCGTCTTGCTTTCTTGGCTTCAAGGCATCCTGGAGATTACTGTCATTCTTTCTCATAACTGCACAATATTCCCCAATAATGCATGTTCTCCTATTGATGGACATTTCGTTGTTTCCAGTCTTTTGTACTTACCAGCCATAGAGCACATTTTGTTTGTGTATCTGCATGGAGTTATATGCATTTTGTCTTTAAGATGCCAAGTGGAATTGCAGTAGACAGGATTTGAGCATTTGTGATTTTCATGATCTTGCCAAATCACTCTCCTTAGAGGTTGCACCAAATTATAATCTTACTGCCAACTGTGGGCCCTGCTGTTTTACTTATGTGGTGAGGAGTAGTGGGTGGGAGGTCTTGGTGATCAAGCGATCAATACATCTTCCACTTCTAAGGTCACATGACCTCAGGGCCCTGCTCTGGTCAGATCCCATTTCTTAAGGCCCCAAATGCTTAGCCAAGCTTGGCTTCTTGCACCTCAGCTCTGCTGCTTCCTCTCACCTTGGCTTTTCTGCTTTCCAGCTATCCCTAATAAGAGAGAGAGAAAGCTAGAGACAGAGAATGTGTTCCAGGTGCTCAATGTCTTACTGGTGCTGTGCCTGCAACTATCATCATTCCAGCTTCTGTGTACACACACCTGGCTTCCCACAGTTAAGGTGGAGGAGGAGGCAGCCAGCCAGCTGTGTGAAGGACTGAACCCGTTAGGCTGTGAGACTGAGGGGCAAACTCACCATCCAGGGTTGCACTGACAGCCTCAGCTGAAGGCTCACCCTTAACAAGCTGAACAAGCCTTCTGACAATTGCTGTCAATTTCGTCCCAGGAAGATGCTGGCAGGACCTAGATCTTGGTTATGACCTGGAGCCATGCCCAGAAACACTCAAATCTATCACCAATAATTGTCCATGGGCCTGGCTGAAGGGGAGCCTCCCTGACAAACAAACAAGTGGAAATCTGTCACAAAGGAAGCAAACACACCCCATGACCAGGAGGGCCACTCATTCCTCTTGTTCTCATTGGTTTGGCTGCTGCATGGTAAACTCACTTTAAGCATCGTTTCTTCAATTGTCCAGGCTCATGAAAGTGGTCAGCAAGTCCTCCTTAAACTCTACACATGCCTTTGTAATGTTTACGGGAGGCCCTGCCTCACCCCCAATTATTTATTCATCAGACATCTCCTGGGCACCAGTGTGTGTCAGGTGCTGGCTGTGCATGGGTGGCAGATGCCCAAGGCTCTGTCTCCACTCTGGGGAAGTTGCTGAGATGAGCCTCCCAAAGTGAAAAGTGACAGGTGTCATAGACAAGGCAGGTAAGACACGCCTGATGGATTCAGGCACCCCTTAATGACAGCTCTTTTTGTTGGCATTCCCTTAGCACCTGATAATTTTGAGAGTTGAATGAAGGGAGAGAGCCAGGGTAGAAAGGAAACGACAGCCCCTTGGGGAAGGCAGTGTGAGGCATTGCAGGAGAGAGCTTAGCTCTTGGCATTTGCTGGTTTAATAGGGTCACTGGCAAGTAGCTTTGGGTTGGGTGAGTTTGCTGAAAGATAATTATGGTGGCATTGGCTGGAGAAAGGAAAGAGATTTCCTAGAGGCCTCTGTACTTGGCCTTTGCAGATGAGCTGACACTATGTGACTATCCTGAATAGGACGTATGCTCTGAGTCAGCTGATTAATTTTCACTCTTGCAGTTGAGCAAGGATTTGCATGGAGCCATTTGCATTTTCTCACCAAGTCCCCTTTGCTATCGATTGATTCATTTCAACATACATTTGGTAAGTTCCTACTATGTGCCAGCAGTGAGCTGGACAGCTGAGGTTCTGCCTCACGGAGTTGATATTCTATATGTGTACTAGTTTCCTGTCCCCAGCTGTGACGAGAGCCCATCCCAGGGAGGGGCACTTGGATCTTAGTTGGGGACCTTGAAAAAGTCTTCATGTTCCAAAGGGGTGAGGCCCTACTGAAGGAATCTCAGATATGGGTCAGATACTTGGGGCTGCTCACCCAATGTGAACAAAAGGGGGACTCCAGCAAGCCAGATTCAGTCAAGTAGCTGGACATGCAGGAATCACAGCCTGGGGCTGAGCCGTGTATGTGTGATCTTTACACCTCCCTGGTCCCTTTCTCCTGAACCTGTGGATGCCCAGTGAGAGGAGGAAGGGCAGGGGCACCATGGAGCCCAGCTCCCTGGAGTGGGGTCGATGATGCCAGGCTCCCTGGGCTAAAAGCCTCTTGTCAGCAGAGTAATTGGATCTGACTTGCAGCAGGCAGGGAGCAGAGGTATTCGAGTCAGTTGGTGCTATTTTTAAATGCCCTCTCTTCCCCAAGTGCAGATCTCAGCTCAGCGGGAGACAACGGCTCATCTCACAGCCCTGGGAATCAAAGCACAGCCCCCTCCCCTCAAGGTTTAAGTCCTTCCAACCCCATTCTTCAAAATCAGATCTCAAATTGGGCAACTGCCCACAAATCCTGCCATGATCATATGTCCCAGTTTGGGGAAGGATGGACTCCTGGGGCCATGGGGTCAAGGGCTGGTTTGGGCTGGTTGCCCAGTTGGCCAGAAGCAGACCCACAGCCTTGGTTTCTTGGTTGCCTGGCAGCCCCAGAGGGTTACCACTAAGCCTGCAGGCAAACATGTCCCTGCCAGTCTGCTGCTGTCTTGACCCTTGGTAGCAGCTCACAGCTGCCTGTCAGGCTCTGAAAACAGAGCAGAAAGCAGCCACCCTCCTGCCAAATGTCCTGCTAGGAGATGAGCCTCATACTGAGTGCAGCCCAGGGTAGTGGGAGGAGATCAGGGAGGCCGATGTCCAGTCATGTGCTGATGAGGCTGCCTGGTTGGTCAGTTTCTTCTCACTTGTCACACCTCCTCTCTCCTCCCTACTCCAGTAGCTGGCTGTTAAATGCTCTCCCTCCAGAGGATGTGGTCAGGCCGGAAGGGAATTGCTGGTGGTCCTGACTACCCCCACCCCTCCCAACTCTTAGAAAATGACAAGGCCGCCTCGGGCAGGTACGGAGATGCTGCTAACAGCCAACGCGGAGTGACCACGTTTCATGCTTCAGATGGCACACCTGTGGGCCAGGGGCCACCATATCTTGTTATAGATAAGGACCGAGGCCCAAAGGGGAGCCCTTTGGTCAAGGTCACTAGCAGATCCTCCCTCTCTCCCTGACTAGGACCCTCAAAATCCCCCAGAATTCCTGAGGCCTTTGGATGCAAAGAATGAGGGATGCTTGCACGTCAAACAACACAGCCCCCTCTCCGAGAAGCTGGAGGAGTTCCAGGAGTCTTCCCGCCTTAGCCGGGGGATGGGGGAGCTCAACTCTGTGGCACTCTGTTCAAGTTTGTTGCTTTGGGTGACAGATCTTGAACTCGGTTTTGAAAATTGTTTGGTTAAAACATTGCAAGCTGGGAACCCTGCCAGGTCCTCTTCTCTCTCGAGTGGAATTAGAATAAGGCAGCCTGCCCCGACCCGTTCCAAGGGTACTGATCCTCAAGTTTTATAAAGCAGCGTCGCTCAAGCCCAGCCCTATCCAGAAGTGGACCATGTGGTGACGTCCCAGGGACCCTGGGAAGATGCTCCCATCCCCAAATCTATCTGCATTAGCCTGTCCCACCGTGCCCAAACCCACAGCCTTGTAGGGCTTTCCTTGAGCTTTATAGTCAGTTCTGAGTGGGATAGGTGAGCGCTCCCTGGGTTTGGAGTCCTACAGAGCTCTGCAGGCTCTGTGGAAACCACATCTGCCTTGTCTTATTAGCCCTGCGACCTGGACTACGGGATAGCAAGTTGTTTACTTTCTTTGAGTCTCAGTTTACTTATCTCTTACCTGGGGAGAGAAGGTGAGCTGACATTTGGGAAGAGGAGTGGGAGACAGTTATTTGAGGCCCTGGGAACCCAGGGCAAAGGGGTGGGAGATGAGAAAGGGCAGGAGAGCAGCGCTTTTTCCATTCTGCTCTACTCACATTTAAAAATCATTTTACTCTTAAAAACTGCTCTGTGTGTTTTAAAAAGCACATTACATATGCACGTGGTAAGAATTCCTATGGTGCAAAAGGATGTACATACAGAGAAAAACACTCCTCCCCCTGCCCCAGCTGCCCAGGTTCTCTCCTCATGGGGAGCCTTGTTGTTATGTCTCATGGATCCTTCCAGGAATCATCTGCATGTTTACTTTTCTGCACATACACTGTAATCTAAACCACATAATTTAATTCAAAGTCATGCAGCATGCTCGGGTTCCTCTCTTAGAAATGTTTGCTATAATGTCCTTAATACCAGGCCTCATTTGTGTAGGGTGCTCTACAATTTTCAAGGCACCATCCCCCAGCAGTTCTCATCTGAATCCACGGCCTTCTGGAGGTAGAGATGGCAATATCGTTATGCTCATTTTGCAGGTCAGGAAGCTGAGGCTCAGAGAGGCCAGGCTGCTTGCCTAAGGCCACATAGTGAGTGACTGATTAAGACGGGACCTGAACACAACCTGCCTGACTCTCTGGGCAGATGTGTCTTCTTCCTTAAGGGAAACTGCTTTAATCTCCCTATGCTGTGTTGGTAAACAGCAGATGTTTATAAAAAATCATTAGCCTTCCAAACCAGGGCTCTGTGTAGGTGCTGCTTACAGGCAGACCTGACTAACCCCAGCAGGCCATGGGGCAGGTTGTGGAGACTCAGACCACAGCTGCTCTCTGTGTGTGCACACACACACGTGCAGACATACATGTACACACACACACATCACAGGTGCCACAACATGCATGTACATGCACATATCCATGAATAGACATATACCTGCACATGAACACGTTCACACAAATCCCACAGACACATGCTCGCACATGCCCATATCCATACCTACACCATGCACACACACATGCTTATACATTCATGATCATGCCACGTACCACACAATACACACATACACAGATGCACGCTCACAGACACATGCACATACACACAGCCTTGAGACTCCAGAAGGGCAAACACAGCACGTGGAATCCTGGTCCTCAGGTCCTCCTTTGCCCCAGTGCGGAGGGCAGGTTGCAGAGGCCTCTGGGAAAGGCCATATGAGTGGCCGTGTTAGATTCATTGGGAGCCATTTCACCCCTAGGAAACATTTTCATTTTGTGTCATCACAGCCTTGTGAATGGGGAGCGTGCACTTCCACCCAGGGCTGCAGGAGGATGTGTGAGGGAGTAGGGGCTGAGCTAAGCCGCAGTCCTGCTGGGCCTTTATTCTCAGCTCATGGACACTCCATCGGCTTCAGATAACATCTGGAGCCAAAGCCCAGGAAATGGGCAGGGGAGGGAGCAGAAGCCAAGTCAGCCTGTGCGCTGCTGCAGTTTCAGGGCCTGGTGGAGTCCCTGTGTCAGTCCAGAGTGTCCCCTCCCCAGGCCTACATGACCTCTGCCAGAGTTTGACTGACACTCATCGAAATGTGAATACCCACGTGAGCCCCAAGGCAGTGACCTTACCAGTAAGTTGCTGAAGGAAGGCGAGGCACAGTGGTTCACACCTGTAATCCCAACACTTTGGGAGGCCGAGGTGGGCGGATCACGAGGTCAGGAGATGGAGACCACCCTGGCTAACACGGTGAAACCCCATCTCTACTAAAAATACAAAAAATTTTTTATATTTATAGGCAGTGGTGGGCGCCTATAGTCCCAGCTACTCGGGAGGCTGAGGCAGAAGAATGGCGTGGACCTGGGAGGTAGAGCTTGCAGTGAGCCGAGATCGTGCCACTGTACTCCAGCCTGGGCGACAGAACAAGGATCTGTCTCAAAAAAAATAAAAAAAATAAAAAAATAAATAAAAATAAAAAAGTTGCTGAAGGAGCCCCCTCCCTGGTGCACTAGGCCCTTTATTGAGAACGTGTTTTGGTGGTGCTGAGAGTGAAAGACGGGCTTGGAATCAAACAGGCTCCAGATTCCCAACCTGGGCCAAGTGATGCTGAGCAAGTCTTTCTAACCCTTGAGCCTCAGTTTCTTCATCTCTAAAATGGGAATAATGGGAATAATGCCCATAATTCATTGCACTGGATGGTTGTAGGGCTGAATTTGGGAAAAGCTTTGTGACAGGTAAAGTGATATGCTGATATGACTGGGATCATCACAGAGGGACTGAAGCAGAGTTCACGAGGGACCTGGAGTGCCAGGTGGGAGGAGAGGTAAGCAGGGAGGCAGAAAACAGTGCCTGAAGCCTTGAAAATGGAAACCAATTTGGACACCCAGTGCTGCACCAGCTGGCCACTCAGGGCTGGGGTTTGTCCTCAGCCTTCCTGACTTTGCTGCTGGCATTTTCATGGCTAATTAACATGTCATGGGGGTGGAGAGGAAGAAAAACTCAAAACAATTGATTTGTCTATTTGCCAGCACATCTGGGAAAAGGCTGGGTGTGGGAGGTCAAAATCAAGGCTAAAAATCAGTGCTTTGCATTCTCAAGGAAACACACGGATCTGCAGGAAAGCTCTAGGAAGTCAAAGCTCAACTATAAACTCTTGAGACAGCAGTGGGCATGGAGGGAGGAGGCATTTAAAGCTCTTCTGGCTTTGTGAGGAGAAGGGTGACACAGAAACCTGGCTCATGATAAGGAAGCCAATGAAGAAGTCATCATCCATCCTTCCCTCCCTCCATCCGTAAGCATCCGCCAAGCACCCAGATTGCATCCAGCCCTGTCCTGAGGGTGCTCTGGGTGTTGCATGGAGACAATACAGGGACTTTTCTCTTTAAGCATTCAGATTCACATTCAGAACATTGAGAGCACAACTCAAAATTGAGTCCCCACCTCAATAAACGACAACGCCATTTGTATCAGTTAGCTTTTTCTGTATAACAATCACTCCAAAATTTGGCCTTAAAACAACAACCTTTTATGCAGCTCACAAGTCAGTGGGTTGGTAATTTGGGTTGGGCTCAGCTGGGAAGTCCTTTTGGTCTTCTTGGGCTCACTCACATTGCTGCAGTCAGCTGGGACAGATGGGTCTAGGACAGTTTATTTGTATATCACATGGTCTGTCATTCTCCAGCAGGTTAGCCTGGGCTTGTTCTTATGGTAGAGGCAGGAGACCAAGAGAGAGTGGAAACTGCAAGGTCTCTTGAGGCCTGGGCTCAGAATTGGCATGATGTCACTTCTGCTACCTTCTATTGGCCTAAGCCAGTCACGTGGCCATGCCCAGAGGCAAGGGGTGGGAAAGTAGACTCTGCCTTTAATGGGAGGAGCTTGTATGGGAGGGTAAGCATACAAGGAGGGGAGAAATTGAGGCCATTTTTGCAAACTATCAGCCACACCAATCTTCTAGTTGCTTAGCAAGCAAGATATGGAGTCTATCTTGTCCTCTGTCTCTCAGGTTTTACATCCAATCCATGAACAAATCTTGTCACCTGTACCCTTGAAATGAAATATATTTTGGATCTGACCATTCCTTTCACCTTCCCCCGATTGCCACCCTAGTCCAAGAAACCATCATCTCTTCCCTGGTTCCTGCTTCTTACCTTTGCCTTCTGCAGCCTATTCTATTCAGCAGCCAGAGAGTCAAGACCTGTCACTTCTCTGCTCAGATACCCTCCTCAGAGTCAAAGGCAACATCCTGTAATGACCAGTGAGGTCCTGCACCATCTGTCTCCCCAGCCCCCAAGATCAGTATCACCTAAACTCCTACCACTCAAGCCTCCCGAAGTTTCTCAAAATTCAGGCTTGCCCTCACCACAGGGCCTTTGCGTGTGCAGTTCTGTCTGCCCAGAAAGCACTTTGCCTGGATATCTGCCAGTTCAGTCCTCACCTTCTTCAGCTCTTTACACAATAGTTATCTTCTCAGTGAAGGTTCTCTTGGCAGTCATATTTAAAATGGAACCCCCCCAACCTTTTCTTCTTCCTGCTTCATTTTTTCCATAGCTCTGTCATCATCAATACATGACATATTTTCTTATATATCTACTTATTGGATAGGCCAGTGCTGTCCAATAGAAGTATAACATAAGGCCGGGAGCGGTGGCTCACGCCTGTAAATCCCAGCACTTTGAGAGGCCGAGGCAGGTGGATCACCTGAGGTCAGGAGTTTGAGACCAGCCTGGCCAACATGGTGAAACCCCGTCTCTACTAAAAATACAAAAATTAGCTGGGCTTGGTGGCAGGCGCCTGTAATCCCAGCTACTCGGGAGGCTGAGGTGGGAGAATCGCTTGAACCTGGGAGGTGGAGGTTGCAGTGAGCCAAGATCACACCACTGCACTCCAGCCTGAGCAACAGAGCAAGACTCTTAAAAAAAAAAAGTATAATGTAAGACACATATATAATTTATTTTTTTCTAGCAGCCACATTAAAAAAGTGAAAACAGGCTAAGTGTGGTTGCTTATGCCTATAATCTTAGCACTTGAAGGCAGGAGGGTCACCTGAGGCCAGCAGGTTGAGACCAGCCTGGGCAACATAGTGAGACCCCTATCTCTACAAAAAATAAAAAATAAAAAAATTAGCTTTGTGTGGTCGCACATGCCCATAGTCCCAGCTACTTAGGAGGCTGAGATGGGAGGATCGCTTGAGCCCAGGAGACAGAAGCTGCAGTGAACCATGATTATGCCATTGCACTCCAGCCTGAGTGACAGGGCAAGACACTGTCTCCAAAAAAAAGGTGAAAATGGGAAATCAATTGTAATAATATACATTATTTAATTAACTACATCCAAAATATTATCAGTATTTAATTAATTTTAAAAGTTACTAATTTTTTACATTATTTTGTTTGCACTAAGTCTCTGATGTCTTGTGTCTGTTTTACATATGACAGCACATGTGAATTTGAACTAGCCATATTTCACATTTGGTAACCATACAGGACAGGACAGAACTAGATTGCAGTTCCACAATGGCAAGGATTTTTAACTGCTTCATCACGGCTGCTTCCCTAGCACCTAGAACAATGTCTCACATGTAGAAGGCATGCAATAAATATTTGATGATTGAATAAGTCAAATTCTGAATCAAATACAATTATGTGGAAAGATAGTTACAGACCCAGAAAAGAGCTATCAACTGGCTATATCCATGCTCTGGGCTGTGAGGGCAGGACTGTGAAGGGGAGAAAGTTAGTTTTTCTGTCTCAGTCTTGCCAAGTCATTCAGCACCTCCGTGGTTTTCCATTCTCTCTGGACAGACAGAAAATCTTGCAAGTTCATCCACACTAGGAAACAATAGCGAGTTAATGTGTTGCCCTCTTTTGGGCATTTGCACATTGAAAGTAAAAGTGAGAGAGAGAGCAATGCTTAATCCAAAGCAATGATTCCCTCCTGGAGAATTTTTGGCTCTAGTGGGAACGCTATTACTGGACCATGAGTCTTTCTGATGTCCCCGAGTTCACCCCAGAAGTAGGCTGTCAGCCAGGGTGCTTCTGTTGACAGGCTGCCCTTGGGTGGCCTGTTGCTGGGTGCCCTTGCTACTCTCCCCTGCCTGGTATTTTACTACAGACGGCACTGGAGCTTGATGGGAAGAGGGGGACTTGGGAGGTGCAGGTGCTCTCAGAGTTTGGGAATATGTCCAGTTCAAGGAAATCATTGAGCCATCCTCCGTAGCCAGCCCTAGGCCAGACCTCAGGGAGGGTGAAAAGCCTCTATACTTTGTAAGACACTTTCAATGGGGGAGGAGGTGGGGGAACTTCATAGCATTCCCCCTGCTAGGTGGGCAAGCAAGACACAACATGCTTGTTTTGCAGATTGGAAAGCTGAAGTCCAGAGACAGGAAGTGGGTACCCAAGTCACTCCCCTGAGAGCCTGCCGGGACTCTCCTCTAGGGGAGCAGGCACAATCTCGGCCTGAGGGGCCTTTTGGGTCTAGCTGGAGTGACCGGGTCAAAGGGCTGCTGGCTTGAAATAACTGCATGATATTAAGCAATGAGCGGAGTGGGCAGCGCACAGCTGGACCAGGCCTACCTGGGGAAGGCCAACAGGGGTGGGAGGCAGGGCAGTCACAAGGCAGGGGCAGCCAAGGGGCTGATGGAGCCCCTCGAGGTAACTGGAGACGGACAGGCCTCTGCTGCTTGTTAGGCATATGGGATCTGGCAGCTCCAAGAAGCCTATAGCTCTGCCTTTCCCAGGCATCTCCTCCCTCCCCCCTTCCTCTTTGCATCCTTTTGTTATCTCTCTTCCCCTGCTCTCCTCTAACCTTCTTTCTTTCCTGTCTTCCTTTCTCATGTATTTCCACTGACGTCCACCGTCTCTTTTTCTCTCATGCACACCTCCCCTCCCCAATACCCCAGAGTGCTAGACAGGGCTGCCCCATGAGCAGTGATGGTTGGGAATCTAATTTTACTGACCCTGGCTCCCTCTGAAAGCAAGCAGATATCCACTCACTGATGTGATCTGATTTCAGGGGCGTGTGGAGGTCAACTCCCATGGCGCCTCCACTCACCGGCTGCTGTCTGAAATCCCACCATTAGAACTTCATAGCACCAGCTCCTTAAAACGTAACCACTCCTGAGAAAAGCCATGGTCCAAGCTCTTCTTCTAAACTCTTCCCCATCATCACACATCAGAATGGATGGCTTCGGGAGCCAGGCTTGGGGCAGAACAGAGGAGGGCACAGGAGAAAGGGGCATCAGACGAAACAATTCTCCCAGGAGAAATGGGAGGCAGAGGAATAAAGCTACTCTCTGTCCTGTCCACCGTATTCACAGGGCCGGGCTTGTGTAAGCATACTGTGTGTTCTGCACACCTCAATAGGAAGGGGCCCCATCGAAGTGGCTTTCTGAACTGGGTCCCCTCCTTTTGGCACCAGACAATGCTAACGTGGTCCAGGTAGCCACCCTAGCATGTCTTGAAAGTTATTGGGGTTTGGGCCAGATGCGGTGGCTCACGCCTGTAATCTCAGCACTTTGGGAGGCTGAGGAGGGTGGATCACCTGAGTTCAGGAGTTCGAGACCAGCCTGGCCAACATGGTGAAACCCCATCTCTACTAAAAATACAAAAATTAGCCAGGTGTGGTGGTGTGTGCCTGTAATCCCAGTTACTCAGGAGGCTGAGGCAGGAGAATTGCTTGAACCCAGGAGGTGGAGGTTGCAGTGAGCCTAGATCGCATCATTGTACTCTAGCCTGGGCAACAAGAGCAGGACTCCATCTTAAAAAAAAAAAGAAAGAAAGTTATTGGGGTTTGGAGATTTGCTTTTCTGCTTTTAATTTACTTGAGTCTTTGTTAAAAATATAATAGTAGGAGAATATCTGAACTCATGACCTAAGACGAACTCTACATGGTTTGCAAAAGCCACCCAATGCCATCCACAGTGCAGACCCCTCCTTCCCTGGCCAGGAATGGCAGGATGAGGACTTCTGTTTTGGGTCTGAAATTGCTTCTTCTTCTGTTAGTTGATTGTGATGCACACTGACCACCTCCGTCCTGGGTCTCCTCAGTTCATGCTGGACCTGCAACTGGGCCCCTATACTCATTGCAAAGAATTCCCAGTCTTTCTGTCTGTAATTCTTCAAAGCTAGTCTTTCTACCTTGCACTTTATCTGCTTTAGTTTTGTTTCTCCCTCTGACACCATCAAATTCCATGCAGTTTTAAAATGCTGAGAGGCAGCTGCTTGCACATGACCAAGGTTTTTGGCAAGATGATGCTTCCTCCATGCTCACCTGTTCGTGATCATTCATTCATTCATTCATTCATTCATTCAGTGAGTTCTTACTGTGTATTAGGATCTGTGCCAGGCAGTAGGGGTAAAGGTGAATGAGACAGACCTAGGCTCTGCCTTCATGGAGTGTACAGTCTTCTGACCACATATGCCTTCCACAAAATGCCTTGTTAGGATTGTGGCAGGAATGTGTCCATACACTTTGTTGGTTTAGATGGGGAAAGTATCTTCTTGGATGGATCATGCCCAGAATATTGTCCCATTATGCACAGAGGTTTTCTTCTGTAATTGTATCCTGTCTCTAACCAAATCTTCTAGGCTTCTTTCCCTTACTCCTGGTCCATGATGGCAACTGGAGCTAAATACTGGCCCTTTGCTGCTTGTTGGAAGCTTGCTGCTTAATTGTCTCATACCCATGGGCAAGTAGGGTTCCTTAGGATGCAAAGTCCCCTCCCATCAGTGTTTTGAGAGCAGGAATTCAGTTCCTTGGAAGAAGCTGAGCTTTTCATTAGAGATCAAAGCCTGGCCCTGGGGAAGCATCACAAAGCTGCTCTTGGCTGTAAAGGATCCCTTTGGGCATATCACTTTCTTTCTAGGCCCTTGGCATACTCCATTGGACTGGGAACCAATAGATAGAGAGGGAGGAAAGCAGACCCATGGCAGCCCTGGGGGCTAAGCCAAGCAATAGGCCTCTTGGGGTTGATGAGACTGGAGCAAAAGAGGTTAAACTGATACACCTGGAGTACATAAGGAACCCGGAAAGAATGGCCTTTGAAGCTGGGTTCTGGGCAGATGGCCCACTTTCGTTTTCTTCATCTCTGATTTATCTGGTGTGTAGTCAAGTAGTTAGCTTATGTAGTGTACCCCAGACTCTCAGTTCTGCCGTTCAAGGTTCCCCACAATTTCCCCACACCCTCATTTTTCCTGTATCACTTTCCCAAGCACCCTGCCTCTGAATGACTCACAAAGGGTGCATTACCTAGTTGCATGAAATCCGAATTTCTCCCAGGCTAGAAAAGTCAGTGTGGGCCATTGAGAGACTCAGAAGATACAGGAAACAAGATTCTGAGCTGTATCCATGCAGAGGGGAGAGGAGGCTCCCTGGGGGCCATGTTGAGTAGAACGTGAAGTCTGTCTTTGGACATGGGCCTCCTCTGGACTACATCTCCCTCCACCTGGGCGCAGCCCCACCGGCTTGCTCCCTGAGGACCCAAGACTTGCTCTCTCCTTACTGCCATGCTTCTTCCCCCCGACCGAGGTCCAGCTCTCTGTGCCTTCACAGATGGTGACTGTCCAGTTTGGCAACTTTAACTATGATCAGGCCAAAAGGAGGGTAGATGTTGCAGGGAATTTGCATCATCTCCTGGTGGGCCAAAAAGGGCCCTGGAAGTACTCCAGGTCACACCCCCGCCCTTTGCTGGTGTTCACACTCCTCTTCTGAGCAGTTAGTGGGCCTCTGCATGGACATCTGCAGTGATAAGGAACTTTGGGAGACAAAATAAATTCTGAGAAATGTCTTCCTTATGTTGACTCAAATCCGCCTACTGGAAAGACCTTTAGCCTTTGACTGCAGCTATTACCTGACCCAGAGTTTCCTCTTCCCTGCTCATGCCCAGATTCTCCAACTGTTCCTAGTGTCAGATTACTCAAGTCCCTTCACAACCCTGCTGTCCATCATCAGAGTCCAGTTTATCAATGTCCATTTTAATATGAGTTTCCCAAAATCAGTTCCAGTACCCAGGAGTTTCCTTCAACCTTTCCATCAGTTAAACCCTGTGAAATGCAAGCCCTAAAGCCTTTCCTTTGGGGGATGTCCAAAGGCCCTGGGATTTGTCTTGCTACAGAAGCACCCAAGGGCCTGGAAACATTTGGCCTGCTCTACAGAGGCAGGGCTTGTCCTTGGCATTTCCTTAGTCTAGGGAGGAGGCCTGGGGCTATTGGCCAAGGCAAACTGCACTGTGCCTGAGCAGTTGTGCTCACCTCAGCCATTCCTCAGCATCTCCCAAAGAAGAGATTCAAGCCTATTCCCCATGGAGGCCAGGAGCTAGTGCTTTGTTTCTTGGTTACTGTCATAGGCAGGAACAGGCTTACTCCTAGGGGAACTCAGGAGAGAGAGAGGGATGGGGAGAAGAGGTGGTACCACCAGGACCATGGCATGTTATTTCCATTCGGCAAGCCACCAGGCAGGTGGGTTCCTCTCTGGGCATACCACGTGGAGACGTGTATGGTTGTATGAGGACCCATGTGCTGGAAGGCCGTGACACTGATGTGGCAGAGCAGGGGGATCACACTGCAGCACTGGGACTCAGGAGGCCTGGATGCCAGCCCCAACTTGGCCATGACTACTCTAGAGCCCTCAGACATGCCACCCCAGATTTCCTGGCCTCCAGATCTTCATCTGTAGAATGAAGGCTGTGTGATCTCTGCACTTCATTTAGCTAGGATATTGGAGGATTCCATGAAGAACTATGCTTCTTTACTAGCTAATAACTTCATCCTTACCTGTTCTAAAATAAAGAACTCTTTCTTCCTCCTTTCCCTCGTTCCTCCTTCTTCACTGTCCTCTCTCCATGTCCTTCCCTCTTTCTTTTCCTCTTTTATCCAGTATCTCATTATCCTCCTGTCTCAGAATATCTCTAAGAATATTCCCTTCTAAGAACAAAGGGCATTTACTGCATGGTACCTCCTCCGAAAACACTCACTTCGCAACTTTATTGGAGATAAAATTCATACACAAACAAAATGCCAAGTATAATGGCCTAAATGCCACAAATCAGATGGAGAGGAGAATTTCATCCACCTGGGAAGGTCTTGGAGGGCTCCCAAGGGAGTTAACATCTGCCCAGGGTAGTCAGGGTTGGACAGGATGCAATGGTCTGGCAAAGCAGGGTGGCAGTGCCAGAGGGCAGAGAATGGCTGTCGAGGGCCCAGAGGCAGGCAAGGCCCCTGGGGGTCTGGGAGAGATGAGGAAGGTCAGATACAGCAGTGAGAGAGAGCAAGGCTGGGAGGGGGATTTGGGCAGGGAATGGAATGCTTAGAACTGTGCTTTAGGAAAGTTAACGTGGCAGCCATTTATTTGGAAGAGGGATTTCGAAGGTCAGCGCTGGTCCTTGTTTCTCCCTGGTTCCAGCCCACTTCAAATGCTGGGTGTCACATCACAGCTCTGATGTGCCCATCTCAGGTCTGCTCTGTCCAGCTCTAGGACCCTGGCGGCGGTACAACACTGAACACAAACATCTTCCTGGCGCTTTCTACTTTCTACTTAGCCTCCCCGTGAATAAGATGAGAGGCCTGGTCAGAAGCTATTTGAGGCCCCTGCCAGCAAAGAGATTTCAGCAGGTGTGTGGGATCAGCAGCATCACTGCAGGTCACAAGTCCAGGAAACTAGGGCCTGGAGAAGTCCATGGGGCTGTCCAGGTCTGACTGTGAGGGGAAGTGCCCTGGCCTTTGGGACAGAGACCTTACACCGGGTGACTCTGCCTGGCTTTGAAGACTTCTTGGTAGTGATGCCTTCCTCACTGGCCTCTGTGGGCAGAGACCTGCTTTTCAAAAGGCTGGCTTTCTTTGCTGCTTGTGTGGGCTTTTCAAAAAGGAGCCAGCGCTGAACCCCGGCTCTTGAGGCTGAGCCTCTCCAGCCCTGTGGCCGGCTGTCCTGTCTTCTTTCTCCCTGCCCCTCCCTGGTGCCTTTGGAGAGGGAGTCTCGGGCCTTCCCCTCCTTTCTGACCATCAGGGCCCTGCCTCCAGTGTCCCCTCCCTGTTCTGCCCCAACACTGGGGAAGAGTGAGGCTGGCTCAGTAGCTGAGCACAGCGGGAAACCTGACACCTGAGAGCTGGCCTGAGGAGGCGGGAACTCGGGCTTCCGGGGAACCCCAGAGAAGCCTGGGAGGGTTTGGATCCCATCCTACTCTCCCAGGATCCCACATCCCTGGAGCAGGCAGAGCTGGCTCTGGTCAGCTGGCAGGCCTGCAACAGGGACCCTGGGCAGACCTGTGCTTGAATTGCCCACCAGCAGAAGGCCATCATCCCTGGGGTAGCCCCGGGTGGGTGGCAGGCCAGGTAGAGATGTCAGGTGCCCTGTGGGGCCTTTCAGGCTGCCTGTTCTTCCCCTCTTTCAGCCCCCTTTTCCTTGGAGGACTGGAAGGCAGTGCCTCTCAGCCCTGGAGTCTTGAGGATGAAACTCCACTTTCCTCCAGAGCAAGTCCTGGGGCTGGAGCATCAGGACCTCCAGCTCGGGAGTCAGTCTTCCCTGAAGAAGCCTTGCTGCCTTCCACGGTCCCTGGCATCTGACTTCTTGGCCTGGCTCTTTGCTCCTGCCCAGGCTCAGCCCTCATTCCACTCCCCTCATCTGCTGGCCAGAGGAGCCTCCTGACTGCACCCAGTGTGTCCTCTTGGTGTCCTGGCCCTATTTCTGCACTGTCCTCCTCCCTGGGAGGCCCCCCGTCTTAGTCTGTTTTGGATGCTCTAACAGAAGGCCATAGGCTGGGAGCTTATGAACAACAGAAATGCACTAATCACAGTTCTGGAGGCTGGGCAGTCCAAGATCAAGGTGTTGGGAGATTTGGTGTCTGGTAAGGGTCCGCCTCCTCATAGATGGTTCCTTCCCTCTGTGTTCTCACTGGTGGAAGCAGCAAGCCGGCTCTTTGGGGCCTCTTTTATAAGGGCAATAATCCTATTCATTGGGTTTTATCCCCACTATCTAATCACCTCCCAAAGGCCCTGCCTCCTAAATCCATCACCTTGGCGGTTAGGATTTGAACATATGACTTTGGGGTGACACCAACATTCAGACCACAGCACTCTCTCACTGCTACCATATTTCATCAAGCTTCCTGACTCCCTGGGCTCTGTTCCCTTCTGCCCGTCCACATTTGGCTTTCAGGAAACACCTTGCTTCAAATTTCTACTTTGTTACTTATCAGATGAGTGTCCCAGGCAAGGCAGTGAGCCTTTTAGAGACTCGGGGACCTTGTCACTGTTATCCCCACCCACCTTCCCCACTGATCTCTGCTTCTCCCTTTCCTTTCCCTCCCCTATGGGTTCTTCTGTCCTCCTATCCACCCACTATCCAGCAGCCAGCAGTCCCCAGGCATTTGTGGGTCACCTATAGTGTGTACCATGTGTGCCAGGTGGGCGTCAGGCGAGCCCAGCACCTGTGGGTTCCCCCTGTCCCAGCTGTGCAGGGCTATCCTCAGCCCTGGACCCACCTCACTCAGGCCCCCACCCCCTGCTTTATGGTACAGCTCCTGGCCAATTCTCAGGTGTGCTCACTGTCCTTATCAACTCCAGAATTCTAAGATGCACATTTTTCTTCTGAAATGAATGTGTGTCTTACCATTGATGTGTTTATTTAATGTGGTGTTTGTTTGTTTCTGGGAGACCCTTCTTTCTCCCTACTCCCTAAAAATATTATTTAGCTCATAATGGGTCTTTCAACTGATGTCATTTTAGCCTGGGGAAATATGACAAATGCATAATGTAATCAGTGACATCTGGAGATTATTTTTTAACTTGAAGGAGTAACTCTAACAGGGAAAATTGCAGGTTGTCTATTAATGGGGTATTTGGGATGTCTGTTTTTCAGACATCACTGATCGTTGATTTGTCATGGACCCAGATATACTATCCTGGGAGTTTCACTCCTTGGATCTTAGGGACCAAACAGAGCAGCTGCTGCCTGGTACTGTTACAGACCCTACATGATTTAGGGCTGAGGAGAGGCCCCAGGGGGCAAGGTGGATGTTTCCACTTCCAGTTCCCTTCTCAGCAGGGTGCTGAGACCAAGAACCACTCTGGGGATGGAGATGGTGGAGGGAAGAAGCACAGCCTCCCAGAAGGGAAGTCAAAGGACCTTGCAGGTAGAAATTGCCTAGAATGTTACAGACAGCCAGGTACCTGTGCCCACCTTCCTCTGGCTGCCACCCCGGAGAGAAGGCATCTGCTTTCACTTCCCAGTGCGTCTGCTGGAGGGCACAGGTTGTAGGATGGTAGAAACCTCCCCAGGCTGGGGCGGTTGGTGCTCCTCCTAATGAGGCTCCAGAGAAACCTGAAGGCCCCTTGGACAGAGTGGGTACTCTCATGGCAGGAGGGGCTGCTGCGAGGCAGGCAGCTGCACGTTCATGGCAGTGGGGGAGGCTCCACCAGGGCCCACCCGGGAGGGTACTGGCCAGCTCTGCCTGACCTGGCCCTCCCATGCCACAGCATCAAAACCCAGAGCCTACTTGGCCCCACTTGCCATTCTCTTTCCCGTTCCGTTTCAAACCAGTCTGCCTTCAACCAGCCTCAAACCCGCAGCCCCTTCGAGCCACGGAGCTTCCCTCACTCCCCACAACAATCTGTCAGACAAGCAGGTATTTACTGGGTGCCAGCACCAAGCCAGGTGCGTGGGGATCCAGATACAGCAAAGACACGAAGCCCAGCCTGGTGGGGGCGGCCAGTGTGAAGAGACAGCTCAAGGTAGCCACTGCCAGGTGCCAAAGGAGTGGGAGAGAAGGGAGTTCTCAGAGCTCAGAGGAGGAAGGCAACCCTGGGGCTGGTGGGCAGGGTGGTATTTCTGGAGGAGCTGAGAGGAGACACGGACCTTTCGAGATGGGAAAAGCAGCCAGGGAGATGGGAGCACAAACTCTCCAGTGGGAACATGAGAGAAGTGGACCTCCTAATGAGTCTCCAGAGAAAGCTGAAGGCTCCTTGGTAGACCAGTGTGGACGGCTGCGGGAGGGCTTGGAGGGGGTCTGTGGGAAACAAGGAGAATGTAGCTTTAACACCAGGCCAAGGGGAGGCCGGGCGCAGTGGCTCACGTCTGTAATCCCAGCACGTTGGGAGGCCGAGGCTGGCGGACCACGAGGTCAGGAGATCAAGACCATTCTGGCCAACATGGTGAAACCCCGTCTCTACTAAAAATACAAAAATTAGCTGGGTGTGGTGGCAGGCGCCTGTAGTCCCAGCTACTCGGGAGGCTGAGGCAGGAGAATGGCTTGAACCTGGGAGGTGGAGATTGCAGTGAGCTGAGATCGTGCCACTGCACTTCAGCCTGGTGACAGAGCGAGACTCCATCTCAAAACAAAAAGAAAAACAAAAACAAAAACAAACAAACAAAACCAGGCCAAGGGGTTTGGATTTCACCAGTAAGCAGTGGTCACTGCTCCACTCTATCAGTTAGGAAACTTGGCTGAAATGCTTTGCTCTGTGTACGGAGTTGGCTTTTTTCCTATAGAGTTGCACTGTCCAAAATGGAAGTCACTCACCTCCAGTGGCTCCTGGGCACTTGGAATGAGGCTAGGGCGAATTGACATGTGTGGCAAGTACAAAATAGCCACCAGATTTTGAGGACATAGTAAGAAAAGGAAAGAGTTTTAAAAAGCTCAATAATTTTTTACATAGAATACATATTGAAATAACATTTTGGATATGATGAATTACAGAAACATATATTATTAAAATTAATTTCAACTGTTTCTTTTTACTTTTAAAAGGTGACTACTAGGAAATGTAAAATTCCCTGTGTGGCCCACATTATAATTCTGTTGGACAGTGCTGGGTGAGAGTCTTGACAATACCCGTTTTCACCCCATTCTTTTCCTTTATAGACATGCTTATCTTCTACTTCTCTTCTTTATCCCTCTACTGTGCTTCCCTTTTCTTGCCCTCCTTCCCTCTGTCACACTGGCAGTCTCCTTCCCTTTGTCCTGTGTGATGGTAGACCATGGAGTGAAGGGAAGGGGGTCCGGTGCCGCTTGCTCATGCTGCAGCCCCCGGACTCACCAAAGCCAGAATCTATAAGGCAGAGAGGCCTGACTTATGGAAATCCTTGTGGGAATTAAAGTTCTAGATAATTCTTTTCTGGCTCACTTGCAGTCAGGCAGAAATTCTTTGGATTTTCATTTCTTTTTGCAAAGATTTATTTTTAAAAATTGATCAGTGACATGCACGTAATATACAAGGCTGAATAGACTAGCATAAGACACATTGAGCCAAGCAGCTTCGGTCTGCCCTTTGCCCTCCACACCAGAGGCAAAATCCCTCAACCGCAGTGCGCTTTTAACTCTTCTTCAGGCATTTCTTTCCTGAAAGACATAAATTACCAAGCAAATTTACAACCAAAGATTAGATTTCTATTTGTCTATTTTTAAATTTCTGATATTGCTTATGTTATTCATATTGTGGAAGAAATGTCCTTTTCTGTTCTAATATAGCTTATTATTTGTTTTATTGTTAATATAGAAATGATGTTTACTGTTGAGCCAAGTATAACATCATACAGGTAGTTACAGTTTCTTAAACAACTTTTTCTTTTCCTGGTCATAATAATTGCCTCACTTTCTTTGGATTGTTTTGTTTTCCATAGCATTTTTACAAATTCTTACCAAACTCTCTATCACATTATAAAATTCCTTCAAATACTATTTTTTAAAATACTCTTTTTTTTTCCTTTCTTTTATTGAGATGGGGTCTTGCTATGTTGTCCAGGCTGGTCTTGAACCCCTGACCTCAAGTGGTCCTCTTGCCTTACCCTCCTAAGTAATCCCAAAGTGTTGGGATTATGGATGTGAGCCACTGTGCAGTAATACTGTTTTCATGTGGCCACATTTGTCAGCAGTCCCATTGTTTCCAGTCCCCTCTCCTCTCCTCCAGATCTCCTCCCAGAGTCCCCGCCCTCCTGCTCCCCTGTGGAATGGCTGCAGAGATCCCTGCGCAGCTGTGTGCTTGGGAAGCTTTCCACCTCTGTCAGGTGCAGCCTTATTTTGTTGTTCCTCTTTCTTGGTTTGTGTTAGTACCTTTTTGAGAAGGAGTGTTGAGAAGGTTAATTTTTTTTGAGCTCCTATATGTTTGAAAATGGCTTTATTCTATTCTCATACTTGATTAATGGTTTGGCTGGGCAGATAATTCTAGATTGGAAATCACCCTTCCCCCTCAATACCTTGAAGGTAGCTGCTCTATTGTTTTCAAGCTTCTGGATTAATTCTTGAAAAATCTCAAGCTGTTCTGATTTCTGACCTTCATGGGACCTGTTGGATTTTTCTCTGGAAGGCTTCAGAACCACCTCTTTGCTCTCATTGTTTGGACACTTCACAGGGAGATGTCTTTCGGGTGGGTTCTTTCCCCCATCCATTTTGCTGGGCACTCAGAGGCCTTTTCTATCTAGAAATGCAGACTTTCAGTTCTAGGAAACAGGCTTTGTAGTTTTTGTTCCTAATTTTCTCCCTATCATTTCCTCCATTCTTTCTCTCTTTCCAGTGAAATGTGCAATTTCTGACGGGTTCCTTCAACGTTTGCATCTTTTTTCCTCCCATTCCCCATTTCTCTGTCTTCTCATTCCGGTTTCTGAGAGTCCCCAGCTTTGTCTTCCAATTGCCCTGTTGAATTTCATTTCACCTCGTACATTTCTAATTTCCAAGAGCTCCTTTTCTTGTTTTCTCATTGATCCTTCTTCAAGAGCTTCCTGTTGTTGCATGGATCCAACATCTTATTTTCCTGAGGGTATGGATTATATTGTTTTGAAGTTAATTTTTTTCTAGCCCTTGCATTAACTCTGTTCCTCGAGTTCATTGTTTAAAAATTATTCTTTAATTTCTGGGATACATGTGCAGAACGTGCGGGTTTGTTACATAGGTATACACGTGCCATGGTGGTTTGCTGCACCCATCAATCCATCATCTACATTAGGTATTTCTCCTAATGCTCTCCCTCCTCTTGCCCCCCACCCCTGGACAGGCCCCGGTGTGTGATGTTCCCCTCTCTGTGTCCATGTGTTCTCATTGTTCAACTCCCACTTATGAGTGAGAGCATGCGGTGTTTGGTTTTCTGTTCCTGTGTTGGTTTGCTGAGAATGATGGTTTCCAGTTTCATCCATGTCCCTGCAAAGGACATGATTCTCTGAGTTCATTTTTAAAAATTTGGTAGGTTCTCTTTCTCTTTTCACTTTGTAATCAAACGACCGATCACTCTTAGGCTCTCTGTTCATGCCAAAGAGTAGGTCACTAAAGCTGTCTAGAATGTCTGTGTGCCTTGAGGGTGAGAATGGACTTTTCAATGAATGGGCTTCATTATACAGTGGCCAGTTGGGGACCCAGTGATTTATCAGGGGTGCTCTCAACCAGAAGTATCTGCAGAGCTCTTCCTAGGACCAATGATTTTCTTTAGAGAAGCATCCCCCAGTTTCACCCTGGGGCTGTGGAGGGTGCAGGGGAGGGGCACACGCTTAGGTAACAGTGTTTTTGGCACCAAGTAGTAGAAGAGGAGAGGGATTCCAAAGTTCCATATTCAGACTTTCACTTAATCCTGCTGTGTTTGTTAGCATGGTGCTGCACCCCTGCCCTCTCCTGCCTCGGGTCAACCCCCACTCCTATTGGAGCCTCTCTGGAAAGAAAGTCACTGCCTTGCATGAGAAAGGGGAGGAGCCCTGGGCAGAATTGCTCCTTACACAGATTGCAATCAGTCTCCCTGTTCTCGGCTCTGCCCTTTCTCCTGCCTTCCAAAGTAGCCACTGCCTCCAATTCCTGACCCTTCCAGCATTGTGCAGCAAGACTTGTCCATTCCTTCTTGACCACTCCTTTGGTAGGTGCTTGGTGTTCAATTTCTCAACTCTGCTAATTCCTCCATCTGCTTTCTTTTTCTTCCAAAAATTTGTTGACATCTGTTGCCTGCTGATGTCACCTTTCCTGTTATCTGTCCTTGTCTGTTTATTGTCTCTATTCCTTTGTTCTCATTTTAGTGGGTATTGGGAGGAGCAGACATGTACTGAATCTGCCATGTTTAGCAGCAAGTTTTCTGTAAATCTTTCTGAAATGCCGGGTCTACTTCTTGGCCTCATTAAAGGCCTCCCTTTGGCACCTAGAGCTGGATTTTTGCTTAGAGAGAATTTGTAAGGTTTTCTTGTCATCAAGCTCAATTTTATTTAGAAAAGGACTAGAGCTCAAATTGAATGTAGCCTGAACCCAGCTTATACCTGGACATGTTTGCTTTTAAATAAATGATAATGTTATAACACATTATTTAACTATTACTTAAATTAAAAACTATTTCGTGTGATCTGAGTCTTTTTTTTCCTTAAAAGTGTATGCAAAACAACTTCTGGTTGTTTTATTCTCTGGGAATTAGGGCTCCATATGGATTGAGTCCTGGCTGGCCAGGCTTCAGTGAAATTCTGAGCTTGGCTAGGCTGGACTAACTTTTCTCCATGTGGCATCTTTAAAAAGGTAGTAGGGTCAGTGGGCTTGCATAGGAGTCTAATTCAAAAGGCCAAGCTTTAGGAACCTTAAAACTTTTAAACAAGTATGTTAATTATAAAAAGGATGCTTATGTATTCATTAAAGATACACTTCCCCGGCCAGGCGCGGTGGCTCACGCCTGTAATCCCAGCACTTTGGGAGGCCGAGGCGGGTGGATCACGAGGTCAAGAGATCGAGACCACGGTGAAACTCCGTCTCTACTAAAAATACAAAAAATTAGCCGGGCGCGGTGGCGGGCGCCTGTAGTCCCAGCTACTCGGGAGGCTGAGGCAGGAAAGTGGCGTGAATCCGGGAGGCGGAGCTTGCAGTGAGCCGAGATCGCGCCACTGCACTCCAGCCTGGGCGACAGAGCGAGACTCCGTCTCAAAAAATAAATAAATAAATAAATAAAAAATAAAGATAACACTTCCCCCTCCATCAGGTACACGCACACAGCCTTCACCTGGCTGGGTTAAGGATGACCACATGCCTCTAACAGTGATGACGCTGCTGTGTCCTAATGTAGGTCTTGAGCTTCACCAGCCCCAGGCTGCCCCGGGTGGGCACAAGGGTCAGTGTGGCGGCCGCTCGTGCTGGTCGTCATGGAGATGTCTCTGTCCTTGCCTTCCAGGTGCCCCCTTTCAAAGGTCTCAGCATCCTCACGCTACCTCCTGCCGCCACTTCCACCTGGGCCCCCCGCAGCCGCAGCAGCTCGCTCCCGACTTCCCGCTGGCCCACCCCGTGCAGTCGCAGCCAGGCCTCAGCGCCCACATGGCCCCGGCCCACCAGCACAGCGGCGCCCTGCACCAGTCGCTGACCCCGCTGCCCACCCTGCAGTTCCAGGACGTCACAGGTCCCTCCTTCCTACCTCAGGCCCTGCACCAGCAATACCTCCTGCAGCAGCAGCTCCTGGAAGCCCAGCACCGCAGGCTGGTCTCGCACCCCAGGTTGGTGCTGCCTGGGGCGGAGGTGGGGACCCGGATGGGGTCGGGTGAGGGGGCAGGGCCAGGGCGTGGGCAGGGCCAGGACGAGGGCGTGGCCCGGGTGTGGCGGAGACGGGGGCGGGGCTACAGGCTCCTAGACTCCTGGCTTCTCTCCCTGGCCTGGCCGGCAGTCACCAAGTGGGTCTCTGTAGGAAGTAGCTATTGTTTCAGAGGCATCCACTTCAGGCAGTGAGCACTGTCCTGATCTGACAGGGGCTCCCTCAGAAGCCAGTGTGTGTCCCCATTGCATCACCCAGGTGCAGGGTCGGGGACGGGTAACTGGTGGTCCACGATCCTCACAGTGGACTCCTGCATGGTGCGGGAGGAAATTTGACTAGGGAACTCCTCATGTCCCCTCCAGCTTTATGACTGCCTGATTCTAACACCCAAGCACCCTAAAGAATACCAAAAGGAAATGGCTGGTTCCAGGAACGGCTGGTTCCCACCCTCAAGAATTCTCACCCTCAAGAGTTCTCAAGAGCCCACGGTCTAGATAGAGTCCGGCTGCATATTAATAATTAGGAAACAAGCAGGGAGTGAAATTAGACAATTCTAATCAAATAGGTCTGGAGTAGTTGTGGGGCCCTGGGTAAGTCACTGTGCCTCTCTGAGCCTCAACTGTCAAGAGAAAGAGTTGGATAGTCAGTGGATCTCAAACTTTTTGGTCTCAGGACTCTTTTCCACTCTTACAAATTAATGAAGACTACGAAGAGCTTCTGTTTATGTGGGTTTTGACTATTGATGTTTACCATATTAAAAATAAAAACTAAAAAGTTTTAAATATTTATTAATTCTCTTAAAAATAACAACAAATTCATGTTAACACCAATAATATATTTTTATGAAAAATAACCACTATATATAAATTTAGTGAGAAGAATGACTTTTTAAAACATATTTGCAAATCTCTTTAATGCGTGGCTTAATAGAAGGCAGCTGTGTTCTTATGTCTGCTTCTGCATTCATTCTTGCAGAATCTGTGTCATGTAGTTTCTGGAAAACCTCTCTGTTCATTTGTGACAGAATGAGAGTGAAAAGGCAAATAGCCTTATAGTATTATTAGGAAAATGGTTTTGACCTCTTGAACCACCTGAAAGGGTTGCAGGGACTCCCAAGGATGCTCGGAGCACACTTTCAGAACTGCTGGACTAGATCATCTCTAAGGCCCTAAGCATACATGACCATAGGGCTTGGGATGCTTGAGATAGAAGGTGAGCGCTGTAGGAGGTCAGAAGGAGAAGAGGTCACCATGACCTGGGATGTTCAAGGAGGCCTTCCTGGAGGAGGAAGGCTTTGACCTGTGCCATGAAAGCTGGGAAGAGTGTTGAAAAAGGGTTGAGGAGAGGAGAAGAGCATGATGGGAGTAGAGGGGTGCATAGAGCCTGTAGGAGGCGAGTCTGTGTGTCTTGAAGATGGCCCACCAAGGACAGAGGGAAGAAAGGCAAAGAGGCAGAGAGTGTGGGTGGAGCCAGGTAATCTACCACAGACACACCAAGGGAGAGACCTCTGCACAGCGGGCAGCCCGGAGACAGCCAGAGTTCCTGAGCTGCAGATGAACAGCAGTTCATCTGGGAAGCTTCCTTGGAGTTTGTCAAGAGTGGTGAAGCTCAGTGCTTGCTAGACTGTGGGTGCTAAGTGGGGCTGCAAGAGTGGGGCACCCTCAGGCTGCCCCGGTTTCTCAGAGCTCTTGAGAACTAGTGGCCTGGGTAGCCCCTGACACGAGGGCTCTCCATCCCTTCTGGTGCAGGCGGAGTCAGGAGCGTGTATCTGTCCACCCCCACCGCCTCCATCCCAGCTTCGACTTCGGCCAACTGCAGACACCTCAGCCCAGGTATTTGGCTGAGGGCACTGACTGGTGAGTCTTCAGGGCCCCTGGGGGAGGAAGGGAGGAAGGGAGGGAGGAGGGAGGTCTTGCCAGATCTGTGGAGTTTCTGTTTTCCTTCACTTTGAATGGCGCAGGAGGCCTAGTTCTCAGGCCCCAGCGTTTGCCTCTGCTCCCAGCCACCCTCTGGGCCAGATGGTCCCACGTGAGCCTGGTTCTAGCAATTAGCTCAGATATTACTGGGTGCTATTATATGCCCATCGTAGGACACAGTGTTCATGGTCCTGCAGTGGGGGAGGGGGACAGGGATAGAAAACATTTCCCAGGCTCAGTGAGGGATATGAACCAGTGGTCCCTGGGGGGAGAGCAGAAAGGAGAATTCCGAGGAACTGGGTTGTCAGGAAGGCTTTCTGGAGCAGGTGCATCTCAAGGGATCCACAGAGAAGTGCCAGGGCATGCCAGCAAGGCAGTGCTGGGTGGGGTGGCTGTGTAAACACAGGCTTACATTGCATCTTGAAGGATGGAGGCAAAGCCAGCCAGGTCAGAGGTCAGGACTGAGGAGGGGAGCTGGGGAGAGAGGTTGAGGGTGGTGTTGTTGCTGAGTCTTTGCAGATAATGGGCCCCTGAGCAATCTGCCCATAATTTCCCTCACTCAGCACAGATATCTTTGTTGTCCTGAGATGCAGGGTCGCTTGGTTTTGGATCCTGGGTCCCACCAGATTCTGGTTCTAGCTCATAAGAGAGCTGATATTAACTAGAGTTGGATCAGAACCCTTGAAAACTTAAAAAGATGTGCAGTTCACTGAATATTCAGAGGTAAAAGGCATCATGCCTGCAGAGTTCAGGGGAAAAAAATCTATCTATCTAATCTATCATCTATCTTCACAGAGGATTGTGTGTGGGTATATATGTATGTGTGTGTGTGTGCGTGTAAGTATATACATTGTGGGGGAGAGAGAAAGGGAGACAGAGAGAGAAGGAAATAGAAATGCAGTAAAATGGTGACATTTGGGGAATCTGGGTGAAGGGTATACAGGAATTCTTTATGCTGTTCTTGCAACTTTTAGGTCAAAAATATTTTGTTTCATTTTGTTTTGTTTTGGAGTGTAAAATAATCTATCAATGGAAAAGAATGAATTATCTTAAAGATTGATGTGCCGTTGTGTCATTTTTCAGCCACTTGTCAGGCTTAGTCCAGGGTTGCTTTGGGAGCCCTTCCCATGCACACCCAGGAATGATTCCAGAGAATAGTTCCAGTCAGTTGAATGCTATGGGAGCTTCTAGGTGCAGGAAGTCGTGGCTTTCACATGTTCCATTTTCTTCAGTCCTTTGCTCATTCTCAGGTACACTCTCCATTAAATTGAACAATTCCATAAAAGATAGATTGCACTACAGCCAACTTCTGCCCAGCCTTTTCCAATTAGCAGATTCAAATTAGGAAGATTTAATTGCAATTTGGATTGAATTCTGTCCCTCAGCAGTCAAGTCAATTTCATTTAATTCAATTCAGCACACACGGAGTACTCAGGGCCCTTGCATATGGCTGAGTGATTGGAACACACACAAGGGCCTACAGGGAAGTGGGACTGAACAGGTGACATAGGTGGGACTCATCCTGGGGAGATGGCAGGAGGAGCAGCACAGGTGCTGGCCCTGTCCTCAGCTTTCTTTATAGAGCCAAACCTCCTTGTCTTTCTTAATCATTTAAACCAGTCTGCATTCCTGACCACTACCTGCCCCAAGAAACAGAAAGAAGGAGGCTCCGGGAGGCTGGTCCCTGCCCTAGCAGGGGATGCTAGGAGGCCCTGCCTAGAGGCCCGCCTGGTCCACCCTTGGGCTCTTTCTGCTTGTTTTGTTCCCACTTCCCAAGTAGGATGCTGATTCTCCTCCCTTGTAATTAGCTCTGCTCCAGCGGGGGCCAGCCTAGTGGCGCCGAGGGGTTTTGTGATTGATTGTGCTAACTGCATCCCAGCCCTCTTTTCTAGAGAGGCTGCTTCTGCCAGGAGATAGGCAGCCTGGTAATTGGATGGCAGGAAATGCATTATAGGAAGGGCTACTCTCATCCTCTGCAAGGAGCCCTGGGGGAGTGTGTCTGTTGCATCCCCTATCCCCTTTAGAGAACCATCAGAGACCACAGACTTCTGCCCTAGGTCATTCCAGAAACTGGGCTGCAAGCCCATGTCCAGCCCAAGGTCGTCCACCCCCTGAGGTTACCCTGGCCTTTTTTCCTACTTTGGGATATCTTAACCCAACCCAAGCAGCTTCTCTCAGCTGGGAACCCTGGCCTGAGAGTGTGTGGAAGCCTTGGGGGATACATCCCAAACCCCTCTCTTTCTTGCCCATGCCTAATAACTTGATCCTGACCTTAAGCCGCAACCCAGGGCCTGAGTTCTTTTCACTCTCCTTCTTGGACTCAGTCCTGGCTTCTCAGTTCTAACTCTGCTCCCCATTGTGGACTATACCCCACTCTGTCACAGCTGCAGCCCTGCCTAGGTGGAGGTCTCTAAGTACCTGGGACCTGTGGGCAGAGGGTGGGTGGAGGGTGAGCACCTCCGATTGTCCTTTCCCCTCCGGGCAACCTTGCCTCAGCAAAGCTCCCAAAGCTCCCTGAGCCTGGAGTCACCCATAGGATGGTGCTGGCACTCGTAGGGCCAGATTCTGGGAAGAACTTAGGGTCTGTACAGCAACCAGACCACACCATGTTCAAGAACATTAAAAGTGGAAAATAAAGTTCAGCGTGATGTTTAGATACAAAGGCCAAAAATGACACATTGGCACAAGAAATCTCCAAAACACAGTTCTGGGTTAACCCTGTGGCTTTAGGTCTGTGGGATATTCCTGTGACCCCTTTAGACACTTAGCAAGTTCTTACAGGCTGGTGGCAACAGCAAAGGCTGGAGACACTGCTGCCTTAGGGGCTAATTTCTCTTTGAGTCAGGTCCTGGTCAGACTTCTTTAGGGTTCGAGGAACCACATCCCCTGTTGGGGTAGCCCAGATCCATCATGAGAGCCCACCCAGGCCCACCTAGGGCAGACCATCCCACCCATTTGAGGGACAAGGTGCCTCTTGCTTTTCCAGTTAGCATTCTTAGGATTGGGATGACTCTGTTCCAAGTTCCTTGGGACTTTGCTTTGGTAGAATTCCTTGAACATTTGTTTTGAATTTGTTAGGCTCCCTGAGACTTCTGGGTAAATGCTGAAAATCAGAGATTCTGCCATGTGAGGCAGTGCAATGGATTGAGCCCAGGCAAGGGTGTGAAACCCTGATGGTCCCAACTGGACAGCCAAGGTCCATGAATAAGGCACTGTCCTTCTGCAGGCCTCAGATGCACCTGTGAATATGAGGGGCTGACCTAGTGGATTTCTAAGTTTGCATCCAACTGGCTCCAAGAGTTTAGTTCATTTCCCAAGTGACAGGCTCATCATGAGCTGTTCCAGGGATTCGGGCTGATAATGGCTTTTTGCATCTGTGTAGTGCTCTACAAAGAGTTTTCACCTGCATTTTCTCATTTGATGCTCCAACATTACCATGAGGAGCTACTGTTATCATCATCTTAGAGATGAGGCTCAAAGAAGTGAATTAGCTAGAGAGGGTCTCACAGCTAAGAAGGGATGGACTTGGGACAAGGACCTGGGTCTTCTGACAGCTGCTGCTGTTCAGGCTGTGGTGTGCATGGAGTCTGTGAGAGTGACTGGCAGTCCTTCCTGCCCGTAGCAGCTGGACCTGGGCTGTGCAAAGAGGAGGATGGGGCCAGATGCCAGGGACCATCAGAGACCATCAGAGAGCTCCTGCCAACTCTCCAGGGCTCATACTCTCATGAGCGTAACCCAGGTAACAGGGATCAGACTCCCCTGAAGGCTGATGGCTTTGTTGGGTTTTTCCCTCAGAAAGATCTCAGATGACATTGCAGGGCAATGCGTAGCCAAACCCAGGCCATGTGGGATCCAGGCTCAGTAGCAGCAGGCACAGTGGGAGCATAGGAAGTTAGTGATCAGGGCCTGCTCACAGCAAGATGAGGAGGGGAAGTCTCAGAGTCCCATGCCTCCTGCCATCTCGCTCCTGTAGGATCTGAGGTTGAACCTTCTGAGGCCCTGGCATTCCTCTCAAGGGTGCTTTTAGGGCCTAGCTGCACTTTCCCAAAGGGAAGCTGTGTCCTAATTACCAGGGACCACTTCAATGTACACAGCACACTGCAAGAAACGACTGCTTGCAGCATATTTTCTCTAATAAATGCCACAAGTTTCCATGCATGCTTTTGGTATTTCTGAAGTTGGTGCCCATAGAGGTAAAACTTGGAGATAGTGGATGTTACCTTGGCACAATAGATAAACTTTTTTATTAAAAAAAACCCTTTTTATTATAGAAAATATCAAACAATAAAAAAATAAGAGAATAGTATAATGAATTCACACATATATGTTATCCAGCTATGACATCAACTCATGGCCAGTTTTGTTTTTGTTTTGTTTGTGTGTTTGTTTTTTTGAGACGGAGTCTCGCTCTGTCGCCAGGCTGGAATGAAGTGGCACGATCTTGGTTCACTGTAAACTCTGCTTCCCAGGTTCAAGCGATTCTCCTGCCTCAGCCTCCTGAGTAGCTGGGACTACAGGCGCACACCCTACACCCAGCTAATTTTTGTATTTTTAGTAGAGACAGGGTTTCACCATGTTGGCCAGGATGGTCTCGATCTCTTGACCTCGTGATATACCCGCCTCGGACTCTCAAAGTGCTGGGATTACAGGCGTGAGCCACCACGCCCAGATCTCATGGCCAGTTTTACTCATCTTTGTTCTCTCGCTTCCCCGGTCCTGATATTACAGTAGTCTCCATTACCTGTGGTTTCGCTTTCCAGGGTTTCAGTTACCCATGTAAACCACGGTCTGAAGATATTACAGCATTTTGAGAGACTGAGAGAGAGAGAGAGAGAGAGAGACCATATTCACATAACATTTTTTGCAGTATATTGTTATAATTGTTCTATTTTGTTATTGGTTATTGTTAGCCTCTTACTGTGCCTAATTTATAAATTAAGCTTTATCATTGGTGTGAATATACAGTATAGGAAGAAACATAGTATATATAGGATTCCTTATTATTCACAGTTTCAGGCAGCCACTGGTGTCCTGGAACATATCCCTCACAGAAAAGGAGAAACTAGTATATTTGGAAACAAATCCAGGCATCATATTATTTCATCTGTAAATATTTCACTATGTATCTCGAGAGATAATGATTCTGCTTTTTCACATCCTTACTTTGATACCACTATTAACACAAAGAAATTTAATAATAATTTTTACTATAATCAAATATCTAGCCAGTATTAAAATTTCTGTTATACTTTGTATCAATCAAGATCCGAATAAGTTTTACACATTGTGATTGGTTGATATGTCACATAAGTCTCATTTAATCTACATGTTCCTGGATTCAAATTGCTAAAATTTTGTTAAGTAATTTTTACATCTTTGTTCATGAGTAATATTGGTTTATAGGGTTTTTTTTTTCCTTGAAATGCCTTTGTCTGATTTTTATATCAGTGCACTGCTTGCCTCATTGAATGGTTTGGGAAGTCTTTCCTCATCTACTTTCTGGAAGAGGTTGTGTAGGATTGGCATTATTATTTTTAATTAATTAATTAATTTTTAGATACAGGGTCTTGCTCTGTCACCCAGGCTGGAGTGCACCTTGGCTCACTGCAGCCTCGATCTCCTGGGCTCAAGTGATCCTCCTGCCTCAGCCTCCCAAGTAGCTGGGACTACAGGTGTGCACCACTGTGCCCAGCTAACTTTTTGTTTTTTAAATTTTTGTAGAGACAGAGTCTTGCTATGTTGCCTAGGCTGATCCTCTACTTCTGTGCTCAAGCAATCCTCCCACCTCACCTCCCAAAGTGCTGGGATTACAGGTGTGAGCCACTGTGCCCAGACGCAGGCTGGTCTTACATGCCTAGGCCCAAATGATTCTCCTGCCTTAGCTTCCCATGTAGCTGGGATTACAGGTGTGTGCCACTGCATCTGGTAATTTTGGTAGTTTGTCTTTCAATAAATTTTCTCATTTAATTGGATGTACTGGCATAAGGCTATTCATAATATTTTCTTATCATTTTAACATCTGGAATCTGTAATAAAGCTCCCTCTTTCATTCCTCATATGAGTAATTTGTATGTTCTCTCTTTCATTCTTGATCAATCTAGATAGAAATTTAATCATTTGTACTACTCTTTAGAAAATAGCCTTTGATCAGGCCAGGCGCGGTGGCTCATGCCTGTAATCCCAGCACTTTGGGAGGCTGAGGCAGGCAGATCATGAGGTCAGGAGATCCAGACCATCCTGGCTATCATGGTGAAACCCCGTCTCTACTAAAAATACAAAAAATTAGCCAGGTGCAGTGGCGGGCGCCTGTAGTCCCAGCTACTCGGGAGGCTGAGGCAGGAGAATGGCGTGAACCGGGAGGCGGAGCTTGCAGTGAGCCTGGGCGAAAGAGCGAGACTCCATCTCAAAAAAAAAAAAAAAAAAAGAGGCCGGGCGCGGTGGCTCACGCCTGTAATCCCAGCACTTTGGGAGGCCGAGACGGGCGGATCACGAGGTCAGGGGATCGAGACCATCCTGGCTGACACGGTGAAACCCCGTCTCTACTAAAAATACAAAAATTAGCCGGGCATGGTGGCGCGCGCCTGTAGTCCCAGCTACTCGGGAGGCTGAGGCAGGAGAATGGCGTGAACCCGGGAGGCGGAGCTTGCAGTGAGTCGAGATCGCGCCACTGCGCTCCAGCCTGGGCGACAGAGCGAAACTCCGTCTCAAAAAAAAAAAAAAGAAAAAGAAAATAGCCTTTGATCCCATTACTTGTTTTTTATTTCACTGATTTATTTCACTGATTTCTGATCTTGATTTTATTATTTCCTCCCTTCTACTTATTTGGGCTCTAGCTTCTTAAGGCGGAAATTTAGATCATGACTTTGGGTTTTCTTTTCTAATATAAGCATATAAAACTGAATTTTTCTTTAAGGACTACAAACTTTCTAGTTAGCATTATGAATTCTTTTTGACCCTGGGTAATTTAGAAGTTTATTATTTAATTTTTGAAAACTTGGGATTTTGCAGACTTTTCTTGTTGTTGATTTCTAATTTAATACCAGTGTGATCAGAAACCATACTCTGTGTAATTCTAATCCTTTTATATTTATTGAGACTTGTTTTATGGTCCAGCATTTATACTATCTTAGTAAATGTTCTATAAGTATTTTTAAAAAGTGTATATTCTACTCTTATTGGATAGAGTATTCTATAAATGTCTCTTAGATCAAGTTAGTCGACAGTATTGTTCAGGTCTTTTATATTCTTACTGATTTTTTTTCATGAATTATTCCATGAATTATAAAGGAGGGTGGATGTCTAGAACTCTACTTATGAATTTGTTTTCTTTCAGTTCTGTCAGTTTTTGCTTCACTTATTTTGACTTATATATATTAGGATATTAAAAGGATTGTCATTTTTCAAGATGAATTGACCCCTTTATCATTATGAAACATCCTTCCTTATCCTTGGTAATATCCCTTGGTTCAAAGTCTACCTTGTCTGATGTTAACATAGCCATTCCAGCTTTCTTCCAGTTAGCACTTACGGGGTATATCTCTTTCCTCCTTTTACTTGTAACCTAGTATCTACATATTTATATCTTGAATGGACAGCATATACTTGGCAATTGTTTTGCAGTTGACAATCTCTGTCTGTTAATTGGGGTGTCTAGACCATTTGCATTTAATGCAATTGTCTACATGGTTGGAATTAAATCTGCCATCTTGCTCTTTCTTTTCTCTTTCTTCCATCTGTTTTGTTGTTGTTGTCATTTTGTTGTTTTTCTTTTAAAATTTGTGTCTGTTTTTTGCCTTCTTTTGGATCAGTTGAGAATTTTTAGTATTAAATATTGGTTTAATAGTCATACCACTTTATTTTATCTTATTTTATTTTGGGAATTCACTAGGTTTACAATATTCCTATTTAGCATATCACACTCTACCCTAAAATAGAATTATACCATTTTGTGTGTAATGCAAAACTCTTACAACAGCATACTTCCATTACCCCTTTGCATCCTTTGCTACTTCTTTTGTAGGTTTTATCTCTATGTATGTACAATTACCAAAATACATTGTTATCATTTTTGCTTTAAACCAGTGGTTGGCAAATTATGGCCTGTGAATCAAATCTTGCCTGCTCTCTGTTCTTGTAAATAAAGTTTTATTGGAACATAGACACATCTATTTGTTCACCTATTGTTTATGGCTGCTTTTACACCTCAGTGGACACTTGAGTAGCTGTGACAGAGACTGTACGGCTTTTGAAGCCCCAAACAATTACTATTTATGATCCTTTACAGAAGAAGTTTGCCAATCTCTGCTTTAAACAGTCAACCTTTAAAGACAATTTTTCATAGGAAAAATAATTTTTTATATGTCCCACATGATTATCATTTCTGGCACTCTTTATTCCTTTGTAGAGAGCTAAGTTTCTGTCTGGTGTTATTTTTCTTTAGTTTGAAGAACTTTTTAAAACACTTCTTGTAGTAACAGTCTCCTAGCAGTGCACTCTCTCAACTTTTTGAAAAAGTCTTTATTTCACTGTCATTTAAAAATATATTTTTTCTAGGTATATATTTCTATATATTTCTAAGTTTACAGTTTTTTTTCCCTTCAGCAGTGCATAGGTGCCATTCCTTTGTCTTCTGGCTTGCTTTGTTGTTGATGGGAAATCTATGATTGTTCTTACCTACATTCTTCTATGTTGAATGGGTCTTTTGTTCTTTCACTATTTTTAAGATCCTGTCTTTATTACTATTTTTCAGGAATTAGATTATTATGTCCCTTGGAGTGGTTTTCTTTGTGTTATCCTGCTTAAAGTTTATCGAACTTTTTGGATCTGTGAATTTATAGTTTTTATTAAATTTGGAAATATTTCAGCCATTTTTTCCCTAAAATATTTTTTCTGTCATCTACCTTCCATCCCCTCTTTTTGGGTCTTTACTTACCCATGTGGCTGACTGCTTGATATTTTTACTGAGACTCTGTTAATTTTTTAGTCTTTTTCTGATGGTGTGCTTCATTTTGGATTATTATTATTATTATTCAGGATTTCATTCTGTCACCTAGGCAGAAGTGCAGTGGTGGCATCACAGCTCATTGTAGCCTCAACTTCCTGGGCTCAAGTGATCCTTCAACCTCAGCCTCCTGAGTAGCTTGGACCAGAGGACACACCACCATACCCAACTAATTTAAACATTTTTTTTTTTTTTTGTAGACGTGATATCCCACTATGTTTTCTGGGCTAGCCTCAAACTTCTGGACTAAAATGATCCTCCTGCCTTGGCCTCCCAAAATGCTGGGATTAGAGGCATGAGCCACTGTGCCTGGCTCATTTTGGATTATTTTTATTGTTGTGTCTTAAAGTCACTAATCTTTTCTTTTGTAGTATCTAATTTACTGTTACTCTAACCCAGTGAATTTCCTATTTCAGACATTGCATTTTTCATCTCTAGAAGTTCCATTGGCATCATTAAAATATCTCCTCTTCTATATATTTTACTCTTCTCTGTTTTCATGTTTTCTTTTGTATATTTGAATATGATTATAATAGCTATTTTAGCATCCTTGTTATTTCTGTTTCCTAGTTGTTTCCATGGATCGATTTTTCACCTGATTCTGGGACATATTATCATTTTTTTGGCATATCTAGTAATTTTTTATTGAATGATGAACATCATTTATGAATAATTGTGGATTATACACTGTTAAGTAGTTACGTTTGTTTTATTCATTTAGAGAGTGTTAGGCTTCGTTCTGGTAAGGAGCACTTGCAGTTCAGTTTCATCCTTTTAAGGCTTGCTTTTAGGTCTTCTTCCAGCAGGACTAGAATATCCCTAGAGTAGAGACTACTCTAGATCTTCCCGAATAAGACTCATAAATAAGTCTCAAAAGGCTCTTCTGGGGTCTCTATTGTATGACCAAGGACTCTCTGCTCTGGCTGACTGGAATATGAATCTTTCCCAGCACTGTCTAATCTCTGGGAACCCACTATACCTTGGATGCTCTTTGTTCAACCTACTAAAATTTCACCCCATGTATGCAGATCTTAGTATTCAGTAAAGACTCAAGGGAATCTCCGTGCAGATTTCTGGAGCCCTCCTTCTATGTAGCTGCCTCTTCTCTCCAAATCATGGTACCACAACTTTCAGAGACCTCAGCCTCCTGGAAATAAGATCTCTGAATCCTCAAATCATTAAGATCGTCATGCTCTGCTTAGTTCTCTCCCTGCTCATGGTCTGGAATGTGCCTTCATGCAAAAAACTAGGGAGGTTGCAGAGCTCACCTCATGTGTTGTCCTTCTGTTGATAACAGTCTGCATTGCTTGTTATATAACGTCTGAAAACAGAGATTTCATATATTCTGTTCAGCTTTCTAGTGGTTTAAAGTGGAAAGGTAAACTTAACTCCTGTTAAACTATCACCAGTAGAAGCGGAAATTCCTTTAATACTTCTCCATATCCTTTTTTTTTTTTCTCCAATGTATTTGTTGAAGAATCCAGGCTGTTTTTCCTGTAGTTTCCCCTTACCTGGATTTTACTGGTTGCATTCTTGTGTTGTCACTTAAGATGTTCCTTAGTTTCTTGTATTCTCTGGACCTTGGCACCAAGATTAAGGCTTGAGTAGATTCAGGTTCAACTCTTATTTCTTGGCATAAATACTTCATAGGTGATATTGTATTCTTCCACCAGAGAGCACTACTGTCTGGTTGTTGCTTCTTTTGTGATGTTAGCAACAATCAATGATCTTTGCTTAGATCCTTTATTTCTTTAGGGGAAGCAAAATGATGACAAAAATTCAAGAAAAATTCAATCATCCCTTATTCATTTATTAGCTGAAAAACTTTTACAAAGAGAAATTTCCACTCATCAAATATTTGATTACCTGGAAATACAGTAAGAAAAGAAAGGCTCTTTTCATTTATTTACTAGTTTTCAAAATGAAGAGTTGGCTGGGTGTGGTGGCTCATGCCTGTAATCTCAGCACTTTGGGATACCGAGGTGGGTGGATCACTTGAAGTCAGGAGTTCAAGACCAGCCTGGACAACATGGTGAAACCCCATCTCTACTAAAACTACAAAAGTTATCCGGGCGTGGTGTGGCATGCCTGTAGTCCCAGCTACTTGGGTGGCTGAGGCAGGAGAATTGCTTGAACCCAGAAGATGGAGGTTGCAGTGAGCCGAGATCGCACCACTGCACTCCAGCCTGTGTGACAGAGCGAGACTCCATCTCAAAAAAAAAAAAAAAAAAAAAAAAGGAAAAGAAAAAAAAAAAGAAAGGTAAAGAAGTTTGTTCTCCAGCATTCTTTGAAGGGGACCAATTTTCTAGCATCATTTCATGAGCATGGATCTAAACAATTTTTATTTATTTCCATCCCTCCTGCAGTTATTCTTGTCAACCTGCACATTGTCCTAACTCTGGCCAGTGGGAGCCTCTTCAGGACTGCTTCTGAGCCCTTTTGCTGTCACCCTAATAGTGTTTTGATAGTTCTCTTGTTTCTAGTTATGACAAGATGTTTCCATCTTATCTTGCTCATTTTCTCTCCAGATCTGAAATTGGCCATTTTCCAAATTAGCCATTGGTTCATCCTCAGTGCAATTCATCAATTAATTAGTTTTTAAGCAAAATGAATTTTTCTATATTTTTAGGAGTGGGTTGCGGTGGGCCAGGATAAGCTGTCTGGCCTGTAGGTCTAGGTGTAGAGTTCTCTCTCTTTGTTTTCTCAAAGTGGTAAAAATATAGCCTCAGCTCCCTCCTCCACTTTTATCTGAACCTTGTCTTTCCATTACTCAGTGCCTCTGGCTTGCTCGATTTAGATTCTTCTTTCAGCATTTCTCTCAGGGATGGACTTTGTCTTGGGAGGGAGCTTTGGTCCCCTAGTTTAAAGAAATTTCATAGAGCCTGGATTGCTCTAGCTCCTTCAGACCTTTCAGAGTCCTTTCCTTCTCTGAGTCTCTGTTTCCTTCCCTCTGAAGAGAGAGGAAAGGCTGGGAGATGTAAAGTTCCTTGCAGCTCTGGCAGGGTGTCACTCCAATTCTACTCCATAGGCTTGATGTCTGAGGTCCCTTCTCTAACCTGGCTAAATCACACCACCCTATGGTTCACTGAGGCTGTTTCCCTGCAGGGATCTCAGTGTGGATGCTGGCTTGAGTCCTGCTCAGTTCCAGGTGCGGCCCATCCCTCAGCACTATCAGCATTACCTAGCCACTCCTCGAATGCACCACTTTCCCAGAAACTCCTCCTCCACACAGATGGTAAGTGAAAGAAGACGGACTCCCTTGCGCCTATTGAGTGCCAGTGGTGGTCTGAGGCCTGCGGTCCCCTGTGCCCTGGCTGCTACATGGCCTGGCTCCCCTGTATCCTTGGCTCCCCTGTGCCCCGGCTTCCACATGACCCAGCTCACCTGTGTATCAATCCCCCATGCCCTGACTCCCTTGTGCCCTGGCCTTCTTGTGTCCTGGCTCCCTGGCAGATCAACAGCTCCCCTCTCTTCCCAGCTTCTATTCTCTGTTATCAGCCCCCTATGCCCTGACTCCCCTGTGCCCTGGCCCCCTTATATGCTGGCTCCCCTGTGCCCCGGCTTCCATATGACCTAGCTCCCCTGTGTTCTCAACCTCCTATACCCTGACTTTTCGGTGCCCTGGCCCCCTTATATCCTGGCTCCCCTGCGCTCCGGATTCCATATGACCTGGCTTTCTTGTGTATCAACCCCCATGCCCTGACTCTCCTGTGTCCTGGCCCCCTTATATCCTGGCTCCCCTGTGCCCTGGCTTCCACATGACCCAGCTCCTCTGTATATCAACACCCCATGCCCTGACTCCCTTGTGCCCTGGCCTTCTTGTGCCCTGGCCTTCTTGTGTCCTGGCTCCCTGGCAGATCAACAGCTCCCCTCTCTTCGCAGCTCCTATTCACACTCTGGCTTTATGGGGAATGAAAGGGAACCTGCTGGACTGGAAGCTGGTTCTGCTGAGGGGAGTAGGAGTGGGCACTGGAGGAGTGGAAAGGGGCAGCGTGGCAGGGTGTGGTCTGTGGGTAAAGGGCTCAGGGCTAAGATCAGGCAGAGTAGACCTTGCACTTCATATGGCCTCATTTAGTTTCCTGTGGTCAGTACCTCCCTAGGCTTTGGTTTCACTAATCTGTGAAATGGAAATGAAGATGCCTGCCTCGCCCATCTCACAGGGCTGGTGTGAGGATCAAAAGAGATCCCAGCGGGAGCTCTTGGGCCTAGCCTGCCTATCCAGTTCTGCCTTTTTCAGAGGGCAGGCCTTCTTGTGGCTGCAGAGTGCCGAATCATGGGTCAGGCTGGCTTTGGGGGCCTTTGGGCTCCTGACATTGCAAGCTGCATGGAATTAAAATGAAGATATTCCATGAAAGCAGCAAAAGCTTGATTGAAAATCTTATTTCCAGGCAACTTCACTTTGCTGCCCTAAAGCATAATTCCACCTTCCAAGCCTTGTCTCTGTCACTAACCACTCAGCTCCTCAGTCTCCTTATTTGTATAATAAGGAGCTTGCATGAGTAATTTTTGGAGTCCTTGTAAGCTTTGAGGGTCCATGCTTTGTGTATGAAGCACCATCTCTTAGGAATAAAGAAGCAAGCATTTATTGAGCACTTACTACATACCAGGCACTGTTCTAAGCAGTTCATGTAAATTATCCCATTAATCCTCTCAAAAACTCCCACAAAAGAGTATTATCCTGATTTTAAAGATTGGAAAACTGAGGAATAGAGAGGCTAAGTAACTGGCCCTGGGACATACAGTGAGCAAGTAGAGGAGCTGTGATGGAAACTCCTCTCTGACTCATAGCCAGGGTGAGGGAAAGGCGAGTGAGGCAGGCCATGCCAGAACAGAGTCAGACTCTGTCTTTATTTAAAATATTGATATTTTGCTCAGCATGGAGGTTTTTTTTGCATTTATTTGACTTTAAAAAACATTGCATTAAAATATCGTTAATCTTTATTACTGAGGCTTTTGGTGGCCCTTTAAATTTTGTGCCCCCACCTTGGTGCTGACACAAACCCAAGCCTTGAACCACCAAGCTTCTCTTGGAGGCAGTGCAGAGTAGGAGTGATATGGTTTGGCTCTGTATCCCCACCCAAATCTCACCTTGAACTGAATAATCCCCACATGTTAAGGGCAGGACCAGGTGGAGATAATTGAATCATGTGGGGGCAGTTTCCCACATGCTTTTCTTATGATAGTGAGTGAGCTCTCATAAGATCTGATGGTTTTACAAGGGACCTCCCCATTCGCTTGGCACTCATTCTCTCTCCTGCTGCCCTGTGAAGAGGTGCTTTCCACCATGGCTGTAGGTTTCCTGAGGCTCTCCAACTATGTGGAACTGTGAGTCAATTAAACCTCCTTTTTTTTAAGTTACCCATTCTTGGGTATTTCTTCATAGCAGAGTGAGAATGAACTAAACCAAAAGGTGAAGGGAATGGACTCTGCCACCCAACTGCCTGGGTTTGAAATCCTGGTTCTGTCCCTTGGTTGCATAACTTGAGCCAATTACATAATCTATTGTACCTCATTTACCCCATCAGTAAAATGGGGAGAGTAATAGCACCCACATTATAGATCAGGTGAGATAATTCAATTAGTCACGTTAAGTGCTTAGAACAGTGCCTGCCATGAAGGTTAGCTGTCACTTTATTAATTCTGTTATTCCTTCTGGGGCTTGTCCAGGCAAGGCTTGGTTCTTGATGAAAGAAAAGGGACATAAGAGCAGGAAAGACAATAGTTCTGCCCACAGCATCTCAGGGTGTACTGAGTGGGTTACAGGTGGAGAAGTTGCATGCTGGGCTCATGGAGAAACCTTGAATCCTTGCTCTATCCAAGGCGTTTTCTACCCAACAGGTCGTCCATGAAATCCGAAACTACCCTTACCCTCAGCTTCACTTCCTTGCTCTCCAGGGACTAAATCCCAGCAGACACACCTCCGCCGTACGGGAGAGCTATGAGGTATGTTGCTCTGTCTGGTACCAACTGGGTTGGTGGAGATGCCATTATTGTTATCATCCCTTTTCCCTCCCCACCTCTGCTGGTGAGTAGGGTATGGGTGTCAGGAAGCTTCAGGGTTAAGAGTAAGAAAGAGAAGAAGGGAGAGCCAGTAGAGATATTGCAGTCTTTCAGCATCAGATGAGTTCTTCCTGATAGCTATGTGAATGCTTCCTGCTCATGTCTTCCAGCTCCCAATCCATATCCTGTGTGCATGTGGGCATTTATACATGCTGAGCACACATGTGCACATTTTTCTCTTTCCAGGAGCTGCTGCAGCTCGAGGACAGGTTGGGTAATGTGACTCGGGGAGCTGTACAGAACACCATTGAGAGGTTCACCTTCCCCCACAAGTATAAGAAGGTGGGTCTGCCAGCAGGCCAGCCTGCATAGTCAGGGAATGGGGCAGGGGGGTTGTCTAATTGACTCTGGCCTGGTTGTTCACAGAGGGGTGCAGTCCAGATTCTAGAAACCTTTGCTCTGGTTAGATGCTCTAAAGCTGTAATAACTTCCCAGGGTCATGTTACTTTTCTGTGCCAGGTGTGGCCAGGAGGGAAGATGGAAGGCCTCTCATTAGTAAAGAAGGAGAGCTGGGTATCCGTGTGTGCATGTGGACTTGCCATTGGGTATATTACATACATATACATGTATAGGTGTCAGGCACATAAATACTTGTCTCTAAATGAGATGGGGAAAGGGGATACCTGCACAGAAGGCTAATATTTGCCTTAGAAAATAATTCTATGTCCAATCTCACATGTGAACAAATGGGAAAGCAAGGCATCCAAGCAGAGGTTTTCAAACCTGACTGAGCGTCAGGATCACCTGGGGAGCTTTTAAAGCCACAGAGTCACAGGTTTTATCCTAAGTCTGTAGAGGTAGAATCTCCAGGGCTAAGAACTAGGAATCTAGGATAAGATTAGAGCCCAGGAAACTGAGTTTAAAATTTTTTTTTTAATTAAAATAAATGAAAATTTTGGAAGCAACCAAGATGTCCTTCAATAGATGAAAGATAGATAAACATACAGTGGCACATCCAGATAATGGAATATTATTCTGCAATAAAAAGAAATAAGGACTGGGCATAGTGACTCACACCTATAATCTCAGTGCTTTGGAAGGCTAAGGATGGAGAATCACTTTGGGCCAGGAATTCAAGACCAACCTGAGCAAAATAGTGAGACCTCATCTCTACAAAAATTTTGAAAAGTTAAAAAGTTAAAAAGTTCATGGTGGTATGAACTTGTAGTCCTAGTTACTAGGGAGGCTGAGGCAAGATAATTACTTGAGCCCAGGAGTTTGAGGCTGCAGTGAGCTATGATTGCACCACTGCATTCTAGCCTGGACAACAGAGCAAGACCCTGTATCAAACAAAGAAAGAAAAAGTATAAGCTATTGAGCCATGGAAAGACATGTTGGAAGCAGAAATGCACTGAGGAATTCTTAAGTAAAAGAAGTTAGCCCAAAATGGCTGTGTACTGTATGTTTCCAAATATATAACATTCTAGAAAAGGCAAAACTATGGAGACAATAAAAAGATCAGTGGTTGCCAGTGGGGAGGGAGGGAGGAATGAATGGGTGGAGCATAGGGGAGTCTCAGGGGAGTGAAAGTATTTGGTATCATACTCTAACGGTGGATACATGACATTATGCATTTGTCAAAACTGATAGAATGGTGCAACACAGAGCAAACCCTAATGTAAATGAATGAACTTCAGTTAATAGTCTATTGATACTGGTTCATTGATTGTAACAAGTGTGCCACACTAATGCAAGATGTTAGTAATAGAAACTCTGTGTTGGGAGTATAGGGTATATGGGAAAACACTGTACTTTTTGCTTATTATTGTTATTATTTTTTGAGACAGAATCTTGCTCTGTTGCCCAGGCTGGAGTGCAGTGGCACGATCTTGACTCACTGCAACCTCCACCTCCTGGGTTCAAGCAATTCTCCCACGTCAGCCTCCCAAGCAGCTGGGATTACAAGCATGTGCCACCACACCCAGCTAATTTTTATATTTTTAGTAGAGATGGGGTTTCACCATGTTGCCCAGGCTGGTCTTGAACTCCTAATCTCAAGTGATCCACCCACCTTGGCCTCCAAAATTGTTGAGATTACAGGCATGAGCCACCATGCCTGGCCTGTTTTTGCTTAATTTTATGTAAACTAGAACTGCTCTACAAAATAACATTTATTATAAAAATAAATAAATAAATATTAATACATTTTTAAAACATTCATCCTTCCCAGGGGAAATTAAAAGCTTGACAAACATTAAGAATCTTAGAGCAGGACTGTCCTCATCATTGTCAAGCCAAGGACCGTCTTCACTCCCTCATGAGACCCTAGGGTGCATTGGTCGAGAGCACTCTTAGAGTTAGAGCCAATTTTGACTCTCGGTTCTACCCCTTATAACTCCGTTACTTTGGACAACTTCTTGGCTTTTCTGGCCCCTCCCTGTCCACCTCCCCCTTTTAAAATGTGAAATGGGAATGATCTCATTAGTAGCTACCATACGGGGTGCTGTGGGGACTCAACGGGATGATGCACTTGAACAGCTTGGCACAGTGCCTGGTATCTACTAAGTGCCCAGGAATGGTGAGCTGCTGATACCTTGATGCTTTTCCCTAACCCATGTGCTGGTGGTGTCAATGTCAAAGACTGTGAATCAGTATAGGCAGCTCCTCTCAAGGCACTGGATTTATTCGTAAATGATTTCAACCGCAGTTATTGAGTACCTACTATGTATCAAACCTTGGCTAGTGTGCTAATAGAGGAAATGGCAGCATTTCAGTAATTAAGGGTGTCATCTACAGGGGAAAATGATCATTCTCTGGAGAGAGAGAGTTTTAAGCTATTGGAGAAGAACATAGAAGGAAATGAGTGGTGTATTCAAGTCCAGGAGCAGCACCTGTGTCCCGGACCAGGGAGTGTTTACTCCTACCGAGGATGCACGCCTCACCTGCTGTCACTTCAACAGGCACGAGGAAATTGTGAAGAGAACCAATGCTAAGAATTAAAAGGGGAAATGGACTGAATCAAGTAGATAAAGGGCTCGGGTAAAAAGGAGAATAAAAAGAATTAAGGGAATAAAATATTATAAAAAAAGAACAAAATGAATTAAAAATAAGAAATGACAAAAGTTAGGACCCAAATAAAATGTGGAAAAAACCCTTAAAAATTATACACAAGTGAAAAAGACAATAAAGAAGAAAAACACCTTAAAAATTTAAATTGAGAGTATAATCATATACAATAAAATATATACTTTAAAATAGTAATGATGTAAGAATAAAAATATAGAAAATACTGAGTCAAAATAGAAAAATATGCAAAGAATAAAAACTAGAAAGAGATATGAAAGCAACATATAAAATTAACATCAATAACATCATAGTTAAAAGGGGGCTGGGCACACTGGCTCATGCACTCTGGGAGGCGGTGGCAGGAGGATAGATTGAGCCCAGGAGTTTGAGACCAGCCTGGCCATCATAGAGAGATTCTGTCTCTACAATAAAAAGAAAAATTAGCTGAACATGATGGTGTGCACCTGTAGTCCCAACCACTTAGGAAGCTGAGGTGGGAGGATTGCTTAAGCCTGGGAGGTCAAGCCTGCAGTGAGCCGTGATTATACCACTGCACTCCAGCCTGGGCAAGAGGGCAAGGCCGTCTCAAAAAAAAAAAAAAAAAAAAAAAAAAAAGTAAAAGGGAAGGTTAATGAAACGAGAAGATATATAGATTAGACAGCAAAACAAGGTAATATTAAGCTAAAATTTTTAACTATTAAAGGAAAATCATGAATAATGATGGCAAAAAAATAGTAGAAAGTAGGCAAATAGGCAAATTGGTGACTCTTACCAATACATTTTATTGGACCTCCTTTTTCTAGCAGGGTCAGCTAAACGAAGGCCACTCTTCCAGCAAACACAGCTGGACTCTTAAGCAGGCAGATCATCATGACTCTATTCATACTCTAAAGCCATGACAATTATACGGGACTATGGATGTAATTCTGATTTTCTGGATTCTGGATAAGGGAAAACTTATTACAGAAGCCTAGCAGGGTTTGCAGTGGAGTATATAGGGCACAGCGAGGCAGAGAGCAGAACAAATAGATTTTCTTGTGTGTTCCAGTGAGGTTACAGTATTCCCCAGACTAAACCAGACTCAGGATCTCCAGAGTTTAGGACCAGAGGCCAGAGAAGGGAGACTTGGCATCCGGGCCTTGCCCCACGGTCATTCTCTAGGTAGTCTTCATCTTGTGACTCTTCAGATTTTTCTCTTTGCAAAATGATCTTGAAGTCAGCCTGTCTCTGGAGAGGGACAGAATGAGTAATTTTCTTCTTATGGTTATTGTTAGACTGTTTCATGGCACAGTGTGAAGATGTGAACATGAAAGGTGGGCTGATTTCGCTCACGACTAGATTTCTTCTTTGCCAAAATATTTACCAAGTACTAATACGCCTTGTAAGTGACCAAGTATGGGGTGGTACTTAAAGAAGGGTAAGTCATGAGTCCATGCCATCTGAATTTGAGACTTTACATAATGGTAAACTACATAATGATTCTACATATGGCTTCTACATAACGGTAAACTATTTTCAAATAATCAGCATAAAATGAAAAACAGTACAAGGGAAGTCAACAAGTATAAACAGTGTTTCATGATTGCTTTACGATAGTGCCTATCTTAAGTGAACTTTCTGGATAGAAAGATAAATCCAACAATATAAATAGTTTATAACAATGGCTACAGTTTGTAAGAGTTGATGTCTTCACGTAGTTATCAGTGAATAAATGAGTCAACAGTGGTTGACTGAAAGAATAAATGAAACCTGCTGGGCCTGAAAGTGGAGGGAGAAACCTGAAGGCAGGAATCTAGGTTGTAAAGGGTGTTGAGGGGGAGTGGATGGTGTGAAGGGACCAGAAAAGGGAAACTGTGCACAGTCATAGCTTTGCAAAGGATCGATTCATTAGGAACCCAATTTCTTTCTAAGCTCTGTATCCCTAGAAAGTGCCTGGGACAGCAAAAATGATGTCCACTTGACCTCTTCCTACTGCCCTTGCTGCAGGAGAGTAGCTGGGAAGGAGTTCTGGGTATTACTTAAGAACTTTATGGCCGGGCAAGGTGGCTCACATCTATAATCCCAGCACTTTGGGAGGCTGAGGCAAGCAGATCACCTGAGCTCAGGAGTTCAAGACCAGCCTGACCAACATGGTGAAACCCTGTCTCTACAAAAATACAAAAATTAGCCAGGCATGATGGCAAGTGCCTGTAATCCCAGCTACTCGGAGGCTGAGGTGGGAGAATCGCTTGAACCCAGGAGGTGGAAGTTGCAGTGAGCCAAGATCACGCTATTGCACTCCAGCCTGGGCAACACAGCAAGAATCAGTCTCAAAAACAAAACAAAACAAACAAAAAAAGAAACTTTAAAAAACCTGACTCCCAGGGGAAGAGCAGGCTGTGGGTGAAAACCACCAGCCACCAGCTGAGTCTGCCCCAGGTAATGAATACTACTCTCTCTGCTTCTCATAGCGAAGACCCCAGGATGGCAAGGGCAAGAAGGATGAGGGGGAGGAGTCAGACACAGATGAGAAATGCACAATTTGTCTGTCTATGCTGGAAGATGGAGAAGATGTGAGGTAGGAGACCGCCATTTTGATTCCCTCTCCCCTCTCTTATAGGTATTGGTGACCAATCACTGCACCGTGTGTCTGGGAGTTGGGGTGCTTGTTTGCTTGTGCACGTATGTGCCAAGTGTGCTATAATGTGCTTCATGGTTGCCCTGGGAAGGTGGGGTATGAAATGTTCTAGATGTGTGATGCCCGGGTACGGACGCGAGGATGAAAAGTGTAGGAGAACAGTGTGGTGTTCGGTCTGAATGCGTCTAAGACAAAGTTGTGGCTTTGTTTCAGGCTGATCTGAAAGCGCTTCCTGGCGGAGGCTTCATGGTTTCCCATCTCAGCCACAGCCTCCCTCCATAGCCGGGCAGTTCCCCAGGAGTCCTAGGTGTGTGTCCCTGCTCCGCTCAGTGTCCCTCAGCTCTTGCCGGGCCTCTGACTCTCCCTCCTCTCTTCCAGACGCCTACCCTGTATGCATCTCTTTCACCAACTGTGCGTGGACCAGTGGCTCGCCATGAGCAAGAAATGCCCCATCTGCCGAGTGGACATTGAGACACAACTGGGAGCCGACAGCTGAGGGAGGAATTAGCCAGTGGACACCCCATTTCCTTCACCAGGTCCCCCCACGGCCATAGCCCTTGCAGCCAAACTTTGCCTTCTGAGCCATTTGACGTAGAGGAAAAGCCTGCAAGCACATTTTGTGGAAAGAGGAGTTGGTGGTATCGGTGTCGAGGGAGAGGAGGGGGTTGGGGAGGACCCACCTCTCCAGAATGGCGACTGTCCCCATCCGCCTGGCTGAGCAGGAGAGAGGGAGCTGGCGGTGCCCAGCGCAAGGGCGGGAAGGAGGGGCCCAGGCTGCGGAGAACCCAGGTGGGATCCTGAAGGCACTAGCTGACAGACGGGCCCCTCAATCCTGTCCTCTGAAGGATTGTATATATACCTCTCGACCACGTAGGAACCATGTAGGGGTCTCTAGCTATTTCTGTGGATGGCAGCCGGAGCATGTTAGCTTAAGAAAAATGTTGTGTGTGGTGCTCTAGTCATCTTGTGGTGGACATGTCGCTATTACCGAATTCGCACCAAATATTTCTCATTGAGTTTCTTGTTTTGGTGCCTGACCGAACCAACGACAGCCCCAATCTTCCCGTCTTTATGAGAGAAAAGGAAAAAGGAATCAAAGGTGGAAGAAAAAAAAAGCCAAATTCTGTTTACGGTGAAAAAGGATTTTGTTTTTCACCCAATTTGGGAGGCGGGAGGGGGGGGTTCTCGTTTTATTTTTGTTTTTGTTTTTACCTTGGCTTTTGTTTTTCTCATGTTTACAGTGCACGGAGTGTGGAAGGGGGTCTAGGAGAGGGAGAGCTGGAAAAGGAGCTGATGGGGTCTTATCCTGGCCTCTGAGGGTTCAGCGGAGGTGAGGAAGGCAGCAGAGCTCCAGCAGGTGAAGGGAGAGTTCATCTAGGCGGGGCTCCCCAGGCCCAGGGCTCAACTTCATGGCCCCAGCTATATCCCCCCAGTTCCACACTAAACCAGGGAGGGCTCGGCCCTCAGCTACTGGTACCCAATGTGTTCCTGGGAGCCGAGAGACCCATGGTCACTCCAACTCCTTCCTTTAGGCTGTGCTCTTGCCTGTCACAAAGAGGCAACGTAGCCACTGCCTCCCTATGCAAAAAATTAACCAGATGATGCAGATAAGACAGCATAGGTGATGGCTGCTTGGTCTTGGCCACAGTGCTCTCAGCCAGCACTAAGGGCTGAGGTCAATACCGCAGACCTTGGGGAGGAAGCTGAGCATCCCCCGGGATGTCTCCAGTCCTGACACAGTCCCTCAGAGATGGCCCTGGCTCTGAGGTCACATCAGCTAGGTTTGGGAGGCCCCTCAGCTTGGTTTGGGAGTGCCCGTGTTCCTGGTCTCTGGCTGCTTCTCTGACTCTTTGATAACCTTGGGCAAGTCCCTTTCTTTCTCTGTGCCTCAGTTTCCTTCTCCTTTGAGGGGGGAGAGAGAACAGTGCAGCCCCATTTCCGGTCCTGCTACCTCACCTAGATGTTGTGAGGATTCATATTCTCTGTCCAGCGTGTTCTATGCTCTCTTCTGAGAACCTTGTGGGGTGTCGGGATGGGGGTGCTGGGAGACACAGACCTGATACAGTATGTCTTTCTGCACCACCTCACAATTTTCCTGAACCCCAAAGGGAGCAGAGAGATAAGAGGACAGAAGAATGGAGATGGGAAAATCCACCAAATTCCAACCCAAACCCAACTTTCTTTCTCCCTATGTGGAAGACACCAGATTAGCTGGAATTCTGCCACCTTCCTTTGTGCCCCACCCCCCACTGTTCCCTCATTTGCACTGCTCTGTAAGCCTCCCCCTCACCTCCATTCATAACCCAGTCTCAATGCCCTCGTATCAATAAGACCGGGGTAAGGGGGACAGGATACTTGTCACATATTTGAAGAAATTCCATACAGTGAAGGAAATTTGAGTCTGTATTGCTGCTACAAGGGTAAAACCAGGACCAATGGGTAAAAGTAACAGGCGGGCAGATTTTGGCTTGAGGAAGAGCTTCTAGCACGACTGGTTCATGCGGGAATAGCTGCTCTGGCCACCTGCAGGCAGAAAGTGGGGGAAGTGGCTCCTGGCAGGAGATTTCTCCCAGCACTAATATCCTGGTGTTCTATAAAATCTTTATTGAGTGCCTACCGGTGCAGGCGCTGGGAGAGACAATAGCTTTGAGGAGCTCACAATCTAGCTGAGGAGACAAGACACATCCAATGCTGCAAAAATGGTGAATAACCTGATTCAGGGTTAGCAGCAATGAGTATCACAGCGTCCAACTCAGTAGCTCCAGTGTATGAAAATGTCTCCAGGGCTAAAGGCTGGAGATCTCACCAGTGGGGAAAGTACATCTGAGTCAGGATTTTGGGGGAAAGCTAGTTACTGATAGCCACAGGAAGTTGAGACTTCTGCCCCATTCTCTCCAATGGCTGGGTGAAAACCAAGAATTCATCGGAAGATGGCTTTGGCCTGGAGGTAGCTAGGGTGGTCTAGGAAGCTCACTCCTCTCTTAGTCTCAGTCTTTCATTCTTTCTGCTGAGACTGGCCTGAAAGGCTGGCAAGTGGGAGGGAGTCAGTGGGGAGGCCAGGATAGAACTAGAGCTGGTGTCCCAGGTTCCAGTCTGGGCTCTTCACTGACAAAGTGGGCAACACTAGAAACTTCCCTTTGTCTCTCTGGGCCTTAGTTTCCTCAGTTACAACCTAAGGAGGTTGGATTGGATGCTTGCTAATTTCCTTCTGACACTCACACTCCCTAACATCAACACATCTTCAAGGCGGCAGAGCTGTGCGCCCACCCAGCTATTGAAAAGGACTTTCTGTGGGCACACACTCTGTTTCAGACTGGGCTGGGGGCACACGTGCTGGGTGAGACAGTGGGCCCTCGTCCCCTCCCCCCTCCCAATTCTCTGCCCCAGGCTAATATTAGGGACTGGGGAGGGGACCACCAGAGGGGAGAGGGAAGCTGCTTACTTTGGGGGTAGACCCTGAAGCCCCTCCTCCTTCCCCCACAGATGGGGACAGGAGGTGATGGGGTGCTCAGAACCCTGCAGCTCCCACTTCTTTAGCCGGGCAGCTGTTTGGGGGACAAGAGAGGGCCAGGGTCTGTGCTTCTGCTCCCGGCACTGGTCAGGGAGTCTGGGAAGAGTGGAGAAGAGGCAGGGTCAGGCCTCAGCATCTCACATCCACCACCTCCAGGAGGGGAGACCACTGGTAAGTCCTCCTCCTGCTCAACTCAAGGGACTCAGACCCTTTCTTGACTGAGACGCATGAGTGCCTTCTGGGGTGAGAGCAGCCCCAGGGTTTAAGTTGGGCGTCCTAGCAGCTGCAGCAGCTGTGCCGCCGCGGGTCCACCGAGGACGCCAATCAATCAACCCAACACCACAAGCTTGGTTGGGTGCAAGCAGAGGGTGAGCAGGGGCTGCCCCTCCACCTGGCCAGGACCCCCTTCGGCACCCAGTTGCCCTTGGCCACCACCTGTGGCAGGACTCAAGCTCCTCTTCTGCAAATGTTCCCAGCCTCCGTGCAAGTATTCTTAACTCTTTACGCCTAATGAACAAGCACAGTTTTTCAATGGTGAAGAAAAAAGCACCAGACTTTTTTTCTTTTTTTCCTAAAGAAATCCCCTAAGCCCCCCGCCTGTAGGCGGGACAAACACTCCCTGCGTGGGGCTGTAGCAACGTCTGTCAGGCCCCCTTGTGTTTCATCTCCTGCGCGCGTAGAGCAAATGCTAGAGCGATTTCAGCTGATAGAAAAACAAAAATGAAAAAAAAAACACAAAAAACAAAAAACATGGCACGTTGCTAGTTTACAGGGTTTTGTGAGTTTAAATGCCTTATATTTAACAATCATAATTTATGACTAACTTGTAGATATCGTGGGTTCTTATTTAATTATTTTTATAGTTGTTTTGCATTTTTAATTATAATTTATTTATTTAGAAAGGATACTAATTTTTTTTATTACTCCTATTACCTCATTTTGGCGTTGTTTCTGGGAGTGGAATGCTTTGCATGCATTGGTACGATGACAAACAACTACGAATACAAAAAAAAAATTTAAATAAAATTCTGCAAACTTTATTTCGTCCGAACTATCAGGGTGTGTGATTGCAAGCTGTCCTACCGTGGTGCTGGCCTCTTTGGATACATTCCATACGAAATGCAAACCTTTGATTCTGTATGCTGTGATCTAGTGAAAAACTCCAATATAGTGACTGTATTTAGCACATATATAAATATAATTTGCACTTGTCAGCAGACTGGGGTAATCCTTTCACTTGCTACACTTGGCACCCCCCCGCCCCCACCACAACCCTGCCTCTCCATCATGAACCTGCCTTTCCTCCTCCCTCGCTCCTCCCACAACCTCAGCCCACCCAGCCGGTATCCTCTGAGGAAAGTCTTGGGGCACTAGAGGCCACTGTCTCCACCTGGCCTCCAACTCCAGAATTGGAGCCCTCCAGACATTACAAGAGGAACATCAGAGAGCCAAAAAGCCTGACTTCTTAGAAGGAGCCCTGGACTGGGGAGCCGGGAGGCTCAGGTTTTCAAATCTGCTCCATGACAGACGTCCCAATGACCTTGAGCAAGTCCCTTGGCCCCTGAGTCTCAGTTTTCTGGGTGGGGTGAGTGAGGAGAACTGGGAGATCTTTAGGGTCCCTTAGATTCAAGTAGAATGTGACACAGATCCCGTGGGAAACCACTGTGCTGTGCTGTCTCACCTTCTGAGGAGAGAAGAAAGAGGGAGAAAAGGCAGGGCATGGTGGCTCACGCCTGTAATCCCAGCACTTTGTGAGGCCAAGGTGGGCAGATCACTTGAGATCAGGAGTTTGAGACCAGCCTGGCCAACATGGTGAAACCCTGTCTCTACTAAAAATACAAAAATTAGCTGGGCGTGGTGGTAGGCGTCTGTAATCCCAGCTACTCGGGAGGCTGAGGCAGGAGAATGGCTTGAACCCAGGAGACGGAGGTTGCAGTGAGCTGGGAGCGTGCACCACTGCACTCTAGCCTGGGTGATAAGAACAAAACTCAGTCCAAAAAAAAAAAAAAAAAAAAAGAGGGAAAGAGGGAGAAAGGATTGGGAGGAGAAAAGGAGAGCAAAGAAGAAGAGAAGAATAGAGAGAGTGAGCTGAGAATTTGAGCTTGCTCAGAGTTGACTTTCGGGAGGGTTTTTGTCCTATAATATGTGGCATCCTGTGGGTGACAGGGAGGTGAGTTAGGTGGACACGTATAGGACGTGCCCTTTCATAAGGCTTGGGCAGTCATTTGGCGAGTGAGCTGAAATCCATGTCTTGTTAGAGATAGGGATGGGGTAGGCAGAAAGGAGCTCCAAACTATGGGTTTGGGATTGGCACCCCTATCCTATCATCACCCAGAGTCTTCATTGTTGAGATGCTGCCCATGGAAAACAGATTGGGACATAGATTTTGGAATCAAGGTCTCTGCTCCTGGCATCTCCTCTGTGCGTCTCCCTCTGCCTTTGCTCCCTGGGGACTGTGGGCAGGAGGAGCTTCTTCGGAGGACCGGGAGTGGGCCTCCAGTCCCCCTGCCCCTGTAGAGGAATAATGAGGGAGGACATGGGGAAGTCACTGTCAAAGGCTGGCACAGCTGTGAGCCCAATGCCTCTGAGCGAAAAGGAGAGAGAGGGAGTTCACGCCCCTGAGAGTAGCCCCCTGAGCCGGCTGGGACCTGGACTGCCTGCTTTCCTCCTGCCTCTTCCCCTTTCCCTCCTTCACAGCTTATCCTCCTTCTTCCCTCTTTACATCACTGCCTTTACCTGGTGGGGATGAGGCCCCATGGGGAAGGTGCTGATGTGGAGGGAGGAAGTGGAGACCGAGATTCGCCATACTGCCCAGGGAGGCTGTGTGAGAACTGGGCTGTGTATGGTCCCTAAAGCCTCAACTCTGCCCCAGCTGGGCGATGGGTGCCCCTCTCTGGGCTTCCTGCCTAGCTTCCCCTTCTGCCTCCAGCCTGGAGCCTTGCTTTCCCTGGAGACAAGCCCGTGGAGTCCCCCACCACACTGGAGGGAGCACGACCACCACACTGCTGGGCCTGGCAGACACCACATCTTTGGCAGGGCTCCTGGACGGGCATGCCTTATGCTGCTCTGCAGGGTCAGAGTGGAAAGGGGCCCTTTGCCCTGGCTGGCCTGTGCCCTCACCCTTGAGCCCCTCCCCCCACTCCACCCCTGGCCTCGGATGCGGCTAATTTCTCAGCCATGGAGCCAGCTGCACCAGCCCTCGAGGGGGTAATTTTGTTGCCCCTGGCAAGTGAAAGGATTATCCTCAGTGTTGATTGTCCTTTTTTGTAATCCTCCTGCTGTTCTGTTCTGTTGTGCTGTGCAACATTTTGCTACATAGACTATTTTATAGCAGAAAGCTAGAAGAATATTTATTATGAATATTAAAGCAATAGTGCATCAATGAAAAGGCGGAGACATTAGGAATTGTGTAAATGCTTAGATTCACTTTTGGTGGATTTTTTGTACTTTATTTATAACTAATAAAAATGAACTGCATTGCTAACTACACCTTATGCCTGCTGGGTGTTTATTTTGGTGTGTACCCAGGGCATGTCGGAGGAAGCCTCGCCAGGCCTCTGTCTTTGTCCAAGATAAGAGGCACTATCAGTTATCTATCTAGCTCTCACCAACTTGCCTTGTTCTCTCTCCTTTTTCTCTTATTTTCCTCTTCCCTTTCTGCCCCTCTTTCACCCTTTTCTTCCCCCCCCTTCTTGTCTCTTATCTATTTCTTTCTTGTATCTCTTTATCTCTTAAAGAATCTGTTCTATGACTGTGGACCAATCATCTAATTGACCTATTTCCTGAACTTTAGGTATGAATTGTAAAGCGGAATTTTTTTTTTTTGGTTGGAGTGCAGTGGCACAATCACGGCTCACTGCAGCCTCAACCTCCTAGATGCAAGCCATCCTTTCACCTCAGCTTTCCAAGTAGCTGGGACCACAGGTGCATGCCACCATGCCTGGCTAATTTTTTTTTAAATTTTTTTTGTAGAGACAGGGTTTTGTTATACTGCCCAGGCTGGTCTCAAACTCTTGAGCTCAAGTTATCTCCCAGCTTAATCCCAAAGTGCTGGGATTACAGGTGTGAGTCACCATGCCTGGTCGAAAGTTCCCATTTTTGATCAATCTTCAAATGAGTGTTTGAACTGGAGGGCTACTCGGATTCTCTGTAAAAGAGAAGGAACTTGATTTTCAATGGGTGGTTGATTTTCTACTCCCTTATAAAAGCCCATGCTCACAAGCTCCTTGCATTGTCTAGAATCTGCCCTCCAAAAAGTTTGGGGTCAGTGAATGAAAAACTGCAAACAGAACCCACATTAATGAACTTTGAAAAAAATAGTAATTTATTTTGTAGGGCAGTTTTAGGTTTACAGAAAAATAAGCATAAAATACAAAGATTTCCACCTACCCTCTCATCTCCACACCAGTTTGTCCTATTAGTAACATCTTGCATGTGGTGCATTTGTTATAAATGATGGGCCAATATTGATGCATTAAATAAAGCCCATAGTTTACATTAGGTTAATGAATGTTTAGATTCTTAGTTTTCATTCAAGTGAGATGAACCCAAGTCTGGAGTTTTCCATACCTTTCTCTCTATGTCTCATTTGATCCATGACCTCCCCCGGCCAGTCCTGTGAATGTGGCATGACATTTCTCTTCTCTGGCTCTGCCGGTGTGGATGGTAGCCTAAGCTCCTTCCAGCTCTAAAATCCCACAAGTCTCTATTTCAAGTTCCTACCTCCCTCTATTATCCGTTTGTCTGTTTAATCTGTTAACATTTACAATGGAGGTTGATCCTGGGAGGAAAGGTCTGGGCTGCTTTTGGGGTGAAGGGAGAGGGTCGAGGAGAGCATTTCTCTTTCCTTGGATTTTGTGTCCACTCAACACATGAAAATATATTCAGTCTTCCTAGCCTCTGCTCCCGCCCCTTTCCCATTGCAGCACCCAGGAGAAAGGTTCTCAGAAAACATCCAGGTACGTGCCCTGTGACTTCCTGTCACCATAATGACCCCCCAGGTTAAGGAGGAGTGGAATCTGTCATCATCTCACTCCCAGACACTCTTGGGTGCCTCCCAGCCAGTACTTTTCTCCCTACAGCTCCCCCCATCCTCCCCACCACCTGCAACCTCACACCTGGCTCCTTGCTCTCTCTCCTCCCCAGTGCTCTGCAGGCCATGGGAAGCCCCTCTCACTCCTGGGAAGTGGGAAACAAGATCCTTCTCTTGCAGGCATTGTCCGGTCGCCCTCCCTTTGGCCCTCAGTTACATGCCCTCTTCAGCAGTCTTCAACCTGGCAAATAACACGTCTCCACTCACACTTACCCACCACTGAGTGGCCTGGGATTTCCACCCTGGTCCTCCAACCAGTCAGAGCAGCTACTCTTTGGTCTGTTTTAAATATGGAGCTTCCGTTGAACATATCGTTTGATAAAAAGCCCACGCTTGCGCTTCCTGTGCTAGCTGCTTGCTGTGTGACTTTGGGCAAGTTACTTAAGCTCTCTGTGCTTTGGCTCCTTCATCTATAAAATGGGGATAATAATGGTATCTGCTGCATAGGCTTTTATGAGGATTTGATGAACATAATATGTGTAAGCACTTAACGTGTCTCGAACACAGTGAGCATTATATAAATATTAGCTATTATGATGATGATGATATTTATTTTTTTAAACCCTGCCTTCTGTTGGCTCTCTCTTTGATCCTCTTGGCTCTCCTCCCTCTCCTTTTCCTAGATGGTTTCCCAGACCTTATCAATATCTACCCTTCTCCTCTGCCCACTTCCTGCCATGGTCAGCCACCAGCAGTCCCTGTCCAGCAGGGGGCTGGTGGCTGAGGCCTCAGCACCACGACTTCTCAAATCACTGATAAAACAATTTTTTTTTCTGCATTTGGTTGGAAACTCTAGAAGAAAAGGCACATTGAGGCCACTAGGCTGGAAGAACAGACCCATCTTCCCTCCAGTTCATAAGCAACCTCCCCTGCACCACCCTTCAGGTGCCCCTACCAAAACTACCCCTTCTGCCTTCTGAATTTAGGACAAATGTACTTTTCTCTCCAGGCCCTTCTGTCCAAAACCTCCTTTCCTAGAGACTCTATTTACTCCCTTTGTCCAAGGCTGAGATGGCCCTATCTGTTCCCTTGAAACTCCCTTATGTTACCCTTGCTCAGGGCATTTTGGGATGTCTATGGGTGGTTGGTGCCTGGTGCCAGGCTCTGAAAAGGAGCTGGGAGTAATGGGAGTGCCTGTTCAGGATGGACACACTAGGGGGTCCTCAGGAAGTAGGGCACCCATAGCCCTGTCCGAACTCATCCATTTGTACCCCACAAATCAATATCCAGAAAGGATGTATCTGGACTGAGCTAAGTTTGCTTGTACCAGAATTTTGGATGAAAAGGGTTGTTTAGCCAAAGAACCAAGAAAACAACATTAGAAGGCTTTTGTTTAACCTACTTAAAAGTGAGAGTGTTTTTTAGACTTCGGTGCAACAGTTTGTATGTAAATAGCTTGTGCTAATTGCAAATAAGTCTTATCTCTTCTTTAAAGTAGACCCTGAGGGATTTTTATCTGGAAATACTTTGTTAGCAGTTACTCCAAAGCAATATAATTACTGTTCTCTCAAACATTCTTTAATACAGACTTGTGTCTAAATCAGGGGAGGAAAGAAGGAGCTAATATAAAACCTTGTCACTCACAAAGCCATCCTTATAAGGAAGAACTTTCGAGCCATGTGAGCCGTCAATACCCAAGAGGGTGTGGGGAGGGAATGAGCTGCTCTTGCAAGGATTGCAGGAAAAGAAAGGGAGGTGCTGGGGGCGGGGAAGGAACCCTCCCCTTCCTTTGTTTTCTTCACCCTGTGCCCTAATGAGAGGCTTGGCCAGAGGAGAGGTGGCATTTCAGCACAAACTGTCTATCCTGGACCGCAGGATGTTAGCAGAATGGGTATTGGGGTGAGATAGGTTGAGGGAGGAGGCCCTTTTCCAGAAAAGGAGCTGTACACACTCACCATGCTGGCTGCCTGGTCTCAGCCTCAGGATTAGGACTGTTGGGATACAGAGCTCTAGGGCAGCTATAGGTAGAAGAGTAGCTTTCTGCTGGGGCCGGGACAGGAGGCGTTCACTCTCAAGCGCCAGCCCTGCACTTGCATGAGCTTGAGGTTAGGTGCCTCCTTACGTTTTGCATCCTGGGCCTTTGCTTGCCTCACCTTAGTCCCGGCCCTGCTTGCTGCCCTGCCACAAGTATGAAGACTTATTGAAATGCAAAACCTGTCCAGGTGTAGTGTAATCTCAGCACTCATGCCTATAACCCCAGGGCTTTGGGAGGCTGCTGGAAGAACACTTGAGGCTAGGAGTTTGAGACCAGCCTGGGCAACACAGTGAGACCCCTGACTCTACATAATTTTTTTTTTTTAAATCAGCTGGTCATAGTGGTGTACACCTGTAGTCCTAGCTACTTGGGAGGCTGAGGCAGGAGGATTGCTTGAGCCCAGGAGTTCAAGCTTGCAGTGAGCTATGATGGTGCCACTGCACTCCAGCCTAGGCGATAGAGGAGACCTTGTCTCAAAAAAACAAAAACAAAAAAAAGCCTGGGCGTGGTGGCTCATGCCTCTAATCCCAGCACTTTGGGAGGCCGAGACGGGTGGATCATGAGGTCAGGAGTTCAAGACCAGCCTGGCCAAGATGCTGAAACCCGTCTCTACTAAAAATACAAAAATTAGCTGGGCGTGGTGGCACGTGCCTATAATCCCAGCTACTTGGGAGGGTGAGGCAGGAAAATCGCTTGAACCCAGGCGGCAGAGGTTGCAGTGAGCTGAGATCACACCACTGTACTCCAGCCTGGGTGATAGAGCAAGACTCCGTCTCAAAAAAAAAAAAAAAAAAAAAGAAAAGAAAAGTTCAGGCCAGGGTAGGATGGGGTAAGACTTGGAGGGAGTCCCCCTCCTGGAGACTTCTCATAGGCACCTATCATTCCTTCCTCACAGTAGACAGCAGGGATGAGGGCAGTAGCCAGGCTGGGCACAGCAATCAGGGGAGAGAATGTGGCAGGAAGGCCACCTTTCCAGACCCTTCTCCCCACGCCCTTGTAAGGGGTTCTCCCCTCTCCTTCACCTGCAGCCTCAGCATGGCCTGGGAGGCAGAGGGCTGACTGGAATGAGTCAAACAATAGAGCTTGCCCAGGGCCCCAGCATCCCCTAGGGAAAATCAGTGCCCATCCCAAAAAAGCCATCTCATCCTGTAAAAGTATGGAGCTGGGATCTGGCTGATGAGACTCCTGGCCCCTCCCTCTCCCCCTCCCCAACCACACACCTGCTCCCACTTCCTCCACTGCTGCCCCAAGGCCTGCTCCCGAGGGGTCCCATCCGGGCACCCAGGGTGTGGAGGGCCCCCATCAGACAGCCAGGATCAAGCCCAGCCTTGCCCCTGTGTGACCGTCAGCAAGTCAGAGACCCTCTCTGGTTCTCCGTCCTTGCTCCTATAACGCAGAAATGCTGCACTGGCGAGGGGCCTCATCCCACCTTCTTTGTTCCCCCCCATATCTCCATAAACAACATGGCTGCCTCTGGTTTCAGGAGGCTCCCCTTGGGTGAAGTGTAGTCTCTGCTTTCTCGCTGCTACCTGAAACTCATTATTACCTTCTAATTCCTTTGAATAAACCAGTAGGAACTGCTTTGTTAAAAATGGAAGATGTGTCAGAGGTGTGTTTTTAGGTACATGTTTCTGAATCTGTGGCTGTAAGGGTTTGAGGTAGCTTATGATAATACATAAAGTGTCCTTATATACACATTTGTAGTTATTTATTTATCTAAAGCCAGGACGTAGCAACTAAAAGCTGGAGATGGCTCCATTTAAATTCAGAGATTAAACTCATTTGTTCTGGAAGCTCCTCTTAAAGAACCACAAAAGAATCAGAAACACTTAAATCCACTGGGTCTAGGCCATGAGAAATGTCAACAAAGTGTTGCAAGATGAAAGAGGATGGATGAGATGAAACCGATTAGCAGAGAGAAGAAAACTGACACCTCCTAGCCTGCGGCTGAGAAGTCAATGTGAAGGAAGCTTCTTAAGAATTGGAAGCGCCAGAAATCTCTAAAGGGTGGGGTACAATGAAGGAGCTGAAAACGAGAAGATGGGTTGGAAGTTTAAGGAGCAGTTAGAGACTGGGATTCCTTTCCCACCTCCAGCCAGGGACCTACTCACCTACTCCCATAACCCATATTCCAAAGACATTTACTCTCTGGAGAACTGGATCTGAGGCCCTGGGCCTGGGGACAGTAGGCTCAGGGGAAGATGGCAGTGTGGGGCCGCACAGCTGGCAGTGGACGTGAAAGCCCTCACTCTGCGCTCTCAGGCCACAGCACGCACCCCACTCCACGCTTGCTTCCCAGATGTGGGAAACGTGTCTGGACTTCCATAAAGACATTTCTGTATGAGTCTTCATCTGGGGGCAGGAGGCATTGGCCTCTCCTAAGAGGCCTGCAAGGCCATTTTCCCTGGTGCCCTTTGGCATGGACTGGGGATATGGCTTTAGGGACAGAGGGTGGGGCAATTCTGCAGGAGGCCATAGCAGTGGCATCAAAGCACTCAGCTCTCTGGGGGCAGAGTCCCATCTGTGAATGACCTAGAACTGGAGGAGTGCCCTCAAGCTCTCTTCCACATATACTGGTAGCCTCATTTGGGATCAAAACCCAGCAGCCCAGGATGAGCTACAATGTTCGTTTGCCTGAGCTTTCAGTGCAGATACTCAGCTGTGAGTAAGGGTATTTGCACAATGAGCTGGAAACATTAAGGCACACACACAGGGTTTTTCCAGAACAGATAGGAATAAGGATGAATTCAGTCTCGCCAGTTACTAGAGTCATCTCCCTGGACTGGGGAGCCTCCTAGGGAGCCTTCTGCCATGGGCAGGCTGCAAGGTCAAAAGCCCAGAGCTTTGGGAGAGCTGGAGGCATCAGCAAAGACAAGGTTAAGGTATGGCGGGAGGGGGAGTAGAGCCCTGGCTGGAATACCAGGGAAGAGGAAATGGGATGCTGGAGTCAGTGTTTACCTTTATCATCTAGCCCTGGGGCAGCCCTGTTTCAACAGCTTGCTTCTGAGGCTGAAGTTTTCTTGGCAATAGCCTGGCAGCCTCTCCCTGCAGAGTGCTGAGCTGGTTCCAAAAGACAGCAGGATCTCTTGGAGAGCTGAAAGTCTCAGGTTTCAGATTTTTGTCTTTGTTGGAGTCATAGTGGGACAGAACAAGAAAAAAAGTGAGAGTGCATCTAGTCACTAGAGTTACAAACCTAATAAGTGGTAGGGCTGAAACTGATAATGACCGTTAACACTTCCTAAGCCCTTACTGGGTGCCAGACACTGTGCTAAGCCAGTTACATGAACTGCCTCATTCATCCTTATAATAATTCCATGACATTGGGATCATCTCCAATTTTCAGGGGAAAGGGAGGCAGAGGGTAGTTCCATAACTTGCCCAAAGTACACTGCTAGGAAGTGAGGCTGGGATTTGAACCCAGACTCCAGAACACTCAACTCTTATCCCAGGCTGCTCCCCTAAGACCCAGGTCTCTGAATCATAGTTCTTGGCCTTTGGCTTTACTCCAGGGATGTCCAGGGATGCACAGAGGAAATGGAGGACCCAGAGAGAGAGTCCCTTCTTCAGACTATGACACCAAAGATGCTCCATCTCTCCCCTGAACACCAGACTCCTAGTGGGAACTGCCTACCCATGGGTCTACCTAGATGTCCAAGAAACAGCTTTACTATGAACTCTCACTCTCCCCTCACCATGTAAAATAAAACCGCACAGTCAAGCAAGACAAAAGCGTCTGTTTTTCCCATAGTCTTCTCCATCCCAAGAAATGGCAACCCCATTCTTTCAGGTGCACAGGGGTAACTTTTTTTTTGGTCAACATTGACTCTTTTCTTGGTCTCACATCTTGCATTCAATCCATCAACATAGCCTGTGGCTCTGCCTTCCAAACAGACCCAGAATCTGACCACTCTGAACTACAGTCAGCCCTCCATATCCTTGGGGAATTGGTTCCAGTACTCCTGCGGATATCAAAATCCACAGATGCCTAAGTCCCTGAGCAAAGCCCTCAGTCACAGGCTTTGCCTCTATGAATATAGAGGATCTCTGCACTTTCACTGCTACCAACCTGGTCCGGGCCAGTCTCATCTCATGCTAGGGCTATTGCAGTAGCCTCCCAGCAGATTTCCTGCTTCTACACTATAATCTATCCTCAATATAGCAACCCCAGTGATCTAGTTAAAATGTAAGTTAGATGATGTCATTCTCTGCTCATCCAATAGCTACCCATCTCTTTCAGAGTACATGCCAGAGACCTTCAAGTGCCTTCAAGGTCCCGCAGGACTCATCACTGCTCTGACCGTATCCCTTATTGGCTTGCTTGACCTCATGCTGTTTCTGCTACAGTGGCCTCCCTGAAGTTTCAACAACATTCCAGGTTTATCTTTGCTTTTCCATTTGCTTGGAGTGCTTTCCCCTCAGATGTCTACATGGCATCATCTCATCTGCATTAGGGATTTATTTATTCAATATCAAGTTTTCACCACCCTATTTAAAGTTGCAAACATCCCCCATGTCTCTCTTCCCTACTTTATTTTTCTTCATTATGCGTTTCCATATGACATATCATACAGTTTATATATTTGTTTGTTTATATCTGTTTCCCCCAGTTAGAATATAAGCTCCATGAAATCCAGGATTTTCGTCTCTTTTGCTTGCCACTTTTTCCCCAGCATTGACATATGAATGAATGACCAGGGGTAACTTCTACTGAATGGCTCTAGACTGGACCAGGACTCCTGGTGTTGTCCTTCCTCAGCCCCAACAATATATAGAACCTCCCTGAGGCAAAGGGTCCAGTGGATCCCCTGAACAATCTTCTCTTCTATCCACCTCAGGGGTGAGCCCAGGGCCACTGTCTCTCAATACACAATGTACATGCCCTAAGGAGGGTTTGAAATCTGAAGTTCCCAAACTTGGGAATTTCATTAAAAGGAGAGCTGGGCTGCTAGAAGGTTAAGTAACAGGTCTTTGGAGAAATGACTCAGACTGGCTAAGGGGCTCTTGGGCAATAGTTGAGGGATTGAGAAGAGTATACTGATCACAGATGATGAGGTTGGGCTTCCTCAAGTCCTTGAGCTGGGATGAGTCTCATCATAGAAAATATTCTAAGCCATGAAATAGACTCATTTACCTACACACATCCATCCACTCGCCAACTCTCCATCTATCCATCCACCCATCCACTCATTCATCCACCCTCTCACCCATCTGTCCATTTATCCACTCACCCATCCTGTCAACCAGTCAGCCAATCAGCCAGCCAGCCAGCCAGCCAGCCACCCAGCCACCCAGCCACCCAGCCACCCAGCCACCCATTCACCCACCCATCCACCCATTCACGCATTTACCCATCCATCCATCCACCCACCCATCTATCTACCCATCCACCCATTTATCCATCCACCCACCCACCCATTCATCTATCCATCCACCCATCCACCCACCCATTCACCCGTCTATCCATCCATCCACCCATCCATCTATCCATCCACCCATCCAACCACCCACCTACTCATATATCCATCCATCCACCCATCCAACCATCCATTCATCCATTCATCCACACACCCATCTATCTACCCTTTCACCCATCCACCCACCCATCCATCCATCCATCCACCCACCCATCCAACCATCCATTCATCCATTCATCCACACACCCATCTATCTACCCTTTCACCCATCCACCCACCCATCCATCCATCCATCCACCCACCCACCCATCTATCCACCCATCCCCCCATCCACCCACCTACCCATCCATTCATCTATCTATCCATCCATTCACCACACATGCACTTAGTACCCACACTATGCCCTGGGGCCTGTGCTAAGTGCTGGGGTTACAGAGATGAGTGAGACCTAGCTTTTCTTCTTAAGGACTCACACTCCAGTTAGGAAGACACATGAGGAGACACACAATTCCAACATACTTCTCATAGATGTGGGTGGGCTTCTAGCTCTGTCTTGGGGGAGGGGTAATGGAAATGTTTCCTGGAGTGATTGGAGGCCTTGAGTTGAGATGTAAAGAATGTGATGCACAGAAAAGGGGCTTCCAGGAGCCTGATTAGAGGGGCCCAGAACTTGCCTCCTCCACCAAGAACAACCAAAACAGCGAGTAGATAACCAAACATCAAATAGAGCTTCCAAGAGAGAACACTAGAATTCAGCAGGGAAGTGACAGGGAACTTCTAAAGCATGGAAGGAGAAGGCAGGGATTGGCTCAGAGCCAGGAGGGGAAAAGGTAAGCAAGAGATCCCCAGTGGTCCACATTACACTGCAGACTCCTGCAGTCCTCATCATGGGAGAGTCCTTCAGCCCTCATGGGCCCTGAGACAAGTATGGAGAGCTGCCTGGAGCCCATGCGACTGCATTTCTCCAGAGATCGTGTTCATGCCGAGTCCACACACCCCCTGAGATCAAAGTAGCTGCAGCACAGCACCATCTTAAGAACCCAGCCACCACCAGACTATATCCTGCCCAGGGCCCAAAAACCCCTGCATCTCCACATCCCTGGAGACCCACCCACAACCCCCACATCTACCCAGGGGGCTGCAGCATTGCAACAATGGCTGGACCCAGGAGTGTGACCAAGTCCCCAGCACTCTAGCCCACGTAGTATCCTATACCTTGAGGGATGGGTGATGCAGCATGCCAAGGAGTCTCCCCTGGGGACAAAGGGACCTGAAGTGTGTGCTCCCCAGAACCTGAGGGCCACCTGCCCTGGACTGCTGCCATTGCCCTTCAGCAGCAGAGCAGCAGGTCATGATCTCACTCAGAAGTGGGAGATAAGAAAGTTGTTCTCATGGAGGTAGAGAGTAGAATGATAGTTATCAGAAGCTGGGAATGGGGTTGGGAGGAATACAGAGAGGCCGGTTCATGGGTATAAACATGCAGTTAGATAGGAGGAATATGTTCTAGAGTTTTACAGCACAGTAGGGTGACTCTAGTTAACAATAATTTATTGTATATTTCAAATTAGTTGGAAGAGCAGATTTGAAATGTTCCCAATACAAGGAAATGATAAACATTCGAGGTGATGGATATGCCAATTACCCTGATTTAATCATTACAGATTGTATACATGTATCAAAATACCATATGTACCCCACAGATGTGTATAATTATTATGCATCAATTAAAAAAAAAGAATGTGGGCCGGGAGTGGGGACTTTGGGAGGCCGAGGTGGGTGGATCACCTGAGGTCAGGAATTCAAGACCAGGCTGGCCAACATGGTGAAACCTCATCTCAACTAAAAATACAAAAATTAGCTGGGCCTGGTTGCATGTGCCTGTAATCCTAGCTGTTTGGGAGGCTGACACATGAGAATCACTTGAATCCAGCAAGTGGAGGTTGCAGTGAGCCGAGATCGTGCCACTGCACTCCAGCCTGGGTGACAGAGTGAGACATCATCTCAAAAAACAAAACAAATCATAATAATAAAAAAAGAATGTGAAGCACAGTGCCTGGTAGGGTGGAGGAATGGATGGGTGGCAAGGAGACTTCAGGCACAGATCAGCCCTGGCAGAGGACAGCAGAGAGGACAGTGTGTGTGACATTGCTGGGGGCCACCCTGCTGGGCACAGAGCTGTGGGCGACTTGCCCAGATGGAGATGGCCCAGGTCCAGGGACTTGGAGAACCAGGTAGGGGGCAGGGGGTGGGGAGGCCTGTGGGTAAGAAAGTGCCCCGGAATGGACCAAAGGTATTAATGAGTTTTAATGGAGCTCTCGAAGCAATAGTTTCCTCAGATCCCAAGTCCTCTGAGGAAAGCCGAGCCAGCAGGGCAGGTAAAGGATGGCCGGAAAGCTCTCTAAGGTCCTGGGGTATGTTGTTGAGCCAGGCCAGCACTACCCCATCGATGGTAAGCCAAAATTCACAGGACACACCAGCAACAGGATGGTAACGGGTTCCTCCTGTACCAGCAGTGGCCGAGTCACCCACAGATGCCACACTCTGCAGTGAGAGCCCTGTGTATCTCTTGCCAGAAGGACAGGGCAGAGAACCAGTTTGGACTCTGGGCTGCACACTCATCTCCAGGTCCTGACAGGGAATGGGGAGGCTGAGAGGAGGCAGTGGATTCGAGGGCAGGACATCCTGAGAGGCCTGCTGTGGGGCTGAGCGTGCGCCCTGCCTCCTGGCTGCCCTTGAATCTGAGGCAAGCGACTGGGGCTTCAACAGGGCTATGTGAGATGGGGTGTGACCATACACGGCAGACAAGCTGCCTGCCCACTCTGGAGACATGGCTGGGATGAGATGGGCTGGCCCCGGTCACAGAGAGGTGAGTGGCCTGAACGGCTGGAGTGTGTCAGAGAGAAGGGTGCCCGAGGGCCTCTTGTGGAGTGTCTCAGATCCTAAACAAGAGGACAGTGTGGAGGGTGAACCCACACAAGTGCTCATGAAAGTCTAAACACCTGCCAGGTCTGGAAACAAAGACACTAGCCACAATAGCAGCCCTCAGACAGGAAGCTGCCTGCTGCCTTCACCTCTCTTCCTCCCGCAGGAGTCTGAAACCCTGGGTCACCAAAAGGCAGGAGGAGGAGGGACAGGGCAAGGCAGGGGAAGAGAGGGGAGGCTGACTCACATACACACATATGCATGCACACATCACACCCACATTCATGTACACACACACAGATTCACATGCATGCACAGCACAATCACACACTTGTATACACACACAGGCACACAGATTCACATGCATGCACACACTGCACTCGTGTTCACACACACATGCCTTCACACACCCAGATACACTTGCATGCACACACACCACACCCACACTTGTGTACACACATGCACACATATTCGCATGCACGCACACACACCTGCACACACACTGATGTGTGCGCACACACATGCTCTCACACATCTTCACATGCATACATTCACCCTACACACACCCACACTCATGTACACACACATGCCCAGTGATTCACATACAGGCACACACCACATATATACTAATGTGTACACCCACACATTCAAACACACACTATACCTTATACCTGCACACTACATAATACACTCACTGCACACACACTCACACCCCTCCCTCACTGTGGGCCCACCTGTGACGGGACTGAGCCAGGAGATGGCAGGAAGCTTAATTTTAAGTTTGATGTTTTAATCTTTACTTTGGGGCTGGACATTTAAATTATAGAATGGAGATGGATTTCATGACTTAAAGTGTTTGTTGGACTTTTTATTACCTACTGGAGTCCACAGGAGTTGTGAGGCTTGTCTAAATTTTCATCTAGGGACAGGGGAAGAACCAGTTCCACAGAAGGAGATGGAAACAAAGCTGTTTAATGATGCCATCTTCCCCTCCCCATCCCCCAAGTCCTGCGTGTTCAGCATGGTGGATATACTCACTATCTGGTGTAGGCACTGAATTTAAACTACATACACATGAACTCATTTAGTCCTCATCATAACCTACAAGGTGGGCATTGTGATCATTCCCCCTGTGTTACAGATAAGGAAACTGAGGCCCAGAGAGAGAAAATAATGTGCCCAAGTTCTCACAGTTGCAAAGAGGCAGAACGGGGATTTAAACCCAGGCTGGTTGCCCCCAGAGCCTGTGCATTTAACCTCTCTCTGAGAGATCTCTGAGAGGGGCCTGAACTTGCCTCAGGGTCCTGAAGCCTCACTGCGAGTTTAGACCTTTCTGGGACAGAGGGTGCAGGGACAGCAAAGTGGCAGAAACACTGGTCCTGGGGTGCCCTCCTGTAGGGATATTTTCCAGCCCGACCCACCTTGTTGCTGTCCTTTTCTCTACAGGAAAATCAGAAGTTAGGTGCTGAGCTCTGCGAAGTCTTGCTGTGACTTTGTGACTGCCGATCAGGGAGAGTGTGTGTGCATGTGTGAATCTGTGTGGGTACTCAAATGTACAGTTCTCCTGCTGCCTCTCCATCAAGGTCACATTCCCCTTGAGGGTAAAGACCAGGTCTTCACTTTGTTCCCAAGCCCCTCTCAGCTCTCAGTCCAAACCTTGCCCACAGAGAGCCACAGGTGATAATCACCAAATAACCTCAATGACCCTGCTTTCTCTCCCGGCCTTAGAGTGCCAGTGACCAGGCTGTTGCAGGTGCCATCCCTATCACCTTTGTGTCCAGTCCTGACTGTGTTAGCACAGGCTGGGATAACCAGCAGGCACTTGCCAATGCGTTCTCTGTAAAGTGATGGAAAGAATTATCTACTTTTCACAGGCTCATAAATCCCCCGGCAAAACACTTCTTCCTGAGGTTTTTCTCCACTTGCCACTGGGTTTATTGAAACTGGGGAAAAGTATACACTTCTTAGCAAGCAGATGCTAAGATGAGTTCTTTATAGGATATGGTTGGTAATAATTTAATTAGCCTAGCTTTTTTGGGGAAAAGTGTTAATTAGTTTTTGCTTAAAATACACCATCTTGATGGCCTCTGCTTCTCCACTTCTATCCCCTGGGTGAAGACTCAATTTCTCATCCACACTCTGCAGCAAGTCCCAGCCTGGTCACTACTGTTATTACAGAAAAAGGAAATACAAAAAATTATTTTTGGGCAGCCACAGATTATGACACATGCTAATTATTATCACTGTAGGTTCAATAAACTGGGGGTAGGGTGGGGAGCAGGACCCCATGAAGTTCTCAGTGGACTGCTAGCCCCCAGTGCCAATGCTAGAGGCTTTGAAGGGCTGCTGACCGCCAAGGTGGAGGGCAGAAATGTGAGATTGGGGCATCTCAGTGAGAGGGTGGGGGCCCTAGCCCCTCAGACAGAAGGGAAGAGGTCTCTCCAGGTGAGTCCATCCCCCCGCTTCTTGTCCAGCCACCTGCCACAGTTGAAGATGGTGGCCACGCCGGTGCTGGTGTTGGTGACCTCCACCTTCTCCACCAGCCAGCCTGAGCAGTAGCCACTGCTGTCGTGCTCCAGGCGCACCTTGCGCAGCTCACCCAGCTCCAGCGTCTCCAGGAAGAAGCGGTCTGTGCTGCCCCGCTCGAAGAGGTTGCGCATTTTCTGCTTCAGCTCCCGCTTGCCTGTGTCTCCGTTGGCCCCAAAGATGGTCACGAAGACGTTGGCATCAGTGCCTGCCCCTGGCTCATAGCCTGTTGTCACGATGACTTCGTACTTGACGGGCACCAGGCTCTGGACCTTGCTGGCAAAGCTCTCTGTCGTCTTGGTAACCTCGAATACCTTGAAGTACTTCCTCTTCCTCTTGAGGGGGATGAGGCAGTCACAGTTAAAGAAGTACCTGGCAGAGAGGTGGGAGAGTGGAGGGGTAGGGGCTAAGCAGACCCCAGCCGAGGCTGCTCCCTCCCCCAGATCCCCTTGCTCATCTATAAATGATCCCTTCCCAAGGTGATGGGATATTGGAGCTGGAAATGTTGGTTTAAATGTGCGTATGGATTCTTGTTTAACTTCAAATTCACCATGGACGGGCATCTCCATTCTTCCAGTTGCTTCTTGATTCTTCTACTTCTTTTTTGCCCCTCATACTCCATGTCCAATCCATAAGCAAATCCTGTTGACTTTATTTTTTTTTTCTCACCATCTTGGCCAGGCTGGTCTGGAACTCCTGACCTCATGATTCACCTGCCTCAGGCTCCCAAAGTGCTGGGATTACAGGCGTGAGCCACTGCGCCTGGCCGACCCTATTTTTAAGATATATCCAGAACCAGCCCACTTGAAAACTGTCTAGTATCTATCTGCCCTCCTGCTACTTGGGTCCAAGTCACCATCATCTCCTATTTGGAAATTATCAAGAGCCTCCTAACTGGTCTTCTAGCTTTTTGCTACCTGTGGTCAATTCTCTATGAAGCAGCCATGTGATCCTATTGAGAGGTAAGCCCAAGTATGTCCTTCCCCTGCTCAGAACCCTCCAGTGGCTTCCCATGTCAAGTAAAAGCCAAAGACTTTACAACGGTCTGCAAAACTCCTCATGATCTGACTCTCCTCTTCCTGTGTTTTCCTTTATTCATTTTTATGTATTTTTAATTTTTATTTTCTTTAGAGACAGGGTATCAATTTGCTACCCAGGTTGGACTGCAATGGCGCGATCATAGCTCACTATAACCTCGAACTCCTGGGCTCAAGTCATCCTCCTGCCTCAGCCTCCTGAGAAGCTGGAACTATGAGCATGCACTATCATGTCCAGCTAATTTAAAAAAATATATTTTTGTAGAGATAGGGTCTCACCATGCTTCCCAGGCTAATCTTAAATTTCTGGCCTCAAGCAATTCTCCTGCGCTGGCCTCCCAAAGCACTAGGATTACAGGTGTGAGTCACTGCACACAGCTGTGCTTTCCTTTCTCACCTGTCACCTGCTCTTTTCCAAGCTCACTCCCATCTGCAGATACTCTTGCTCCCTTAAAGGGACTGGTTAATTTTTGTACCTGGTGTTGTCACCTTTAGAGGGAGTTGCTGAATCCAGAGTGACAATTTTAGGCAAAACCAAGTGGAAATATGACTATTAAATGTACGCTCCCAGATCCCTTACACTTGGCTGAGTTGAACAAAGAGTTTGTATATATATGTATGTGTGTGTGTGTGTGTGTGTGTGTGTGTGTTCATGGACTGCAGAGTACAAAGGGAAAGAGAAAGTCCTCTATCGAAGAAGCCATCACAAGCAGAAGCAAGTCTAGAGCCAAGAGAATGGTCTTGGACCAAGAAGTCCTCCCAAACCTTCTCTTGCACATCCCCAATTTTAGCCTCTGGGTAATGACAGTGGGTTCAGGAATTATAAAGGAAAAAGCCAGACAGCATGGTGGGAAAATGCTGCACAGGATGTGAGAGGGCATGGTCTGCCCCAGCCCTGCCACCTACCATCTGTGTGACCTTGGACAAGTCACATATCCTACCCAGATCTTGATTTTCCCATTGGCGAAGCTGGAGGTTTGGACTGAACAATTGCTATGGTTTCTTCCCACTCCAAATTGCTAATATGCTAACACCTTTGAAAACAAGCTGTCTTGGTGCTGGCTAACAACTTCAGGAATGCAACACTGAAAAGGTGTGCCCAATGGTGCAAAATCAAACCCTATTTTAGATGAACATTCTTAACAGAAAAAAAAAAAAACAAAAAAAAAAACACCTTTGGTTTTTTGCCTGCTTACACAACTCCAGGACTTTGCATTCTTGAATCTCATTAGCTCCCACAACAACCCTGGGCATCATCCTCCCATTTCATAGGAGGAGGAACTGAGACTTGAAGAAGAAAAGTCAGCGCTTAAGGTGACCCAGAGCCAGAGCCTGCCTGGCCCTGAAGAATAAGCCATTTAAAGACATTTGCAGGAAATCCTTATTCTGTTTTGAGATCCTTCTTCCCCCAATTTATCACTTGATAAATTTGGATTGTTGTTACATACTACAATTTCTTAGAGGAGGAGATACTTGCATTGTTTTAAAATTCTCTTAAAATGTATTTCTTTATGCATATGCCCACTAATATGCATCATTCTATATAAATACAAAAATCATCTGATCATATACATACTTTTCTAAACGTACTTTTTTTTGCTCCCTCTTTGCTTGGCTCTCTTTCTTTCTCCTTCTCACTTCAGCATCGCTTCTCCTCAGATAACCCATGTAACAGTTGAGGGTGTAGCCTGCCAAATTTCCCTCCATTTCACCCAACCCTGCACAGACCCACGTGTACATAGACATATGGGGATGTCAGTGTTCCCTTTACAAAACGGCATCACATAAGACATGTTTTCCTGTGTCTCGCTTTTCTCACTCAATAATACTTCCTGGGAATTGCTCCAAGTCATCTGGTATGTATTTAATTCATTATTTTTGATGGCTGAAAAATATTCCCTGGTGTAGATATAAGGAAATGTTTTCTGATAGACATAATTATAGGATCACCAAAATGTGGGCCCTGCAGACTTACACAAAGCTCTGGCTTTGGAAGGACACTCAGCGGGCTGCTCCTGCTAGAAAGGGGGGAAGGTGTCCAGCCAGAGTAAAGGCAAAAGCAGAGAAAAATGAGCAGAAAAAAGTGATACATATTCAAAACTATGTATAAGCACACATCTGTGAACATTGTGTATTAGAAAAATCCCAGAGAGAATGGGGTCACCAAAATGCTCATCATGGTGGCCACCTCTGATGGGCAGGGCTGTAGGGAATTTTTACTTTCTTTTACATACGTTTCTGTATTTGAATTTTTATGGTTGTGTATTAGATATGCTACCGGGATAAACAATAAAGGTGTTTTCAGTTAAAAAATAAGGTCTTTTTGTATGACCTTTCACCCAAATCCTGAGGCTATTAGTGATGAATGAGAACTGGTCAGGAAGGTCAACAGCACACTGCAAAAGAGGGATCAGAATGGAAATAGCTGTGAGATGGACATTTGGAGTTATTGTGTGTATGAGATATTGAGATTAAATTCATTTGTAATTCATGTAACTCCAAATATGGCTAACATGGTGGCAGGAAAGGAATTGTGGATGTTACACACAGTGTTAAGCAAGTGGTTTTATAATGCAGAATGTAGGTTCCTTCTAGAATGAGGCCATGTGAATTGTCACCACGATTAAACATGCCTGCAAAGTCCCCCTTCTGGACGAAGGTGGTATTTCTGCAGGCGACAGGTTTTCATCCAGCAGAGACCACTGAGAACTGCAGGCGACAGGTTTTCATCCAGCAGAGAATAAGGCTTGAGAATTGCAGGTGACAGGTTTTCATCCAGCAGAGACCACAGGCTTGAGAACTGCAGGCAGGCAGGGGTGAGCTAGGGCATGACTTCAGAGAGCTCCTAGGCTGACACCCCTGCCATCGTCCCTCTACCCTAGACCCTATAGAGCATCCAGCTCTCCTCCCAAAGGGCAGCGTGAAGCACAAGGAGTTGATGGGTAACTGCTGGAGGCCACACAGTTGACCAGGTGACAGCGCTAGTATCCAGAGGCCTGGACCCCCTGCAACCCCTTCACTTCAGGAAGAGCCCCTTCCTCACAGATATCTCTTCCTCCCCGCTCCAGCCCTGGTGACAACAAAAGACAGGCTGCATTCCTGAGGCTGGAGGGAAAGATGCTTCAATTAAGAGCGGCTTTTTCTTCTGCAGGATGGAAAATTCTACAACTGAGGCCCAGGACTGTGGGGCAGGAAGCTTACAGCTGGGCCTTTGCCTTCCTTTCCTCCTAAGACAGGAAGGTGCCAGGTGGTGCTGAGAACTCTCTCTCGGCCAACATTGTGGGTTTAAGGGTAATGTGAGGGTGACTATTTTATTTTGTTTTGTTTATTTTGGGAGGTTTGCAGATGAGCAGTATCAGCAGACACAGTCCTTGTGGATGGGAGGTAGTACTGAGCCATGGAAAGGGCTTAGGCCTGGCCCTGACTTGCTCAGTGAGTCATTCACTTTTCTGGGATAGTCTCCCAGCTGTCAAGTTCTCATCAGTACTGGTCCTAGCAGCCACATAGAGCAACTCCTACAGGATTGATTGTACTTGAGCTGGGCTTTCTCTAAAAGAGCAGCAAATAATGCCATAGCTCAAGAGGGAAGTTGCTATGAACAGAGTTGTATCTCCCCAAATTTATACATTGAAGCTGGAACCCCCAATGCCATGGTATTTGGAGATGGGGGACTTCAAGAGATAATTAGGTTTAGATAAGGTCATGAGGGTGGGGCCCTTATGATGGAATTAGTGCCCTTACACAAAGAGGAAGAGAAACCAGAGCTCTCTCTCTCTGCCACGTGAGGACACAGAGAGAAGGCGGCCATGTGCAGGACAGAAAGAGAGTGCTCCCAGAACTCCACCATGCTAGAACCCTGATCTCAGACTTCCAGCCTCCAAAGCTGTGAGAAATAGCTTTCTGTTGTTTAAGCCACCCACTCTCTGATATTTTGTTATGGCAGTCTGAGCAGAGGTCAGAACCTCTTCTGCCAAATTCCCAAGGAGTTGCTTGGTCTGGGGGAGCCAAATCCAGGGAGCTGCAGGTTGGACAAGTGTGGCTTTGAGAAGCTTGGCCTCCTGAGGGCCAGAGCCCATAGCCGAGGGCTCTGCCTAGGTCCAGCCTGGCTGCCGCTTCTGTGCAGACAAGGGCTACCTTTCCTTGTGCAGGGAAGGCTCTAGGGTGTGGTATGAGCAGGGCCAGCCCCAGGGAGAGGTGCAGATGTGGGAGCGTCCACAGTGGTTCTGGCCCTGTGAGCTATGTACTCAGCTTTCACTTACCCTTTGGCAAGCCTTGATCTTGGATTCCCCTTTCCACCCTCCCCTGGCTCCTTCTCAGCACCTTTCCTGCCTTCCAGAGCCTCAGGGCTCTTCCTGGCTTCCAGCTTGGTTACCAAGGGGTTTTAATTAGACAAATTGATGACTGTGACTATGTTGCCCAGGTAACTAAGACCCTTAATCTTCCAGAAATGTCTGAGTCTCCAGAAGGCTCTGATGAGAGAATGCAAAGCCCCTTATCTGGGGTACTGTGAGGCAGATGGACCATTGGATTACCCTAGCTTGTCTCTGGTCCCTACTCTGCCCACATGGATGGTGGGTTTTCACTATGACCGTGTAAACAGCAGGCTTCATAACTGTGTTTCTTTGTCATTTTAGATTGAGGGAAGGGGAAGGCAAGGAAAGTCTCTGCTCTCTGGCACTGTTTGACTTTCTCAGTATCCTTCCAAGGAAGCATCCCTGGATCCAAAGACTAGATGCACCCCAGGTCATCTGGCCTACTCCCCTGCCTCTGATAGTAGATGCACAATCCAGATAGCTTCAGAAGCATACAGCTGTCTCTTCCCTTCCTGCCTTCTAGGCCTCCTGAACAGGGTAATCTTGACCTTGAAGAAGAGACCTCATCATACCCTGCTCTCTTGCCCATGGTCCAGCTCAGTCCCTGCCCCATGCTGAGGGAGTGGCACTTCCTTGGGGAGAGGCTCAGTACATACACATTGCCGTACTCCATCTCGGTGATGGTGATGGTCTTGACATGCCAGGCAAGTTCTCTCTTGGGGATAAACCGGTCTTCCCTGGCAAGGTGGCCCACACAGAGGGAGGCAATGTCCCCCAAGTAGATGCTGTCAAACTCAAACGTGTCTGTGGTCCCCCTGCAGGAAACAAAAGTGTGGTCCATGAGCTGCCTTTGCCCACTGAAGCAGGTAAGCATTTGTCGGGGGCCTGCTGCATTCCAAGCAGTGGGCCAGGGAACAGGGATGGGATGGCAAGCAGGAGCTCATGGCAGTCCTGGAGGCTTTGAGGGGTTCAGTTCAGTTTGGGACCAAGACAATCACGATGAAAAAGCCCCACTAGCTGCCTGGCCTCAGCACCAAAGAATGGTGACATCGTTATGCAGGATGGAGATGGGGAGGGTGGTGAGACTTGGAGAGCAGAGGGAGGAGGGGAAGGGAAGAGTCCCCTGTAACAGACATGTCTTAGCAAAGTCATAGGTGGGAACAGTGGGGTGTGGAGGTGCAGATATTTCTGGGGGAATGCTGGCTTGGGTGAAGTTTGGGTTCAGGGAGGGAAAAGCTAATGGAGAAGGTATGGGTGCAGGCAGCCTGTGGGGGTAAGTGCCAGTCTAAGGTGTCCAGACTTCATCCTGAGGTAGAGATTTGAAGAAAAGGTTGTTATAAATGGAATGTCTGTGCCCCAGTTCCCCCAAATTTATATGTTGAAACCTATTCTCCAGTGTGATGGTATTTGGAGGTAGGGTCTTTGAGAGGTGATGGGGTCATGAGAGCTGAGCCCTCATGAATGAGATTCATGCCTTTATAAAAGGGGCCCTGGAGAGCTCCCTCCGCCTTCTGCCATGTGAGGACACAGTGAGAAGATGGCTATGAACCAGGAGGCAGGCCCTCACCAGACACCAGATTTGCTGGTGCCTTGGTCCTGGACTCCCAGCCTCTAGAACTGTGAGAAATACATTTCTGTTGTTTCTAAGCTACCAGTCTGAGGTATTCTGTTATAGCAGTCAGAATGGACTAAGAGAAAGATGTAGCAGAGTTAAGGGGGAGGTGGAGGCTGTCTCAGCAGTCCTGGAGAGAGTGAGGAGATGAAGTGGGCATCCGAACAGTTCAGAGGTGGCTCTGATGGAAGGAGGTGTGGTCCTTGTCTACGTAGATGTGGGGCAATGTTTGGACTGAGTAGCACTGTCCATCCACAGGGTGGGCTCCCATTAAATGCAGTCCCATGCTTTCCCTTTCACCATTGCCTGTTTAGCCCCTGGGTGCTTGCACAGGATTGGCACACAGTAGGTGCTCAGTAAGTACTTGCTGGTTAGGCCCATTTGTGTACCTATGGCTCCCACCCAAGAGGGAGATTCTCGGGGTCCTCCCTTACCTACCCACCCCCCACCACTTCCCATGGGCCTCCCCTTCCTACTTCCTAAAGGCCCGCTGCCTAGAAGAATTTTCCATGAGAAACTCTTTGGATCGGTTCTTCCTGCCCTCCAGGATGAGCCAGACGTTCTCCCTGGTTTCGCCTCCGTTGCCCGTTTCTATGACGATCTCGTAGGCTGTAATGGAGGAGGTGGGGGAGGGTCAGCACAGGGGAAGCAGTGCCCGTCTTCAGGGCGGGAGCAAGAGGGTCACGGCCTCCGGTCCTTCATTTGATCTTAGGCTGCAGCCTGGGGGTGGGGGAGGCAGGTTAAAAGCACCACGATTGAGGCGTTGTAGGTAGAATCTGCCCGGATTCTGGGGCTACAGCGAATGCTCTCATTTTATTTATAGTAGCAACCTCTTTGTAGGCAAATATGGGAGCCACTGGGAATGCAGCAGGAGGTGGGGCTGAACATTCAGCTACAGGGGTGAGATGCAAAATGGAGATTGGTGCTGAGAAGGGACAAGAAGTGGGGCCCAGTGCAAAAGCAAAGGGGAAAGACCCAGGCAGGCAAAGCCACCCCAAAGACCCTTGCACTTGCTCCAGCAAGCAGTCTCACTTGCATCTTGTCTTGGTGTCACTCCATCTCACCCTGCTATTCACTCAATCGTGTCTGCACAGGTGTGCACTCCTCCAACACTGGTTAAGTAGGTGCCAAGTGCCAGGACTGGACTAGACCCTGGGTGACACTAGAACTCAATCTCTAGCCCCAGACACAAACATGGACTGTACCATATGACAGAATGTGATAGATAACCCTGCAAAAAAGAGCCAAAGTACCGTGGGGTAAGAGGAAAACCTGGCTCCCCATTTCCTCTCCCACCTTGTGTCCTGGTACTTTCTCTCTTTCTCACTCCAGCCACTCTGCCTCCTAGCTGCACCCAGAGCACTTAGGTGTGCTCCTCCCTAGAGCTCTGCAATGCTGTCCTTCTGCCTGGAGTCCTTCCCTCTTTCCCTCTCCCTCCCCCACCCATAGTGGCGTGGCTCACTGACTCACCTCCTTCTCATCCTTACTCAAAAGTCATGTCTCAGAGATGTCTATCCAACCACCCTAATTAAAATTGCTACCTGATCCCCCTAAGCCAAGATACTGAGAGAGTGTGACATGTGATCCAGGCTCACTCCCCAGGGACCAGACCAGGGATGGAACCAGCACCCTGGAGGACACAGTAAGTGTCTGGCTCAAGTGTCCCCAGACATAGACCCCTTGCTGCAGTACCTGGATGACTGACGGTCTGGGATTCTGGATCCAAAGGGGTAGCTCTGTTTCTGTGCCTTTATCTCAGAGACATGATAAAAATAATGAAGATGAGAGACGGCCATACCTGTGGCTCAATGTAGCACCACTCCCAGCCCCTCAGCCACCCTTTTGCCTCTGTAACTTTTCTCAAGGAGAAATCTCTGCTACCTGAAACAAGTAGAGTGAATCTAGGCAAAGAGACAGGCAGCCTCTGATAGAGGAAGAGATCCACAGAAAGTGCATCCTTCTGCAGTAGGGAGGGGTTCTGCAGCCCAGGGCAGATTCCAGCCCAGAGACCCAAAGCCATCCCAGCAAGGGAAGTTGTACCATTGCCTTCTGCTTTCCCATGGGAGGTGATGGTCTATTCTGCAAACAGGTACTGGTGAATTCAAAGAGGGATCCTGGGTGTGGTTAGGGAAATGGTTTGTCAGAATCAGTGAGGGAGGCACGGAGCACTGGGAACCTGCATATCACCGTGATGGACTCAAGTAGGAGGTGTGAGAGATGATGCGGGTGGGGTTTCCTACATGGATTGAAATGAATTCTTTCCTAGTGGTCCTAAGGATAAGGTAGAGAAGCAAGGTTTGTAAGCAAGGACATTTAGGTAGATTAGAAACACATGTTGCTAGTCACATCTGTGGTCTTTTGAGAGGAAGTTTCAATCAGCATATTTTCACCTTGCTTACTTTCCCACACGAAGCGGCTTGATAAAAATGTAGAAGGCATGATTCCCAACTTTGTTCACAGGTTGCTGGGAAGGAACAGATGAAAGAGGATCAGGAACTTGAATATTCAGGGCAGGTAAACGTGATGAGCCCCATCTAACAGATCTCCCGTGGGGCCAGCACACCCAAGGACAAGCCCTACTAGAGGAAGGCTCTCAGTAGTCACGCAAAGGAAGAAGCACATGGAAGTCACTAGCATAAAGGGGCCACCAGCAAAGCTACTGTGGGCTTAGGAGGCATGGGTCGTAGTTTGAAAGGCAAGACAGGAGAGGAGCGAACAGATCCCCATTGAAATCTTGCCTTCATCCTGGGCATGGCATCTGCAGAGGGCAGCGAATGAGTGATACAGGTTGTACCAAGAGGGAAAGGGGCAGGATGCAGGGAAGATTCCATGTCACATTGTTCAAGGAGCTGCTGCAGAATAAACAGATGTTTAGTCTCGAGACAAGAACTACAGGGGCATGTGACGGCCATGGAGGAATGCTAGGAGCATAGTTGGGCTTCTAGTGGACATTTGGATTTTACTGTCTTACGTTTCAGGCCCACGGTTTACGCTGAGGAGCTCCTACCATGTGGGTTGGATGGAGCTGAGAGTCCTGGGCCTGCCCAATCAGAATCCTCCCCAGAATCCTCCTAGAGGATCTGTGTATGGAACTTAAGCAGGGAGATGCTCTCTTCCCTTCCATGGAAGCTATTAAGCTGAAATGGTGTGGGATTGGAGCTGCGAGCAGCCACCTTCCACAATGGAGAGAGTCTGTACTAAAACAAAGTTGATACATGGGAGGAAACAGAGTTGAGAGGAGAAGAGAGAAAGAGACGTACTGAGACCACGGGAGCCTCTGGAGACAGCCAAGTCTCGGCTAGAGCCACCCAAGACTTCCAAGTTCTGGGAGCCAATATATTCCCTTTTGCTACAGCCAGCTTAGGATTGGGTTTCAGGTACATACAACCAAGAGTCCTGACCACTCCTGAAATTTTCTGTTTGACTCCATTGGGACTACCAAAGGAGGGATGCTTCAATAACATAAATATGAAGATGGATTTTCTAGCTGAACTGTCTGGTGAAGCAAGCAGTGACTGTTCCATCCCTGGGGAGTTGGCCTGCAAGCTGGACTGTATTTTGGCTGGAAGTGTTGCAGGTAAGGCTGACTGGGCAGCCTTAAAAGGCTTCAAGAGTGGGAGCATAGGGAGTGGGAGGGGCTGCAGAGAGGAAGACATTGGCCCTGCCAGAGGATGTCCCAGAGAGAGATACAGACAGAAGGAGCTTGGGTCCCTAAATCACTCCGTGGAAGACCTCCCACCAAACACACATACTGGACTGGGTATTATAGGAGTGAAAAATGTTTTGTTGTGTGAAGACACTGAGATTTAGGGGTTTGCCTCTTACTGAAGCTAGTGCTGCCTTAATAACTAAGATTGGAAAAATCCATTTCTTATGTCACGCTCTGCCTTTGACAAGCCTCTTCCAATCTGTTGGGCCCAGACCCTGGCATCTGTGAGAGGCACATCTCCCTCAGCTTTGATGGCCATCCCCTCAGGATCAATTACTCTTCCCCTTTAAATATCCCCTGAGGAAGGGACAAAAGGAAAGCCGCTGCTAGAGATACTGGCTTCCCCTGCATTCTGTTTCTAGGAAGCGTTGATTAGGCAGCTGTTGCCACAGGCATCAGTTGGATGATGTCCATGTTATAAAAATAAACCAGAGAGAACTCCACACCAAACCACCCAGCTCAGCCTTCAGGTCAGGGTCAGCTTGTCCCCAGTGGGTTTTCCTGCTACCTAATTAGTCCCTGTGATTCTGAGCCATGAGCTGGCATCAGTGTTTCTTAGCAGTTCCAGTTTCACCAAACAGCATTTAGGATGTTTCCTCATGCATATCTCCATATTATTCCCTGTATCTGGCACCTGACCCCCCTCCAGCTGGAACGGTGTCTTCTTATTCCAGCACCATTCCCTGCCTCCCTCCTGAGCCAATGATCTCCCCCACATACTGGTCTCTTCCAGCTCATCACAGATCTTGTTGTTGGCACAGGCAAAGTCGCGGACCGTCTGCCCGTCACCCTCACTCTTGGAGAGCCAGCAGTCACACTGGAAGTGGAAGGTCTCGTCGCGGGAGTTGTCCTTCACATCGACATAGCTCAGATGCCAGCCAGGAAATATCCCTGTGGAAAAGACACCATGGGGGTTGGAAGCTGGATGTGCCTTCCCTCCCCTTTCAGACTTCTACATCCCCACAACCCATTGGCTGTGTGGCCCTGGACAAGTTATCTGTCCTCTTTGGGCCTTGATCTCCTTGTTGATAAAGTGAGGGGTTGGGTTAGGTGGTCTCAGAGGGTTCCTCCAGCACAGAGGATATAATTTTCTGCAAAGCCCTTAACTTTGGGTTCATGAACCCTAGAGGATTTGTGTATGGAACTTAAGCAGTCCATGACCCCAAGAAATTGTGCTGTAATTATACATGAACATTTTACCAGGGAGAGAGCTCATAGCTGTCATTAATTTATAATTGAGATCTCTGACCCAAAATAGAACTTTCTGGAGCTCACCAAGATGAAGGATGACTTCTATCACTTCCTGACACCAGTATTTACTTAGTCCATGCCCATTATCCTTCCAGAATCAGTTCAGGTGTCAGCTCCTCCAAGAAGCCTTCCCTGATGTCCCCTGATCACCTGCTAGGCCTGCATCAGGTGTTCTCCATGCTCCTATAGCCCCCTGCATCTGCCGTGGCCACACACTGTCCACCTTGTGTTGTCAGTATTTACATGTGTCTCATCCTCCAGGCCATGAGCTCTTGAAGGCAGGGAGTAGGTCTTACTTGTTTTCGTTTCTTGCATGCCTAGCATAATGACTGGCAAGTAGCAGTTGCTCAATGAATGCTGAATGAATTAATGTGTCATGACTTGGCTAAGCTGTTCAACAATCATAGAAGAAATCCAAAGCTGCTATTTCTTTTGGGTATGTTGCTAATATTGAACACATAGCTGCCCTTGTTATAATTGGCAGGGCTTCCCTCGGAAGTGTGCCCACCATAGCACAGCTATCAAATATGAATTGATGTGCACTTGCCTGCATGGTGTAAATAGCATGCATGTGACAGCTGCATGCTCTTTATACCATGCACTGGTTGAGTTACTCTCTTCTCTTCAAAGTCCTTGAGAACCCTTACAACCAAAGGACCCCAGGCAGGAGGATATCCCAGTGGTTTGGCAGGTTACTTGCTGCTCATTATATGTCCGCAAGGAAACTCCAAGTGTCTTAAAGCACAAAGAGACACAAAAAGATAGACACACACTTGCAGTCACCCAGATCGCAGGGGACACATGTTAAGGCTCAGCAGGGAATACACATTGGCGGTCCTGGTATAGCATCATTCCAGGTTGAAAAAGTACTTCTTACGTTTTGTAAACACAGGTCTTCACTGAAGTGGAAAACAGCACCAATAGAGTTAAGCTAAATTTTAAAACACTTCTGTTGAGTTAAACAGTGAAGTTACTTATTTATTTATTTATGAGACGGAGTTTCACCCTTGTTGCCCAGGCTGGAGTGCAATGGCATGATCTCGGCTCACCGCAACCTCCGCCTCCCAGGTTCAAGCAATTCTCCTGCCTCAGCCTCCCAAGTAGCTGGGATTACAGGCATGCACCACCACACCTGGCTAATCTTGTATTTTTATTAGGGACAGGGTTTCTCCATGTTGGTCAGGCTGGTCTCGAACTCCCGAACTCAGGTGATCCACCCGCCTCAGCCTCCCAAAGTGCTGGGATTACAGGCGTGAGCCACCTCGCCCGGCGGTAAGTTATTTTAACAATAAATTTGTTTCTTAACTCAATTAATCTTTCAATTTTTCTACATTAGGGCCAATTCCACCTGTAAGTTTGCAAAATGGCTGCTTTCTGAGATGCTTCCTGATAGTGTCATGAAGATGAGACCTTCTGCCTCAAGTGCGACTGCTGGCTGTCGAAGATTGAACTACTTAGCAGCCTCAATGCATTCAGTCTGGAAATGAGGCAGAGGAGACCTGCTGAAGCAGTGCTCAAACACTTCTGAAGTGGAATATAGGAAGGAAGAGACAGGTAAAGAGGAAGGCAGAGAAAAAGGCGACAAGTTGATGATTTTATTGGAAGGTGTCCAGGTGGAAGAGACTTTTTGTCCTCCTCCCACCATTCATCCTCACTGTGTGCATGTGTGTGACAGAAGACACACACACAAACAGATTCTACTATCCAGCTCTTAGAGAGTTTGATTGCTACAGACCTCTGGAGTGGGGCCTAGGCATCATTAGTCATTAAGGCTCTCCAGGTGATCCCAATGTGTAGCCAAGGCTGAGAACCTGGGCCTGTATCACTATCACCTGGAGGGTTTGTTAAACTATAGGTTACTGAGCCCTACTGCCAGAGTTTCTGATTCAGTTTGCGGTGGGGTCCAAGAATGCCCATCTCTAACTAGCTCCCAGGCGAGGTCAACGCTGCTGGTCCTAGAGCGACACCTTGAGAACTACTGATTCAATGTATCAGGACCAGAGTCAGAGAGGTCTTTCTACAGAATCACAGCAATAGGAAATCAATGGGAAGTTTGAACATGTGATTGCATGCGTGAGTGTGAGCATGAGTATGCTAGTGGAGGAGGATGGCATTACCTGGAGACGTGGGCCATCACGAGATTTTTTCTGTTGCTGGAATGCACCATTTATCATGCTCTACCCTACACAGTTTTCACTACACAATTACACTTTCCGGGCTCCAGCCAGAATGGTGACAGAGAAAAACAGTGAGCTAAGGGGAAGGGTGGATTCTGGGATGGCTTTACCTTTATCCACATATAATTCATTGCCCCCACTGCATGGATGAAGACAACCAGAATAGGAGCCTGTCTGGCCTGGGTTGCCCTGGTGCTCAGTGGCAGGTTGCCTCTCTTCCCACTGTGGCCCCCTTTCCCCCGTCCTCTCAAAAATTGGCATTGTCTGACCCCATCCACAATTTTCAAATTAGAATTCCTCAGAGAAACTCCTTCCATGAGCTTTGTGCCTGCTGCTCACTTAATTGCCTTGTTTTGGAAATTTTGGGTGTGATTGACAGGGATCTCACCATGACTTTCTCCCACTAAGAATCTATGAAACATGCAACTATGAAACATCTGGCAGGCTGATGTCATGTGTCTGGATTTTGCTGATGATGACAGCAGGATAGTAGAGAGTAGACAGCAGGATAGTAGACTCACAGGTACAGCATGGCTAACTGAGTGGCCAGCACTAGCTGCATGGTGGATATCCTACTTGGCCTTAGCAGATGTATTAGTTTGTTCTCATGCTGCTGTGAAGAAATACCCAAGACTGGGTAATTTATAAAGAAAAGAGGTTTAATTGACTCACAGTTCTGCATGGCTAGGGAGGCCTCAGGAAACTTACAATTATGGCAGAAGGCAACTCTTCACAAGGTGGCAGGAGAGAGAATGATTGCCAAGTGAAGGGGGAAGCCCCTAATGAAACCATCAGATCTTGTGAGAACTCGCTCACTATCACAAGAACAGCATGGGGGAAACCACACCCGCAATTCAATTATCTCCCCCTGGTCTCGCCTTTGACACTTGGAGATTATTACGATTTAAGGTGAGATTTGGGTGGGGACACAGAGCCAAAGCATATCAGTAGACCAAGAAGGAACCATCTGAAATTGACAAAGAATCCATTGCTTTACAAAGTCTCCTCTTTTAGGGTTCTGCTTTATTTTTTTACACAAAAGTAACAAACACTCTACACTATTGACACCTTTTACTCAGAGACAAACTATATCAAAATATAAATACGGACTCATTCTTTTTCATAGTTGCCTGGTATTTCATTGAATGCACGTATCACCAAATTATTTATCTTGTCCTTGTTGATGGGTAGTTAGTTGGTATCCAGGCTTGTACTTCTACACACAATGCTATAATATCCTTCCAAATGCATCATATTAATCTTTTAAAATGATATATCAGATTTTGTCACTTCTCCATATAAAATCCCCCAATGGCTCCTCATCACTGTCAGAATAAAATGCAAACTGCTCATCAAGGACTATTAGGATTGACATGATCTGGTCCTTTTCCACTCCTCTGATTTTATTTCATACTACTCACAACTTCACTTACTCTGTTCCAACTACACTGGCCTTCTTTTTATCCCTTGATATATGAAGCCCTCTCTTTTCTTAGAAACTTTGCATCTACCATTCTGTCTGTTTGGAACTATATTCCCCAGGTTCTGAATGTCAACACCATCTCATCACTGAGATGTCAGATCAAATATTCTGTCTTTGAGAAAGACTTTGTTAACAACCCTATTTGCAGAAGCTTCCTAATCCCCAATTACTTTCTGTCAATAATGATATGTCCACTTCACAATCTGAAATAAGTTTGTCTTTGTTTTCTCATATATTGTATAGTTTGTCTTCTTCCACTAGGTTGTAAGCCCCTTGAGAACAGGAGCCTTTTGTAACCTATCCACCTCTATATTTCAATGCCTGGGACAGTGCTTGGCATATTATTAAATAAGTGTTTATTGAATGCATTAGTGTGCACCATTATTGAATAGGGAAGAATGGCTCTAATGGTGAAGTTTTAAGAGTGGATGGGAAAAAGAATTCAAAGCCCTAGCAGTGAGTGGTGGCCTGTCCTAGTAGAATTGATTATTTTGTCCCACAGTTTTGAAAGTTTACTTTAAGAAAAAGGCTTAGAAACTGTGCAGTGTGAGGTCTCAATCTTTTCAGGCAAGAGATGACAGTCTCTGGATGGGAGTGAGACTGGCAGCTGCTCCCTAGAGTTTAACATGCCATCTCTGCCTGCGGTTCCCCAGTGGCTTTCCACATCTGATGGGACAAAAGGGCCCAACTCTGTGTTTACATATTTAGGGCCTTCTTCAGCCTGACTCCAATCATCTTATCTCTCACCTCAATAAGGAAGAGCCCTTTTACAAATCCCCTAGCCCAGTGAGATGGATTTAAGCATCCCTTTGGCATTTCCTTTCTCCTCATTATGGCACCCAGCTTTCCCTTGCCTTAAATACCTGCCTATTGTCCTCTGGACAATTTAGACCTCACTTCCTCTGCAATGCCCTCCAAAATCCCCAGGCTCTCAGCGTTTTTTGCTTGTCCATTCTCTTGGCCATGAGCACAGACATCTTGAGAAATCTCTGCTATTCAGGTCATGACTATGCACTAACTTTTGTGGCTGGTTTTATCTGTATGCCTGACGTCTCTAATGAGATTTTAGGGAATGAGAATCATATCTTAGGAGCTCTTAATTGTATCACAGTGGTATAGACTTAGCATTCAATAAACATAGAACTGATCAATGATTTTTACTTTCTAAAGTGAACTGTCAATTCTTTGCTCCAGCACAAACCACTAAAAATTCTTCTCAGGTAGTCAGATAATTTTCTTCACCAAGCAACTCCATTCTTGACAATAATCTTTGGCAAGCTAAGGATTCATCTAGGTAACTCACATTTCTTCAGTAAGATAATAAATGGTTTGAAGTAAGATATGGAACCATCACAGAGCCCTAGCTGTGGATGAATATGAGAATCTAGCTATTATTTTTCCACAAACACTTTTTCACATATGTTATCTAAGAGGCCACCCAGAGCAACACTCTGGGATCTGGCAGATCAGGTTGCAGTCTCAGCATATCCACCAAACTGAACACGTTATATCCCCATGCCTCAGTATCCTCACTTGTACAATGTGTGGATTGAAATAGATGATTTCTGAGGTTCTTTACATTAGGCTGGTTCAAAAGTCACTGTGGTTTTGGCAAAACTGCAATTACTTTTGCACCAACCTAATATTTCTATGATTTATATTTTTCTTTCTCCTTTTTCTCTCTCTCTTTTTTTTTTTTTTTTTTTTTTGAGACAGAGTCTCGCTCTGTCGCCCAGGCTGGAGTGCAGTGGCACGATCTCAGCTCACTGCAAGCTCCGCCTCCCGGGTTCACGCCATTCTCCTGCCTCAGACTCCCGAGTAGCTGGGACTACAGGCGCCCGCCACTGCGCCCGGCTTTTTTTGTTTTGTTTTGTTTTGTATTTTTAGTAGAGACGGGGTTTCACCGTGGTCTCGATCTCCTGACCTCGTGATCCACCAGCCTCGGCCTCCCAAAGTGCTGGGATTACAGGCGTGAGCCACCACGCCCAGCCATGAATTTATATTTTTCAAAAGAAAACACATAAATTCTTTCTTTCCTCAGAGCTTAACTTAACCAAAGAAGGCATGAAGAACAAGATAAATTAGAAAATAAATACTCTGGTTATAATTTGTTCAGTATTATAAAAGCTATCTGGGTAATTGGAATTATGGAGAATTAATCATTTGTCTTGATTTTCCTCTATGAACTATATTTTATGGTAATCAAATAGCCTGAGGGACTTTTTTAACAGAAAAATTCTAGCTACTAAATGAATAAGAAATGAAAGAATTAGAAAATCACCATTTGTAACCTTAATTGATCATCACTGGATGAGTCCATTAGATGAAGAGTTATGAGGAAATTTTACAGTGGAGTAATCAGGCTGGCAGTCCCTGTATCCACTATTCAATGTTAGCACCAATAATAATGGGATTTCTGTGTACTTCATATTACATCAATAAACGGTATTTCCTCAATACATTGTATTCCTCACAGACTTACTCAGTATACAGTACTAAGGAAATTTACATATTTTCCATATATTCCATATACAATATTAAGAAAATTTACATATTACATAGTATTGGGAAAATTCGCCATGGAGTGGAAATTGAACAATACAAATAAATCATTGTTAAGTATGATAGTGGTGGTGTAATTTTGTAAGAAACTGTTCATTTTAAAAAGAGATCAGCCTGACCAACATGGTGAAACCCTGTCTCTACTAAAAATACAAAAATTAGCCAGGTGTGGTGCTGCACACCTGTAATCCCAGCTACTCAGGAGGCTAAGGCAGGAGAATCGCTTGAACCTGGGAGGCGGAGGTTGCAGTGAGCCGAGATGGCGCCGCTGCACTCCAGCCTGGGTGACAGAGTGAAACTCCATCCGTAAATAAATAAATAGGAACACACTATGTTTGGGGTGACATGACATGAAGTTTAGGATTTGATTTTATATCCCCCAGCAACCAAAAAGAAAAAATTTTAAAAGGTATGAACAATACAGCTGGTGTGACAACTTTCAATAGTTCAAATTTGACAGTTCAATAATCAATAACTGATTCAATTGTGAATCACTAATTCATAATTCTTGAACTTGGGTGATTGCTATGTGGAAGTTTATTACACTATTAATCTTCACTTTTGCGCATGTTTAAAATTTTTCACTAAAAAAGAAATATTGAATAGACAAAAATGGTTGAAAGGTAGATTCAGAGGAAGAGAAGATTGCTACACTTTAAGTTAACTAAGCATTTGTCACCTGATTTATATGGTATTTGTTCAGAAATCCCCATCTTTATTGTAGAAGACTCTCAAACAAAATATATTTTTCCTCATACGTGTCTATGCAAGGGAAGCATAAGGTATCTTGAAAAAAAATTAAAATAAACATAAAAAGTGTGGCATAGAGAGAGTCTAAGGACATGTTTAGCCATCTTAGCTTGTATTAACATTTAAACTTCCATCTCTGGAGGAGAAAGTTACCATTAAAAGGAAATTGGACACAAAACCTGGACTTCTGTCTCCCTCCCCTGAACCTAGTATCTCAACCACATGGGCTCAATAAGGATACAGAATGGCCAGTCACAGTGGCTTATGCCTGTAATCCCAGCACTTTGGGAGGCCGAGGCAGGTGGATCCCTTGAGGTCAGGAGTTTGAGTCCAGCCTGGCAAAAATGATGAAACCCCGCCTCTACTACAAATACAAAAATTAGCCGGGTGTGGTGGCACACTCCTGTAATCCCAGCTACTCTGGAGGCTGAGACAGAAGAATCACTTGAACCTGGGAGGCAGAGGTTGCAGTGAGCAGAGATGGCCCCACTGCACTCCAGCCTGGGCAACAGAGTGAGACTCCGTCTCAAAAATGAAATAAAACAAAAAAATAAGGATACAGAAATCTTCCTTTTCTTGATGAGCCTGAAGACCTACCAGTGATATTATCCTGGTTTCAGACCCAATGTCTGTTGAAGGGGTGGAGGGCCACTTCTTTGCCTACAAGGGGAAGAGGATCACATCAATGACTCAGGATTTCTTTAAACCCAAGAGCCATTATGGGTCCAAGGCAATCAGATAGTTTTTGGTTATCCAAAGTGGTGGTGGGGTGGGGTGTCAAGCTCTTTGGAGAGGCTGGCATCTGAACAACAATAGTAGCAACCAGTCACAAGGTTGGAGTGGTTTAGAGCTGTCCACGGTGCTGAACCCGCCTCTTTCAGATTTTGACCGTGAGGAGATGGAAGGAATTGGCTGATTGGAGTCACGTTTTTGCATAGTAGAAAAATGCATCAGGAAAACTAAGAAAGTCTGGATATGTGTGCAATTAGTGTCTTGAGGGTGGGGGCAGCTGGCATTGGAGGACTTAGTCATGAGTCTGAGTTTCATGGCCAGGACTCAACTTTTTAAAAAACCACTAAGGCACAAGGAACACTGATTCTGGGGAAAACTGAGTTCCCTATAACTGAAGCATAAAAAGACAGGGAAGGGTCTGAAAGAGAAGTATAAGTATAATTAAATTTTATAAAAATATATTAAGTCCTTATTATATTATAGGCAATGTGATAGGCATTAGGGAAAGAACATGAACAAGATAATGGTACCTGTGGAGCTAATGCTCAAGTAAAAGAGACAGAATACACATGTAGTTACAAATATGTCGACTGTTCTGGGAGTGGGCTCAAGCAAGGTAGTGCAATAGGAAGAACTTTCAGTGAGGAAGTGAGAACATAAGAGAGCTTCTAAACCACAGACAGGCAGATATAATCATGGCAGGATGCACAGTGGGAGTTAGGTCACAAGGCAGAGGTCACAAGGCCGAGGTCTCAGTGGCTGGAATTAAATGACAATTGCAGAGTGGGATCACAAACTAATCTACAATGCCTTTCAGTTCTAGGTTTCCCCTCTTTTTCATGCCTAGGGGAATAATTGGTTTCTGTGCCCCAAGTTATTATCAAACTAATTTCAGGGCTGTGGAGACCCCAGTTGTAAAAGTTAGGAGCAAGGCCTTTGCTAAACAGATCACTACTTGACACCAACTTTAGTGTTAGGACTCTGGGCCACCCAGCCTTGCTATGCCTTAAGCTCCTGCAGTTAAACCCTGCTGACTCTAGGCTCTCAGATGGGACTGCACTCTGATATGGTGAGATTAATCTTGGTCCAGTGGCCTTGAATATTTTCCACCCAGTAGCAAATCCTGAGGCAGACTGTTTATATTGAGACCCTAGGGAAGTCTTTACTGTTCCCCAGAAGGTTCTTCCCTACTATATTATTTTCCTAGGCCATCAGAAAAATTACCACAAACTTGGTGGCTCAAATAACAGAAATTTATTCTTTTGGAGTTCTGGAGCCCAGAAGTCTGCAGTCAAGGTGTCAGAAGGTCAATTCTGTCTCTGAATGCTCTAGAGAAGAATCCTTCCTTGTGTCTTCCTAGCTTTGGTGGCTTCCAGCAATCCTTGGTGTTCCTCAGCTTGTCACTGCTATCTCCAGCTCCAATCTCTACCTCCATCTTCACATGCTCTTGTTTCAGCATCTTTCCATGTTCTCTCATCTTTTTATAAAGACACAAGTCGTCATTGATTTAGGGCCCATTCTAAATCCATGGTGATCTCATCTCAAGATTCTTAACTAAGTCTAACTGCAAAGATCATATTTCCAAATATTATCACATTCTGAGGTTCTTGGTGAAGAAGAATTTGGTGGGTGGGGAACACTATTTCACCCATGACACCTACCCTTGGATAATTACAAATGCTTTAACAAGTGTGTCTGATATAATTGTTGCATCTAGAAACCCCTCAGTCACCTACAGGGGAGAAAGATATATCTGTGGAAGTCTAGAAAAGGATAGAATTCTGGACCCGTCTATTTAGGATCCAGAAGCTGCTACAAGCTGATGTTCAACATTAATTTACTTATTCATATAATTGTTAAATACCTACTAAGTGCCAGGCATTAGGCATATAAATGTGAATCAAAATTTCCAGTCTTGAGAGACTCAAAAGTCTGCCAATTATGACTGGCAAGACAATTACAGTTCAGTGTTGTGAGTGCTAGATATAGAGGTATGAGCAGAGAAGTTTAGGAGCACAGAGTAGGGAGCATCTAACTTCATTTGGGATAATCAGGGAGCTTCATGGAGAAGGTGATATTAATCTGGATTTTGAAGGATGCATAATAATTTAGCAGGGGAAGGGAATGGCAGGTGCAAAGTTATCTCTTGGGTATCTATGAATGTCTGTTAGCTTGGGCAAAAGATGTAAGTTACTTCATGCAAGGTGAAATTTAAATAAGGGCTGAAATGAAAGTTTAGAGATCTAGGAAAAAAGAAGAGAGAGAATAACAAAGCAAACCTTTTGAATGAAAATAGCTAATCTTAGACCCTAGTTTCTGAAAACTTGAATGTACCATGCCATTCTTTGGATGTGTCAGAATAGTCAGGAATAAAGACAATTCCACATTACAAAAAGGACCAGAGAGCAGAGAGAGTGAGGCTAGGTGAAAAAGATTTCCTGACTTTGTGTGTGGTGTGTGTTTGTGTGTGTGTGGCAGGGGGAGGAAGCAATGAGGAGCATTTTTGTCTAACAAACATAAATCCACAAATTACACAAAGCTGTTCATCTCCCCTTCCTTTCTCCCTATTACATACAGTGGCTTAAATATTTGGCTGTACAACGACATTTTTAAGCAAGGGATTCTAGAAATTTGCTAGGGAGAAATAAACATTTTAAATATTTTGAATTTCTTTGCTGTTTGGAAACAAATGAGGCCTCATGTTTCCTCTATTAAATTTATGTCCGGGAAACTATGGAGTAGGGAATTGACACACCACATCTTGGGATTTCATGGCCAGTGAACAATCTTCAGCATTACAGAGTTTCCCAGATGTAAATTTCCTCCCCAAGCACATCCCACTTTGGAAGTACAAAAGATGGAGGTAATTCCTTCCCCTTCTCTTTTCTTCTTCCCCCTCCTCTTCCTTCTTTTCCATTATCTCACCTCAAATGTTGAAATTCTTGGGAATCTGCTCTACACCGCCCTTGCTATCCTCAAGCTGCACTTTCTCCATAGACTCTGTTATTCACTCTTTATTGATGACTTTACTACTCTCTCTGCACTAACAACTTTTAGTTTACTATCTCAGATCAATCTTCCAACTAGTTTTCCTCCTGAGGTCCAGACCCCACTGTTACTGGACATCACAGATGTCACTCAGGCCTTCAAATTAAACTCATCAAGATGAAGAAAGTTCTCCAGCATCCTCACCATTCTTGTTCAGGTCTTCTCAGGCAAACCTTTAACAAGTCCTTTGCCTTAAATATTTCTCAAATCGGTCTGCTTTTTCTCCATTCCCACTGCCATCATCGTGCTGCAAGACATTCTCCCACCAATTTCTTAATCATCTTTTGAAGTTTATTTTCTTCTCCATGTAACCTACCTCCCACAGACACTACAATGATCTTCTCTGAGTGATTCCCGTTCTTGAGACGCTTTGATGGCTTCTCAGTACACTCAGGATAAAAACCCAATCCTTGACATGGCTTACAATATTATGCATGGCCTGGTTCCTATCTATATTGTAGCTTCCACCCCTATTCCCTATTTTGTAGTCATTCTGGATTTTTCTTTAATTTTGGGAACATATCAAGATTTTTTCCTGTTTTAGGGCTTTTATATTTGCTATTCACTCTACCTCACATGTGTTCCTTCATTTTAAGCGAACACCACACTTCATCTAATAGCTACTCTTATTCATTCCTGAGGTTTCAGCTTAAATATCCCTTCTTCAGGAGGGTTTTCTCTGAGTCCTCGGACTAGCATCCTGTGGACCTCCATTTTAGACACACATCATTATTTAAATTAATTACTTGTTTAATACATGTAGTTTTTGCTAGAAGGGCATCCAGATGACAGGAATCTTGTCTGCTGCTCCCTACTCTGTCCCTAGCACTGAACACAATGCCTAACAGTAAGTACTCAATGGATATATAGTTGATCTTCGTTATTCACATGTTCAATCTTTGTGGATTTGGCTATTTGCTAAAATTTATTTGTAACCCTAAATTAATACTCATGTGGTCATTTGTGGACATATGCAGAGTGGCAAAAAATTTTAGTTGCCAAATGCCATGCACGTTCTCAGATGAGGCTGAACAAGGCAACACTGCCTTCTTGTTTCATCTCTCATGCCATAAACAATTGTCCTTTTCATGGTCTATTTAGTGCCATGTTTTCACATTTTTGTGCTATTTGTTAGTGAGTTCATTGTTTTAAAATGGCCCCCAAACATAGTGGTTGGTCCTCAAGCTGAAGTGCTATTTAGTGTTTCTAAATGCAAGAAGGCTGTAACGTGCCTTCCAGAGATGATACATGTTAGATAAGCTTCACTCAGGCATGACTTATAGGGCTGTTGGTCATGAGTTAAATGTTAATGAACAAACAGTAAATACTAAGTAAGATGTCTTTAAACAGAAACACACATAAAACAAGGTTATCTATTGATCAGTTGGTGAAAATGTTGTAACCAGAGGCTCACAGGAACCTAACCCTGTGCTTCCCTTAGGAGCAATGGTTCAGTGTTTGCGAATTCAGAGTTCACAGCAACATTATAGGGCATAACTACCGTGAATAGTGAGAGCCAGCTGTAATTGATTTGTTAACAGAAATAAACATTAAAACTGAGGGGATTGTTAGGCCTGCAAAGGACCTGGACTGCTCATTTTGTCTCTGAAGAGGACACATCAGGTAGGAGGATGAAAACAAGAAAGGGGGAAACTTGCATGTCACTAAAGACAATCATTATTCCTGACTCCTGAAATGTGATTACATGACTTTTTCATCTCCCCTTTCTTTCTCCCTGTTACATACAGTGGCTTAAATATTTGGCTGTATAAGGACATTTTTAAGCAAGGGATTCTAGAAATTTGCTAGAGAGAAATAAACATTTTAAATATTTTGAATTGCTTTGCTATTGAGAAGCAAATGAGGCCTCATGTTTCTTCTATTAAATTTATGTCCAGGAAACTATGGAGTAGGGAATTGACATACCACATCTTGGGATTTTACTTTTTGAATCTTCTTCTCAAATATATGAGCCTTTACTTTCCTAGATGGTTTGGAAGGAAGGGTACAGTATGGAGGCAGGAATGGCTGAAAGGACTCTGGAAGGTTCATCCCGAGAAACAGGCTGAGACAGAAGGTATGGGAGCAACAGGGGAAGCCATCCAGGGAAGAAAGGGGTTAATTAGGTGGAGTTCAGATTTGGATAAGATGGAGTTGCAGGCAGGAAGCAGAGATGAGCTCTGATCTTGGATCCGCAACTCTCTACCTTTTATTGATGTGAATTGGGGTTGGAATGCATAGTAATCTGGACCATCTTGTCAAGCATCTGGATGTTTGTAGCAGGCCAGGTTGAAAATAGGCACCAAGGAAAGAACCTGGATCAGCCTGTGGAGTCCAGAGTTGAGAGAAGCCAGAGAAGGAGTCAGAACCACGGACAGCTCCTCTTGCCCCTGCCCCTGCCCCAAGACTGCTGAGTGATTTCTACAGAGTATGGTCCTTAACACAGCATCCTCAGTCTTTCTGGCTATATTCTCCACTCTCACCCCTCATGAATAAAACACTCATATTGTAAATGGCTCTGGCATGGAAAAGTTGGGTCATCATAGTCTACATGAAATTCTCCCCTCTCCAGTTTTCTGGGCTGACTGGGAAGAGGTTAGGGAACCCCGTGCTTCTGGTCTCATAGTGAGTCTTAGAGGAAGGGCTCAGGCTGCTGGGGATACCACTTCTTCCTTCCCAGGGTTCTAATTCCTTTGGGTCTCTGCTATTTCTGAGATAGAGGCTATGGCAGAACAGGATTAAAAGACCTGGTATTTCTCAGCTCTCTGGGGGGAGTCTCAATTAAACTAACATTTATTAAGCCCTCACTATGCTCCAGGTACTGTTATAAGCAGTTTTGAAGATAAAGATGAATAAGGCATGATTCCTATCCTCAAAGGCAGTGACATCTTGCCAGTGTGTGCTGGTAGCCAGACAGAGAGTTGGAAGCCCACAGACATAATGTACTTCTTTCTGATTAAGGCAGGGACATAGTTCTTGGGAACATATTTCCTAAACAACGGTTTAGGCACTTTAACAGGAGAGACTGTAGACAAGCTCTCCTGTTAGGGTTAGGGTAGACAGACCTTGTCCTTACCTTCCCCACACCCATGCCTGCCACCCTTACTAATCTGATCTGTCAAATCCCTCTAATTAGGCCTGTGGAGATACACAGAATGTGGCTCAATGCTTTCACACTTGTCTTGACTACGTGATCACTGTTGAGTGTCATGGGAAGATCTCATCCTGATTTTGTGAAGTGTCTGGGGCAGAAGATGGTCCTAATGATTATGGCTACTGTTATTCAACCAGACTTGGGAAACTGCTGCTAATCCTAAGACAATCAGAATGGATGATGAGATGGAGGGAAAGAAAACTCAGGAGTTTTTGTTTTGTTTTCATCTTAGGAAAGAGGAGAGGTGCATTAAGGATATTTGAGCATGATTTGCGAGTATGTTTCTTTCCACAGACTCATAATGCCACTTGAATGATCAAGTGAGGAAGAAGAGTTCCCTTCCACTGCATGCTTTTCTGGACAAGACTAACCCGGATACACCCTGATATTGGGGGGTGTAGCAAACAGAGATAAAGAGGCTGCCTCTCATCACCTCATCTTCTTGACCACCTGACACAGTGGCTGGTGAGGGTGCAGAATGGTGGCTGGCAAGATGGGCCGGCACACAGAACGGTGTGTTAGAACAGGCATCAGAAGACCTGGGTTTGGGTGATGGCTGGTTTGGGTGTCCCTTCCTTGCTGTGTGGTTCTGAGTAAGACATTCAAACCTCACTAGACTCAATATTACTTGGTTGTAAAAAGAGGAGCAATAAAGTGCTTTTGCTGCAGTAATTCACAAAGGTTTCTATTTGTTTGTTTTTGACTGTTTTGTTTTGTTTTTTTTTGAGACAGAGTCTCACTGTTACCCAGGCTGGAGTGCAGTGATGCAATCACAGCTCACTGCAGCCTTGACCTCAAGTGATCCTCTCATCTCAGCCTCCTCAGTAGCTGGGACTACAGGCATAAGCCACCACACTTGGCTAATGTTTGCATTTTTGGTAGAGATGGAGTTTCGCCATGTTGCCCAGGCTAGTCTCAAATTCCTGGGCTCAAGTGATCTGCCTACCTCAGCCTCCCAAAGTGCTGGGATTACAGCTGTGAGCCACAGCCCCTGGCCTCACAAAGTATTTTTGAGAATCAAATGTTTGTATCTTTAATACCTAACAGAGTCCCAGGCATGTCATGAATACTTTAGATGTTCCGTATACAAATGACTGGTGGGATACACTGAAATTTGAAAACTGTGGAGTGCTGTGTAAATATTTGTTATTTTATTGCCTTAAAGGCTATTTTATCAATGCCTAGTCTGAGTTTATTCTGTGTTATGGAAAAAATTTTAACTGTTTAATCCACGTTAAAGCAAAATAGCTTAGCTCCTATGGAAGAGAGGTTGCAAACTACCGAGTTGGGTTTCGTCAGTGACCGTGACAGATAGGCTAGTCCTCCGCAGGGGTTTGGAAGAAGTGAGGAACAACACAACATTCAGGACAGCTCTGGGCAGCCATTTGGGAGACCCAGCAAAGGCTAGAGAAGGCTTTGAGCAGATAGCTTTGCAGAGACATGTTTCTACAGAAGACAAAAGGGTGAATGAAGAAAGCGGTATGCATCAAGGAGGTGGAATTTAATATTTAACAACTCTATCCTAATTATAACAAATAGAACTTATAGGCCCAAAGCCAGAGAAAATAAAGTGGCTTAAAGACAGCAAAATGATAACCAAAGAAATGTTGAGAACATGAACGTCATCACAGTTATAGAAATGACAAAGCATTCCTTAGGCACTGCAAAGTTAAAAATATATTTCTCACTTGGTTTATATCCTATTTCATAGTTTATATTTATAAGTGAATTCAACAACTTTAGGATTACTATTATGAATAAACAAGCATAATCCCTTCTTTTTTTTTTTTTGAGACAGGTTCTCACTCTGTCATCCAGGCTGGAATGCAGTGGCACAATCATAGCTCACTGCAGCCATGACCTCCTGGGCTCAGGCAATCCTCCCATCTCAGCCTCCAAGTAGATGGGACCACGGGTGCATGCCACCATGCCCAGCTATTCTTTTTTATTATTTGTAGAGATGGGATCTCACAATGTTGTTTAGGCTGGTCTTGAACTCCTGGGGCTCAAGCAATCCTCTCACCTTGGCCTCCCAAAGTTCTGGGATTACAGGCATGAGCCACTGCACCCGGCACAAACATAATCCTTTATAGAAAATCCATGGGAAATGAACTGGTGATTTAGCTTTTTTTCTTAATTTTTAAAGCCTGAACTAAGTCAAATTAATGCTCTGAAATCACAAACAATGGAGAACCACTAATCACCCAGGGAGAAAGCAGGAGGAACTAAGCTTCCTCTCTAAAAATATTTGCCCAGAAACACTGGCTCTTTCATACTGATGGAAGCATCAATGTGGTGGTCATCAACTGTGTTCAGTTTTCTGCCACCCTGGGGTAATCAGAGTCAATGTGCTGCCAGGGAGGGAATAATGGCTCAGGAAGGGAGCTGAGGGCTGCCCTCCCACCAACCTGGCCTTGAGTGGGAGCTACCTTTGTTGTCGTGCCAGACCCTCAGCTTGCAGAGGTGGCCCAAGCTCAGCATGTCAGGGAAGTTGAATGTGTCCGTGTTGTTCCGCTCAAACTTGTTCCAGTTTGCCGACTGCTTCAGGGCCAGTGTCCCACTATCCCCGTTCTCCCCGAAGATGATGATGAACACGTTGGCATCAGTGCCTGCTCCTGGGGGGTGCACAAGGTGAGGCTTAGGGTGCCAGCCTCTTTGACACACAGTCCTCTTGCTCTGGCCTTGATCCCGGACTCCTCAGAGGAGTCAGGGGTACAGGTGGACAGAGTACAGACTCAAGAAGGCCAGGGGTGAGGTTGGAAAGGGTCAATTACTGTCCCAGGTCTCCAATTCTCTTCTTCATCTTATCTTTGTGCCTTACAAAAGCTTTTGGTCTAACTGGAGTCATGGTCAGCAAGTGTGAATGGTTTAGTACAAAACTCATCTATTTCTGGGGAAATATACCCAAACTTAAAAGGCGTGTCATATAGGCTGGCTTTACAGTTTAGAAACATAGGCTACCTCCTGCACAGTGTGGGTTCAGAAGGAAGCAGGGAAGTTCTGTGTTCCCTAAATCTGTCTCTGATTGACATTCTACACTAGAGCTTCATATCATTTGCTTAAGCCAAATACAGGTATTGGCCCAAGTCAAAAGCAAATGCTTCTGGAAGGGGTGACCCAGTGAAGCTTTTCTGACACACATCTGTGGTTATCAATGAATTTATTATTTTCTGAGTGCATCATAAAGGGATGGAGGGGTCTGAAAACATATGACACTTGGAACTTTAAGCAATAGGGGTAAAAGTTCCATTGTGAGAATAGGAAGAAAGGAGGTACCCCCAACAAAATTTACTAGCTTTATTGACCTATCATTTATGCCTGAGATCCTACTATGAGAGCTTCATTTATCTGGCAAGAGGCTTCTCTGTTGAAAATGTAAGCTACCATGGCCAACAAGTTAATCCTTCATTCACCATTTATAATTAATGTGATGAGCTTGCCAGATTCCTTGTAATGGCTCCTGGAGAGCAGGCTTGGGATAGGGGAGTGTAGGTAGGAGGTACTGCCCCCATGCCTGGATGACAGTGTGTTCCCTCTCAGCTCCTGGCCTTTAACATGCTAATACTTTTGATTAGAAGATCCTTCCTCTGGGTGCCCTGTCTGCCTGGCTTCTGGATTTGTCTTTCTGGACTTGACTTTGGCATTGCATCCATCGGAGCGTCACCGCACTGCACTGTGGTTGCTCCAATGAAGGTCAGACCTGCAAGGTTTGGGCAGCACATCTGTATCCTAAGACCCACAGCCAAAGCCGGCACATGGTAGATGGCCACCAAGCACATGGGTCCGAGCATGCCTGAGGTGCATGACACTTGGGCGAGGGGTGCCAGGCAGCAGAAGGAAGATGGGAAGGCTCTGCATCAAGTGCCTGTACCATTTCCAAAAGTGCTGACCATACTCCCCAGTAATGTTCTCCCCTATTTCCCCAAGGGAGGAGGGAGGGAACCAGTCACTCCCTGGGAGGAGATGCTTTGTCCAGACAGAAAGCGACACACTGTGGAGAAAACTTGGATTGACTAGATTTTGGAAGGCCTTATGAAGAAAAATGCCCTGACCAGAAACAAGGGCCTGAGCCCGAATTTGACGGTTGGAGTGGTAAGGGAGCGGGAGGTGTGAGGGACCCCCGACCCACCCAGGATGTCGCTGGTCTTAACTGCGACGGTGTAGGAGGTCCACTCCATCATTTCTTCCTCATCGATAACGGCACACATTTCACACACCAGGGTCTTCTTGCCCTTCCGCTGGGACAGCCAGTCTCCATAGTAGAACATGGTCAGGTCTCCAGTGTTCATGTTCTTCAGTAGGATCTGGGGGAGAGGGAGCCACCGTGGGAATGCCCTGTCCTCCCTCACCTCCACCAGCACCCCCTGGCTCATGCAGCCCCTCCCCGAATCCCAACCCTGGAGATCCCAGACCTGAGACAAGCGCTTGCGACTGAGACCCACGGGGTGTGGAAAGGGCCCTTTCCAGGACAAAGGCCCTGTCCTGTGTGCCTGGCATGGGATTTGAAGTCCTTACGAGGACTGCCCTAGCTTGGGATTTGGGAATGGGCAATTCACCTAAAGCTGTGTCCTCAGAGGTGCCTGTCACTGTGCACAAGAGATATTTGCTGAAAGAGTGACAGAAAAATGGACCAACCGAGCCCCTGTCAGCCACAAACACCTGGGAGCAGAACGCTGACATTTGCAGGTTAGTCCTTGGTGTGGGCACCATATTATTGACTCAAGAAAGTCTGCTAATGGCTGAACAGGGGAGGAGGAGCCTGAGGCGATGCAGGACAGCTGGCCTCTGGTAGACGAGGTTGCATGGGCTGACTCAGGTAGGGGACTGCAGGGCTTTGTGTTATGGGTGGAACTGTATTCCCCCAGAATTCATATGTTGAATTCTTAACCCACAGTCCCTCAGAATGTGACCTTATTAGAAAGGGGATTGTTATAGGTGTAATCAGTTCAGATGAGGTCATTAGAGTGGGCCCTAGTCCAATCTTATACCACCCAGACATGCACCCAGAACGCCATGTGAAGACTGGCATGATGCTGCCCCGAGCCAGGGAACTGCCAGAAGCCAGAAGAGTGGCCCAGAACAGATGTTTCTCTAGAGCCTTCAGAGGGAGTGTGGCCCTGCCGACACCTTCACCTTGGACTTCTGCCTCTATGACAGTGAGGGAGTAATAAATGTGTGTTGTTCTAAGCCTCTAGTCCATGGTGCTTTGTTATGCTGCCTGAGACTATAACATACATTATGTAAGGAGGACTGGCACAACACACAAGTTCGCATGCCTAGGACCTCGTGTGACACGGAGGCTGCAGGAAGATCATCTTTGTCGGCATAGTCATTGCCTTTATGAGTCTGGTGCTGCAGATGAGGCTCCTCCTGGCTGCCAGGGGTCTCCAGCTTTGGAGCCACTCTTAGCATGGAAAGCCCTTGGACTCCTAACATCACAGTGGTTCTCATCAAAATGAGTGCAGCTTGGCCCTATGCCGTGGACGCTCTTCTCTCTGCCCTGGAGCAGCAAGTGTTAATGACTCTCCTCTGGGCAGCCTGAAGGCACAGAGCCGCACAGCTGGGGAAGGTGAGGAAGTGATGAGAGGTCCTGAGAAGGAGCAGCTGCCTTCCTTTCTTGGTGGAAACTGAGTCTGTGGCCATGTGCATGTATGTGTGTGCATATGTGCCCATGCATATGTATGCTGGGAAAAGCGGGAGGATGGAGGCAGAACTAAGAAATCCCACGCTGCTGTTGCTCCTTGAAGATCCCAGCATCCCATCCCCAAGGCTGGCTTCAGCCCAACTGAGAGCTTAAGGATCCAGGTTCCTCAGGCAGGGTGCTGACGGCCAAGCTCAGACTCAGAGGCCCACAATGGAAAAAGAAGCAGCTGCCTAACTCCGTGATCACAGAGGCCCCAGTAAGCTTTCTGCCATCCTGCCTGAAGTTCCCACCATGGCAGCCTCTCTCTGCCCCAGGCCTTGCTCCTCCTCTCTCAACCCTCCCAGCTGCTGTCCTGAAGGAAGCCCACACCACCCCTCCCCTTTCTCAGGTCTCTGTCCACGTAACGTTGACAGCTCTTGTTTAATTACCTGACAGTTGCTTCAGTTCTCACTGGACACAAATAAATAAAACGACATTCTCTGATTAATTCATGCCAAAGGGCATACTGGATCATATGGGCTGGGTTCATGTAATGATCCTCTACAGTGACATTTGTGCTTTAACAAGGTCCATTGACAAGCCAGAGGAACCAGGGGAAGGGGTGGGTGGTGGCTGGAAGGAAGAGTGAGGGTCTAGACATTTTACCCTCTCCAGGAACCACTCCGGCCGACTGCCCAGGCCATCAATCCGGATCCGCATCTTGGTGAATGGAGCAATGTCTAGGATCTCCATGATGAAGGTGTCGTTCTGCTCCCGCTCAAACCTGGGGGTGGAGAGGAGGGGCATGAAGAAGGGAAGCTGGCCATTGGGGAGGGTTGGGGTGGGCCAGGCCAGAGGCCAGGTTTGGGGTGAGGGAGAAGATTAGGCCTTTACTCAGCAGCCCCTCTGCTCTCAGCAACTCTCCACCAGCCCATCTCTTGCATCCCAGATGTGTTCCTGAAAGACTGGGTTAAGTGAGTTTGGCTAGTAGAAATGGCCCCGAACCAAGAGGTATCAGTGCTGGGTTCTAATCTCATTCTACCAGTCACCTAGAATAGTCCTAGTTCCTTTCTAGAACTTGGTTTCCTTACCTGTGGTCTGGAGAATAACACTAGCCCTGCAATCTCACAAAACTGTGATGGAGACCAAATGGATGTGAAATCAACTTAAAATGGAAAAATAATTCCATATCTGAAAAGCTGTAAATGAGATTCTGTGCATGACAGGCCCGTTGCGAATGGTGGGGCAGGCTGTGCACTGCACAACTCTAGATGGCATCGTTCACATTTTTCTATTTGCCATCTGCAAAACTGAACACAGTGCCCTGAATTGGGTAATGCTACTGCCAACTGTAAAGCAGTAGGCAAATAGAAGGTAATGCTGCTTTTGTTGCTATTATTATTTTCCTGCTGAATGACCTCATCATCTCAGAGATGCTCTATCTTTATTCCTTACTGCTCTTCCCACAGTGCCGCATGTACAATTCGACCTTCAATGCTGACTGATTGCTTGACTGCTGACTGATTCCAGATGATACTGCTGATAAGGCCCTCGGGGTAATGCAGGTGGCACTGGAGATGTGGCTCTGCATGGCAATCGTCGTGCTTCCTTGAATACAAGACATATTTTTATGTCTTTTAAAAACAGAGGCCATAGCTGATGGCGGCTGAGACTTAAATATTGCAAATTGAGAACTAACTACTGCTAGTCTTAAAGGTGGTGGTGAAACAGAGACAATCTCTTCTGACAACTTGCTCTGTGTGCATTTTACAATTATTAGAAGTAAAAAAGTTATCTCAAAGTCAGCCCCATATCCCTCCTCCTCTAATTGAAGCCCCATCTGTCCCTCTGGGCATAATGGAAACTGTAAGGAGGTGCTCATGTCACATTCATGTCACACACTGAGATTCTCTCAAATAATCTTTCAATTCCTTACTCTTGCCAGGAGCATGATTTTGCAGATCAAAAGAGCTTTAGAATTCTTCGCTTTGCATGTCTCTTTAATTTTCACTCTTTGAATTTAGCCAAGTGTCTTCATTTTATGGAGATTTTATGGTGGGACAGGTGTAAGGAAAAGGGGAGGAGAAACAAGCTTTTCTTCTGGAAGACTGCAAGGAGATTACATTTACCCCCTCACCCTTCATTCCAGGCTGAACCCCAATTAACCTGGATGGACTTCCTCTCTTCGGTGTAAAACCATCTAAAGTGAAGGCCCTTATTTGTCCTTCAGTCTTCCCAACTCACTAGCCACATCCTTCCAGGTGCCCCAGACCCCCTCCAGACACCTCAGTTGAGGAGCCAGCCTTTGATCCAGGCCTTCTGCCCCTGGTTCACAGGGACAGGGCTGTTGTGTGGCCCAGGATTTTTGCTGTTCATCTACTCAAAGGATCCTCTGCTCAGCAGCTGAGGCAGTGGTGTCTAGGAAGGGCCCCCTTTGGCTGCCCCTCACGTCCTTCCTATTCTGGTTTCCTTCTGTTCCTGCCTGCTATGAAAGGCTGTCCTTAGGGAGGGCCCAGCAACCACTCCCTCACTGGGCTCCATGACTGAGCACAGCCTGAAGGCTAAACAGGGCCAAAGGCTTAGGCTGGAAGGACAACTATTTCATGGGAGAATTTTTGGCATTGCTACAAAGCCCGGGAAGGGTTATGGTTAGGGACCCTGGGAGAGGGCTGGCCAGCAGATGGGGATGGATGGTGTGGGGTCTAAAGCCCACCACGCTGGGCAGCTGCTCAGGCAGTTTGTCTTTGTGACATCTTAGGGGCATAGCTGGGGCTCTCAGGATTGGCCAGGGTCAGAGTGCCAGTTTTAGCTTTGCTCTAGACCACCCTCCTTCCAGTCTGAAGTTCTCCATATCCAAGGCCATTGAGCCTATGCTTGAAATCACCTTTGAAAAAATTATAACAGAAAATTTTGGCAGTGGAAGAGATCTGATTTAATCAACCCCCATCTTGCCTTTAGCCTTCAAACTCCCCTTGATTCTTCCTGAGTTTGGGTCAAGCTAACTTTGGGAGACATTTAGTGTATAGTTTAAACGATAATAGCCCTTCCATAAAGTTAAGGAGAGACTACCAGCCTAGGAGGATGAGAGGAGCCTGAATTCTGCTAAAACATAGACATAAACATTGCCAGCCATTATTACAGATATGCACTTCCCCAATTACCCCTGCAGATAACAACATCGCCATTTTAAACTGAAGACTGGCCTTTAGAGATGTCTTTTCAGGTTTTTTGCATGTCTGATGACCAATGGCTCCACCTGGACCTGCCAACAGCTCTTGTGGCCCCACCCAGAAACGACTCAGCATGCAATGAGGGCCATTTCCCAAACCCCTATAATTGTACCCCCAAACCAATCAGCAGCAAGCACCCATTGCCTAGACACCCCCATTTCTTCTCCCAAACTATCCTCAAAAAACCCTTGTCTCTGAATTTTCAGGGAGGCTGATTTGAGTAATAATAAAATTCTGGTCTCCCATTTAGCCAGCTCCACATGTGTAAAACTCTTTCTCTATTGCAATTCCCCTGCTTTGATAAATCAGCTATCTCTGGGCTGTGGGCAAAATGAACCTACTGGGTGGTTCCATGCTTAGACAGCTCTACTGATGGGGCTCCATGGCCACCCTTGCAGCTCTTTTCCTCTTAGGACATCCATGGCCAACCTTTAGTAAGTTTTTGTTACATTGAGTTCTGCCACCAGAATAAATTGTTGAATTGTCAACATCTGACCAATCTCAGTGCCTCTACTCTCTTCCCTCTCTACCCCTTTGAAACAAACCACTGGATCTCTCTCTTCTCCAGGGTCCTCAATGGAATACTATGCAGCAATGAAAATGAGCAAATCACAATCACACTCAACAGCTCAGGAAAATATGAAAAACCTGATGCGGAGTGAAAGAACTAAGACATAAAATAAGATATATGGCCTGATTCTATTTAGGTACCATTCAAATCCAGGTGATATAAAAGCCTATCATTAGGTATGAAATCCAGGTGATATGAAAGCATAGCCCCATGAGATGGAGATCAAAAAAGAAAGGAAACAAGAAAATGTTTACCTTAAAAGCTGAGAACTGTCAAGATTTAATTTCTTGGCCTGAAGGCAGCATGGAGGGTTTACATAAGTTTTTGCTTTACAAGTATCAATAATGTATGTACTTTTACATATATATGTATGTTCATGATAAAATGTTTAAAAATGTAAATGTCTCTAGAACCTTTGACTGTTCTTCATGTGACAGAATTTTCAGATCCATGCTCTGTGGATTGTAGCCCCTGTGGTAGGCTGAAAAATGGTCCCCCAAAAGATATCCGTGTTCTAAATCTTGGAATCCATGTATATAACTGTATGGTAAAAAGAAAAGGGAGGTCTTTGCAGATGTAATTAAGTTAAGAGGCTTGAGATGGGGAGATTATCCTGGATTATTCCAGTGGGCCCTTAATGTAATCCCAAGAGTCCTTATAAGAAGGCAGAAAGAGAGAGATCAACACATACACAAAAGAGGTGGGATGTGAAGATGGGGCAGAGATGGGAAGACCTGGCCTTGAAGGCTGGAGTGATGCAGCACAAGCCAAGGACTGCTGGCAGCCACCAGAAGCTGCAAGGAGTGGATTCTCTCCCAGAGCCTGCAGGGCACATGGTGGTGCTGACACCTTGATTTCCACCCACAGATTCTGATTTCAGGTTTCTGGCCTCCGGAAAAATGAGAGAAGAAAATTCTGTTGTTTTAATTACCACTATGTTTATGGTAATTTTGTATCACCACTTCAGGAAACTAATATAGCCCCAAGTGATGTGACTGGAAAACTTTGGGACCAGAAAGCAGGTAGACAAGGGGAGGCTGCCTTGGAACTCACACAGAGAAAATTCCAAGCCTGGGGCTGGTGAGCAGCAGGGAGTTGGCTTCAGTGATGATGTAAGTGTCCATGGAGGCTGAAGTAACTGGGACACAAAAGACAGAGCCTCCAGTCCCAGGCTCTGCTGATCTGGGCTCCTTAGGGACCACTGGGAAAGCTGGACCTTGTGCATCCCCTACGAGACATATGAGGTGATGGGGAGCTGCATCTCTATCTTGTGGGCATCTTTGCTGTGGTTTGAGAGTAGAACAAGGTCAAATCTTAAACAGATTCTAAGTCTCTGCTATTCTTGAATGCCATGATCAGACCTAGTACATATCTGCCAGTCTCCTCTTAAAGGGCAGCCCTTGAGCTACAGATGGTGCTTTGAGAGGGGTGCCCAGCAGTGAGTGCAGGAACTTTTCAATTGCCTGACTCGGGTGCCCCTGGATGGCAGCAGTTCCTGGAACTCAGCTTTCCTTCCTCTTCTCTCAGACCACCATCATTCATGCTGTCCCCTGGGACTCACCTCCAAGCTCTCTGAGAAGGACTCAACCTTCCCACCCAAGTCTTCTGCCCATGAAGTCCCCAAAGATAAGCCCTTTGCAGTCTCAGAGCTTTATTGCTAAAAAGACTAAGATTCAAGTGATAAAGATGTGGAAGAGAGAGTCAAAACTTACAAGCTTACTACAGCCCTAGACATGGTCACAGCCAAGTATTTCCTGATCCTTTCCTGAAAGGGCAACTGGAATCCCATTTGAGTGTCTGTCCTCTGTTTCCATTCCCTTGAGCTCAGCCTCTTTCCATGCTCTTTGTACTAAGGGTTAGTGAAAGCAATAGGCCATCCTGAAGGGTAAACCCAGCAGAACTCTTTTGTGACACAAAAAGGGACCCAAAATCCTTTTTGTGTCCAGTCTAAGGAAGCTCCCATTTCACTAGGTTTCTACTGGGCCTAGGCATGACCCCTCATAGGCATTTACTTCCCGCTATAGAAATACCACAATTCTTTGTCTAAAAATAGTTTCTACACCCACTGGACACCAATCGCCTCAAATCCCTCTGTTAGAGACTCATCTCCTGAGAGTATGCATTACCTTTTAGGGCATCATATTTTCTGAATGCCATATTAATTCACCAGCATCTCATGGGAGTTAATTTACCAGAACCATTTTCTCTGAAGTGGCAAGATGAGAAGTTGGGAAATTTAGCTGGGGAGTGGGATAGAGTGAACTGCTATTGGCTATTGTAAGCTTCAGCCCCTGGGTATAGCATCTGACTGCAGGAGCGTTGCAGCAGGTAGAAGCCTCATGATACCTTCTGTGTGAATGCATGCATATCTCAGCCTCATTCTGGTCACATACCATTTGAAAGTATCACCTTGCACAATAGCAAGCTGTGCCCATGACACATGCCCAGTGGGTCTTTCTATCTATCTTCCTAGTCAAGATACAGACATTCTTAACAAGGACTTCAAGACACAGGTGAAACATCAGGCCACATGCAAATGAAAAAATCAAAACATGTCTCGGGTAACAGCCCTGAGCTTGCAAACCAGGGTAATCAAGAAATGATGGCTCCCCTCACAAAATAAATCTTTATTCAGAAAAAAAAAATCTTTTAACTAGCAAGGTGGCTCAAAGCATTTACAATATGGTTGTATTTATAATGATGTGATTTTCAAGCAACATTTTTGGAATTTAGATACTTCCAGAAACGAGATGCCTCTTCCACCAGCAATTAAGCCTTGTACATCTGGAAAACAAGTTGGAATGTAGGAGTGGGATAGTTAATCAGAGAAAATCCAGGAATATGGGGTTGGGTAGAGATTAGAGTCACAGTACAGAAGTAAAGACTATAGGAGACTGAATATGCAAACAATAGTAGCCAGACCATGTATGATAATAGAACTCTGAGCTGCCTCCTCTGCAGCGACCATCCCAAGAAACCACGGTCTCTACAGAAATTGGTCCAGAATGGTCAGGACTTGGGCAATGGCCCCCAGCTTCCCTATTTTGTCCCTGCTCCCAACTCAGGACTAACCAGACCGACGGACCAAATCCAGATATGCTCCCCAATGCAATCACGTATGAAATCCCGATTCTGGCTACCCTACCTCCAGCTTTACCACACCAAAAATAATGCTTCACTATAAAGCTCCTCCTCCTCTCACAGCCTTCAAATCTCTACCAAACCAAGTGATGGTAACTGAGTCTCTTGTTGTAGCAAGCTCTAAGTAGAGAGTTTCTGTTCTCATTTGGTCCTCCTTTATTTCTAGAACCAAGTTCAAATCCCAGTTCCCCTACTTACTTGCTGTATAACCTTGGGCAAGTTATTTCACCTCTATGTGTCTCAGGCATCTTACTGGTGGAGACGATAAGAGTACAAAGAGTGATAAGAGGGGTGTTGTGAGTTAATATATATTAAAAAGCACTTGCAACAGTGCCTGACATGGAATAAATGTTCAATGCATGTTAGCCATTATTATTATCACGACTGCTGTTGATATGGGAAGAATTCAAGGAGGAAATGGGAGTTGCAAAATGAGACAGCAGAAGTGCTAAAAGAAGACAGACACAAAATCAGACCCCCAGGGATGAGCTGCATAGGGCCCATAGGATGGGCAAAGCTCCAGCTTGCACGAGCTGCTCCGTCCATGAAAAGAAATGCTGCCTGGTCCTCAAAAGCTTCAGTAGCCACATCCTCATCATCACCAACACCACCTTCATCACAATTATCATCCCTACCATCATCACCTTCATCCCTATCACCACTGCCACCATCATAATCATCATCATCATCACCATCACAATTATCATCCCTACCATCATCACCTTCATCCCTATCACTGCCCTCATCATCATAATCACCATCATCACCATCATTATCATCATCATCACCATCATCACAATTATCATTTCTACCATCACCTTCACCCCTATTACCACCACCATCATCATCATCATCCCTACCATCATCAACATCATCATCCCTACCATCACCTTCATCCCTATCACCATCATCACTACCATCATCCCAGTCATCATCCCTACCATTCAGCACCATCAATATCACCATCCTCACTTATCATCCACAATGTCCTCATCACCACCCCAATCCAGAAGTATTGAGTGCCTACTATAAGCAAGGCAAGAGCTAGGAGGTATGAGGGGCTCAGAAAGGAAGCCGCCTGGGTCCTGCCCTCCAGCTAAGGGAAGGAGTGCTGTGTGTTCAGAGGCAAGTTGCTGTGGGTGGGTTTTTAAAATGTTAAGCTTAGGATCCGAGTCTGTCATCTCTGGTTCTTAAGATGTCAGGGGCCAGGGATGTTTGGGGGACAGTGGCTGAACATGACAAACCAGCCCAAACCCAGGACTGTCTAAATTGGGAATCCAAGGGAGGACAGGGACAATGAGTACTATAGGAGGGCCATCTTTAATGTCATTACTAATCACTAATGAGTGATTAGGACTGGGGGCCATCTGGGTATAGTTTGCAGTGCCACAGCTTAACGGCCATGGGACTTTGAGCATATGACTTTACCTTATTGTGCCTCAGTTTCTCACCTGTAAAATGGGGATGATAATAATTGGGTTATTATTATAGGGTTGAGGAAAAGACTAAGTGTATCAATACATGACTTATGATAGAACAATGCTTGGCACAAAACAAGCTTCTATAAATGTTAGTGTTGCTGTTATTGCCCTCCTTAGGTTAAGCTGTGTAAGTACAAGGACCCTTGTCTTCTTGGTTATATCATCTCTTCAGTGCCTGAGTCAGTGCCTGGCATATACTAGGTGTTCAGTCTTTTTTTAATGTTTTGAAAATTGACTATATTTTATTTTGTAATCATTTGAGACTTACAGAAAAGTTGCAAAAATAGAATAGAGCTTCTGTGCCCCCTTCACCTAGCTCTCCTTAATGTTAACATCTTATATTGCCATAGTACAGTTAATGAAACCAAGACATTAACAATGATACAATACCATCAACTAATCTACCAACCTTACAATAAACAATTTTGAGTACCAAATGAAAGAAAGAAGAAATGTTATGGGTAGAGGTGATCAAGGAATACTTCCTGGGGGAGGTAGATTTGAGCTGGCCCTTGAAAGAGAAAGGTACTGAGACAGAATAGACAAAGGCAGAGGAAGGAAGGCCTCATGGTCTGCAGCGGGCATGTGAGAATCAGCCTGGCTGAAGGCAGGGTGGGGCAGAGGGGGAGAGTTGAATGTGGGAGGGGTGAGGGGCAGGGGCCGCCTCCAGGTACCTGGCTTTCTTTTTGTCCAGCTGCATCTCCTCTGTGCTCCCGTTGATGCCGTAGAGGGTCATGAAGATGTTGGAGTCAGTGCCCCCGCCAACCACATCCCCTGTCCACACCGTCATTTCATAGAGAACCTGCCATGAGAGGAATGCAGGTGCTGAGTCTCAGCCTCACCCTCCAACCCCACCTGACCTGCCTCAGTCTCACCAGAGAAAGAGACACACTGTCCAAGTTCCACAGCTCTGGAAAGAGCCCTTCCTCAAATCAACTGTAAATGCCTGGACAGCAAAAGGCAGCCTTGTCACTCTCTTATATACCCCACTGTGCCCAGTCCCACCCTAGAAAGGAGTTCTGACAGCCCTTCTGCAATAGAAACATGATGGAAAGCCTGGCGTTAACTGACGCTGTCAGTTGAATTCCAACCTAAGTCCAGGCATGCCAGCAGCGCATGGTGGCAGGACAGTGGCCTTTGGAGCCCTCCAGAGCTCCATGTGAATCCCAGACCTGCCACCTGCTGGCTGTTAGACCCGGGCAGATGCCCGACCTCACCAGCCTCTGCTCCCCTGTGGTAAAATAGGGATAAGCTCCCTTGCAGAGTGAGAGCTGCTGACAATTCGCATGGCACCTGGTGCTGAGCCTGCCACCTGTGCAGCCCCAAGCAGCAGCCAAAGCTCTGGGTGTCAGTTCCCCTTCATGCCACAGCCTGCACATGCCCTGCAGCTGCGAATGAGGGGTGCCATCGGGAGTGATTCTTACAGAGGGAGCACTGCCTCAATCCACTGGAGAAGTGAGACAATCCCCTAGTTCCATGATGTTCACTTGAGATTGGGGTTTTGCCATTTAGCCTGAGGTGTGCTCCAAAGAGAATGTCTGCCCTCTGTCTCCACTGGAGGGTGAGGCGCAGCCTGCTCTTCCTGGTGTGCCTTCACCAAGCCCCCACCTCGGTTCTTCCTCTGTGAGGCAGCCTCGTGGCAAGAGAAAGCACTTACACTGATGTTCTAGAATGTTCTTTGGTCCCAGATTCTTACTCCCTTCCTTCTCACCAAGTGCCCCTGGACTCACAGTGAAGTCTGAAGGTTCAGGAGAGGCTCAGACACACGGTTGGGGAAGGGCCATCTTGACTGTCTCCTTTGAACGTACCTGGTCCAGTGTGTCCCTTCTCTGGAGGCTGCTACATTCCTCTATCACCTGTGCAGGGGCCTGGTCCCCATTACCCAGAAGCCTGGACCTCCAAACCGGAGCTATTAATCACAGCGGTCATGTTCCCATCATTGTCCTGGTGGGGGTTGCATGCTTTTCTGGCAGCATCTAGAATCTCTGCCAGGACACTGTGAGGTTTGAAGTATTCTGTGCAGGCCTGGCCCGCAGGAGAAATTCAGGACATGTTTGCTGAGGGAATGGATGAAGAGCCTCTTGCTTTACCAAGAAAATCCCCTTAGGCCACCCAACAAGGGCATTCATGATGGGCAGGAGGAGCCACTGGGAACAAAAGTGCGAGCCTGACACTTTTTTGCTCTTATCCAGGCAGGCATAAAAAATAGAATGATCAAAATGAGTGCTTCAGCTGCCCCATGGAGACTGGCCCCTGAGAGCTGGTCCGTCCGACTCTTGTGTTCTCTGCATCCATCTTTCTCTCCTTTACACAGATACATCTCTTTTTATGTAATAAGTGTGCTTCCAAAAAGAGACAGAAACAGTGCTCTTGTAATTCTAGTCTGATACCAGGTGTCCTGGGGAGATGGCCAGCCCAAAGAACCCTGCAGTTCTTTGTAAAGTGACAAACCTGTGTTCCTTTGTGCCATGGATAACGGGTGTAGGTCTGGATTTTCCTGGACTAAAGGGCTCCAAGGGAGCTGCAGCTGCACTGCGTGGGGTGTGCATGTGTGCTGGGCGGTGGCACAGAGGCACACACAGGCTGGGAAGTGGGTCAGGCGGAGGTCCCTGGATGAACTGTGTGCTCACCCACACCATCCGTCTGGCCACAGATGGAGATGTCTGGGGGGTAGGGGAAGGATGTGCGCTATAGAAAGTGCTGCTCTCTGAGTCTCTAGCAGGCGAGAGGCAGGAGAGTGGCAGGCCCCCACACTCCTGCCTGTCAAGGTTTTTAGAGCCCCACTTCTGTTTCCATATACAATGTAGGCAGAGCACACTCAGGTCCAGGTGATTTCTTCTCACCTTTGTGGGACAGCTTCTGACCTGGTCCAAGAAGCCCATTGGTTTTGATTCAGTACCAGAGATAAGGGCTGGGGCCTTCTGTTGACCCCATAGCCATGAGCCAAAAAGAGAAACCCACAGGGTCAGGTGAAACAGAGGCTTCTGGGCCACCAAATGGCTGTGTGTCCTCAGATCCTAGCACCAGGCATCTGCCTCCTGCCTGGCCTGACCTGTGCGTTTATATAATTTATCCCAGGTCATTTGACCAGTTAGAGATGGAGCCAGGACCGAAGCTCAGACCTCTTGCCCTCCAGGCTTTTTCAGTTAAGGAGGGTATTGTGTGGACACCATTGGCTGCACCGTGAGACTCAGAGATTCACAGTATCCCAGATGCCATCTTTCCTATCACCACTCTACTGCTGTTGATGGTGGATCCTTTGGTGAACAATGACCCTGCCTGTCTACATAGAGCTGCTTACTCACAAAGCTCTTCATGAATTGTGATCTCATTAATTCTCAACAAGACCATACATGGAACAGGCCATGAGTAGCAGGGATGCATTATTTCTAAGCAGTGTATGGGAAGACCAAGGCCCAGAGAAATGAGATGACTTGCCCAAGGTCACACGGCAGCAGACCAGAAGAGAGTTCAGTCTGCGGCTCCTAGCAAAGTACATCTGGCTAGCACACCAGGCTGCAGCGCCTGCGGATGCCCCAGTGATGAGTCTCCTACTTCTTCCACTTCTGTCTCCCCTGCTGCTCCCCACCTCAACCTGCACTGCCCTGGCCATGCACTGCACACTCACAGTGCCCCCCCTACCTTCACCCCAATGTTCACCACCATGGCATCCAAGAGGTCGAAGACACGGGAGGTGATGCCGTCGCCTCTGTCCTTGGCCAGCCAGCAGTTACAGTTCAACATGTACTTGGTGCCCTGGGTGGGCACTGCCAAACACAACTCTTCCACCAGCCAGCAGCTCTCAGGGGAGGCCCCGTCATGGCCCAGCTAGGAGGAGACACACCTGATCTGTGACGATCTGGGCACAACTGGGAAGGAAGTGCTCCCTGCCCAGCCCCCTCCCTCAGTGCTTCTTCCCAGTATGCTGTGCACTTGCTGGCCCAGGTCCCTCCCATGAAGGTGAAGAGATTTTGCAGATATAATTACAGCCTCTAATTAGGTGACTTTGAGTAGTTTGGACCTAATCAGGCGAGCCCTTAAAAAAGCATATCTAGATGTCAGAGGTGAAGAAGTTGGAGATATTTGAAGCAGAAGAGGTTGTCTCCTATTGAACAAGAAAACAGCCAGGTTTTGGAGAGGGCCTCATGGTGGGGAATGGTGGGCTGCTGAGAGATGAAGTCCTCAGTCCTACACCCCCAAGAAAATGGATTCTGCCAACAACCAGTGAGCTTGGAAGATGACCCCAAGCCCCAGATAAAATCGCAGCCCTGGCTGCAACTTGATTTCAGCCCACTGAGATCTCAAAGATGGACCCCCACTAACTCACACCTAGACTCCTGACCCATGAAACTGTGAGATAATACATTTGTGTTGTTTTAAGGCACTAAGTTTGTGATAATTTGTTACACAGCCATAGAAACTAATACACAGAACATTCCCACTGGGTGGGTGGAAGACAGACACACAGAGGGGCAGGTGGCTCACCCAAAGTCACCTGGCTAGTTGGTTCTTCTCTGCTACCTGCTCTAAGGGGTGCTGCAGGTAGGCTGTTCTTCCCACCCTGCACTCTCCCGCCCACCCAGGAACTGGTCAGCTCTGTCTATCCCTAGGGTGGTCACTATCATGGGGCCCCGAGAAGCCAGCACCTCTATTTTCTTGATGATGCCCACATCCAAGCCTGCGACGTAGAACTCCTCCACAGAGCCACGGCTGAAGCCCCTCTTCCCTCGGGGGTAGTCCAACCAGATGCGCTTACTACGTTCATCATCCTCCCCGATGAGAAAGATGAAGGCTCGGCTGTCAGTGGCCGCGTCCTTGTGCTTCCCAGTGGTGACTGACACATAGTAGGGAATAACTGCAAGAGATCACGGGGCTCAGGTTCATAACAGACCAGATAGACAAGGCACTGCCTCATAGACTCACAGATTTGGAAGTGACCTCTGAGGGCACTGATCTCAGCTCCTTGCTCAGAGACAAAGTGCAGTGAGCCCTTCAGACTGGTAAGTTATCTGTGGTGTGTGTCTCCTCTCCAAGAACTGAGGGAGTTGCTAACTCCCAATGTACAGACCAAAGACAGCATTCTTGTCATTTGTTTGGAGTGTCAAGCTTCTAAAAGCTCTTTTGACCAATTATCCTACTTGAACCTAGCACTATTATGTGAAGGAGGGTAAGAAAAATAACCTCTCACCACGTATAGGCATTATATGCCCAAAAAGCTCCCTATGGTCAACAAAAATGCTGTTGGCAAAAGCAAGGTCTCATAGAAAGAAGGAATTTGAAGAAGAACATAAAAATGTATCATATATGCCACATAGTGAATGAAAGTCCTAGAAGACAGCAATTTCCAAAACACACCAGATTAATCAGCATAAAACTTACTCAGGTAGTGTCCATAGAGTTGTAGTTTCCCACCAACTATCCATTCTTCTTGCAGCTGGGGTGGTTATGACATGGAAGGAGACATTGTTGGGTAGGTTTCTGGGGAAATCTTTTTTTTTTTTCTTTTTTTTGAGATGGAGTTCCACTCTTGTTGCCCAGGCTGGAGTGCAATGGCACGATCTCGGCTCACCGCAACCTCTGCCTCCCAGGTTCAAGTGATTCTCCTCCCTCAGCCTCCTGAGTAGCTGGGATTACAGGCATGCACCACCACACCTAGCTAATTTTGTATTTTTAGTACAGATGGGGTTTCTCCATGTTGGTCAGGCTGGTCTCAAACTCTTGACCTCAGGTGATCTGCCCACCTTGGCCTCCCAAAGTGCTGGGATTACAGGCATAAGCCACCACGCCTGGCCAGGAAATCTTCTTTAAAAGGTCTGACTCAACTGGGAGGAGTACTCTTTTTTTCCTTACCCTTCCATTCATTCTGCTTGGAATATGGATGTGATGGCTGGAGCTCCAGCATTCATCTTGGAACCATAGGCAACATTTAGGTCATTTATAAGGTTGCCAGAATGACCAGGTTAAAGGAACCTAGGTCCTTGATTGCACTGGAACTGCTATATTAGTCCCAGGTGGCCTACCTTTGGACTTTTATGTGAGTGAAAAGAAAAATTCCTAATTTGTTTAAGTCACCATTTCCAGGTCTCTGTCATTTGCAGTTACTAATTGATACAAGTTGGAAACCCTTCTCCGGGTTCATCTTTCTCAATAGCTTGGAAGACACTACCCTGGCATAGTGGATTTTAGGTTATACAATCTGTATTTCTTTGAAAAGTTTCCAAACTGTCTCTTCCTGGCTGGAATTACTTGCACATGGCCTTATTTTATCTTTACAGGGGGAGCCTTTCCACAGGTGATCATAGTGCTTAAGGAAAGGTACTTTCTTGGTGGTCCTATCACTCATTTACAGAGTGAAAAGGTAAACTGCAAGCAGACTGACTTTCTCTGCCTGACTCCACAGATCCACCATGTGGCCTCCTGGAGGGGGATAGCATGGTTGTCACACTCTTATGTTTAAGAGAACTGACTATGAAAGTAGTGCATTCAAATGTTTGATAGGCAATTTAGAACTGCCTTATCTCAAAAATCTGGTTAGCAAAAAGAACTTGCCAGGGAACTCTGATATTGTTTTATGGAGGAAGAAAAAACTGAAGCCAAGAGACTGGCTTGTCCAAGGCCACACATTTTATTTTCAGAATCAGAAATGGAACTTCAGTCCCCAAATGACCATCTCAGGACTTCTTCCCCTGCCTTCACCACCACATCATGCCTTAAGTTTGCATGACTGAGTGCTTTGTGTGATGCTCTAGTGACAGGTAAGGGATGTTCATTCTCACCCTAACTTCCTTTAACCTTTGTTTCCCCATCTGCAAAGGGGGCTTAGCCCTGCCCTCTCACCTTGCAGGGTTGTTCTGGGGATAAAACAGGTAATATGTGTGAAAACTATGTAAATGACTAAGTGTTAGATATGTCATCGGTGATGGTGGGGCTCAAGAATGGCTCATCCAAGAATTGCTTTAAAACATTTCCATGTGCCTGGCCCCCGTCCAAAGAGCTCCCTGGTTGGCTTACTTGGGCCCTCTTGAACGTAGTCAGCCATGGGCCCGGTCACTGTGCTGATGTCGACATCGGCCATCTTGGAGCTCAGGGCGATCTCCCAGAAGTCAGCAGGGCTGCTGCAGTTGCTGCTGCGGTCCCCAGTGTACTCCTGTGTGGGAGAGCAGGACTGGCAGTTGCAGCTCCAGCACCTCCACCTCGAGGGACCTCCCCTAGGCATGAGGATGGCCACAGGCCCTATATACCCCTTGGCTCACCTTCTCGTAAAAGAGCCTCTCGAGTCGCCCATCCTCCTTCTTCAGGGAGAGCCAGCGCCCGCATAGGAACAGGAACTCGTCCTCGTTGGTGTCATTCCAGATCTCCACCTTCTCCACGTACCAGTCTGCGCACCACTTGGAGTTGTCATGGCGGAGCTTGATCTTGTAGATGACGCCTAGGTCAGCGGCCTCGATGATGAAGGTGTCAGCCTGGGGAGCCCAGATGTGGGGACTCATATGGGGGTGTGCCACCCACTCAACCCACTCCAGCCCCACCCTTCTGGGACCTTCCTTCCCCCTCAGTTGCTGCACTGAACAGACCTTCTTTGCTGGGGAGCCCTCCAGGCCCAAATCCCCAACACCGAGCCTGTGGGGTCCAAGGCCTCATATCCACAGTGGTCCCATTTTGCAGTCCACTTATATGTGTGGTGCCATGGAGAAAACTGCCTTCACCACATTCCTTTTGGGAGAAGCCTGTGGGTGTTTCGAAGCCTCCTCTGTGTAAGGGGGCTGGGACCTGAAGGTCATGGGCAGAGACAGAGGAGGGGTGGTCAGCTGGTCCTGTTCCCAGACTCCTTAGCTATGCTGAGCATTGGGGATAAGTCCAGCTGTGGCAACCGGAGGGCAAAAGCTCTTCTAGAGATGAACTTCTGAGTAACGGGAGGGGGTTTGAAATTCCCTGAGAGATGCTGAGAGGGAGTTAGATGAACCAGTAAGTCTGGGCTGCAGGAGAGGAGGCAGTAGAGGTGAGGCTCTGGGGGAGGAAAGGCTGTGGAGGGACTCAGGGACAAACATCTGGGATGCAGGCTCAAGGGGGTTTTGTGGGGGTTGTGATACAAGGCCCTAATCTGTATCCCTGAGTCTGTCTTCAGTCAAGTGGACATTCCACTCTTGTGTGCTGATTCTTTGAGGGGAGCTCAGTGAGGTGTGGATCCTAGGCTTTGAATGAGATGGGGCCAAGACAGAGTTTGAATGTGGGAAGTTAGGATGGGAGCCTGAGGAGGGTGAGAGGGGACAGGTGACACTGAGGGACACCTACTTTCCTTCTGAAAGATTTGCTGGGTGCAGGTGCCATGTGAGTCATTGTGCTGAGCCCTAGGAATCCAGAGATGAATAGAATAGGATGCCCTCTGCCCCCAGGACCCCACAGTCCAGGACAGCAAGAGGAGGGGATGGGTAATTCCAGCTCAGGTGGTGGGAACAACATCCTGTGTGAGGACTAGAGCCAGGCCTAGGAAGACAGACGTCTCCAGGTGTCAGCATTAAGCTGCAGCTGGGGGGCTGGGCTTTCCAGGCAGCTCAGGTAGGGAAAGACCATGGCCAAGGCAGCTGCAGGTAAATAGCAGCCAGTGGTGTGTGGCCGAAAGCAGATGTGGATGGGAGCAGTCCTGGGGTGCTGGCAATCCACTGGGTTCACCAGAGTAAGAATGGGCCCACCCTGAGATACAGCAATTCCACTTGTTTGCATCTGTCCTGGGGGAAGACCTTCACATTGCACAAGGATGTTTACCACAGATAATTTTTACAGTGGAAAATTGGAAGCCATCTGGGGTCCTGTGCTTGGGGAGTGGCTAAATAACTGGTAAAGCCTTTCCTGCAGAAAGTTGTGTGTGCAGTGGCTATAGAGAAGAGTCACCTCCAGCTATGTTTGAATACCCTGGCAGAGAGAGATTTCCAAGGCAGCCATGCACGCCAAGGGCAAGTTAAAGCAGTGTTTATATAGCATGATGCCTTTTATGTATAACAGTAATACCACGGAATGGCTTACCTATTTTCTATGGGTGCATGTACATGTAAGCACAGAAAATGTTTGGAAAGATGCTGAGGTAGAAGAGAGGGTGGGGCATGCTGGAAACTGCACTCAGTGGTCTACAGAGGGCACTCTGAACAGGCCAGTGGGGGTAGGCCATGAAGGTCTACAAATCCCATGAAGGACTCAGGGCAGATCTGGGACCCATGGGGAGCCTTTGCAGGCTTGCACTGAAAGAGTGACTGGTCAGTTTTGGACAGGTTAACTGAGGAAGCTGGAGGGTGGGTTGGATGGCAGGGCCTGGAGCAGAGAGACCATGCTGGCTCAGTGAGTGAGCTGAGATGAGGCAGGGCTGAGTGGAGACAGGGCAGACTTGGCTGATCTAAGGTTATTTAGAAGGAAGACTCTGGAACCTGGCAATTGATTGGATGTGGGTGGGGAGGGGTTTCCAACAGGGAGAGGGGTGTCCAAGATGACTTCCATATTCTGGAGTGATCAGAGAAATGGAAGCTTCTAGATGTTCAGCAGTGAACTTAAGGTCACATGGTTAGTAACTGAGCCAGAAGTTGGTCCAGCTCCCCTGATGGGGCGTCAAAACTGGAGGAAAACAGAAGAAAGGGATGGGGCAGAATGGGACAAAGATTTTTTCTTGTGACATAACAATTGCTGAGAGAGAGGAAAAAAAAAAAAACGGAATCTGAACGCAGAGGGGAATGGCTTGCATCACCTTCATTTATGCTTCCATTCATTTATTTACTTAATCCATATTTATTGAATGCCCACTCTTTGCCAGAGTCTGTAAATAAAGCCATGCATAAAAATGGACCTCTCAGCTGAATGCTGTACATTGCTGCTTTTACAATGCATTTACCAGGCATCAACACCAGGCGTCAACTAGGGCAGGGGACAGGTGAGCTTTCCCAAGACTTGACAACATCCAGCACAAAGAGCTACCTGCCTGCCAGACATGGTTCTAGACACTTCACATTTTTTATTCAGTTGACCTTCACAGTAACTCAAAATTAACTCTTTTTTAGGGTGGAGGAAAAGGAGGCACATAGATGTTAAGTAACTTGTCTAAGATCACACAGCTAGTAAGTGTCAGAGCCACGATCTGAGCTCAGGTGACCTGCCCCTAGCATCTGGGGACCTGATAAATAATATCCCTAGTGTAGAGTCAGGGACAATCACATAAATCACTTGACCTTTTTGGCATTCTATTTTTGCAAGATGGAAAGAGGAGGATAGGACTCCTCCTACCTACTTTATAAGGGCAATGAACAATTAGATCTCTTGTGGAACATGAATGTGTGTGTTTTAGATTATTTCTTCCTGGTACAACATGCTCTTACATCTTGTCCTGTTTTTCAGCCCAGAGGTCTAATTAGCAATCATATTACTATTCCTGCTTCAGATGCAGTAAACTGAAGTTAGAGGTAAATGGTTTCTATCTGGTTGGTGAAGCAGTGAATGGGAGTGCTGGGGGGTCTGACTCCTGGAGACCTGGCAGCCAGGCTGGGGCTCCTTCCACAGTCTCTGACTCACGGGGTCACCAGCCAGCTGCAGACCCACTTAGATGACACCCACCTTTCTAATCCCAGGGCTAATATCCTCCTCACTAGTAGAGTGGTTCAATATTAAGGGATATGCCTGGCTGAGGGTCAGGTTTAAGGAGACCCTTGATAAATACCCATTGGCTGATGTATGAAATCCCCAGACATGCACAGCCACAGGCAAGAGCACAGATCAGGTTAGGAGCCAATCCCCTTAACCTGATCTCCCTGTGGAGATAGCCTGGCCTGTGGGGATTTCAGGCAGATTTCAGTGCATGGAGAGGAGAAGGAAAGGAGGCTGAGGAGCAAGGGCGGGGAGGGGCAGGGGGCATGACAGAAAGGGCACAGACTGGGAGGAGTAGAGGCGGGGAGAGGGGAGCCAAGCTTGCGAGAAAGGAAGTTTAATAAAGCCCACCCTTAGAGACTCCTGTGTTTTTGTAAAATCAGTCTGTCAGAGCTGGAAGAGCCTTACACATCACCCAGTCATGTGGTTTTCAAGCCTTTTTATAGCCACAGAACCCTTTGCTTAACAGACGGCTTGCCTGGCACTGTGATCAACAGGCCAGGTCAAAGTGGATCCACCTGGGAGGGAGTGGGGTGTCCATCTGCACCTGCCTCCACCGCTCCCAAGGGCCTTGGAGCCACCTGGGGCTCTACACAACACAATTTAGCCAATTCATATCTGACCCTTCAATTTACAGATGAGGAAACTGAGGCCAGAGAAGTTGAAGCAGATAAGGAGTTGATAGCAGAACCAGGCCTCCAGATCCCCTCTCCACCCCACAGTTCAAGTCTCTGTCAGCACAGCCCCTGCCATTCTGCAGTGTTCACCTCCACGTTCATGAACCATGCACAGTGAACTGGATTTTCTGAAGATGACCCAGCCCCATCCAGCCAACAACCTCGAGCTCCAGCAGGCCTCCTGCTTGTCCAAGGCCGGCCTTCTGCTCCACCTCATCCCCTATGCAGGATCCAGGGTGGGTGCATCAGCTAGGAGAGGGGAATAAGGCACACTTGCAAGGGAAGGGCAAGGGCAGAGGCCCAAATGAGTGTGCACAATGCCCCATGGAGTTCCTGGATGTCCCCAGGAACCAAGAAGAGCTGGCACCTAGATCGCTGGGCCTGGAGAGGAGGGAAGGAGGGTAAACTCCGTGTGCCCCTCATACCGTTCCTCTCTCGAACTTGTTGGTCCGGTTCTCTGACTTGCCAAGGTATCGCTCCCCAGTGTCCCCGAGGTCTCCATAGATGGTGATGTACACCTTGGCATCCGTCCCTGCCCCAGGAATGTTCCCTGTGAAGATCTGCACCGAGTACAGCACAACTGGGCAGGTGGTGGGACAGACAGACAGACAAAGGGAAGAAAAGGGTGACAGCGCTTTAGGTCTTGAGGAACTGGATTTGTAGGAGGTGCTAAGCTTCTGGCCTAGGCCTCAAGGGGTTAATGCCTTCCTTTTGTTTGCTCAATTATGCATACTCAGCTTCAAATCCATGTGGATTCTCCAGTGGGAACTGTGCTCATCTGATCTAGACCCAGGTAGGCTCTATGAGACCCCAAAAATAGAAACTTTTTTCTAGCACCCCTCAAACGATCTATCTGCCCATATAGCTGCCTGCAGTGTACATGGGGAAAGACTCAGAAACTACCTGAGATGTGTCCACACTGTGGTCACTAAATCTACCTGCCATGATACATGGCAATAAAATGCCTTCCCATTTGAGGGTGACCAGTGTCAACACGAGATCCTTCTCAGTGGTTCACAGAAAGAAAATATTTTGTAAAGAACAGTTTCCCCTCTGTTCATTTCCTCACGTTCATTTATTCTCCAACCCACTGCCACCCTCCCCTGCCCCAGCGGTTCAGGTCAACTCCTCACCGAAGCCACTGTGACTGCCGCCCTCTCCTTGGTCTCCTATGGCCCATAGGGAGGGCTCAGTAAATATGGGTGTGACAATTATTAAAAATTATTACGAAAAACAAAAACGCATGGTATCTTGTTTTTGTTCTGCTGTTTTTATTTAAGGAAAAATAAAACATCTCCTTTCCTAACCTTCTCCTTACCAGGGAGACTCAAGTCTTGCATTTTTATGAAGGCTAAAAATTGGTTGGCCCCTCTGTGTATCCTCTGTCTTTGGAGATTTTGAGTTTCAGGCCAAGGAAGAGGGAACTTGGCTGGATTATCCCCAAGGTGAGAAATGGAAGCTGAAAGGCAGAGGTGGCCAAAGTGGAAGGAAGGTTAACTTCCCTTGTCCTGGGAGGGAGTGAGGATTCGGGAGTATTCGTGGGCCACAGGGACCCCTCACCTGCACACAGGGACCCTATAGGGAAGTGACAGCTGGGCTTCTTTACAGACTTGAAGCTTGAAGGGGGCCTCAAGGGTAGAACAGAGGGCCTTTTGACAAAGCCAGATTCATGCAGGAGTGTTTCTGGCCACCCAGAGAAATGATACTTGTGTGTTGGTGGAGAGCCAGTAGTGACACTGTGTGACAGCGAGCACAGCTGGGAGTGGCACTCATCCTGGACTAAGGGCCAGGCCTCTACTGTGAGCCTCAGGATTCCTAGAAGACCCTCAAAAAGGGGATTCCCCTCCCTGCCGTGAATGAGATGGCCTGTCTTATCAGCCCTTGCAAGTGGGCTCAGAACCACATTTAATTAAATTTAGAAAAGTAAAGTGATGTGAGTTGCTTGTCCCCATGGCTGTAGAACACAGTGACACCCACAGCAGGGTTCCCATGATTTTCTTATTTTCCCCTGGGTTCTGCAGCATTATTCCCTCCTGCTCTCCTTCTGTGTGGCTGGACACTCCTTCATGGGTAGCTTTATGGTTTCCTAATCTTCCACCCATGCCTTGGATGCCAAGGCCTCCCAGGTTCCACCCATATTCCTCAGCTCTCATCTTGCACTTCCTTGAGTTCTCTGAGTCTTTGCCTCCAACCCAGGTCCTTCCTTTGCTTCGGATCCGCACACTTATTACCTAGAGGGCGTCTCCACGTTGACCAGACTCCAACATTGCAAACTCACATGTTCAAACCTAAACTCTACCCTCTCCTGCAACCCCTGTCCCTTTTGCAAACCTTCTCCCCAACCATCTTCCTTGTCTCAGTGGTCCTGCCCAAGCCACTACCCTCCAAAGCTCCTGAGTGCATTGTGAGAGTTGACCTGCAGAGGCTGGTCAGAGACACCGCCAGGGGCAGAAACCAGGGACCAGCCACACTTGCTCCCACCCCACTCTGCCCCACTCAGCTCAGTGCAAAAACCTGTCAGCATTTCACACACTACATTAATAAAGAAAATCCTCTCTTTATTGTCTAAATGTTACCTAAGCTTGTCTTGCTAATACTGACCTGCGGTGACATTAGGAAACTTGTCATAGTTTAGACACAACAGTTGACGGTCTCCCCCCTCATTTTCCCCCTCATCCATTTTCTAGCTGTGCATTTGGGCCTGCTCCACATGTGAGCTAATCACAGGTGGCATGGGCCTATAGGGACACCTTTTCTAGGAGCCTGTGTCCCAGAGCAGGATGCTGTGTCCCCAGGGGCTGGGATGAAATGGCCTCCTCACTCCCCCTTTCTGCTTTCTCCAGTCCTCTGGGAATTAGGAAAACTGATTCAGCTTCTGAATGCTGAGCAATGCAGTAGTGCAGTCAGAGCCAGCTATTTCTGGATCCTCCTCCCTCCCCGTCCCACCCAGGCCACCCGGTGCATCCATGGAGAGATGTTTCCCTAGAAACATCACTGAGCTCAGAGTGAGTTTTGTGGTGTGTTATCCACACAGAACAGCCCAAGTGCTCTCCTGGGACAGCATTCCAGGGCATCCTCTGGGGTCCAAGTTGAGAAGGAAGTTATCCCCAGATTTAATAGCAAAGACTATGTGGAGAAAAGGATAGGAGTAGGGGAGTCACACTATTGAGGCAACACTCGTTTTTATTTCTGGGCGACAACTCAGGTTAAAGGAAAGGCAGAGCTATAGCTGTTTTACTTCTGGTGACAAAAAAGGAAGATGGTGTTTGTCTTTTGTCTTTTGGGTGTCTTATCCACTTGGTGGGCAGAAAGACCTGTCTTCCTGTCTCCATAAGGGGCCCAGAATTTTAAATTTTACTCCAGTTTTTCCAAGAAGACAACACAACAAATTTAAGGTGGATTTTCAAGCTCTTGGAGCTTCTTTGATCTGTGTAGGCTGCCCTGCTAGAGAGATCCACTGTATTCTTTTTCTATCATCAGGGGTAGAAAGTCTGTTTTTTGCAAATGAATTTGACTTTGAAACAGCTCAAGATAATTCAGAGCTGAATGGCTCATGAATAACATGGGGATTGACATGGACGATGCCATTGCTGGTCAAAACAGAGGTATGACTCTGTCCATATGTTCTGGGAAAAGTGTGCGTGTGTGTGTGTCTGTATGTGTACACATATACAATGTAGAAAGAGAGGAGAAGAGAAGGCTGAGGACTGAGCCTTGAGGAATACTATCTAGCATGAGAAAAGAAACCAGCACTCTAAACACTTCAGAGAGGTAGGAAGAGAACTAGAATATGGTGGTATCACCAAAAGCAAAGGAGGAGGAAGTACAAGGAGTGGCCAGTCTGATGCAAATCCTTCAGAGAAAACCACATTGATGAAGAATGGACGTGTTAACCAGCCCATCCAGAAATTCATGACCTTGGACATTCTAGAGCCATGCCAAACTACTGAGAACAAATACACAATGGTTCCAGTTACATATAAATCAAGAAGGTTTCTTGATTCATACTAAGTTGGGACAGCTAAGTCCAGCAAGAGCAGAGAGGCCAAAGCCAGTGATTGGTAGCAAATAAATGAATAGTAGGGAGAAAACAGGGACGAGGATAAACCAGGAACAGGATTCCCGTTATCTGGATGTATTATCCCAATGTCAGACCAGGGAAGAATTTTAGCACAAACCTTGGAGTGAGACAGCTGAGACTTTGAAGACTAGCTCGGCCATCTATTAGCTGTGTGCACTTAGGCAGATTATGCAACCTCTGTGAGCCTCAGTGGCCCTCTCTAGAGAGTGGAGGTAACAACAGACCCTACTCCTGGGTGAAGAGGCTTAGCCTGGCACAGGGCATGTGCTCAGGAGGACCAGGGTCCTGGAGCCTTCCCATGGTGATGAGGGTGGCCACACCACACTTACTGTCCAGAGGCTCTTCTACTTCCTTGTAGACTTGCCGTAAGGACCCATCTTTCATGTATTTCTCAGTGAAGATGTCATATGGAACCAGTTCTCGAATGGTCTTTTTGTCATCCTCAGAGGTGGCAAGCCACCGATCGCATGGGAAAGTCAAGGTCTCTGCACCCTGGGGTGAGGCAGAAAAAGGAAAATTAGCCCTTAATGTGAAAGCTGCCAACTTCAGGGATTCATCAGCTCAATACTCATGGAGACCAAGGACAAGGATCATGGGGCCCCATAAATAATGTAAAAGCCACAGGAGAGCCCCTTGCCCCAATTTCAGTAGATCAGTCTTAAAGACTTGCACAACCACATCAGAGTTTGGCTCTGAAAGGCTGGAGTTCCCAGGGTCACTTAAAAATAGGTATCTGAACTCCATCCTGGAGACTCAGATTCAGTGGGTAAGAGGAGGGGGGTGCTCTGTATTTAAAAATTGCTCCCTCTGGCTGGGCATGGTGGCTCATGCCTGTAATCTCAGCACTTTGAGAGGCCAAGGCGGGTGGATTACCTGATGTCAGGATTTCAAGACCAGCTTGGCCAACATGGTGAAACCCCATCTCTACTAACAAAATATAAAAATTAGTCGGGCGTGGTGGCGTGCGCCTGTAGTCCTAGCTACTTGGGAGGCTGAGGCGGGAGAATTGCTTGAACCCAGAAGGCAGAGCACTGTTGCACTCCAGCCTGGGTGATGGAGCAAGACTCCATCTCAAAAAAATAAAATAAAATAAAATTGCTCCCTCTTCATTCATATCCATAGCTATGGCTGAGATCTATCTCCTAGGTTTATACTTTTGTGGCTTCAGAATGTTTTTAAAGTTGTCTGGGGTGGATTTTCTATGTGAGTTGACCTTGAGTTACAGGAAGGGCACTCTGGTCAATCACTAGTAATATGGCCTTGGAGGTGGGGAGGAGAAACATGCCCAGACCCTCCTCCTCAACCACGAAACCAGGTTCTAGAAAATTCTGCTTGGGACCAGAGCTTGTTTCTGCACTCTGAGTGAACTGGGTGAATTTTCATTATGAGATTTTTATCTCAATAAGGCTGATCTAGCCAGTAGGTCCTCACAGGGAATTTGCCTTGAACCTGCTCTGGAAAGGGACAAAAGAAACAGCAGGACAGACCAGTCAACAACTCACGTCTTTATCCGGGAGGAGCCTGCGGATGTCCACGTGAGAGCAGTGCCACCCAGGATTCATGCCCGTGTTATTATGGCCAATCCGAATTTTTTCAATGATTTCTCCCACATCTTCTAACTTTGGAAAGGAGATAAGGCACTGAATGTTAGCTGAAAGATCCAGGAAAGTATGGCCTTGGCAACATCCTGCTTCCCCAGGGCATCCACCCTGAGTCCCTTTGCATTTCCTCCTGATACGTCTCCACTATCCAGCCAGGCCAGCTCCCATTGTCCTTGACACACACGCCATGCTTATGCCTCATGTCCCCTCTCTTAAAGTCAGCCTTGACTCCAGAACTTGGTTTAATCCACCTTCTCTGGGAGGGGGACCCCTCTTCAGCATGGAGCCCAGCTCCCCATCTGCCACTGCTCACTGTTGTAGCAACTCATCCCCTGTGTGAGAACTGAACTGGGTAGCAGAAGATGAGTTCTGGCTGTGCCATGCTCCTGTCTTGCCAAGTGGACTTATTCAAGGCCCCAGGCCCCTAAGAGTCCCCCACCTTCCAGCCACTCCTTTTCTGTGCTCCCACATAGAAATGCCAGTCCCTAGAACTCCACATTCCTTGCCACGGGGCCTTTGCACATGCTTTGCTTGCCTCTCTGCCTTCCTCTTCTTTACCTAACCCATACCTGCTCAACCTCGTAATCCAGGTCTCAACTCAATGATCACTTCCTCAGGAAAGCCCTTAACCTCCCCGAGAAAGTTAATTTTCTTCATGACAGGCTCTTGTTGCATAGTGGAGCCCCTCCTTGGAGTACTTCTCATAGTTGTAAGTTTTCATTTATTTGTGTGACACCTACCATCTCTTTCACCACTGAGAACCACAAGGCAGGCACCATTTTGCTCTGCATTGTATCCCAAAAACCTAGAACAGTGCCCATGACCTAGGTACTCAATAAGCATTGGTTGCAAGGACAAAAGAGTGTTTCCTTAGCTGCAAAATGGGTACGATAAAATCAGCCAGGCCTTCTCATAATGCGGTGGTGAGCCTTAACCACGATGGTGTGCATGAAAGTCCCCTGAAAAAAAAAAGCTGATACATGTGTGCCAGGTGAGCCCCTGAACTGGGCGGGGGATGGGGCAGCTACAACATCTTCTCTCTCCCACCTGGAGCCTCCAGGTATGGGATGCAGAGGAGAATCTCTGGCTTCTGTGACCTTAATCCTCTAAGCACTAAGTTGCATGGGACAGGATGGCTGCCTCTGTTTTTGTTGTTGTTGTTGTTGTTGTTGTTGCCCAGGCTGGAGTGCAGTGGCGCAAACTCAGCTCACGGCAACCTCCACCTCCTGGGTTCAAGCAATTCTCTCCTGCCTCAGCCCCTGGAGTAGCTGGGATTACAGGTGCCTGCCACCACGCCCAGCTAAATTTTGTATTTTTAGTAGAGACAGGGTTTCACCATGTTGGCCAGGCTGGTCTTGAACTCCTGACCTCAGGTGATCCACCCACCTCGGCCTCCCAAAGTGCTGGCATTACAGGCGTGAGCCACCGCGCCTGGTGGTCATCTCAGTTCTAACGCCTCAGAGAGCAATGTGGCCTTTAGGGGACAGCTACTCATGGTTGGTGGGCCTCAGAGAAAGACTCAGAGGACATCAACATCAGAAGGGACCCTAGTATTCTGGAAGGTGAAAGAATTAGGCAGAGAAGTCTCTGGAACTGAACTTCTTGAGTCTAGATCCCAGCTCTGCTGTTTTAAGACACCTTGAGTAAGTCTGCTTAACCTTTCTGCACTTTATTTCCTCATCTGTAAAATGGGATGATCATACTAACTACGTCTTGGAAATGTTATAAAGATTAAATGAGTTGATACACATCAGGTCCTTAGAACTGTGCTGGCCCTTGGATGTTCTCAATAACTCTTAGCTATTATTGTTCTTTTCCTGGTCAACATCTTTTCTTAGGAGGGGGCCACAGAGAGAGGAAGCGGCTTCCTCCTGAGATAGTGGCTGAGCCAGAATCAGATCCAGGGTTACCGACTCCGCAATTCAGCGTTTTACCTCCTACCTGAAAATCAATCAGAAAAGGGAAGTGCAGAGAGAGGGACACAGGTGGGCAGAGAGACAGAGGCCAGGAGACAAAGCCCTTTCATTTGTTTCCCAGCTCTCACACTCCCCCCAAATCCAGAGAGATTTGAAAAGAAAAAAAAATAGCAACAAAATTACTGGCAAATTATAGCTGTCTATTAGTGGGGACTTCATTGATAAAAACTCCCCGGAAGTCATGCCGAGGTGTGATCACAGCCTCAGCCGCTGACGGCATCAGGCCTGGATGACTCACGCACCATGACATCTTGGGTGGATGAGATGTTAGCTTTGTGTGGATTAATGAATCACCCTTAAATTTTCTCGTTAAAAGACTCAGCAAAGGTGACAGACCTTCCCACAAGTGCTGACTGCTCCAGAGAAGGTGGGAAGAGAGCAAGGCATCCCCCGGGATAGAGACTGGCCCAGGAAGAAGGAAGGTGCCCTGGGCTTTGTTTCCTATCAGAAAATAAGGGGCACATCTCCAAAGATCCCACTGCCTGGAGGGCCCAGCCTTCTGAGGCTCCTGGCTCTTCTCCTTCAGGGTCTCCTGCGCTTCCCCTCTAAGTCTTGCTTCATTATTGCCATCTATCCAAGTTACATCACACTCCTCCCATGGCTTCTACTCAAACCTCAAGCCACATGCTTATTTCCACCTCTGAGCTGTTGGCCATGCTGTTCCCTCTGCTAGGAATGCCTTTCCTCCTTGTCCCTGCTAATGCCCCCTTTCAGATCCAACTCAAAGCCACCTCTTCCAAGGAGCATTCTCCCTTCTCTAAACAGTGATAGTAAGCTCAGTCCATTTGCTTGTCTACTGCAGTAGCTAACTAAGAGTGCATATTCCAGAGCCAGTCCTCCTGGGTTTCAATCCTGCTCCCACTACATCCTAGCTGTGTGGTTTTAGGGAAGCAACTAAACCTCATGCCCCAGTTTCCCCATATTTACACAGGGACAATTATAGCACAGAGTTTTTATGATAATTAAGTGGGTTAGCCTATGACAGTGCCCTCTGACCCACAGGGTCCATGACAATGACCATCACCAGACTCTCTCATTACCTTTGTTGGGAGGACTGGGGTCCCCAACTTGACCGTAAGCCCCTCTCAGGCAGGATCTGAGCTCTCCCCTTCTCTTGTGTCTCCCACCCAACCTAGTGCACAGCTGAGCACACAGGGCAGGCACAGTGTGCATGCACTAAATTGAAGTATATGGATTCCAAGGCATTATGACCTACATGCACAGTAAACACTGAACAACAGCACCTCCATTGTCAAGACCTGATGGGAAGCCATGGAACATACAGAATGCTCTTCTCTATTAAATTGTTTGACCATAGCTTGAGAGCTGAGCAGGAGACCCTAGCCCATGACCACTGGTGGTGGGATTTCCACCTCTCCCTGGCTAGCAGTATCAGCAGAACCCCACAACCAGCAAGTCTGGGAGCTATGTTCCACCTGTGGATAAGTGTCTATTGTTGGAAGCTCTAGAGAGGCCCGTTGGCTTTATGCCTCTAGTGTTCCCAAGTCCTGTCTCTCATCATTGCCTTTGATCCTGACACCAGTCCAGGAGGAGCAGGGTGAGCTTCACCATTCCCCTGGTTGCTTGGATGTACTGAGGCCCAGGAAGGTAGGATGAGCTGCTCACCTTCCTCTCTAATAGCAGTGCATCAGGATGAAGGGCATGTGTTCTGCCCTGAAGGTAGGGCTTCTCCTCTCCCTCTGTCTGACCTACTCCATCCCTGGACAGCCTGCTGAGCCCAAGTACCTCTACGATGAAGCGGGAGGCAGACTTCCTCTCAAAGAACTGCTTCTGTTCCCTCTTGTTGGTACACAGATACTTCTGCTGGGTGCACACGGCATCGCAGCCATAGATGATGATGAAGATGTTGGCATCTGTCCCAGCAGCAAAGACATCACTGGTGTAGAGGGTGATCTCGTAAGGAACAACTGAGGGTGGTGGTCAGAGGGCAAAGCCAGAGTGGATGAGAGAACAGAAAACAAACATGGTGAGAGCCAGTTCTTCACCAGCACAACCAGCCCAGACCCTTGCACTGGGGAACTGCTGCCCGGGGAACTGCTGCTCAGGGACCTGGACCTTCACAAGGTTGCCTAGCAACTGCAGGTGGGGTCCTGTCCTGCCCCGCCCCCATGGAAAACCCTCACCCCCTCAGACCAGGGTGTGTGAGCCTCTCACATGCCAGAGCACATGTAGCAGACTGGTTGAAAGCACAGGCTTCAGAATTTGACAAGCCCAGGCTGGAATCCCAGCTCTGTCTTGACCATTGGTGTAATCTGGGCAAGTTAATTCTGAGCCTCAGTGTCCATTGTCTGTAAAGTGCCCTCGACATGGTGCTTGGCTGAAGAGACTCCACAAACAAGAGCACTAGATTTCAGGGGGCAACTTGCTGACTGGATCGGCCAGTCTACGGTAGTGAGCATTCTTTCACTCTTCTCCGTATCCCCTGCTCCCAGTCTCTCACTTGCTCCCAGATGGCCTGCCTGCCCCAACCCATCCACCTCACACCCAGCCCCTCATTCAGGTTCCGTCACATTACACACATCTTTTATAGGGGAGAGGATAGCAGGAGGCGAGGGCTGCACCAGGGTTTATTGGTCCCACCAGGGACTATCTCCCCTAGAAAGAGGGTTGACAAATCAGTGCTGTTAGCAAGCAGCTTCCTGGTGGGCAGCCACCGGTGTGAACAGAGACCAGTATGTCTCTATGCATGGGTGGAAGACCTTTGCTTCAGAAACTTTTGGGGATGCTTGTTAAAAATACAGATTTGCAGGCCAGGTGTGGTGGCTCATGCCTGTAATCCCAGAACTTTGGGAGGCCGAGGTGGGCTAATCACTAGAGGTCAGGAGTTCAAGACCAGCCCGGCCAACATGGCAAAACCCTGTTTCTACTAAAAATATAAAAGTTAGCTGGACGTGGCGGTGGGTATCTGTAGCCCCAGCTACTTGGGAGGCTGAGGCAGGATAATTGCTTGAACCTGGGAGGTGGAGGTTGCAGTAAGCTGAGATCACGCCACTGCACTCCAGCCTGGGTAACAGAGTGAGACTCTCTCTTAAAAAAAAAATGCAGATTTGCAAAACCTGCCTTAGTTTCTCTGCAGGATGGGTCTAGGGATCTGAATATTTAACTCATACTTTATACTAAAGTTTGAGACCACCTGAAACAATGTATTGCTATAGTAACTATAGGTTAGTTCATTAGCAGGTTGTGAAATGAGTTTAGTGGGTTGTCAACAGTATTTTTTAAAATATGTGGAATTGAAAAAATCTAATAGAAAAATATCACTGTATATCACACATAATGAGAGTACAATTTTTGTGACATTTTTATTTTTTGCATATGCGTATAAATGTGTACAATTGCTCTGGGTCACAGTAACTAAAAAAAAATTTAAGAAAAAAAAGAAGAATATTGAAAACCCAGAGAAACAGTTCAAGTGGATGTCTACTCTATCCTGTAGTCTTGGCCCTTGAAAGGAGTCACAATACAAGCTTCCTTCTCTCTTGTGGCCCTAACCTTCTCCAGATGAAGACGTTGCTTTCATTTATCATCATAGCTACTTTGCTGTAGGGCTGTAGTAGTGATACTTGCAGTAGTAATAGTAGTAATAGTTATCACTTATTAAGACTTCCTACATGTCAGACTCTGTACTGAGCATGCTATGGTCCTTACCTCCTTTAACCCTCACAATGACTTGAGGGAGTAGGTATTATTACACTCCATTTTACAAATGAGAAAACCAAGGCTCAGAGAGGTGAAGTAACTTGCCCAAAGTCACATGGTAGAACTTGAACTCAAACCCAGGCTTGCCTGACCTTAAAGCGTGCATTGCCAGCCTCTAGGAGTCTTGTTGCTGTGAACTAGAGATAAGTACTGCTGCTTAGCCACAGGCAACAGAAAGAGACAGCCCAGGGAGGTGACCACTAGCCCCACAATGGCTTGAAAAGGCCCTCACCTATAGGTTGAAGGGAAACAGCCTCGACCCTGCTGGGTGCTCAACCAATAACAGAGGTGTCATCTCTGCAGCATACAGTCCCTTCCTCTGAGCCTCTGGGGTTTCTCCCTGACCCAAGACTTGGAAAGCCTTGAACAGAAAAGCTGGCAACAGAATCTGAGCTTTCCTGAGACTGGCCAGCAGTAGGAGAACCCCTGGAAGTTTCTGGGCAGGAACAGCTCACCCTTTAGGTTAGTTTTAATATCAGGCTGGAACTGAACATATTCAAAGTCAAACCATACAAACTCTTTATCTTTTTTTTTTTTTTTTTTTTTTTGGTATGGCATGTCCTAGGGCATGTAGGGAGAAATGGATACGTTTGTCCTCAAGGGTCCCACCCAGTGCTGCTGCCAACCCCATGCACATCTTTCAGGCCAGAGTCTGTCCTCGCCTGCAGGTGACTCCTGGGAATAGAGGCTGGATCCAGGGCTGGCTTTGGGCATGCCCAGCCAGAGAAATGTCACTTCATTTTAGACTTTGGATCAGAAGATATTTTGATGATCTGTTCATTTCAGTTTATTGCTTTAGGCAAAAATTTGTTCATCACTGATACATGCTATTAAGTATGAGTTGTTTGGGGGAAATCTTGTGGTACAGTTTATTATTTAGTTAGAAAAAATTATATGCTCTGGAATTTATTCAGATTTTACCAAATTCAGACAGACTTTCAGAGTTTAGTTAATTTCAGTTTGATTCCCAGTACATAGTACTACATACTTACATGTCTATAAACATTTAATACATTCTTTCTGATGATGACAGTGGAAAGGAAGTGTCAAAACTTCACTAAATTACTCCCTTCCCTTCTTCCCCTTAGCTAGAAAAGGGAATTACATTCACCTTTTTTTTGAATTCTGGGTCTAGCAGGGTCCAGGCTGTGTTTCCCTTCAACCCATAAGTGAGGGCCCTTTCAAGCCATTGTGGGGCTGGCAGTCATGTATACCACCTGAGAAAATCTTATACTGCTGACTTATTTGGCATGTTAATGACTGGAGTAAGGATTGGTGACAGGGTTGATAATGATTCCTCAGTTAGACCTTTATCTTTCTTCCTTTTGGATATTGCTATCATCCTGCATTATTATCTCTATGCTGCAGATGAGGAATCTGAACCCTCGAGAGGTTAGGTTCTCTACATGTTGTCACCAGCTAGCTTGGAGTAGAGTTTAGAATAAATTTCATATTTTCATTTCCTGGGTCCAGAACTCTGCCCACAGCCCCCACAGAGTCAGAAAATTCAGGACAGGGATGAAAGACCAAAATCTTCAAGGTGGGCCTGGCCCACAGTCAATCCTGAAGGAAGAACTGGGGCTGAGTTGGGGTAGCTGGTGATGGGGCCCCAGAGAAGGGCTGGCCTTGCCGTGTGTGGTTCCTACATGGTGTGTACAGCCTCGTCTGAAGCTCTGCATGGAAGAGGTCTCTGATGATGGACCCGTCGTCTTCGTTTTTGGCCAGCCAGCGGCCACAGGGAAACGTCATGCACTTCCCAAGAGATGGGGCATCCACCTCTACCCAGTCTACAAACCAGCCTGGGGCCTTGCCTAGAGAGAGAGGAGACACAAAACCCATCAAGGACCTGAGCAGAGATGATTTCCTGTGGGTAACTTCAGGGACTCCTGACTTCCTTCCTTAGGTGGCTGGCTGATATCATTAACATGACATCCCTTTTGCTTGCAGCATTGCTAAAGTGACTCCCATTAAAATGTGCACCCAGATGTTGAAGCTGGATCACACTCCAGGCTGCTGTCAGTGAAATTAGTAAGAGTAAAAGAGCATCAATAGGAGATGACAGGAGAGTAGGGGGAGGCTGAGGTGGGAGGGCACTGAGAGGAAGCAAGGATGCTGTCCTTCCTTGAAGAAGGGGCTTCAAACAGAACTCAGGGATGCCAGGAAGAGCCTGTGTTTACAAAAGCTTTATAATCTTACCCAATGATAGGAATGAAGCAATTGAATCAAAGGCTCTGGGGGTGGAGCCAAGAAATCTGTGAGTTAATAACCCCCCAGGTGATCCTGTTGCACACTCAAAGAACTACTGAGTTAGATCGGAGATTTTCATATCTGGCTGTGCATTAAAATTACCGACACTGGGGTTGATAAAGGCTTTAAAAATCACCAGTGTCCAGGTACAGCTCTAGACTAATTAGGCCAGAAACTCTGTGTGCAGCTGAGGACTCTCTCGGCTCTACTGGGCTAAAGGGATTAAGGAAGCTGTGTCATTACAGAAGACAGATGGCATTCAAATTTCCAGAATCTTTCCCAGATGCCCACAAGGACCTGTCCATGGTCCTTAAAGTCTTAGCAAGGAACAGAGGGGAGGGAAGCCACACCTGTGTTGTCATGGCCAAGCCGGACTTTCCACAGGTCTCCCAGATCCAGCGTCTCCACCGTGAAGATTTCAATGCTGTCCCTCTCAAACTTATCGCTGTTTGTCTTGGAGGACTTCAGGAGGGTCATTCCTGTGGATCAGATGACCCCAGCATGACTGGCTGGACCTGAGGCCTTTCAAGCCTAGTCAGACCCAAACCTTTAATCCCTTTTCAAAATGACCAAATTTCTGAACTTCCACCAAATTTAGACTGTGCAATTATCATCCATTGGCCACCTTTGCACAGTGGGCATTTTAAAAAATTTTTTATTTCAATAGCTTTTGGGGTACAGGTGGTTTTTGGTTACATGGGTGAGTTAGTAGTGAATTCTGAGATTCTGGTGCACCATCACCTGAGCTGTGTACTCTGTACCCAATGTTGTCTTTTATCCCTCATCCCCTTCCCAACCTTCCCACAATGAGTCCCCACAGTCCATTATATCATTTTGTATGTTTTTGCATCCTCATAGCTTAGCTCTCTTTTATAAGTGAGAACATTCAGTATTTGGTTTCTCCATTCCTGAGTTACTTCACTTAGAATAATGGGCTCCAGCTCCATCTAAATTGTTGTATAAGACATTATTTCATTCCTTTTTATGGCTGAGTAGTATTCCATGGTGTGTATATACACCATATTTTCTTTTTATCTTTTAAAAAAAATTTTTTATTACACTTTAAGTTCTGGGGTACACGTGCAGAACATGAGGTTTTTTTACATACGTATACATGTGCCATGGTGGCTTGCTGCACCCATCAACCCATCATCTACATTAGTTATTTCTCCTAAGGCTATCCCTACCCTAACCCCCCACCCCCTGACAGGCCTCGGTGTATGATGTTCCTCTCCCTGTGTCCATGTGTTCTCACTGTTCAACTCACAGTGGGCACTTTTTTGGTGTGTGTTCTTTCACTGAGTTTTACAATAACCCTTTAGGGTGTGCATTTTTATTTCCAGTTTATGTTGAAAGAGATACCTTACTCAAAATCATCCGGGAGACAGTGGTGGAGCTCTAAGTCAATGCTGCACCACCTCCATACCCTCACAACTCTCTACATGGAGAGTCAGCCAGTGACAAAGCCACACTCTCTATGTTCCCTGGGGAAACATGGGATTTCCTTCAGGGATGGGACATGTGAGAATCTCTGGAGCATCTTCTCTGGATGACAGAGGAGGGATGAATTTGAATGCCCCAACCCCCAGCTATTTCACATATATAATCAGTCCTGAGACTGCCTGTAGTGTCAGTCTGAAACTGAGGTGATCTCAGAGTCATCGCTATGTCTTCCTGCCTCAGGATGCACTGCATTGCCTTTAAGTCCCTGTACCCCAATAAGTCCCAGCTCTGGGCCCACCTCATGTAGAAAGTCTTCTGCTATTCCTAGACTCACTACAGACTGGTTTAAGTATACAGAGAGATAGACAGACCTTGGTCCAGTGCCTAGCTCTGCCACTTACCACTGGGTGGCCTTGGGAAAATTATGTAATGTTTCTGAGACTTGGTTTTCCAAATGTCAAAAAAGGACAGGTCTTAGTCCCTTCCTCGTAGGGCTGTTGTGAGGACTTAATGAGTTGATGACTGTTGGATGCTCAAGAATTTGTCTAACACATAGAAAGGCCTCAGATAATAAAAGCAGTTGCCAAAGCCGATTAATTTCTTTGATCATGGTTCAGGAATGATTGCAATCACATGCATTTGTAGGTTATGACCTAATTATATCATTATATATTATCTGCTTTATCCAACCTATTAAATAATTGATGTTAATTAATGTTTATTGAGTGCCACTTTGTCCCAAATGTTGTACATGTTCAACTTCATTAGACCTACAACTCTATAAGGCACATACTAATTTTATCCTCATTTTATAAATAGAGGAAACTAAGGCACAGAGGGGTTAAGCAACTTGCCCAATGTCACACAGCTAATAAATGGTGGAGTGGAGGTTTGAACCAATCAGACAAGCTTCAGAGTCTCCATGCTCTCTACCAGCACATTGTTGTAGTAGATATGAGCACCCCATGGTCAAGGGTTAGGTCCATTTATTCTTCAATAATGCTTGGCACTAGGCTCTGGACCTGCAGGATTTTGAGCAAATATATGATGACTACTTGAGGGACTGACTGACTCCTCTCTAAACTCAACAGAATGGCTGGACAGTGGCGTGAGCAGATGGCTGGACCCAACACTAAACACCACCTTCTCTGAGTACCTGAGCAAAGGCTCCTGAACAACTCTACAATGCCTGGAGTGCCTCATACTGAGAGTATCATGGCTGAATTTCATTGAAAGTTGGGCAAAGCCATCTTGTCCCAGATTGTTATTGGGTGGAGTCAGGGCTACCTTCACCATTAGAACAGAAAAAGAAAGCTGGCTCAGAGAAAAAGAAAATTTTTAGAAAAAAAGGAACTGCCTTTCTCGATGGGGCTAATTGCTTGCATCCTATTGAGAGACAAAAGCATAATTAGGATTCCCCTTGGAAATTTCTGCTGAGTCTTCTGGTCTCCCTGGGGAAGAATGTGGGTGAATCTTGGCCCTGCACTGCTTTCTTACCAGTGTCATCCTGTGTGCCAAAGAGTGTGATGAAGACATTAGCATCTGTGCCCGCATTCTTCTTAACCCCAGTCTTTATGGTCACTGAGAATGTGGTAGATTTATCTGCCAAGAGAATAGTATAGAGCAATGAATTGTAGACTGTTCCTTTCATGAAAGGAGGAAAGAGGACAGCCACCTCCTCTAGAAGGGCTTCCTTGATTCACTCCCTCTACCCCATCACTCCAATTTTTCTCTTGCCCCTTCAATCCTGTATCTGTGAGCCCAGTGATTAGTAATAAGTATGTTTCTATGTTCCTCTTGGCCATTTCTTTTTTTTTTTTTTTTTTTTGAGACGGAGTCTCGCTCTGTCGCCCAGGCTGGAGTGCAGTGGCGGGATCTCGGCTCACTGCAAGCTCCGCCTCCCGGGTTCACGCCATTCTCCTGCCTCAGCCTCCCAAGTAGCTGGGACTACAGGCGCCCGCCACTACGCCCGGCTAATTTTTTGTATTTTTAGTAGAGACGGGGTTTCACCGTTTTAGCCGGGATGGTCTCGATCTCCTGACCTCGTGATCCGCCCGCCTCGGCCTCCCAAAGTGCTGGGATTACAGGCGTGAGCCACCGCGCCTCTTGGCCATTTCTAAGAATCATTTTTTTTTTCAGCATGTGTTACTCTGCAGTCACCATTAGTCTGGAAACTTCCAGAGGGTAGAGATGTGAGTCCTCTGCCTCTGGCTTATACAGGAAGCCTTCAATCAATAGAGTTGATAGGATGGTTAGGGGATACTTTGAGGGTCAGAGGCTCAGCAGCCAGGAGCCCCATTCTGACTCCTCCTGGCTGGGAGGAGTTTTAGGGATGCATATTTCAGGGGAGCATCATAGAACTCTTGAAAGTTACTGTTCATTCTTTCCCTTGACAAAAATGCATTGAGTGCCTATAGGGGAGGGCACAAGACTGAATCAGAAGTGGCTACACTCATTCCATTCTACTCCACTCTACTCCATTCCATTCTACTCCACTCCACTCCACTCCATTCCAATACATTTCATTCCAATACATTCCATTCCAACCCATCCCATTCCATTCCATTCCAATCCACTCCACTCCATTCTACTCCACTCCACTCCATTCTACTTCAATGCATTCCATTCCATTTCAATACATTCCATTCCATTCCAACCCATCACATTCCATTCCATTCCACTCCACTCCATTCCATTCCACTCTACTCCATTCCATTCCATTTCATTCCAACCCATCCCATTTCATTCCAATCTATTCCATTCCAATCATCCCAATTCAGTTCATTCCACTCCATTCCAATTCATTCCATTTGATTCCAATCCATTCCATTTCATTTCTGACAATAACTCAGTCCTAAGCTGTGTGCTTTATACTGCCTTACACTAGATATGTGAGACTATGCCCCCTTTACCTCCCCAGTCTTGCCACAGAGGAATGAGAGGGCAATACAATAGACTGTCAAGGGAGGAAGTTCCCAGAGCCCACAGGGGAGGGAAGGAAGATGGAGACTTAGGGTTAGGGAGAGGCAGAGGGGAGGGGTGCTGGAGAAAGAAATCAGCTCTAGTTTAGAAAACCTTTCTGCTCCAGGGCCAGGTTGTCGAGGGGGTTGTTGTCACCGCCTCCCCTACCCTCCTCGCTCTGTGGCAGCACATAGGACTCATCCACTGGCAACAGCTCCCTGGACAGCTGGCCATCATCTTCCTCCACTGCCAGCCAACGTTGGCATGGAAAGTAGTACCTGTGGGGGTGGATAGGGAAAGATTGGAATGTCCTCTTAGAAAGGTCTCGTCCAGGAGCAGTCATGGGCTGAGAATGAGAGGCCCTCTATGGGGTCCCAAACTCTCCCCTGTCTGCCCCTGACAGCATTGCCCTGCTATTCTACCCAGCCTGGGAATCACTCCATTAGTCATTTGCCTGGGGTAGAGAACAAACTTGGGGACATTGGCTCTAGACACTCCATTGAAAATTGTTATGTGACCTGCCTGGAGCACACAGAGCCTCAATCAGGGTCATATTGGATGGAAGTATCTAGAAGGAGAGGGACATACGGGGACCTTTCCAACCCTTTCCAGAATGAATCTGCTAGCCAGGGCTACTTTAGTAGAGAGGGTTGTACATAGTAGGTGCACAATACATAAGTGTTGAACTAATGGATTTTAATGGAATGAGCCAATTATGTCTGCTTTCAGAAGGTACAGAGAGTATGGCTGAGGAGCTGGCATAGAAGACTGCTGGGGCCATCTAGGAAAGGGAGGTCCAAGTCAGACCCCTCAGCATGGAGGTAACACCCAGCACAAGGGAGGTGCCTGGACAGAGTGAAGGTAGGGCCAGGGATGGGAGGCACAGTGGGGTAATTAAGGACTCTCCCCTGGGTCAGACTGTCCAGGTTTAAATTTTGGCTCTACCACTAATACTTGTGCAATCTTGAGTAAGTGTCCTTATCTCTCTGTGCTAGGGTTGCCAGATTTAGCCAATAGTTACAAAATCCCTATTAAATTTGGATTTTAGATAAACAATGCATAACGTTTTAAGTGTGTCCTATCTAATATTTGAGTCATGCTTATACAAAAACATTATTCATTGCTTATCTGAAATTCAAACTTAACTGGCAACCCTACTCTGTGCCTCAGTGTACCATAAAATAAGCATAATATTGCCTATTTCATAGGGTGTTGTGAGGATTACATGTGTTAACTTTATAAAATGCTTATAAAAATGCCTGGCTCAATGTAGGCTCTCAGTAAGCATTGCTACTGCTATTGTCGCTCTTGTAATTTCCCTTCCCTTTCATTCTCCTTGGCCCATGCCTGGGATCTCTGGACGCTGTGGTCTGGGAATATCCTCTCTGGGTGCTAAGCTCCCAGAATAACACAAAGGGTCTCAGAATTCAGCCTGTCTCTAAGTTGGGGCCATTCCACCCTCTTTATGTCCCTTCCCCACCCCTGCCCTGATGCACAAGGGCCACTCAGGGACTGCTCAAAGTCTGGAGAGGTAGGGGCAGTGCAGGCCAAAGGTCCCATCCCTGTCTGAGTCCCACATTTTGCTAGAGTCTTCATTGCCTCCAAGTATCAAAATGTTAGAGGAGCAGAACCAGAGAGCGAGATCTCAGTCAATGGGCTCAGATGGGGTGCTGAGGGGGGCAACGTTACACTGATGGCATGGATTTAAAGGAGCTCGACCTGGGGCAATATGAACTAAGCTACCATTAAATTAGTGTTTCAGAGAAAAATGCACACTGTTCTGCTTCTTAGCCTTTAAATGTATGAATAGGAAAGTTAACATTTTATCCAATCAAATAACTTATGAATAATAGGCTATAGTTATAAATTATGGCCAATTAAGGAAGAGAGACAGAAATAAAGAAAGAGCTGGGGTCAGAGCAGAGGTGGAGACAGAGTGTGTAGGAAGTTGGCAGAGGACAAGGACAGAACGAGACACACACAAAGAAAGAGCCAGGGAGGGAGAGAAAAAAAGTCAAAGAGACAGAAAAGGTACAAGCCCTCCCATGCATACAAAGAGAAAATGCACACAGAGTCTGGATTTCCTGGAGCAAAATCTCCATTGTCCTTGAGATACTTGCATCATGACTTTAAAGCCCCTCAGCATGCTCACTACTGCAGAGAGCAGCACGTCTCCTCTCAGAACCTGCTCCTTGTACCGACAGAACCAAAGCAGGAGTCAGGTATGGCCTGAGCGCTGGGCGTTCAGCTTCTATCCCCACAGTGCCAACAAGCACACATGAAGATTTAGGACACCAGGCCTACTGACCCCTGCCTCTTCCTCCTCCAGGAATACATCCTGGTCAACCAGGCTTCTGGATACCAGGGAGGGGACCAGGCAGGGGTTTTTTAGTGAATAAAGGAGATGAGAGGAATGCAGGTGTTCTAAGGCAGATAAGCTCACCACACTCCTAAACAAGGATGATGGAAGGAAAGAGTAAGGGCTTCTGTAAGCAGGAGGTTGAAACTGAGCATCGAACCAAAAGCTCGAAACTGTTAAAAGTATAAACTCCACTTGAAAGTAAAAAATGGAATGAGATTGCAAAATTGAGTGTTGTACAATATAAATAATTTCATACAGAATTTTCCATTTTGTTTATAAGCTAAAGTCTGGACAACATCAAGTATGAGTAAATCCTGGCAGAGTGGTGTAATGACAAAAGCATGGATCTGGAACTCAGGAATTCTGAATTTGTTTCCCTCCTCTGCCCCTAACAAGCTGTGAGATCCTAGGGATTAAACTGTACCACCCAGAAGGCTGGGTGAGATGACCTGGAAGGTCTTTTCTGTCTCAACATTCTGGGACCTCTAGGATCCCTGGAGGAATGGGAGATTCCAGAGGACAACTCTTTATTAGATAAAATTTAAGGGAAAAAAATTTAATAACTTTTTGTTCAACCCTTTCTGGAAATCCCACCCAACATATTTGCCACATGAAACAATATTCAAGAATGGTATCTGTCTTTAATTATTAAGGATCTTATAGGACCCCCCAGGCCATCAATTAAAACATAAATCTTTGTTTCAGGGCTGGGAACAGAGGTAGAGAAAACATAAAATATCACATCAAATGTGGATGAAACCCAGGACACTAAACATATTCCCAGCTTTTTTTGGCATTTGCCTCTTTGTCTTTGAAATTGAGTGCATTAGACTTTATTGCAGATCTTAAAAATGCAGCTAGTTAGAGTATTGAAAGAAAAAGGAAAGTAGCACAATCTCATTTAATCAACAAGCCAATAAATGTGGACAAGGTGACAAAGTAGCAGAGCCAATGATTAAGTGACTTAACAAAGATACCCTAATTAAAGACAACGTACTCCCAAATATCCCACCATTTCTGTCATGTGTTCTGAAACCCAAATATTAGAGGCTCATAGCTTTGGATGCTGAAGAACACTGAATTTTTAGGTTATTTGTTAATATACATGGAATCCCTGGGCTGTAAGGGATTTTTAAGAGTCAGCGTGTGGGCCGGGCACGGTGGCTCACGCCAGTAATCCCAGCACTTTGGGAGGCCGAGGCGGGTGGATCATGAGGTCAGGAGATCGAGACCATCCTGGCTAACAAGGTGAAACCCCGTCTCTACTAAAAATACAAAAAATTAGCCGGGCGCGGTGGCGGGCGCCTGTAGTCCCAGCTACTCGGGAGGCTGAGGCAGGAGAATGGCGTGAACCCAGGAAGCGGAGCTTGCAGTGAGCCGAGATTGCGCCACTGCAGTCCGCAGTCCGGCCTGGGCGACAGAGCGAGACTCCGTCTCAAAAAAAAAAAAAAAAAAAAAAGAGTCAGCGTGTGATCTGTCAAATCAGTTTTCCACTATAAGGACGATCACAGAAGCATATGTTGAGGAAAAGCTTCCATCAACCAGGGTCCCTGAGTGAACATGCTGAGCAAAGTCCCCTGATACCCTACATCAGACATATAAGTGAGAAATAAATGTTTGTTGTGTTAGGCCACTGGCATTTTAGGCCTGTTTGTTACTTAGCAGAACCTAGCCTATTCTGACTGATACAACTTGAGCATTATTCTCAAATAAATGGTAATTGAAGTGATAAGGATGGAAGAGGTTGCTCAGGGAGTATATTTGTCTGTTCCTCCTGCTGGGAAAACTATGACCCCATGAATGCAGAGTCTGCTTACTCATTGTTGTATCCACATCCCCTGGCATACAAGGCACTCATAATATCAATAGAATTGAAAGCCATTGTCTCCTCTGGGGGTAAACCTTTCTCATCCCCTTCTTCAAAATTCCTGAGATAACTCCTAAATTTCTTTTCTTTTCTTTTCTTTTTTTTTTTTTTGAGACAGAGTCTCGCTCTGTCTCCCAGACTGGAGTGCAGTGGCGCAATCTCGGCTCACTGCAAGCTCCACCTCCTGGGTTGACGCCATTCTCCTGCCTCAGCCTCCCAAGCAGCTGGGTCTACAGGCACTCACCACCACGTCTGGCTAATTTTTTGTATTTTTTAGTAGATACGGGGTTTCACCGTGTTAGCCAGGATGGTCTCGATCTCCTGACCTTGTGATCCACCCACCCTGGCCTCCCGAAGTGCTGGGATTATAGGCATGAGCCACCACACCCGGCCAACTCCTAAGTTCCTTAATTAGCCACCACTCTTTCCTTGAAGATGCACGTTCTTTATTCTAGCATTCTTTTGCCTAAGATGGTGCCAACCCTTAGACTCCAGGAATTGTCTGAGCAGCACAAAGGAGGGAAGGAAAAACTAGCCTCTTCTTATTCTAAATATGACATCACTATTAATAAAAAAAATCAATCTAGTGCCTTTGTAAACTGTCATTTTTTTTCAGAGTGGCCAAGGAGCAGGGCCTCTCAAGCTAGAGAAGGCAGGAGGAGTTCAAACATAAAATTTTCTGATATCACAATCTTGTAAAAAGATATCACAATCTTGTAAAAAGAGTAGTCCTTTACCAAAGGGATGTGAGGCTGTGTGCAGAGCCCAGGTTGACCCAAGGGAGACCTCAGATCCCGGGACACCCCATTAAAATCCATCTAAAAAGGTGGTACGTACATACAATGAAATATTATTCAGCCTTAAAAAGGAAGGACATCCTGTCATGTACTACAACACGGATGAAGCTTGAGGACAACACACTAAGTGAAACAAGCTAGACACAAAAAGACAAATTCTGTAGGATTCCATTTCTATGAGGTCCCTAGAGTACTCAAAGTCATAGAGACAAAAAGTGGAATGGTGGTTACCAGGGGCTGGGAGGAGGTGGAAAAGGGAAGTAATTGTTTAATGGGTATAGTTTCAGTCATGCAAGATGAAAAAAATCTGGAGATCTGATACACAACAATGTGAATATACTTAACACTATTGAACTGTACACTTAAAAATGGTTAAGGTAATAAATTGTATGTCATGTGTTTTCTTACACAATTTTTTTTTTAAATCCAACTCACTTGAGGCAGTAAAAAAACAAAACAAAACAAAACATTCACAGCCCACAGCTGCAAACTAGCATTAAACAGGCTTTCTCATGCAATCTTAATCACTTTTTGCCAGCCTGGGACTCCTATAAAGGACCTCAAATATCTTCCATTTAGAAACAAGAGCATTTTCTTTTTGGCAATTGAATTGCAGATCAATAAACCTGCACCCCCAACCCCCTCCTCCTTGTGTTTCCACCATCTTAGGCTTCTCTGCTCTCCAAACAGCCTCTGAGGCTAGGAGGGCTAGGAGTGGTTCTGCTGAGACCCGGACTGCCATCTACCAACTGGACAGCACAGCCCCTGGACCACACAGAGCTCTCCCTTGGGGTGACTTCGCAGGGAGCCAAGGCCTCCACAGCTTTATATCTTCTCCCAATCCTTTCGGTTCAGGCCAGCATCTCCCACCAGTGCCTGACCCCAGCTGGCATTCTCTTGCTTCTGTCTTTTCCTCCCTGTAAAATCTGGCCAACCAAAAGCCTGGGTGTGTTTTCAAGCTCCTCAGCATGGCTTTGGATGCCCTCATCTGCTCCTCTCCAGCCTCCCTTTCCGTTTTTCCTGTTTCCCACCCCTTCATGTCCCTTATGCACCAAATAGAATTACTCATTCCTTTCTGTGTGTGCCCCTCAATTGCCCAATTCTGTGCCACCTGCATCACATTTTTTCAACCATTTCTAATGTTCTTTTTCCCAAGCACCAAACAAGGCTGCTGCTCATGAAGGCCCATCTCAGATGCCATCTGGCCCCAAAGATGTCCCCACCCATGACTCCCTCCTCTGAGGTCAACCCTGAGACAACCACCACTGTCACTGTGCCTTGTAGTCACCTGTGTTTTATCTCCTTCACTTGGTAACAGTGTTAGCTCCTTAAGAATAATCCCACGCATTCCTGCAGCCTTTCCCAGCTGTCAAGCCACTTTTCCATGTTAACTAATTGGACTCTCATTGCCAAGGGGAAAGAACTACTGCTGTGTTGCACTGGGATCAGGAAGGGTGCTGGGCGCCTAAACACATTTTCTCATCTAGTCCTCATGATGATTTCCTGGGTGAGGTTTATTATGCCCGTTGTACAGATGGAAGGCCTGAGGCTCAGAGGAGTAAAGTGCCTTTCCCAAGGCCACATAACAGTGGAAGAGAAAGTACTTAAACCTAAATCATCAGCCTCCTAGACCATCAGGGTTCCTTTCTTCAAAAACAGAGTCATAACTGAGCAGCTAGTTAACCCCCAGCACTTAGCACAGCATGTGTTTGTCAAATTAATGAATAAATCAACATATTAACCATCATTTTTACTCATTAGTGTATTTAATAAGTATTTATGGTATGCCTGTAGTGTGCCAGACATTCTTCTACGTGCTGGGGTGGACACAGCAGTAAATGAAACAGATGAGGCCATTAACGACATGGAACTTACATTCTATTGTGGGGAGATGAGCAGCACCTAAATACACAAGCTTTTTGTAGGTCAGATGATAAGCTGATATAGAGAAAAATAAACAGACAAGAGAAATGAGGGGAAGAGGGTACGCTAGGCCTCACTGAGAAGGTGACATTTGAGCAGAGGCCTGCCTGAAGAAAGCATGACAGGGAGCCACTGGGGGAAGGACTGCTAGGGAGCGTGGACAGCAAATGCAAAGGCCTTGAGGTGGGACCATGTCTGTTGGGTTCAAGGAACAGCAAGGAGTGAGCAAGGGGGAATCAGAATAGAGAGATGAGGGGCATAGAGCAGACCTGCGGGCTGAGCTGACCACCAAACATGCTTTGGCTTTGACTCTGAGTGACCAGGAGCTTCTGCAGGATTTGGAGCAGAGGAGTGGTGTGATCCTGGTCACTGGGCTGCTGTAGGCAATAGGAGGGCCTTGGGCAAGCATGGATCAGGTCAGGAAGCTTCGATCAGGGGGTGGGGATGGTGAAGATAGAAGGGATGAGGTCAGACTCATGCTCTTCTGATGGAAGGCCCAACAGGTTCTGCCAATGGGCTGGGGACAGGGCATGAGTGGCAGAGAGGCATCCAAGAGGTCTAGTCATGGAGGATGTTGACTGGACATGTCAACAGTGAGGGAGATGTCAGTGTTCTCAAATCCTTTTGGCTGCAAAGGCCTTATTTCAGAGCTCATAAAGGTCATGGAGAGCCTAGGGAAGGCCCTAGGTATTGACAGAAAAGGTGGTATCTCTCCAAGAAAGGGGAGATTCACTATTCTGATTCGGTTTCTTCTGAACTTCTATAATTTTTTGTCTAGCTCCCACAGTAGGCTTTGCATAGAGTTGCTCTTGGCTTGAAGATTGTTAAGGCCAGCTCATCACAGAGCCCTGGCAGACTGCTACTTCAATAGCAAAGGAAGCAAAGGACTGTCAACTAGCCATGCCAACAGAAAGAGATGGGGAGGGAAGAGGAGATGAGGGAAGGGGAGAGTGGAGGGAGGAAGAAAGAAGAGAAAGGGAGGGGGGAAAAGAAGAGTAATGAGAAGACTCTATTCACAAGAGCAATAAAATATAATATACCTGGGCATAAACTTAACAAGAATGTGTAGCAGTTATGTGTAGGAAATTGTAAAGCATTACTGAGGTACATAAACAGCTGGATAAATGGAAAAGTGTACCGGAGGGTAGCACTTATTCTAAATATGCAATTCTCTACACATACACTTAATGGCATAACAATCAAAATTCCAAGAGGATTTTTTTTTCAAGTCACTTAATGTCTTGATTTGAAAAAGGCAAGAATAGCTAATATTTTTAAAGAATAATGAAGGGGGACAAGTACTGACAGGCATTACTATAGATTGTAAAGCTATAATAATGTTTAAATTGTTGGGCTAGCCGAGAAATGCCAAATCAGTGGCAGAGAATTACTAACCCTGATGGAGCTGCAAGGGGAAGCTGGGGATGTTCACAGTTTGTCCCCAGCCTCATGGTTCTGTGGCACTTTTTCCTTTCCAAGCTTAAATGCCTTGGATTTTCAGAACATCTTAAGAAGTTAGGCTGGCAACATTAAGCCCATTTATCAGAAGAGGAAACAAAAGCCCATAAAGATGGCATGACTTGTCCAGGGTGACCTGATGAGTTTCTGGCAGAGGTCAGACTCCAGGTCAGGACCCTGGTTCCCAGCCATGGGGCTGTCCTACGGTCTTTATGTGGTTTCACAATGACCTCACAGAAAACCATGACAATGGGCTGTCTGTGAGCTGTGGTTCAGTGTTCCCTCGGGCTGGTAGGGGAGGGTGGGGTGGGAGATGGGAGAACCCTGTCACCTCCTGCCCTGCACAGAGGGGAGCCCAACAAGTCTATGGGCTGGAAAGTTGATTTAATTCAACAAATATTTGTTGATAGGGTGCCCATTACATTCTAGGCACTGGCAGGCCCTCAGCAGCCCCAAAGCCCACTCAGGATCACTCATGCTTTCTTCTCTGTCCCACTCCACTCATACAAGGGGACTTCTCTCCTTTCTCTTGCCCTTGGGCCCCTTACACCCAAGGGGCAATGAGGCCTAATGAAAACACGTTCAATTCAACATAGACAGTCTGGAGTTCTGGTCCTAGCTGTGGCACTGACTGATTATGGGGCTGTGGCTTCACCTCCCTGGGGTGTGGACCTATGGGAAGACATAACACTCTCTTCCCAGCCCAACTCATGTGGCAGCTGTGAGCCTCCACCAGGGGTCAGCAAATTACGGCCTTCAGGCCCAATCGGGCCTACCCTGCTTGCGGACATCCATAAGCTATGCATGGATTCACATTTTTAAATGGCTGGAGGAAAAATCTAAGGAAGGATAATATTTTTTGACATGTGAAAATTATATGAATTTCAAATTTCAGTGTCCAACACTGAAATTTGAAATTCATATAATTTTCACATGTCAAAATGACACAGCCATGCCCAATCATTTAGGCATCATCTATGACTGCTTTTGTGTTACACCAGCAAAGCTGTTGTTCCAGAGACCAAATGCTTGCAAAACCTAAAATATTTACTATCTGGTCTTTACACAAAATGTTTGCTGATCCCTGGTATAGAATATTAAAAGAATGTACTAGAAGTTGCTTTATACGTTGAGAGGCTTATGGGTGAGCTATGCCTAGGCATGGAAACTGGACCAAGGAAGGTCTGACAGGGATTGGAAATCCTGTCTCTCTAAACAGATGGACCTCAAGAGTTGCTGGTCTGGGGGATCTATTGGACTGTCATCTCACAGGGCAGGTGACACTAGGGGCTGCCAATGAGAGAAGAGGGAGAGAGGCAATGCCCATCCAGCCTGCAACGTGGGCAAACCTGCTCTGGTGGCCATGACAGGCAACACAGCCAGCCCACCCTCACCCTCAGATGTCACGCAGCCCACTCTCAGCCTCAGACATCACAACCAGCCCACCCTCATCCTCATACCTGCCCACCCTCATTCTCAGATGTCATCCAGTCCACCCTCACCCTCGGATGTCACAGCCAGCTCGCCCTCATCCTCCAGTGTCACAGCCAGCCCACTCTCATCCTCCAACGTCACCCAGCCCACCCTCAGTCTCAGACATCACAGCCAGCCCACCCTCACCCTCACACACACCCACCCTCATTCTCAGATGTCACCCAGTCCACCCTCACCCTGTGACGTCACAGCCACTCTGACCTTCCAGTGTCACAGCCAGCCCACCCTCACCCTCCAATGTCATCCAGCTCACCCTCAGCCTCAGACATCACCACCAGCCCACCCTCACCCTCATACTCACCCACTCTCATTTTCAGATGTCACCCAGTCCACCCTTACTTTTCGACGTCACAGCCAGTCCACCCTCACCCTCCAATGTCACACCCAGCCCACCTGCACCCTCAGACATAACCCAGCTCACCCTCAGCCTCAGACATCACCCCCAGCCCGCCCTTACCCTCATACCCGCCCACCCTCATTCTCAGTGCACCCCAGTCCACCCTTACTTTTGGATGTCACGGCCAGTACACCTCACCCTTAGGTGTCACCCAGCCCACCCTCACCCTCCACCGTCACAGCCGGCCCACCCCCAGTCTTCTTCCAGGACTACCTCTGTGGCAGACATGGCCTCCCTCAGAGCAACACCCCTCCCTGCCCACTGCCCCCACACTCACGTGATCTCGTTGTTCATGTCAGTAATGTCTATTCTGTCCAGGAACCAGCCTGCTCTGTTGCCTGTGTTGTCGTGGCGAATCCGAATCTTGGTCAGGGCCCCCAGGTCAATGGCATAGATGGTGAAGGTGTCTGTCTGGGAAGGGCCAGGGAACACTCAGTGGGGTAAGACCTACCCCTCCCCACATGGCCATCAGCCCCATCCTCCCAAGAACCAGGGCAGCCAGCCAGAGGCCAATGGTGAGACCCAAAGCAACCAGGAGTGGGGATGATGGAGAATGTCACTTAGTAGTCTGGTGTTTGGTCTGCACAATTGTTTCCCTAACTTGTCCCTGCCAGGAGATCTTCTCACTCTCATGTCCAGGAAGGTGGAAGGAGGAGAGGAAGAGTGAAGGTGACCTTGAGAGGCAGAAGAGAAGATAGGTTTGCTGGATGCCCACATCTGTGGTGGGTGTTTTGTGTGCAAGAGAGGGGGGTGCACTGAAACCCTCTGCAATGTGTGCAGGTGTGTGCATAATCTGCTTCAATCACATATTTGTATTAAGTACCTGCTATGAGCTGGTGCTGTGCAAATCCAAAGTGACTGTCAGAAACTGAAGACGGATTTGCCCACCATTTAGGTGTGAAGAGGGCCATATGGATCACACCATGTGAATGCACACACTGCTCCATGCACGGGAGGAAGCAGACCACACCAGGAACCTATAAGTAAATGGGGCCTTCTTGGATATAACTTTTTTGACTCTTAATTTTGAAAAAGATTTTAAATCTACAGAAAACTTTCAGAAATAGTATGATGAAAGTTCATATGCCTTCATTTAGATTCTGCACTTATTTGTAACATTTGCTTTCTCACTCTGTCATCTCTCTTGCACTCTCTCTCTTGCTGTATGTTTTTCTAAATCATTTGAAAGTAAGTGGCAGATACCATGATTCTTCATCCCTAAATTCTTCAACATGGATTTCCCAAGAACAAGGATATTCTCATATAATCACACTAGAATGATCCAATTCAGAAAACTTAACATCAACATAATGCTATTATATAATATACAGTCCATGTTCAAATTTTACCAGTTGCACAAGTTATGTAGTCCTCTATAGAAATTTTTTCCTAATCCAGAAATATGTGGCTATAATTTTTAAAGGAGAACACTGAAACGCAGAAATAAACTACATCCTCAAGTCAAGGGGAAGATTCTTTAAAGAAAAAGCAGGGGGCCCCTGAAATAAATCAAGAAATGAGCCCAGAAATATGTTAATTAATTTAGTTCATTTTTAAAAAATCTGTGTTAATGAGAGAATTTGGCTTTCGGGTAGAGGCAGGAATGGGAAGGGTGAGATAAGAGATAGTTTTCTAGCCAGGGGATATTATAAAATCTTGAAGGGCAAAGATGACGGCTTTATTTTTCATGACTTTCCCACTACACCTGGAAGAGTAAGGTATGTGTATTTCTTTTCATGGATTCCCACTGCATTAGGATACAGTTCTGGCTTCTCAGCTTGTCTCTTAAGCCTCTCATGACCCCACCCACCCCACACCCTAAATTGTTCTTATCCAAGCTTATCCACTGGGGCTTAGCACCGACCACAGCTCAGCTGGAAGACACACTGTCCTAAACTGGCCTCCCCCATTTCCACCTCCATATCTTTGCTCATGTGGTTCCATCTTCTGAGAACATCTTCCACTGTTGCCTTTATATGTCTACACCATACTCACCTGCCAAGGCCCAGTTTAAGTTGCTCCCTCCCCCTAGTTTTCCCCCAAGACACCATCTTGCGGCGAGGACTTCCTCTTGAACCCCCGCATCCCTACCAAGTGCCTCAGCATCTGCCACTCAACGCCATTCTCTGTTTGTTCCTGTGGGTCAGCTGGCCCATGGGCTCTAGGTGCTGGGGCCCTGCCTGCAATTCTCTCATAACCCCTCCACAAAGTATCAGTGTTACTGAAGAGGTACTGCCATGAAACCTGGTGGGATGAACAAGTCACACTGCCAAACACAGCAGCCATTGTGCTGCGATGGGCTGCCATGGGAATCTCAGAGGGCACCAAACCCACAGCCCCCACCCAGGGGCCAGAGACCCTCACCCTACCTGCCCCTGCTCAAATTTGTTGGACTTGTCTGACTTCTTCAGGGGTCGTTCGCCCGTGTCTCCATACTCCTCGCCGTAGATGGTTAGGTAGACGTTAGCATCAGTGCCGGCCTTGGGCACATTCCCCGTGACCACCTGAACCTCATAGGTGTTTCCTGTAGACACAGAAAGATGCAGTGTGGAGGGCCTCATGGCCATGGGGTGTTTGGACCTGAGGCACAGCCTCTCAGATCCAGCCAGATCCTAGAACAGAGGGATCTTCAGATGCATCTACACTAACCTGGGACTGAAACTGCCCACACTCCCAACCCAAGACTCCTTTACCATGAAGCCAGCAGGCAGCCCTCCTACCTCATGACCCCTCAGTCAGTTGTATTGAGTCATATCAGGGCTCCTCCCAAAGTCATCAATTCTTCCTGAGAACCTCAGAACAAGCGCCATGCTTATCCCCAAACAGCAGTGTCAATGGTGGCATTTCACACACAGGTCAAGAGAGCTATTTGGGAACCATGATGGGTGCCCACCTATTTGGCCTCCACGTGAGGGGGATCTAGGCCCCCTGCCCCCAGTGGGCCCCCTTTAGGGGAACTGTCTGGCCACTCCCTCCCCACCCCCACCCCCCACGACCCACTTACGCTCAGGACCCGGCTTGCCAGCTGGCACCAACTCCACGACAAGTTCGTTGTCCTCCTTGCCCCGGGCCAGCCAGCGGTGGGCTTCGAACTTGTGCTGCTCAATCACCTCCTGCATCCCCGGCCCAAACTCCTCCTCTTCCTCCTCTTCTTCCATCTCCTCCTCCTCTGACGAGGACTCCTCTGATGAGGACGACTCCTCTTCCTCCCCCTCGTCCTCTTCGTCGCTGCCCTTCCTCTTCTTCTTCTTCCTCTGCAGCTTGGCCTTCAGCCGCTCCTTCTTGAGCAGCTGCCGCAGCTTGTCCTTCTCCTTCTTCTTCCGGGCCTCCTCCTCCGGCGTGAGGTCCACCTCCCGCACCACCAGGTGCCGCAGCCACACGGTGTCCACGAACCAGCTGGGCCCAAAGCCCTCGCCCGTGTGCCCGAGCCGGAGCTTATAGACCTCGCCCACGTCGGCCGCCTCAAGCTGTTCAAAGGGCAGGGCAGCGGCTGTCGTGGCCCCAGCGTCCTCCCCAACGCCCCCAACACCCCCGCCCAACAAAGAGCCAGGCACAAGGCCTGTTTGCTAAGCTGCAGGATGGAGAGGGCTGGGGCCTCTGTGCTCAGATCCTTCCACCACCTCCCTCTCTCCGGCCACACCTGTCCTGGGTCCCCTGGGATTACCTGGCCCCATCCTCCAACAAAGTTTATTTCTTCCAACTTCTGTGTGGGCAAGCTGGTCTCCCTCTTCTCTCTTAAACACATATGCCTGCACGTATACACACACACACGCACGCGCGCGCGCGCGCCTCATTCCTATGATTTCTGTCCCTATCATGGCTCATACAGTTTCCTTACTTGGCCTGCCTTTATCCCCCTCCTCTACTTGCAGCTAAAATCTATTCATTCAGGTTCCTGTGTTTCATCACTTTTTTTAACTTTGTGCCTCTGTGTTCTCTTTACAAAAATTTTCAGTGTTAACCGTATATAACTTTCGTAATAAGCAAAAAACAAAAGTGCTCTTTTTCAATAACAAAAATTTCACCCACACCCACAGAGGCCCAAGCTCCCTCCTCCCCCAACCCTGAGCACATGGCCTCAGCCTGACTGCCCCTTCCCCAAGAGCAGAGAGGGGGTCCAGGGTTTAGCTGTGGTGCCGGTTTGGCCTGGATGCCCTCTTCATCCTCACAAGCTGGTCTCTGCCCTCTTGATTATGAGTTCCTTAAAGGCGGAGACCATCATTTTCAGTCTCTACCAGGATGGGCATAGCACATAACTGGCCCAAAGGGCAGTGTTGATGGCATCATCGACTCTAGATCATGAGACCTGAGCTCTGTCCTGAGCCCCAGGCTCTGAGGAAGGACCCACATTAAGGTAGGGTCTGGTCCGTCCCCTGCAGCACTCAGGGTAGGGCTCACATGGGGGTTGTTTCTAGTCAGAGTCCTCCCAAGCTTCCTGATGCTGATGAGCCCCTGTCTGGGGTTTGATCCTTCTCAAAGCCTGTCCCACCAGTTCTTTCACTGAGTGCCAGGGCAAACTGAGGCCAAGGCTGTCCCATGAGTTCCACAGTGTCCTACAATTCAAGTCCAGACCTAGATGAGAACTCAGGCCTTCTGACCCCCTGTTCATGAGTCCACAATGCAGTCAACAAACCACCTTTGCCAGAAAATTACCAGTCATGGTAGAGCCCAGGGCCCCTGGGAGAGTGGAATTTATACTTCTCAGCTACTTAGGAGAAAGGCTCTGGACCTGGTAAGTCACTTCTTCACGGCATTAGCTCTCCTCTTCAGCATTTCCCAGGTTACAGCACCCCTGCAATCAACCTTGCCAAGGAGGCCAGCTTGCTGCACCACTGGCCTCCCTCACATCTGTCTGCCCAGCCGTGCCTTCATCCACCACCACATCCAGTAAATTGGCATCCAGAAGACACGCTATCCAGTTCCATCTCCATAACTGGGCACTCCATCCCAAGTGCATTCCCTGACATTGACTCTTGATCATTACAGGGACTGTGAAGCCAGCCGGGCAGGTATTATAAAGCTAGGTTTTAACTGATGAGGAAGTGGAGGCTCAGAGAGCTAAAATACTTGGTCCTCTGCCTCCTCAGCAGTGTATGAGGGTGTCTGGCTCAATGAGGCTCCTTCCAGCTCTGATGTTCCAGACACTTATGACTCTGGCCCAGGTCCTAGTTCAGCCAGGACTGTCTTCCCTGGGCACCGGGTAAGGACTCTTTGCTGAAGGCTAAGGTGCTCCTGGCATGCAGAAACACAAGGCACCCAGCATGAACATGCTGCCTGCACACATATATCTGCACATGCACACACATTGTCATATCTATAATAAAACATTCATGTTTCTCCTAAGGGGCGCCACCCTTGCATCCTCCTCTCTTGCCAACACCATGCCCACATTCTTATCTCTTTTTTCCTTCTATTGAAAGACTTGGAAAGGAAGAACGGAGACCTGGGATACTCAGGAAACAGCCATAAAATTCCAAGTCTCTCAGTGTCTTGGCTGGGAAGCATTTCCTTGACATCAGGCTTGAGAGAACTGTAGACTCAGAGGCCACAGGGCTGGGAATGAGTGGAGGAACTGCAGCCTTAGTGTCATCTTTTGCAAGATTAGAATCACCTGCTCCCATGGTTCTCAGGGTCGGCAGCATGTTAGTATCCCTGGAGGAGCTTTTCAACGTACACCCAGAAAATATATCCCATCCCCAGAGGTTCTGATTTGCCTGGTATGGGGCGTGCACCAGGCAGCACTTTTTTCTTAAAGCTCCCCAGGTGACTGTAACATGAGGCCAGGGGTGGGAATCACTGATCTAGTCCAATCCCCTCATTTTAGGCCGAAAGCTCAGGTCTGGAGAGAGGAAGCATTTTCCACCCAACTGGAGGGAGGCAGCCCATTCTCGGGTGAGTATTGACTGAGGAAATTAGTACACCCAGGGAAGCATCTTGGTGTCCACTGAGCCTGCTGTTGGCACCCCCGCTCCTCGACCCCACATACCTGGAATGTGTCCTTGGACGCCCGTTCAAAAACTTTTGAGCGGCTGGAGAGGAAGAGCACTTCTGTCTTGCCTTTCTCTCCATAGATCTGCATGTAGACTCGGGCACTGGTGCCTGCGCCACCCACATCTCCTGTCCAAATCTCAACCTCATAGTGGACCACTGGGTGGGCACGTGCAGAAGAAGTGGAACATTTAGTAATAATAACAATAACAATGATAGTAACAAAACAAACCTTTCCTGAGCCTGTTCCAGGTGCCTGGCGCTTTACAGTCATTCACTTATCTAATCCTCTCCTCAACACCCTGAGTAAGCACAATCATTCCCATTTTGCAGGTAAACAAAGTGAAGCTTAGAGGAGAATAAGTGGTGGAAATGCCAAATCTAAGCAATCAGACACACACCCCAGTCATCCTCTGCACCACACGCACCAGGAAGGAGGAGGAGTCACATACCAGCTGGCGATCCCTGCTGTGTGCCTGCCTGCTACAGTTTGCATGTTTGTCCTCTCCAAAACTCATGCTGAAATGTCATTGCCATTGTAACCGTATTAAAAGGTGGGACCTTTAAGGAGTGATTAGGCCCCCCAAAATGCTTATGTTGAAGCCACTAACCCCAATACCTCAGAATGTAACTGTATCTGGAGATAAGAGTCTTTAAAGAGGTGACTAGTTTAAATGAGACCCCCAAGGGCAGGCCCTAATCCAAGCTGATTGGCGTCCTTATAAGAAAAGGAAATTGTGGCACACAGAGAGACACCAGGGATGTGGAGAGACACCAGGGATGTGGAGAGACCAGGTGAGTCCACAGTGATGAGGCAGCCCTAGCACAGTAATGCAGAGAGCAGTGAGCGCAGAGAGAGCGATCCATCGAAAAAGGAGACTCACTCCAGAAAAAACAAGCTCTACAAAAGACGAAAAGCAATTATCATAAGGCAGGTGATTCAGCAGTGAATAATATTGACATAATAATATAAAAATTGAACACTGATTTAGATGTTTTGAAGGCTGGAAGGAGGGGGAGAGAGAGAGTGTGTGTGTGTGTGTGTGTGTGTGCACGCACACACGCACACATGAGGGCCCATACAAGTGCTTGTGTATGTTAAAAGAGCTAAATCCTCTTTCATAGTAGGAAGTCAATAGATAACGTCTAAGACTGTAAAATTAAAAAATTGAGGCCAGGCACGGTGGTTCAGGCCTGTAATTCCACTGCTTTGTAAATCCACTGAGGCAGAAGGATTGCTTGAGGCCAGGAGTTCAAGATCAGCCTGGGCAACACAACAAGATCCCCATCTCTACAAAAATAAAATAAAAATAAAAATTGAGGGGTGTGGTGGCACGTGCCTGTAGTCCCAGCTACTCAAGAGGCTGAGGCAGGGGGATCGCTCGAGCCTGGGAGTCAAGGCTGCAATGAGTTATGATTGTGTCACTGCACTCCAGCCTGGGTGCCAGAGCAACATCCTGTCTCTAAAAACTAAATAAATAAAAATTGATAGGTATATTGTTTAAAAATATGGAGCTAAATTTTAGAGGAAAAATCTAAAGTAAGGTTGTTGGCATTGAAGAAGGGGGGTTGGGGTAAGGGGAAGAGGTAGGTAAGGGAACTATTGCTTTTTTATCTTTATCTTTATCTTCTTGATTAGTATCTATACTACTCTGATGGAATTCCAGTGTTGATTTATAAAATGAGGGAAGGAGTTGATTCTTATACTGGCAAGTGCCATTACAAAGCGTGTGTATATAACAGCCCTAAAGGAACTTGCAGGTTGCTTCAGATTAGACACACACACGAAAAGATATTCAAAGAGTTCTGGGAGCGGGAGAGGTGATTTCACACTGGGGTTCCCTCTCAGGGAAGCTGCTGTGGAAGTGAGCCTTGGGCAGTTGCTTTCAGGGCCAATGTAGAAATGCAGAGGTGAGGCCAGTCGTAGTGGCTCACGTCTATAATGCTAGCACTTTGGGAGCCCAAGGCGGGTGGATCACTGGGGGTCAGGAGTTGGAGACCAGCCTGGCCAACATGGTGAAACCCCATCTCTACTAAAAATACAAAAATTAGCCGGGTGTGGGGGCATACACCTGTAGTCCCAGCTACTCAGGAGGCTGAGGCAGGAGAATCGCTTGAACCCGGGAGGAGGTTGCAGTGAGCTGAGATTGTGCCACTGCACTCCAGCCTGGGCAACAGAGTAAGGCTCTGTCTCAAAAAAAAAAATGCAGAGGTGAGAAGGGACATTCTCTGTGCCAGGCTTTGGTCCCACTGTCTTCCTCCTCAGAAATGTCACCATCCTATCCAAAAAGGCCCTTCCCCCACACCATTGCTAACCCTTTATCCTGTTTCATGTTCCTCTTGGCTGTTCATTCGCATTATCCTATTATTGTCTGTCTCCCCTGTGGAATATAAAGCCTGTGAGCGCAAGGGTTTTGTTCGTTTTGCTCACAGCTGCCTCCACAAAGCTCAGAGCAGTGCTGGCAGAGAGAAACCCTCAATAGACCGTCATTCCTCAGTATCTGCAGGGACAGGTTCCAGAACCCCCAAGCATACCCGAATCTGAGGATGCTCAAGCCCCTCATATAAAATGGCATAGTATTTGTATATAACCTACACACATCCTCCTATACACTTTAAATATCTCTAGGTTACTTATAATACCTAATACAAGGTAAATGCTATATAAATAGTTGTTATACTGTACTGTTAGGGAATAATGACAAGGAAAAAAGTCTGTATATGTTCAGTACAGATGTAATTTTTTTCCAAATGTTTTTGATCCTCGATTGAATCCACCGATGCACAACCCATGGATGTGGAGGGCTGACTGTGTATTTTTTTTTGAATAAATGAATGAATAAAGAGTTTTGTCTCCTCAGCCAGTCTTCATCACAGAAGACATGAACTAGGTCTCAAACTCCTATACAGGGTTGAGTGTGCATTTCCTAATAAAGTCATTTGCTGCCTTTATTCCACAAAAAAGTATTTCATCCATTGGGTCCTCAGTTTCCTCATCTATAAAATGAGCCCTACTTTCCTGCAAGAACCATAGTACCAGAAGCAGTGAAAGCCCCCATTTTCTCCCTGCAGGACCCTACCAGCAGCACTTGTCAGCAAGACCTGCTTTGCCCCATGGTCCCTCCTCCTTCCCCTCAGCCCCATCCCCCATGGGAAACAATGGGTGGTCCCACCACAGCCTCCTCCATACATTTCTGGATCTCCACCACCTCGCTGGGATACAGCTCCACCTCCAGGCGCCCGTCAGCCTGGTTCTTGTCCAGCCAGCGGTTGGCGGGAAAGGTGTACTGCTTGCCTTGACGGGGCACACGGATCTGAACGCTGCCCAGGAACCAGCTGGCATGCATGCCAGTGCTGTCATGCCCAATCACCAGCCGGTTGATCTGAAGGAAACCCGAGTGAGGGTGAGCAAGGAGCCAGTGTGTAGAAACCTCCATGATCCCATCCCTACCTCCCCAAACACCAGCACAAAACACAACCCAGGTCTCCAGTCCCCAGGAGAGGGAAGATCCATGGGAAAGCTGGAATCCCATTCCTGCCCCACCATCAGCCAGCTGGGGCACCAGGGCATCACCTCACCTGCCTGTAGCCACCATTCCCTTCTCCTAAGCCCAGCACACCTCCCAGGGCCATAGTGAGAAACAAGAGGGGAGTGGAGGTGACACAAAATTTGAAAGCTCCACTAGTACTTAATCATGTTAGGTCATGGCCATGTGAGAAAGCAAATGTTTAAAATGTTTGCCATCACCTTCCAATAACTGTGTTATTGATTTGGTTTGGTTTTGAACAATACACAGTTGTATATATTTCTGCATTTCTTCAACATACCCATCCTGAAGGTGACAGAATATCACCCATCCTGAAGGTGACAGACTATGCAGGCAACCTCTCAGGACTCTGCGGTTCTGTGTCCAATTCCTCTGCTCACTCTTGGACCCAAGGAACACTTTTCTTTTTCCAATAACACTCTATAATTGCTTTGCGATTTTGCATTTTAACATCTTTGCCCCCATGGGCAACATAGAGGGGAGTGCAGATGATCATATCACCATCCTTATATGTACTTGGTTTTTCAATGTTTGGATTGCTTTTATGTTTTTTCTTTTTGAAATGCTGTATACAGAGCAATTTTAACATCAGATGGAATTATCAGATGGCCTTTGAGAACCCTTCCAGCCCTGAGATTCTCTCTGCAATGGTTTGAAGAGGTGATGTTAGCCATGAGTCTGGTGCCAAAAGGCCAGATTTAGAAAACTGTCCATGCGAGCCTGCTCTTGCTCTTCTGAGTCCTAAGTGCCTCTTTGCAGCTGGTAATGGCAACAACGTCAGAGCTAAGTGCATGCAGCCCAGTCCCCTGGAATTATCAGAAGAAAACCAGCTAAGCTTACAAAGCCTGAGAGCCCTCTGTGTGCATGTCAAGGGACAGGGAAGAGTTTTGTTGTTCTTCTGTGGTGCCAGGACTATGAAAGTCCCAGGGAGGGATTGGCTGAAAGGGTAAAGACAGAGGTAAGTGTCTGATATGACTGGATGCTCCCTAAGGGCAGACACTAGCTCAGTTCTACAACACTTCACACCTGACATAGACTAATTGTTCAGTAGCATTTACTCAGCACTTAGTATGAGCATGTGGGTGTTATTCACATATTTAATACTAATAGCAACCCCATTAGTATCTCATGTTGTTATGAATGAGAAAACGGAGGCAAACAGAGGTTAAATAACTTACATATGGCAGGTAAGTGGAAATGGGTCTCAAATATGCGGTTGGCAGCCAGAGCCCATGCTCCCAGCCTCTTGGCCATGCTGCTTGTTGAGGGGGTTTCGGAAACTCAGGAAGAAGCTTAAATGCCCTCCCACTGCCACCCTACTCTTCCTAGAGGTCTAACTTACCCGCCAGCTGCTGCCCAAAATCCTTTAGTAAAGGGAACAGCATTTTCACTCTGCAATTATTGATTCAGCTTAAAATGTAAATACATCTTGATAAATGAAAACATTGATTTAAGTTCATTAACCTCAAGGTATAAATGACTAACATGAGATCTTTCCCTGGAGTGAGTTTTGATGGGAGAAGAGATTCCTAGGACCTGAAATAGGGTGGGACTCCCAGAGAGGGAAGGGGCAGGAAAGATGAGGTTCCAGGTAGAGGGCTTGTTACCATCTCCATTTCCACCAAGCCACACCCTGGGAGCAGCAGGTAGTAACAAAAATCCCAGCTCAGGCATTTCTAGAGACATCCCCAATCCTCAAGTCCAAGATTTAGAACTGTGTTTCTCCAGGTGATGTCAAGGAAGATTCTCACCTTGGCCAAACTCTAGCCAGGCTCCTGAACCCTTTCTCAGCCTCAATCTTGGCCTATAAAGACTTGAACAAAACACTAACACAGTTTCTAACAGCTCAAGGCCACATCCCTAGAGTGACCCTAATCCCCCTTACTGTGCTTGCCTTAGAAAACTCAAGGCTGTCAAAATAATTTACTGTTGGTTCCAGCCAACACCTGAGGGTAGGGCTTCTGTCTGCCAGACTCTTGAAGGATAAGACCCTCATGCCATAAAGCATCAGTTAGCAAACCCAGATGGGTTCCACAACCCACATGTGCTGACCTCCCCATTACTGCTTTTCATGTTTTCCCCCTGACTCTACTGAGCCCTTGATTACCCTCCCCTTATTCCCTCATCCTCCCTTTAAAGAGGTTTGCAAACCTCTGCACAAACCTAAGTTGGGTTCAGTTCACACTGGCCTCTTTTCCTGATGGCAGTGGTAGATTACTGATTAAAGTCTGTCTTTGCTGCTTTACTGTTCAGCTTTCTCTTTGATGAAGTGCTTAGACCACTTGCAGCAGAGTCACCTGGAGCCTTGATCTGGAGGCTCTTGGGTTCCATCTCCCAAGACAGAATCTCTCAGGTGTGGCCCAGAAGTGTGCACTGAAACAAGCTTCCTGGCCCCAATTCTGATGCACACTCAAGTTTGAAATTGGGAAGTATTTTTAGCCCCTTTTCTTAGTCCTCCCTTCTCTTTTCCTTCCCTGCGTTCAGTCTCCTTCTCCAGTGTCTGTGACCCAGGTACATTGGTCTTGGATATGTAGGTAAATAAAATGTTGAGGCAATGCCACTAAAAATACACATTCCAGCCCCAAAGAGGCTCTGGAAGCATCACTACTGTTTACATATCTTCAGCTGCTCTAGGTCACAGCTAAAAAACTACACACCTCACTCACTATTCCCAAGTGTGCTTTTTCTCTTCAAAATGTGTTTACCCTTATGTACATGAGTGTGTGCGTGTGTGTCTGTGTGTGGACATATGTGTGTGTGGACACGTGTGAATGTGTGTTCGGAAATGGGTGGGATGATGTCACATGGTCTTGGGAAGGAGACTTACATTTCCAATGTTCAGGGTCTCGAGGGTGAACTCATCCACCCGGCCACGTTCAAAGTAGTCTTTGAGGTTGTTGTCAGAGACAAGAAGAACTTGCTTGATGGTGTCAGATTTATCCCCATAGAGCTTGATGTAGACTCTAGAATCCGTGCTGGCCCCAGAGACATCCCCAGTCTTCAAGCTGATGTGATAGCGAAAGTCTGAACAGCCCAAGGCAGAGGGAGGAAGGGAAGGGGTTAGTGCAGGGGGTGACAGGAAGCAGGGTGCGTGTATAGGAGGGCAGCCTGGAGCTGGAGGTTTGTGGGGAACACACGCTGGGAATTGAAAATCCAGGCTCCTGTTCTAAGCAGCCCTGCAACTTGGGGCAGGGGTTCCTTCCATCTCTGTGAGGTCTCCTCAACTGTAATGGCAGAATTCTAGTAGGTTCTCTGTCTGCTCCAGAAGGTGTGAATGGGCTTAGAGCAGGAAAGCGTGTAAATCACAAGCAAGAACATCAAAACATAAGAGCCTGAAAGGATTTCCCACAATCATCTGGTCTAGCTTCTCTGACAGTGGACAAGGAAACTGAGACAAAGGAAGGATCAACCTTTCCAGACAGTGTCTAGAGCATTATACACATGGTATTATTGCTAAGGATTCTGACCCCAGTTTCACAGGCAAGGAATCTGAGCCTCAGAATGTCATGTGTTTGGTGCAAGATGGCAACAGTTAAGAGGTCGCCAGGAGTGAAACTCTCATGTGGACTTGAAACCCCCTGCTCTTCACTGGGCCACCACGAGGGTGTCACTCCATTTTATCAGCCAGGAATGTCTGCATTATCGGTCTTCAGGGACAAAAACACCCGAGGAAAAGGTGAGTCCTGGAATAATACAAGGCAAGACCCCAAGTCCTCCAGGCTTGTTCCTGGGTGTGTGTCTTGGGCAAAGAGGAGGAAGCACTGGAAAGGTGAGTGATGCTCACTCCCAGGCCTGCCACTCACTGACACCGTAGGGTCCTCCCACTAGGCAGAAGGATTTGGAGAAAGTCAGCTGAGCACACCTTGCCTAGGGACCAGCCCTGGAGAAGGCCAGACCTGCAGGTCTGCTCCAGATCAGCTCCATTAGTGCCACCCAAGGGCACTTGAGGAAATGGCCTCTATTCTTGCTGAAAGATGTAGCAGCAGAGACTGGGAAGGAGACCTCTTTCTTGTACTATTTTCCATCTCAACCAGGGGTGTTCAATCTTTTGGTTTCCCTGGGCCACACTGGAAGAAGAAGAATTGTCTTGGGCCACACAAAAAATACACTAATACAAATGATAGCTGATGAGTTAAAAAAATTGCAAAAAAGTTTTATGTTTTAAGAAAGTTTACAAATTTGTGTTGGGCCACATTCAAAGCCGTCGTGGGCCACATGCGTGCGGGCTGTGGGTTGGACAAGCTTGATCTAAACGCTTTCAGACGCTCTGACTGAGGAAGCAGGGGGTCAGGAGGTCCTGTCCACATGGTGAAATAGGGGCTTGCTGGACTGGGAAGGACAGTGACATAGACAGAGATACCCTGGGTACTGGTCCCAGCCCCATCACTGACTACACAACTGGGTTTGCTGGGGTTGTGGAGGGGGAATAGGGGTCCTTTTGCCACAGGCATCTTATCTCCTGGGATCCTTCCCAGATCTTAAATTCTGTAATTCTGAGACCAGAAATGGGACACTCTAGTTCAAAGTCAGCAGTCTGACCTTAGAAGAGGTCAGATACAAATATCTTTAGCTGCCGGGTGCCGTGGCTCATGCCTCTAATCCCAGCACTTTGGGTGGCCAAGGTGGGTGGATCATTTGAACCCAGGAGTTTGAGACCAGCCTGGACAACATAAAGAGACCCCATCTGTAGAAAAAAAATATAAAAATTAGCCAGGTGTGGTGATGTACACCTATTGCCCTAGCTACTCAGGAGGCTGAGACAGGAGGATCACCTGAGCCTAGGAGGCTGAGGCTGCAATGAGCCAAAATCACACCACTGCACTCCAGCCTCGTTGACAGAGTAAGACCCTGTTTCAAAAATAAACAAATAAACAAAAATAAAAATATCTTCAGCTCTTCCGGTTCTAAGTTTCTCCATCTGACCCATGGACAACATCAACCCTGACCATCTTCTGGGATTATTGCAGAGCTCAAATGAGATAATAAATGACAAACATGAGGTGTTGGTAATGTCAAGGATTCTAGAGATAAGTTTCTTTTAATTTTGTCTAAAGCTCATGATCAAACCAAAGCAATGGAAGAAATGTCACCAGTAAGGAAAACTCTAAGGCCTCCAAGATGATACTTGGCATTTTTAAAGTCCCTATTTTACAGTCCCTTCAAAATATTTCTCTTCTTAAGGCCTGAATGACAGGTACTGCCAATGCTTGGCACCATTGGCCAGCATTACTGCTCATCACTCTCGTTGACCCATATGCATTCAGGGCCTCACACCTGAGGCCACAAAGAGACTGTGTGCAGGAGCACAGGCAGGAACTCTCCAGACACTCCCTCGGAGCCTCCCTCTCCTCCCTCCCCACTGCCACCTCTGTGAAACATGAAGTGCTCGTGTTTTCTTGAAGGGCTTAGCTGAGGGAAGGCCCCTGTCTCACCAAGGGCACACCCAGCACCTGGTCATCAGGACAACTCACTCTTCAGTGTCGCGCTGCTGTCACTGGGTAGCAACTCTCGGACCAGCTGCCCATCATCCTTATCCTTGTCCAACCACCTGGTGGGCAAATGGGGGAATGTTAGCTCTTTGGGTGGAGCAGGCAGACAATCAAAGCTTCACCCATTCATGCAGAGTCACTATGGAGGCCCAGAGCTTTGACTTTAGCAAAGTGAAATGATTCTATGGGAGCATCTAGCAAAACATCCTAGCCTGGAGTGGGAAAGGAGGACTTCCCGGAGGCAGTGGTGTTTGGCTGAGATTGGAAGGAGGGCAGGGAACTCCTTGGGGAATGGGTAGGATGATGTCACATGGTCTTGGGAAGGAGACCAGGAGAAAAAGGAAGAGTATCCCAGAGGAAGCAACATATCCTGGGATGGAACAGAGCCCGCAGGAGTTGAAACAGGACCATGTGGATGGGATGCAGTGAACAACAGGTAGAGAGCTGGCAGAGGAAGCTGGAGAGGGGACAGGTCACATGATATAGGGCCTTGGCAATCACTGTCAAAAGTCTGTCCTGAAAGCCATCATTAGCATAGAAAACAAGCACCTCTTTTTCTAAGAGCTTTCCATCCTCATGGCACTGTGCTGAGGGCTCTGGGGTGGGGAGATGGCAGAGAACATATGCTAGGATACGTAAGGCCCAGCCCAGGCTGTCGGCAGCCTGCTTAAGAAGACAGGATAGGCCAGGCGGGTGGATCACGAGGTCAGGAGATGAAGACCATCCTGGCTAACACAGTGAAACCCCGTCTCTACTGAAAAACAAAAAAATTAGCCAGGTGTGGTGGTGGGCGCCTGTAGTCCCAGCTACTCGGGAGGCTGAGGCAGGAGAATTGTGTGAACCCAGGAGGCGGAGCTTGCAGTGAGCAGAGATTGCGCCACTGCACTCCAGCCTGGGCGACAGGGTGAGACTCCGTCTCAAAAAAAAAAAAAAAAAAAAAAAAGACAGGATAGACCAGCTGAGGCACTGAGGACCAAGACCAGGATAGGTATTGGACCAGAGTAAGTGCTGCAAGAGTTGAGGGAAATGAGAAGGGCTCAGTGATCTGAGTCCTCAGAGATAAATGAGAATTGCCTTCCAGGAGAAGCTGGGGCTGTGCTCTGCAGGGCTGCGGTTTGATAGCTGTGACTCTTCAACATGTTGGAGTGAGCCACGGTCCCAGCTCTCGGCTGGTCATCCACCAGGCGGAAAGGTATGGGGCAATTTACCTGAAAAGCACCTATCACACTGGGCACGGAGACTCAGCCTGAGAAATCAATCATGCAAGCATGAGTTTTCTAAGCCCCAGCACTCAGGATGGTTTATGACGGGGCCCATGGCAGCAGAATAGATACCGTTCATTGTTCCCCAGGATACTGAGGAAAACAAGACATTTGTCTCTCAACCAAACCACCTCCCATTTGTCTATGTCTTGGTACTGGTTGTTGCAGCCCACTCCATTACCCTACTGAGAGGGAGGCAACTCCCTGGCTACAGAGCCTGTAAAAGAAGCCAAGACACTAATTCCTCCATAGCCTCCCTGGCATGGAGTTCAGGCATCCCCAAACTGCAATACTCTCTGCTAATAGACCACCCCTCTCCCCAAGGCTGACGGAGGCAATGCTGTGGTCTCTCCCAAACCTTCTCTTACATCCTCCTTCCCAAAACACAAGATCTGACATTCCCATGAGACCTTGCTCTCAGTTGGCTATTAGCTAACACTAAAATGTTAGACGACAACTAGGCTGTTATTTTTCCCAAGGGCTTTGGTGCTGTGAATCTAGAACATAAGAAAACCATTGGAGACTCCAAGACATGAGCATGCAATGGTGAAATCCTAGGCATTAATGACAGGGGGATTTGGGAACTCAGGGCTGCTGGAGTCCCTGAAATCAACCCGTTAACAGCCTCCCACTCCATCTGTCCAGCTGAGGTCACCCTGGCATGGAGACTGCAGAGGAGAAGGTTGAGAAGTAGGCCTGGGCAACGCATTCACAGGGCAGTGAAGTGTGGAGAGTCAGCAAGCCCTCGGCCATCTGAAAATCTTACCTGTGCTCCCTTCATTCTCCACCACTTATCCACCCCCAGGCCCTCCCCAGCAGCAAAAGGAAACCATGACTTGTCATTTTGTTTCCACCTAAATACTTTCAGGGTATTAATAGATATTTCCAAATATAGCCAGTTTCTTTCAGCTTCAAACACTTCAGCCCAGTTTCAGAGTGAGATGTTGCTAAAAGGATAAGTCAGTCTGGTGGTGATTTTATTACTCTTTCTCTGAGCTCACAGGAGTGTGTGTGTGTACACATACACACACACACACACACACACACACACACACCTGATCCTAGCAGAAATTCTGATAAATAGACCTGGTTTGTCCTCCTCTCCAACAGAGTTAAAATAACAGCTCAGGTGAAGAAAGAAGCAGTGTGCATGCTCAGGCTCCAGTTCCTGATTTTTCCAAGTCCCCTGGGTCCTGAGTTGGCAAATGCCATCACTACATGTGTCAGCAAGACATAAGAACCCATTTTCTAAAAAAAAAAAAAAAAAAATGCATGCACTGTTAAGTGTTTGGGGGCAGGGAGGACTCTGGAGTGTTTGAGGCCTCCGCTTCTCTTCCGCCCAGCCATCAGCATCATCAGCACCACTGTGTCTTTAATGGGCTCCTTTCAAAGTACAATACCCTCAACCTCACCATAAGACACATGCTGGCCAGGAAGGTGCAGAAGACCAGACAAGGGATTGGGTCAAAGTCACACAGCAGGTGGACGGCTAGACTTCTGGTTCCCAGCTCCCCCAGCACCATGCATGTGACAATGCAGTGTGCACACACCAACTTCTTCCTCTTCCCCTTTCCAGGCTCCTTCTCCTGGCCTGCCCCAGGGCTCGGCCCTCACTGTTTTCTTTATCCACACTCTCCCTAAAGGATCCCCTGCAGTTCCCTGGCTTTAAATTCTAGCTCTATGCTCTTATTCTCTGAATTCATTTCTCAAGGCCTAACTCTGCATTGAAAACCAAACACATCCCAACTAGACCTCCAGAGTCCAACCTCGTCCCCACCCCTCAGCTCTCCCTCCCCAGGATCCCCATTTCAGTAAAGGGCATGACCTTCAACCCACCTATCAAAGGCAAAAGCCTGGGGCTTTCAGTTCTGGCCCTTTCTCTGTCTCTTATGGGCAAGGCCCATGAACTGTCCCTCCAGGGTCCTCTCTGGTGTACAATAAGCCCCGTCTCACCACCTTCACTGCCACCACTAAGGGCCAAGCTGCTATGTGGTGAACTGAATTGTGTCCCCCCACCCCACCCCATTCATACATTTAAGTCCTAACCTCCGGTACCTCAGAATGTGACCTTATTTGGAAATAGGGTCATTGCAAATGTAACCAAATTAAAATAAGGTCATTAGGGTGACCCCTCATCTAATCTGACTGGTATCCTTATGAAAAGGGAAAATTTGGACACAGATATATATAGAGGAAGATGCTGTGAGGAGGCGCAGAGAGAAGGTGGCCAATCACAAGCCAGTGAACTCTGGAGGCTGCTGGGGTGAGGACATAGGCCCGGGTCAGATCCTTCCCTAGCGCCTTCTGAGGGGTGCAGCCTGGCTGACACCTTGATTTTGGACTTCTGGCCTCCGAAACTGTGAGACATTATGTTTCTGTCATTTAAGCCACCCAGTCTGTGCACTTTGTTACAGCCCTGGAACATGAACACATGCCGTCATCAACTCCCCAAAATCTCCTACTGCTCTCCCCTCCTCCCTGGGCCCTGTCCTATCCCCAGAGGCCAGACAGGCCTTCCTCGCATGCAAGAGTCTCCCTCGCCCTGCCGGACAGTGGCCTCCATCTACCTGCCTGTCTTGCTGGACTCCAGAACACTCCAGTCCTTTCCCCTGGTGCTCTCCTCTTCATTCCACAGGAGGCCAGCCTCAACATCCCTCTGCAGGCAGGCCTTTCCCATTTCTAGCCCCGGCTCCAGCCCCTGCACCGTTGTGTGTTTCCTCCACGCCACTCTTCACAGTGTGTCATTCTGGCTTTATTCACTTGCTTTTAGTCTAGTTTCCCTCTAGACTATAAACTCCATGAGGACAGGGAGTAAGTATATAGTAGGTATAAATATATTTTGAGTAGATAGGAATAAAACAATGCAAGCTCTTCCATCTGGCATCCAGCCAGTCAGCCTCTGATCCAGGATGGGGGTGAAAACGCCAGTAATGACTTGAAGCGAGGCTGTACTCTTCCCCCACACCCCGCTTCCCCCGTGGCTTAGGAGAATGAGGGTTCACACTCCACCCTCTCCCACCCCAGCCTTCTCACTCCTTCCCCACATGCCAGGCGCCCCTTGCCAACCTCTGGATGAGCCACCCCTCAGCCCCTTGCTCATGCCTCATGCCATTTCTTCAGCCTAGGTGGCCCACCCTCCCTTTTCCTCTCCCTCTGTCCACTCTCTGACCTCCCTTCCAGGCCCAGGTGCACTTCCATCTCTTCCTGGAAGCCTGCCTGGCCTGCCCTCTGTTAGTGCCACTCACTTGGAGCTGCCTGCATTATTACTTACCTTTTCAATGTAATTCCTTGTAATACAAACAGTGCTATATGTAGAAGACTGTAGAGCTCTTTGTCATTGACAAAATCTGTTTCACAATCATTGACCTATGGAGCCCTCCCAGTGGCCCTCCGTGGCTGGGAAACTACTGGGCCTGGGTTGGTGGGGTGCTAAGTAATTCAGCTGCAGCAGATGTGTGCCTGTGTGTGTGCGCCTGTAGGCACAGGCATGCATGTGAGTACATCTGCGTTCATGGTAAGAGGAAGAGCAACACACTCATTACTGGGCAGCTGTGCAACTCACCCTCATCCACTCAAAGGAGGGCTGTCCTCAGTGTAGCTACCCTTGAGGAGCCCTGGACCAGCCCTAATAAAGTGGACACATAGCAACTCATCTCTACATACAGAACTCAGCCTTGGAACTGAGATTTGCAGAGCCGGGTCAGTCCAAGGCCCCAAGTCAATCATACAGTGTGAATCCTCCAGACATTGCCACATAAAATGTGGAGAGCCACCATGATGACATGAAAAACACTGGTATTGCTCATTCTAAAATCTCTCTATCAGGGACTTCTTTAAGTCAATGGGAGCCCAAATGCTTAAGCAAAAAGAGAAAGGAAACTTTATCTCATGAATAAATTGCAGAAAGGAAAACAAGGTAAGATACCTTGAAAAGAAGTTAACAGGGAAGAGGTATGGTCAGAAAGTTATTTAAATTAAAAAAAAACTTTTGATTTAAAAGTTTAATTCAATCTGCAACTAACTCTCTGAACTAACTTTCACCTAAATTCAGGAATTGCCAAATTTTATCATGAACAAGCACCCACATTTTGTTGCTTAAATAGAGGAAACTAGCAGCACACCGGAACACACCACAGTGGTGTTCATCACGGTGGTAGGGGGTGAGAAGGGAATGTGAGGCTCAGGTCTAAGCACCACCAGCGAGGTCACCTCTTTCTTGCACCAGCTATAGCCTTAAGCCACTGTTTTGCTTGCTGGTCATGGTAGTAGGGCTGGGTCTTCCCAAAACACAGGGATCATAACCTAAGCTGGAGAAAACACCAGCAGGCAGGACGCATGTACCTGAGACATGGGAACTCCACGTTGTCGCTCTCAGGCTGCCCCTCCTCTCTCACCAGCACTCTGTCCAGGTACCAGCCGCTGCCGGAGCCTTTGCCATCGTGTCTGATCCTCACCCGCCTCACATTCCGCATGGTGACAGACTCGATAGTGAACTCGTCAGCCTTGTGGGGGGAAACCACAAGGCCAGTTAGACAGTGGCTACCCCAGGACCCAAACACCAAGGGAAGACATAAGCTCAGATATCAGAAAATCCAGAGCTGATGGGTTAGGCAACTCCTCTTTCACACATGGGACAGGAGCTACCTATAAAGCACAGCTCACACCCACCCCCAATTTCTTCCACTGGAATATCATCCAATGTCAAGTTTCCAGCTCTCCTTTCAAAAGGCAGCTTCCTCTGGGAAAATAAACAAGTTAAGCTGTTGTCAGTCACCAATCATTTATCATGAGCTAATTCCTTGGCAAATCTCCTCTGGCTCCTTGCTCTAGAGGGATACTGGGCCCCTTCCAAGGAGGGAAATGATTAGAATTGATTACGGGGACTAAGTAGCCTTGCTAATTGTATAGTTTTGCTCACCACTGAGGCAGCATAACAGTAGGGGCAACAGAGTTTCCAAGTGTACATGAGCACACCTGGGAGCCTTCAGGGACAGAAACACTGAAGGTGGGATTGATGGACAAAGGCGTCAGAAGATGTAGGAGTAAAGAGTAGGGAAGGCTGGAGAGAAAGGTGGGTGGGTGGGAAGGAGAGAGGAAATTTAAAAAGCTATGTGAAGTAAAGGCATCGCTACCTCCTCTCCTCAAATGAACCTGAGTCCACCCACAACATCCTGCTCAGATTATTTTTTGCCACTGCAGCCTTCAAATGGCCATGATCCCAAGAATCGAGCCAGCCTGGATTGGCCTCAGAGAGAGGCCTTCACTGGAATTCCAGGGCTTTCCCTGACCTCACCAAGGAAGTCGTGGCAGAGGAAGGAGATAGAGCAGTTGTCTGCAAATCCCCTTCACCCTGCTGAGCTCCCTTGGCCTCACTTCACTGCAACAACGACTCTGTACTCAGCATCCACTGTGTGCTGTGGGCCAGATCTGACCTCAGAGACGGTACATCCACTGCCCCTAATGCTCACAACAGCCCACCACAGGTAGGCATCCTTTCCCCATTTCAGGCATGAGGAAACTGAGGCTCAGGAGAATGAAGCAGGTAGCCCAAGGCTGGGTTTGCCTCAAACTTGCCTAGCTCTTTCCCCACTGCTTCCACAGCCTCCTCCCCAGAACACCCATGTGATGGCTGGGGAAACAGGGGGAACACCCAACACAACTGTAATGAGGCTAGCAACAGAAGCAAGTTCTCCCACCCCATCTTTAGGGTCTTTCTTGATTTCTCTTTCCTAAAGGTCATGAACAAGATGCCTGCAATGGTCATGCCATAGGGGAGAATGCCAAGTTCCCACATTGGCCCCTGGGGGCCCAGCTTTCTCCAGCCCAGGTCCTCTAGTCCACAGTGCCCGGCATCTTTCCCTCTCCGCCCACCCCTGAGGTAAGAAAGATGCTGCTGCTGCTTCCCAGTGTCCTTCTGTTCTGCTCTCTTCTCAAAGCTCAGGGGTGGGGGAGAACCATAATCCCTCTAAGGTGGCTCTTCAACTCCCTGCTGTACAGTCCCAGGAGTCCAACAGGTGTCCATGCATATTAGTGAATCAGGGCGGGCCAGATACTCAGGAACCAAATACACTAGGCATTGCTGTGCCCTCCCAGTGGCTCTGCTGGGATTCCCCAGTTCCCCGCCCCCTTACCCAGAGTGAGGCTCCTGATGGCTGAGGCCCCAGGACCAGCATCAGCTCAACTTTAACAGGGCAGGGAAGACGAGGGAACATGGGAAGGGAACTGGGAGGAAGGGGATGAGTGGGGCACATTGCTGTAACTTACATTGCCCTTTTCAAACAGGTCTGTGTTATTCCTGCAGTTGTAGAGCAGCCGTTCCCCCGTGTCCCCCACATCACCAAAAAGGCAGAGATAGACGTTGGCATCGGTCCCAGCACCTTCAAGTTCACCTGTGCACACAGTCACATGGTACCGGGCCACTGGCAGGCAGAGAGAGGGACATCATTGCTGACAGCCCCCTGCTTCCCATCCCTAGCCCTGCTGCTCCCACTTCTAAGCTCTGATTCCTCCTCTCCTTCTAGTTCTCATCTGGGCTGACCTTCCCCCTTCCTCCCAACTATCTAAATCCTACCACACACCAATCAAGAGCTGAGTCATCCCCAAGTCTCTTGGCCTAGGCCCTTGGTCATTATAGGTATATGGATTCCATTTAAATCCATGGGATCAAATGAGACAGACCAGAGGTTCCCAATCCTGTCAATTATCAGTATCCTCTGGGAAACTTTTATAAGAATTCAGATTCCTGAGCCCTGCTTCAGGTTTCTCAACTCTGAATTTCCAGAGCTCAGTCTACTAAACGTGAATTGCTTCCAAGCTTTCTTGGGGGACTCTGATGGAGCTGGCCAGTGCTTGGGGACCACTGGTCTAACCCAAACATGTTTGCCCTCAATTCCATCCATCCCAGTAAACCTTTTGCCTTAGGTTGTTCTCCAACTTCTATGTGTTCTCAAGAAAGATAACTTTTCTCCATGAACAAGAATTGTGTCTTCTCTTCAGAACTCCCACTGATAAGGACATGCCAGTAAGCAGAGAGAAAGGCATGAAATGCAGTCACTGTGGGAAGGGCAGCAACTTCTTCCCATGTTGAAAATGTACTGTGGAGGGGGTAGACCTGCATCCCTGCATGCCCAGCCCTCCTTCTCACTTAAAGTAAGCTGAAAAGTAAAATGTACCCATTCACTCACTTATTCACCCCAAATCGGTTTACTGAAGCCTAGTAGGTGCCAGGCACCATTAACAGTACAGGAATTCTGATATTAGAGTTAAGAGTAAAAGTAGAGAGGAGCAATGCAAAGTAAAATCATAAATTATGAATAAGAAAATGTTTTTGTTATATCTGTAACTAAGATAACACAGTGGAGGGACATCTTGGAGTGGTAAGGAGTGGAGTGAGGGAATATAAATTATTTAGAGATGCAGAAAAGGTGACTGCAAAGAGGTAATGTGTGAGCTATAAAGTTAGATAATTCTGGCAAGTGCAAAGGCCCCTGTGTGTGGATGCCTGATGTATGTTCCAGGAGCAGAGAGAAGGCCAATATGGCTGGAGTAGAAGGAATGGGAAGGAATATGAGATAAGGCTCGGAGGTGGACAGGAGCTGGATACATGGGGTGTAGCGGGTCAAGGTAAGAAGTGTGGCTTCCTTTTTATTTTTAATTTTTATTTTTGTACAGTGGAAAGCCATTGGAGGGCTTCAAGCAAGGAAGTAACTTGATCTGGTCTATGTTTTAAAGAGCACTCTGGCTGCCATGAAGAATTGATTATATAGAAAGAAGGAGTAGAATCAAAGAGGTCAGTTAGCAGAATAATTACAGTAGTCTAGAAGAGAGGATGGTGCCTAGGACTGGAGGTGCAACAGAAGTGGAGAAAAGTCAACAGATTAGCAATATAGTTTGGATGCTAAGTCTAAAATGTACTGTTTTGGACAAAATAGTTCTTGGTGATGGATCAGATAGGTAACTGCAGAAAAGAGAGAAGTTGCAGGTGACTCCCAGGTTTTTGGCTTGGGCAATTAGATGGATAGAGTTGCCAATAAGGAGTAGGGGAGTCTTGGGGGAAGGATAGGTTTGGAGATGGAAATCAATGGTTCATTTGAGCTGTCTATTAGATGTTCAAAACTGAGGTCAAGATGGCAGCTGAATATGTGTCTGGAGGGTCAGGATTGGTGATATGACTTTGGTCATCATAGGTATATGGAGTCCATTTAAAGCCATGGGATCAAATGAAATACCCTATGGTGAAGATATAGACAAGGACTGAAAGAATATTTGAACAAATAATGGTCAAAACTTCCCAAATTTGATTTTAAAAGCATTAATATACACATTCAACATGTTCAACAAACTCCAAATTATGATAAATTCAAAGAGATCTACACCTAGACATATTATAGTCAAACTGTTGAGAGCCAAAGATGAAGAGAGAATCTTGAAAGGAGTAGCACAAAAGTTATTCATCACATATAAGGGATGCTCAATACAATTAACAGCTGACTTCTCATCAGAAACTATAGAGGCCAGAAAGCAGTGGGATGATATATTCAATGTGCAGATCATTAACCAAGAATTTTAAATCCACAAAAGCTACCTTTCAAGAATTAAGAAGAAATTAGGGTATTCCCAGAATATAAAATACTACAAGAATTAATCACTAGCATATCTGTCAAGAAATATTAAAGAAACCTTCATGTTAGACATTAAACAGTAACTTGAAATCACCTGATAGATAGAATAAAGAGTACCAGAAAAAGCAATGACATAAGTAAATACATAGAAAATATGCAAGTATTTTTTGTTTGTGAATCTTTTCTTCTCATATCTCATATTACTGCATAAAGCAGTAAATATAGAGCTGCACCACTAGTGAGTTTATAATATGTAAAGATGCAATTTATATTACAATAATAGCATGAAGGAAGGGGAAGAGAACAAACCTATATTGGAACAAAGTTTTTGTATACTACTGAAATTGTTAATATTAATCTGAACTAGATTATTTTAAATTAAGATGGTAATTGTAATTTTCTGGGCAACCACTAAGAAAATCACCCCAAAAATATGATTAAAAAAACAATGAGGGACCAAAAATGGTACTCTGTAAAAAATATAAAAGCAGTAAAGAAAGCAGTAAGAATATAAAAATGTATAAGACATATAAGTAGTAAGAAACAAAAAAGATATGACATACAAAATATAGTTAGCAAAATGGCAAATGTCAATCTGAACATATCAGTAATTGCATTAAATGTATTACATTAAATTTAATTAGACTAAACATTTCCATCAAAAGCCGGAGTGTGGTGGCCATTCTGCAGAAACAGGGTGAATCCACCCACCCCAAATTTGCTCAGCTATCAAGGCTGATGATACTACACATACATTAAGAGCCAGATTCTATTATTTACATAATGAGGAGTTCTTGGGAGAGCTTGGCAGGCTCTTGAGCAGGTCCAATAATAGCTTGGGACAGCAGGGAGATTAGGATTTTATGGTGGTTAGGGAGTGAGACTGAGGTGGTGGTTCCTATGAATGATCAGGGCTTGTATGGCTTAAACTTTCCACCAGTGTTAAGGAAGGCTTTCTTATCAGCTGGCCTATAAATGAGGCAAAAAGGAAGACAGGAGTAGTGTAGTTTAAAACCTGCCAGTAGTCAAACATCAAAACGGAATCAGACTCTGTTACACAGAGATTGGCAAAATGGATAATGGATCTAACTATCTTCTATCAACAAAATACACATTTTTCTATTCAAAGTCACAAAAAGGGTGAAAATAAAAAGATTACCCATAAAACTGGCTCAAGAAAAAATAGACAATCTAAATAGACATATAAAAAGTGAAAAGATTGATTAAACTGCTAGAAGAAAACAGAGGAAATTCTTCACAACTTTAGGCTGGGCAAGAATTCTTTAAGACTTCAAAAGCATAGGCAGAAAAAGCAAAAATAGACAAATAATATTACGTCAAACTTTTGCCCAAACAAAAACTTTTGCACAGCAAAGACAACTATTAGCAGAATGAAGATACAACATACATAATAAAAGAAAATATTTGCAAATTATACATCTGACAAGGGGTTAATATTTAGAATATATAAGAAAATTAAATGACTCAACAGCAAAAACAAACAAGCAAACTAATAACTCGATTAAGAAATTGGCTAAAGACCTTAACAGACATTTCTCAAAAGAAGACATACAAATGGTTTAACAGACAGATGAAAAAAAAAGTTCAACATCACTAATCATCAGGGAAATGCAAATCGAAACCATAGTGAAATATACCATCTTGCTCTAGTTAGAATGGCCATCATCAAAAAAACAAAAGAAGTGTTGGCAAGGATGCAGAGAAAAGGGAACACTTGCACACTATGGGTAAGAGTGCAAACTAGTATGGCCATTATGAAAAACAGTATGGAGATTCCTCAAAAAAGTTAAAAATAGAAGAACCACATGATCCAATAATCCCATTACTGGGTATATATCCAAAAAAAAAAAATGAAAACAGTATGTTGACAAGATATCTGTACTCTCATGTTTATTGCATCATCACTACTTACAATAGCCAAGATATAGAATCAACCTAAGTGTCCAACAATGGATGAACGGATAAAGAAAATATGGTATACATACACAATGCAATACGATTCAGCCACAAAAAAAGGAATAAAATCCTGTCACTTGCAACAACATAGATGAACCTGGAGAACATCAGGTTAAGTGAAATAAGCCAGACGCAGAAAGACCAATACCAGTGATTTCACCCATGTGGAATATTTTAAAAAAAAGAGAGAGAGAGATAAGTCGATGTCATAGAGGCAGGGAATTGAATAATATTTTTACAAGAGTAGTTACAAGAGACTGGGGAAAGGAGGGGGGAGGAGAGGATGGGGAGAAGTTGATCAATGGGTACAAAGTTACAATTAAATGAGAGGAATAAGTTCTGATGTTCTATTATACAGTATAATGACTATAGTTAACAATAAAGACTTGTATATCACAAAATAGCTAGAAGAAATGCTTTTGAACATTCTCACCATAAAGAAATGATAAATGCATGAGGTGATGGATAGGCTAACAACACTGATTGGATCATGATACAACATAAATTTGTCTCAAAATGTTAAATTGTACTCCATAAATACATACAATTACAATATGTCCATTAAAAATAAAATTCCAAATCTTTTAAGTGAAAAGATGAATTAGTAATTTAAAAAAAACCTAGCCAGAAAGAAAAGCCTATGCCCAGATGTTTTTATTACTGAATTCTATCAAACACTCAGAGAAGAAATAATACTAATACTTCTCCAACTCTTCCAAAAATAGAAGAGGAGGGAACATTTCCCAACTCATTTTCTGAGGCCAGCATTACCCTGGTACCAAAACTGACAAAGACGTCATAAGAAAACTACAGACCAATATCTCTTATGAATATGGATGCAAAAATCTTCAACAAAATATTCACAAAAAGAATCCAGCGACATATCAAAAGAATTATACATCATGACAATGTAGGATTTATCCCAGAGATACAAATTGGCTTAACTGCTGAAAATCAATTAATGTAATTTATCAAATTAATAGAATAAAAAGCAAAAATCACATTATTATCTCAATAAATGTAGAAAAAGCATTTGACAAAATCTAACACCCTTTCATGATTAAAAAAACCCATCAACAAACTAGGAATGAAAAGGAAATTCATCAACCCATAAACGTTAGCTATAAAACACCCACAGCTAACATCATAGTTAATCATGAAAGACTGGACAGGACACTTTCCCCTTAAGATCAGAAACGAGTCATCTCTTGTATTCAATGTGGTGCTGGAGATTTCAGCCAAGGCAAGTAGGCAAGCAAATATATAAAAAGATCTAAATTGGAAAGGAAGAAGTATCTTATTCATGGGTGACATAACTATGTATTTATAAAATCATAAGGAATTCACTAAAAAACTATTAGAATAAATGACTTCAGCAAAGTTGTAGAGTACAAGATCAATATACCAAAATCGACTATATTTCTATTCTTTTGCAATGAATAGTCTGAAAGTGAAATTAAGACAACAGTTCTATTTGCAACAGCATCAAAAAGAATAAAATATTTAGAAGTAAATTTAAGAAAACAAGTGAAAAACATACACTCTGGAAACCACAAAATATTTTTGAAAGAAAATAGAGATCTAAATAAATGGAAAAACATCTCATGTTCATGAATTGGAAGACCTAACATTATTAAGATGGCAATACTCCCCAAACTGGTCTATAGATTCAATGTAGCCCCTAACAGAACTCAGCTGACTTATTTGTAGAAATTGACAAGCTGATTCTAAAATTCATATAGAACTGCAAGGGACCCAGAATAGCCAAAACAACCCTGAGAATGAATAATCAAGGAGAAGAACAAGTGTTGACAAGGATGTAGAAAAATTGGAACTCTCACACATTACTAATAAGAATTTAAAATGGTACAGCTATTTTGATAGTTTGGCAGTTTCTCAAAAAGTGAACCAAAGAGCTACCAAATGACCCAGCAAATTCACTCTTAGGTATATGCTCAAGAGAACTGAAAATATGTCTGCATAAAAACTTGTACATGGATGTTTATGGCAGCATTATTTACATAACCAAAAAGTAGAAACAACATAAATGCTCTTTAACAGTTGAATTTGGTACATCGATACAATGGACTATATTATTCAGCAATAAAAAGAACGGAGTACTGATAATGCTACAATATGGATGAATCTTGAAAACATTATGTTAATTGAAATAAACTAAATTTAAAAAGGTCACATATTGTATGACTCTATATATGAAATATCCAGATTAGGCCAATCTGTGGAGACAAAAAGTAGATTAGTGGTTGTCAGAGGCAGAGGGGTAAAGTGGGGAAATGGGAATGACTGCTAACGGGTATGGGTTTTCTTTTTGGGGGAGATGAAAGTGTTCTGGAATTTGATAGTGGTGATGGATGCACGATTTTATTAATATACTAAAAGCCATTGACTTGTACACTTTAAATGGGTAAATTGTATGGCACATGAATCATATCTTAATATAGCTGTTGTTTTTTTTGTTTGTTTTGTTTGTTTGTTTCTGAGAAGGAATTTTGTTCTTGTTGCCCAGGCTGGAGTGCAATGGCGCGATCTCCGCTCACTGCAATCTCCGCCTCCTGGGTTCAAGCAATTCTCTTGCCTCAGCCTCCCGAGTAACTGGGATTACAGGTACCTGCGACCATGCCTGGCTAATTTTTTTGTATTTTTAGTAGAGATGGGGTTTCACCATGTAGGCCAAGCTGGTCTCGAACTCCTGACCTCAGATGATCCACCCATCTTGGACTCCCAAAGTGCTAGGATTACAGGCATGAGCCACTGCGTCCCGCCATAGCTGTTGTTTTTAAAAATGGACATGATTCATTGATAGTCCATCTAAAATGAAGACAAAGTATACCTGGAATGAGACAAATCACCAAGAAGGTGAATTCAGTGTACAAATTATTTTTTCAGTAATATGACCATTTTATTTGGAGATATGCAGACAGCTGAAAAAATAATTTGACCATGAAACATATGAGTACACAAAGATAGAGTGTCTGTGGCAAAAGCACTTGTTAGAAGAACAGGCAAAGAACGACTGATTGTACATAGAGGCCTGCCTTGAGCAAAGCTGGTATAGGTAGGCACTTAAACCATGAGTTAAGATTGAGGAGAAATCTCCTGCCTACCAATATTGTCTCCTCATAGGGCCACAGCACCTGAAATTTAACCATCATTGTCTTCTCTAATCAACTCGTTTAAAATTCAAATACTAAATGCTTTCAATCTTCAGCCTTTGTATAAATGAAGTTGGTTCTTTTGTGTGAAGCTCTGAATGGTCCAACGTATCAACAGTGAGAGGAAAGAACAGCTGAGGACTGAAGGTGGAAACATGACACAGCAGGGAAGGAAAGCTCTCAACACCAGCCTGGCTTCACTCTTAATTATGATGAAGGCCAGTTCTGCTTTTTTAGCTGTAACTTTCAGGCAATTCCCAGAAGCAAAATGATAAGGGAATTTAGAAATCCTTTTGCCTGGGAATTCCCATCCCTTTGGTTCTGAGCTCTGAGGTCCCTTTGGTTGGAAGTTCTCAAGGGTCTTGATTCTCTCTAGGAGCCCCTCTGAAACACCCCAGCCATGGATGTCCCGAGCTCCTTCCTGGCAAGAAGTCTGTGGACAATTTAAAATAGTTATATTGTTAGATACCAGTAGTGAAAGACTTTAAAGAGATGGGTAAGTACAGAGCCTCTTTACTTTAATTTTAAAATTACAGCTCTGATTAACGAGAAGCTACGATTTTCTGCACTTGAGTCCAGTGGCCTCTTGCCCACTCATCAGTGGTGTGTAATCACTTCTCTTGGAAGTACAGTGGAGAACACGGATCTCATTTATTTTACTGTCATGTAGCTCCTGAGGGACAGCCAAGGTGGAAATAAATTGTGAGCTGGCATGTGTATTGTCCATATCTCCCAGTCTGTGTTAATCAGAACAATCACTCCCAAAAGCCTCTTGGCTCTCAGACATGGCATTAATTGCTTATTTGGCTGGCCCTTAATTTGTAAGTAAACCAGAGACACACAACTTCAAACTCAGAGAAATTATTTTAAATTGGTATTTACTCATTTTACGTGAGTCTAAGACTCTCCTCTTAAGGGATTTCCAGGACGTCTTTACACATTATACATTTCACACTGGTACCAGCTGGGAAAACGAAGCATTGTCACCAGCTCTATTTATTGTTAGAAAACATTCCAACCAGAAAAGGAGATATGAGTACTTGTAGAGGTGAGTGAGGACATAGGGGTGTTCCAAGCATAAGATAAATGTTTGTGGGCCATAAAGAGCAGTTGAGAGAAAGAAATTCAAGTTTGTTTGGGCTCTGAAATATAGCCAGGGACCCCCGGAAGACATCAAACTGCCTTATAGCCACAACAGACAGCCCTTCAATCCATACTATCCATATCCATACTATCACCAGAATTATTTTTCTCCTTGAAATGATTTTTTAATAGCATCACAGAAGACAACAAAAAAACACCAGCTAGGATAGCCCCACAATTGTACACTGTTAAAAATGTGTACGAGCACATTTTATACATGTAACCTGTAGAGATGCTCTTCCTTGCCATCTCCTCCACCTCCTGACATGGTCTCTCCTTGTCTGTCAAATCCCTCCACATAGAAGACCTAGCTCAAATGTCACTTCATCTGCAAAATTTGTCCCAACTTTCTGGACAGGAAGCTTATCTCACCACTGTGTTTCCACAGCATTCACACTTCAAGACCTGCCAGTTCCACCTTCAAAATATTTCTTAAATTTATCTTCTCCTCTCTGGTGTCCTCTCTCTGTCCGATTTCAGAACCTCTTTTCCTCCCCACTGGAGGTCTGATTGTAGGTTTGTCTCTCCGTTCCATCCTCCACCCATCCACGTCAGCCCCTGACAGACCAGGAAAAATGTGGGGAGGAAGAAGTGACAGGAGGTCAAGGGTGAGGTGAAGTGTACCAAGGTCACAACAGTGCTGGGAGGGCAGGGGCTTGAGTCAGAGGGTTGGGCATGGGTTCAAAGAAGGGGCAGCTTCACGGGATGATCCCAAATTAAGTGGCAGGGAAGGGCTGGCTAAGTGGGGTGGGCATGGACCAACAAAGTGGGTGAGTGTTGGAGGCTGAAAGAATGAGGGTCGTGATCAACTCAGTATACCACTGGAGGCTATATGAGGAAACAGCAAACTGTTCTCATGAATGCAGGTTGTTGGCAAACTGACAAAGTGTGTCTGCTACCCGGAAGGAATGCTGAGGGCAGTCACGCCCCAGGAGCAGTGTTTCTTGTGATTAGGTACATCTGAAGCCTGTTAGCAATAATGCGAACCTGTGATCAATCCATCAGCTGACCAATTGTTACCTCCTCCTCCCTGCTCTTTCTACCCAATAAATACGAAGGGCTGTGAAAGGTCAAGGCCCTTGCTTGACAGAAGCAAGGAGCCCCCTGGCCCCTTCTTTAAAACAGATTCTTTTGTTTTCATTTCTTGTCCGTCCCCCTTCGTTCAGTCCTGTAGTACCCATCACAGGTGAGCACCAGGATGCAGGTGAGTGGACACTGAAAGAAGTAGACAAAGGCTCTTAAGGCTTAGTATGCATACAAATTACTTGGCATGCTTGACAAAATGCATATTACCAGGAATAGCCCTCAAAGACTCTAATCAGCATAGCTGGTGGTGGGCCTAGGAATCTGTATTTCAATAAACACTTCAGGTAGTTTTGATATAGATGGGCCCTTGACCGTACTTTAGGAGATGTTGTCTGTTATAAGCTGAATTGTGCCCATACCCCCAAATTTATATACTGAAGTCCTAACTCCCCAATAACTCAGAATGTATTTGTAGACAGGGCCTTTAAAGGAGTAAAGTAAAAGGAGGTCATATGGTTGGGGCCTAATCCCTCCTCAGTTGATGAGGAGGGAAAATAAGGTTCTTAGGGGAAAGTCATGCTTCACTCAAGGCAAAGAGGGGGTGGAAGTAAAGAACATTCTGGACATTACAAATTAAAATAGATTTCTCTCTAGAAAACCTTATCAAAATGGCAATCTACAGGTTGCTTTAAAAATTTAACTAAACAAAAAAGTTTTCACCAACAAGACTAGGGGAAGGCGACAAGTTTAGAGAACAACACAATTTTGGAAGCTGGAGAGCAGCTAGAAAAGTGGCAAATGCATTAACACAGTGGTTCTCAAAGTGTGGTTCCCCAACAGCAGCATAGATATTACCTGTAAATTTGTTAGGCAAGCAGATCCTTGAGTCCCATTCCAGACTAACTGAATTAGAAACTCTGCAAGTGGAGCCCAGGAATCCGTGTTTTAACAAGCCCTCCTGGGGATAATGCATGCTGAGGTTTGAGAATCGCTGACTTAGCAGACCGGAAAGGATTCATCAGAGCTGTCAGTCACAAAATTCAAGAAGGAATCCTACCAAAAGGCTCAAGAGTGACCGTCCAGATAATGTAGAAATAGAGACCGAGAATCTAAAATCGTGAGAGTTAGTTAAAAGGGTTTCAAAAGCAGTTACGGCCCAAGACTTCTCCCCAGTTCTTTATACCTGCAGGCTCAATTCTGGCGCACAAAGTGGACAGATCAGGTAAGAACAGGTGTATTTCTGCCTTGGTGGACTACATATCAGGTTAGTGCAAAAGTAATTGCAATTTTTGCCATTACCTTTAATATTATATTAAGTCCCAATTTTGGGAATGGGTTATATGTTATCATATTTAGATAGATGATTGCCTTGTTCCCAAGGCAGTTATTACCGAATGCAAAAAGGCAGGGTGATGATTTGGTATAGCCACTGAACCAGGAAGCAAGAGACCTTATTCTAGATTTAACTCTGTCTCTAACTAACTGTGTAACCATGGCAAGAACGTCCTCAGCTCCTTATCTGCATCAGGCTATTTTAAGGGCCTTTGCACACAAATATTCTACACAAATATTCTTCATTCTTCTTAAGAATGAAGAAGAACCATAAAATAAAAGAAACATGATGCTAATTACAAGCATTGCCTAATTAAACTAACAGAATGATCTCTTTTTAGATACTTGCTGTTTGAGGTTTCTATGTTTATGAGTATTTAACTCTGATCAAACTGTTTCAACAAATATATACAGAACTTCTACTGGGTGTGCAAATGCAGTGTTTATAAATATCACACAATCACCTGTGAAATGAGATTACGGAGATATTTAGAAGGGCTACTGGAACTATGGGTGACATTGTTTTTATATATTTTTACCTTTTTGTAATGTTGCAATACTATTTTCCTGCTTAAAATTTAAGGACTGCCACAAGGATAGCAAATGGGTTATCTTAAGTGCCATTTCTGATCAATTGTTAATGTCTGTTTGGAATTCTTTATTGAGGGCTACAAAGCTCATTTCAGACTCATGGGAGAGAATGTTTTGATCACTTAGTAATGTCTGCCATGTGAAAAGGACAGGGCATGTGCTCTGTATTTACCAGTACCGTGCTTCTATAACCTAGAGGCAAAATGACTTCTTCCCTTTGGCTATTTGAATGTGGCTCCTGGATTCCACATTTAAAGCTTAGTCCTTCTCCTGCTATCCTTAATTAGAGATAGAATACTTATTAGGTAGCAGCCAACTGGGGCTACAGGATCCCAGATCTAGCTTTTCTTTTGGGGAACATTTCATGCACAATTTGAGGGGAGCAAGAGGATATTTCCTTTCAAGGAGGCTCTGGAGAACTATTGCTCAGGGCAGATGCTTCTCATCCCCTCAGAGCCAACCTGAAGACCCATACATCTTCCCTCCCTCCCCACCACACCAATCATGGTAGAGCTCCGGCATCATGACTTGGAGATGGCTTTTCCAAGCCAGTCTTGAGGCAGGGACCTTCCAAATCCACTCTGGCACTCTAAGGGGCCTGAAGATGCAAAGCAGACAAGACTCTCAGCTCATAGGTCAGGCCCATCGGGACACCAAGCAGGAGTTCCACTGCCTCCCAGGATGGAGAGCCTGTCAGTACTTACTGCCCATGATCCTGCGCACTGTTGGGCCTTCTGCAGTCATTTCCCTCACTATCTCATTGTCATCCTCATTGGCATCCAGCCAGCGGTTGCAATTGAAGTTGTACTTGTCTTTGTTCAGAGTGTTCATCAGGGTCATCTGGAATGAAGTTCTGGGGTGAGCAAGTTGGTGCACCAGGGATGTTCACCGATGCCCTGCAGTCCCCATTCTGCTATCTCATTGCAGAGAAGCCAAGGCTATTTCCTGGAGATAATCCTTATGGCAGGCAGAGGGCCGGATTAGTATTTGTTCCTGGTTTCCTGGATACCCACACTTGCCTAGCAACCAGATGACTAGGGCAGAATGCAAGCCCCCCAAACACCTGAGCGTTTTCTTAATCTACTTCGGAAGTCTCTCCCCATTAGGAAGTCCCTGTGGCCTGTATCCAAATTCAGGTCTCACCATAACCCTTTTCAGTCCCTATTCACAATAAATACAGAGGCAAATTTATGTGACAGGGTCATTGAAAAGGGACCATCCTTGTTCCTTTCCCAACAACCTCCCAAACCCCAAGATGGTGCATCTCACCCTTTCTAAATGCCATCCAGAACCAGAACTCCTTTTATCATGCCATACTCGAATCTTATAAAACCTGCCAAGATCCGGGAGCTCAATCTATGGTGAGAAATAAAAACATTTGAGTGGGCATAACTGAAGAAATGTGTTTATTCTCATAGCTGACCCACTCTCAGGAGGGTACCTGCTTTGGGCTCTTTCTTCAGCAGTGAGGATGGGTTTGCTTCAATCAAGCCACCCTCACATATTTTATCTTCTCATGACCCTTGTAACCAGGAGCACGTGAGGGCAAGACAGCCACAGAGGGCAAGGGTTCAGTCTGGGCCGGTGAAACTGAACAAAAATAACGGCCCCACAGTGGGATTCAGACTAAAGAAGATCCTCCAAGCAATAAACTTCCAGTAACAAAATCTATAGGGCAGCCCTGCAAATTAGCACAGGCCCACAGCCCCAGGACTCTACTGGGCAGTGAAACAGACAAAAAGATCAACAAGCAGTCATGCCCTTTCTCTAGGGGCTCATAGTCTAGCAGAAAAGATAAATATATAAAGAGCAATGAACTGAGTGGTGTAACAGAGGTACCAATGGGGTGCTGAGAGGAGAGCCTCAAATTACAAATTATTCCTACCTAAAGGTTGAAATAGCACTTCCATTGGGGGAAAAAATCTTTGCTCTAGTTTTATGCATAATGGAAAGTTTTAAAGCTGAATTTTAAAAAAAGTTCTAAAATTCATACTTTTGATTAAATTTGATCCTTACTCTCTAAATCAGTCCATATTGGGCAGTCTGACACTAAGTGTTCTCAGGGTCTCTGTTCTGCAATGATTCCCCAACTCCTGGATAGTTTAAGCCATTCCATACTAACTTCTTTGCCCAGCCTTGGTTCTGGACTGTTTGATTCAGATGAATGGGCCAGATAGAAATTGTACCCCATTCAATACATTGCTTACAAATCATCAAATTTGTCTCCCTTTGCAGGGACCTAAAATCTCCATCGTACATTTTTGTCTTCAAACTTGGTCCAAAACCTGGCTTAGAGAACCAGAATCCCCAGGACGAATGCCCTACATCCCTTCCTCCTTTCTCCCTCCCATCCATCACAATCCTCTCCTACCCTAAACTTCTCGATTATGCCGGGTTTGAACCACTTGTTGTTGGGATTCAGGAGAATCTCATCTGTCCGCCCCTTCTGCCCATAAATCTGGATGAAGATGGGAGAGTTGGTACCAGCTTTCTTTAGGTCGGTTGTCCAGACCCACAGGGACCAAGGGAATTCTGTAAGACAGATCAAGTTGCACCATAAACTTCAGGAAGTGAAGAGATTTTCATATTACCATGGGGAAGAAGGAAAAATCCAAAATGATCAGGACTGAAGGGCGGGGTATACACAGGTGTGTCCCACTCTCAGAAACCCATTATAGCCAAATTTAGAAAGCTAAGGATTCCTTACTATTAAAAATAAGGTGCTATAATGTTCTTTTTAATGGCTAAAGTGTATTCGTATGTTTTAAATCGGGGAACGAGTTGACTCCACCCACCCTATGTCCAGTACTTTCAGAGTGCACTGTAGTGAACGATTCAGGTTAACACCTAGCCCATCACAGCAGCTTATTCCATTTGGTGACACTGGAGTCAGCCTTGGTGCCAGGGGTGTGACTCTATATGGCCTGTACTTTGGAGAGTGGAGCTGCTTGGCGGGGTTGGGGGAGCTTTTTCCTTCCTTTCTGGAGGAGACTTGAGAAGCAGGAGTGGACTGCCCTCATAGCTTTTGCCTAGTGGTCTGACATTCTGGCCTCTGCTGACCCTGGCTGAGAGGCCTCCAGGTTCTGGGTCTCTCTCACTTACTTTTCAGCCGCTTCTTCCTGAGAGACACCATCTCATAGAGCTGCCTCTCAATCAACCCATCCGCTTTCTTCTCATCCAGCCAGTTGCTACAAGGGAAGGTCTGCTGGATACCAGTGAAGGGGCACAGAATCACCACCTGGGGAGAGTGGAGCACAGTGTCTCCGGCATTGAGTCTCCAGTAGGGTCCTCTTCGTGATGTTCAGCAGGCTCCCAGCCCCACATTTAGAGACATCTGTATTAGGACTCTCAAGGAATGGCACCTTTTCTGTTGCCTATCTCATTAAATCTTAAATCAAGAAATGCAACCTCCAAGGAGTCTTCCAAAGTAGGTATCACCCATCTTCCAATTAGCTATTCAAATCTCAAACTTTTCCTCTATACACAACACTCTCTTTGAATACCGTATTTCTTTAAGCACATCATAAATTCTCAGTTAATCTGAACCAAATGAACTAGACTACTAGGTTAATTCCCTATAATTATCTTGTAGGAAAAAGGTAAGTCCCATGCAAGCTAATTAATATCTGGAATGTAATATAAAAACCAACTTCTCTCTTTTAGGCTTGATCCTCATTCAACCTTCTCTCTTATACCTTCTCTATCTCTACCCAGTTCTGAACCCATGGATTTTGAACACTCACATTATAAATGTTGAAAGGATTTCTCCTGGCACACTACAGAATCCTCTATCAGCAAAGAAATTTTGACTCTCACATTACTGGTTTCTAAGCTTTACTTTCTTAACTTGAAAACTAATCTTTTCAACTTGAAAACTAATCTGACCCTCCCATCAGTCAAGGTTTTGACCAACCATTGTCTTACTGGGTATTTGTTGTCTACTGTTCATAGTGACAAAAATTGACTGTAACTTCCTTAACTTGAATTCTTGCCCTTAGATATTCCCAGGTAATACTCACCTCATACTCACTATTGACCATTGTGATGAACCTTAACTTATAAGAAGCACCAGATGAAGGATGCTAAGAGATGGTGGGAGGGGAGTATGTACCCCTTCAAACTTCCAGAGAAATGCTCCTCCCTAGAGATAAATGATGGCTCAGGACCACAGGCAGTAGCCCCCTCAAACATTTAGCCCTCTGACACAAATATACTGGCAATTAATATAGTTCACCCCACCTGCATTCAATAGATAGGAAACCTGAGGTCTAGAAAGAAGAATAAAGTGCCCAAGTTAGCACCTTTAGTTAGTGGCAGAACAAGGAATATAAGTATTCCTGACACTAATTGTCAGTTTGGGATCTTTTCTACTCATCAGGAAGAACCTCAGAATTTCTATTTGTGGCTGAGGTTCACTGGGATCCATTGTTGCACTCCATTTTTTATGCTGAAGATTCCATGTGACCACATATTTAGAAGTGGACCTATACATAGGCAAAGTTGGAGAGCATCCTCGACAAGTTGAGGGCACAGGAGGGTATAATCACCAACAATTTATTTACAAGTCTTTCTTTCCTCTCAACAAATCCTGCAGATGTTTCCTCGTTTACTCTTGAATTGTTCTCTCATTGTTAACTGTGTATTGGTTAGTTTTGTTTTTTTAAGAAGTAGTAAAATCCTAAAAGTCTGAGGTTGTGTGTTTTCTCACCCCATGGGTTCCCTGAACATGGTTCTAAACATATAGTAAGCGCTTAAAAATTTATGATAAAAGTTCTGGTTCTAGAAGGTTAAAGGTTAGGTAAGCAACAAAATATAGTATTGTTACTAGAGCTTGTGGTTTTTATCTCAGGATTTTGTTTGTTTTATTGTTTTGTTAAACATAACTATCCTGAGGGTATCATATTCTGTTATTTAAAAACTATTTTGTCATTATCTTTAAAAATAATTTAGTGTAATTCATATATTAAAAATGTTTGCTTCTGGACTAGGTAGTCCAGAACTAGGTAGCCTGAAAAGCCTCTCATCACCACAAAATAGCCATATGTTACATAAACCACAGGAAGTATCACTTTACATACATTGCTGAGCTGCCAAGGGGTTACAGAGAAGCCATAAGAACCAGCAAAATTCAGAGTAAGCAGAAACCCAGAGAGTAGGCAAATGTGAATGCTAAAGTTGGTGCTACCCTGAAGCAAAAGACAATCTCTGGCACTCAGAGACCAGGAAACTAATAGCCACTTGAGGATGCAGGAAACTAGGCCATGGGCTTTACAAAATGGAGATTCCAAACTGGAAACACTGAATAAGCAGAAATATTTGAAGGACTGCTCCTTTAGACAAAAGGTAGACAGGGAAAAATCTGCAAAGAGAAGCCTACCTTTTTTGTCTTTGCTCCAGACAGAAAATAATAATAGTTTTACCTAAGAAATAGTTACCATAAGCTTGGTCATAGTCAGAACAAATAGTAATAAATGCACATGTAGACATATTGAGGAGAAGCAGGAGAATACCAAAAACAAGATCTTAAGAGCATCTGGATAGAAAAAACAGATAGTGGCAATTAGACGAACAGAAGCCAGAAGATACTGGGGAGGAAAACTCAATATAGAATTCTGTACCGTAAAATTATTTTTCAAGAATGACAGTGATATAAAACACATTTTTCAAATGAACAAAATCAGAGTTTACCAACAATAGACCTTTATCAAAGAAACTTCTAAAGGGTATCTTCAGGAAGAAGAAAATTGACACCAGAAATAAGGTCTTAGATGCAAGAAGAAGTGACAAGCAAACAAACTGGGAAACTTGTAGGTAAATCTGAACAAGCAACTCTATAAAACAATGATATCTAATGTGTATGTTTTAAAATAATTTAAAATGGAGCTAAAATACTAGGCAAAAAAATAGCATGCAGAACTATTACTATTAGAGATTTCTAAGGTCCTTGCACTTGCCAAAAAAGAGTAAAGATATCAATTACATTTAGGGTTTCCCATATTAAGTATGTACAGTAAAATCACTATAAAAGGAAAAAATAGGGAAAAACAGTCAATCCAAAATAATTTTAAAAGAAGAAAAAAGAAACAGTAAAAGCAGAACAGATATATCAGTAATTACAATAAATATAAGCAGACTAAATTTGCCAGTTCAGAGATAAATAGTATCAGATTGGATAATGATAAAGATTGAACTCGCTAGGAGGCTATAATAATTCTGTGCTTAGTAACATAGCCTCAAACTATATAAAGCAAAAATTGTTCTACAATAAGAAATATCTACCACCTTAGTGGTATATATTTCAATAGTGGTACATGCGCACACACACACACACACACACACACACACACACACCCCTACCTGTACAATTTTGCAGGAGACTGCAACCAAACATTTGGGAAACATCACTGCAATTTTTTACAGTCTCTTTTAGGAAAGGACATACTTCTCATTTCACTCTAAAATCATAACCAATCGACAACTGTACAAGAAAGGAATAAGGGGCCAATGCTACTCATGAACATAGAAAAATTCTTTTTTTTTTTTTTTGAGATGGAGTCTCGCTCTGTTGCCCAGGCTGGAGCGCAGTGGCGCAATCTCAGCGCACTGCAAGCTCCACCTCCAGAGTTCATGCTGTTCTCCTGTCTCAGCTTCCCAAGTAGCTGGGACAGGCGCCCGCCGCCACACCTGGCTAATTTTTTGCATTTTTTTTTTTTTTTTTTTAGTAGAGATGGGGTTTCACCATGTTAGCCAGGCTGGTCTCGATCTCCTGACCTCGTGATCTGCCCGCCTCGGCCTCCAAAAGTGCTGGGATTACAAGATTGAACCACTGCGCCCGGCCAGAAAAATTCTATATTAAACTTTAATAACTCTAAAAACATGTAAAACAATCTATTATCACCAAGTTTGACTTATAAAAAAGCAGTTAGTTTGCCATTTGAAAATGCACTCATATTAGTGCACCAACTTAATGAATAAAATAGAAAGACCATACAACTATCTCATTAAGTGCAGAAAAGCATTAGATAAAATTTAACACCAATTCATCATAAAAACTCCTTACAATATAAAAGTAGAAGGGAATTTTACAAATCTAATCTAAGAATGTCTACCATAAACTTGCAAAAAAATCAACCAAATAAAATATTAGAAGCAGCTCCTTTAGTATCAGAAACAAAATAAAGTTATCTACTATTAATCCTACTACTCAGCATTGTACTGTAGGTCTTAGGCCATGTGGTCAAATAAACAAAAAAGAAGAAAGAACTATAAGCTTTGAAAATTAAAAAAAAAAACTGTTATCATTTACAATTTGACTTCCTACAGAAAAAAAACAAAGAATTATTGAGACATTATCAGAATTAACAATAGAGTTTAGCAAAATGGCCATATGTAAACTAAATGTCCGGAAAATACTTCTATTTCTATATCAGCAACTAATTGTTAGAAAATATAATTTTTAAAGAGGTACCACTTATAATAGTAACAAAAATTATAAGGTCTCTTAAACATATCTAACAGACATGCAATTTCTTTATCACAAAATATAAAACTATATTGAAAACTATTAAAGAAGACATAAATTTTAAGAAGTATACCATATCCATAGATAGGGAAAGTCAATATAGTAAAGATGTCAGTTCTTTCAAACGAATCTATAGGTCCAAATGAATTCTGTTCAACACTGTTCTTCATGGGATTTGGCAAAATAAATAAATACAGATTTCTTTGGAAGGGTAAATGGTTATGAATAGTCAAAATATTCTTGAGGAAGAATAACAAGGTAAACAAATTTCCCTAGCAGATACTAAGACAGTATAAACGTAAAAATGAAGACAGTGAGTGTTATATTAGTGCAGAAATAAACTAAATAAATGGAACAGACTAGAAAACTCAGTGGCAAAGCCATGCATTTTGTGAATTTTATGTGTGGTAGAAAAGTCTTTTCAGAACAGTGGGAAAAGAATTACTATTTAGTAAATCAGTGCTTCCAAAACTTTCTTAATGATAAGAATTATCTAAACCACTTGCTAAATATCCAGATTACCTGGAAATTCTGACTCATTAGGTCTGAATTAGAGCCTAGGAATCTATTTTTATCAAGAATTCCAGGTGATTCTTAACCTTGGTCAAGTTTTAAAAGCCCTTCAATAAATGTTGCTGGAACATTTGCATATCTCCATGGAAAAAAATAAAATTGAATTTCTCCCTCACAAAATTCAATTCCTAGTATTTTAAAAATATAAATGGAAAAATTAAAACAACAATTTTTAGAAAAGGATATAGGAGAATGTCTTCATAGCTCTGAGATAAGTGGATTTCTTTCATTAATACCAAATGCATTAGTCATAAAGGAAAAGATTGATAAACTAGATACTTTTAAATTAAATCTCTTACTCAAAGAACATCACAAACTATGAGAAAATATTTGAACATATATTATCAACAAAGAATTAATATCCAGATTAAATTTTAAAACTCCTAAAAATAAATCCAAAGATAGATTGGTCAATAGGAAACTCAGTAAAAGACATGAACAGACATTTTACATAAAAAGAAACATGAATGGCCAATAAAAAAATAAAAACACATTCAACCTTGGTAGTAATCATAAAAATAAGAATTAAAACCACAACAGGATCATTTTACAACCTCCAAAATGGTGAAAATTAAAAATTCAGACAATATCAAGCATTTACAAGAATGTATAAAACAAAATATCTCTTACACATGGCTGACAGGAGAGTAAAATGGTGCAACTATTTTGGAAAACAACCTGGAATCCTTTGGAAATAATAGTTATCCTATAAAGCTGAAGATTCACTTACCCTGTGACCTAGCACTTTCATTCTGAGAAGCTCTTGCACACTTCCACAAAGATACATGTACAAGAACTTCATGGCAGGATTGCTCATAGTAGTAAAAATCAAGAAATCACTCCAAAATATCCATCGACAGAAGAATGGACAAATAAATTGTAACTCATTCATACAATGGAATACTTTGCAGCAGGGAAGTGGATGAACTACAGCTTCTGTTACCATTTGGACAAATCTCTAAAACATAATGTTGAGTGAAAATTGACAGTTATGGCCAGGAGCGATGGCTCACTCCTATAATCCCAGCACTTTGGGAGGCCGAGGCAGGCAGAACACCTGAGGTCAGGAGTTCAAGTCCAGCCTGGCCAACATGGTGAAACCCCATCTCTACTAAAAATACAAAATTAGCCAGGCATGGTGGTGCATGCCTGTAATCCCAGCTACTTGGGAGGCTGAGGCAGGAGAATCACTTGAACCTGGGAGGTGGAGGTTGCAGTGAGCTGAGATCGTGCCATTGCACTCCAGCCTGGGTGACAGAAGTGAAACTCTGTCCAAAAAAAAAGGAAGGAAGGAAGGAAGGAAGGGAGGGAGGGAGGGACAAAAATTGCCAGTTACAAACAATACAAGCTTATACATAGACAAAATTCATAATAGTATGTGCCCTTTGAGGGAAAGAGAACTATATGACTGTGGAAGGACACAGAGGAGTTTAAAAGCATCACGAATGTTCTATTTCTCAAGCTGTGTGATAGACAAAATTGAGGTTTGCTTTTTAACATTCCTTATGTCTTACAGTTATTAATATATATTCTTTAAAGTATAAGTATTCCACAATACAAACATATACTTTAAAATACTTATTGATTGAAAGATTTATAAGCTGAGGTGAAACACTACACCAGGAATCAGGATAATCATAACCACCAACTGAGCGCCTCTGGGTAACCTGTCCTGCTTGGCCCTTGGACGCTTGCACAGAACAGCCCCTGTTCCTGACCACTTTTGAGGCAAGATAGACGGACACGTAACCACCCAAAATGCCCAATGAAAGAGATTGCCCATGCACTCTGTAACTAGTTCAGAGAAGTAGCATTCAGGTTAAAGTTTGTACTTGCAAGTTAAAGAGGAGAGGGGTTGAATCAGGGAAGGCTGTCTCTGGGGGCATCCCTTACCTTCTCACAGAACCAGCCTCTGTTGACACCCACATTGCCATGCCCGACGGAGACCCGACTCAGGGGGCTAAGGAGGACAGCCAGCTCGATGTGGAAGATGTCCGTGCGGCCTCGGTCAAACACGCCGCCCTCCAGGAAGATTTTCCCACTGTTCTTATTCCCTCTGGCCCCATACATGACCAAGTAGATTTTGGATTTGGTACCAGCCCCCCGGACATCCCCAGTGAAGACGGTGACAATATACGTAATAGCTGGTGTGGAAACAACAGGAAAGAGAGTGTTCAATGTGAGCTGCATCATAATATCCCACCCCCTCCTCCCCTTCCTGGTTACAACACCCCCAAAGCCCTCCTCCTCCACACATCCTCTTTCCCCATCATGTCCTACTCCTCCAGATGCCACCTAATGTCCCTCTCGACCTCATTTCATCTTTTCCAGAGTTTGTGTGTCCAATGCATCTGAGTTTGAGAATAAACCGCACGTATTATTACAGGAAGCTGTCAGTGCTGATTAGAGGAAACTAACAAAGAGAAGGAGGAACTCGGGTTGGCTAAGAATAGTACTTATTATTAATGATAATTACCATGCGTACATTATTAATAGCTGCCAGATGAATTCTGTTATGTCTAATCTAATTATAATAGTCAACTCCATTAATGGAGATTTACGTTCAGGGCTATCTGATTCATTTCGCTTGCTCTTTTGCTGATAACTTAAAAACATAACTTTTAATAGAGGACATTAATGTCCTCCTTTGCTGCCTGATGTGGTAGGGTGAGGAGGATTGAGGGAGAGAGAGAACATTGTTGGTTGGGCCATTTGAGGTTCTGGTCTATCAGGAGGCAATATGAGGACATGGAATTCTGAGGAAGAACTAGCAAAGGGAGATTAAACTCTGGGACTGGGCGAAGTAAAAGAAAATACCAAAGACAAACATTTGGACAGGCAATTCTACTAAGGACTGGCCTGGCCTAGATTTTTTTATTTTATTTATTTTTTATTTTTTTGAGACAGAGTCTCACTCTATCACCCAGGCTGGAATCTAGTGGTGTGATCTCAGTTCACTGCAACCTCTACTTCCCAGGCTCAAGCGATTCTCGTGTCTCAGCCTCCTGAGTGGCTGGGATTACAGACATGTGCCACCACACCTGGTTAATTTTTGTATTTTTAGTAGAGACAGGTTTTCACCATGTTGGCCAGACTGGTCTCGAACCCCTGGCCTCAAGTGATCCACCCCCCTCAGACTCCCAAAGTGCTGAGATTACAGGCATGAGACACCATGCCTGGCCTACATTCTGTAATTCTGTCCTGGGGTCTAAGGCGGTTGTCACTTTAAGCCTTGTTAATTCCCCTACCCATCCCTCACCCTACCATACCCCACACTCTTATCCCATAACCTCAGAGAAATAAAAATCCCAAATTTCTTTGAGTGATAATACATGCAACTACATGGGTGTATTATTCATTCTTAAACTTACATTTTCTTTTGTTCAGCATTTATTGAGTGCTTACTAGATTCCAGGCCTTTGGGAGTAAATAAATAAAAAGGAATGGTCATTGCTCTAGAAAAAAAAAATAGGTCTCGAGCTTTATTTCTCTAAGATGCATGGACAAATGGTGTTCCCACATCAGATATACTTTCATCGTTTAGGATATAAGCAATGCCCAGCTGCTATCATTTCTGCTCTTCTTCTACCACTAGGAGACATATAATATTCACATATTCAGTATATATTAATTCTATTCGAGTATGTTTTTAAGTAAACTGCAAACTTTTCATCTGTAGATGACTTGTGCCACACCTCACAATGATCAGCCCGCAATGCTGAGGTTGAAAAGGACTGGAGCAGAGGAGCATTTAGGCTTCTGAACAGCAGCAATAAAGGTCTGCCAAGGAGCATGGAGCAAAAGAAGGGAGAAGTTACCCAGGCCAGAGAAGGTCAGGGAGGGCTCAGAGGAAGTGACTGGAAACAGGAATTCGAGAGGCAGAAAGAAGAGAAAAGACTTTTCAGGATGAGGAGAAGGCAGGTTCCGAGGATAGAGAGAGAGAAAGAGCAAGGCAAGCAGGGAGTTGAGGGGAGAGGGAAGGCATGGGAGCAAGATGGAGGGAAGAATGGAAGGTGTGAATGTGCAGTGGGAGAGAGGGTATGGGAAGACTCTGTGGGTAGGATGAATGGAGCCAAATTGGGGAGAAATGTGTACATTATACTACAGAACATGGATTTTCTCCCATGGTGAGTCATGGGAGTTCTGCTGCAGAGAACATTCTCAGATGTACACAATATCAACGTTGATTTTCTAGAACATGCATGACCATGACTGCCATGCTGGGAGTTGGAAGTTTTCTGTGGAATTCATACAGGTTAGGGCTTTAGGAAGCAGACCAAATCCTGAATCTATCACTTGCCAGCTGTGTGCCCTTGGACAAGGCTCTTCCATTGCCTCAGTTTCCTCATCTGTGTGATGGGAACAATAACAGTTCCTACTTTATAGGGTGGTTGTGAGGACTGAAGGACACCATGTAGGTCAGGTACCTACCTAGAAGGCCTGGCATATACTAAGCACTCAATATCAGGAAGAGTTCAGATCAATGTCCTGGGAAACATCCATGCTTGTCAGAAGTTCACATTCTGGCTTCATCCTATGGATACCTTCCTTTGCCCTGGGCAGTTAGTATCTGCTTAGCAGCATCCCCCAGGTCCTCTGGCAACAACAGAGCCCCAGGCTGCAACCCAGTGGGACAGAACAGTTTCAGGAGCAGGAGGAATGCTGTCTGCAGACCCAGCTGGCTCCTGTTTGATCACAGGCCTCCAGCCCCACAGATGCCAACAGCGACCCTTAGGCAGAAAGTGAAATACCCAAAAGAGCCTCCCCTTTCTTCAAATCTACCTGTGGTCTCAGCTCCGCCCACTAAGATATCCCTTTGGATTTTGCCATCGTCTTCGTCCAAGGCCAGCCAGCGGTTAAGGGGGAAGTCATATTTTCTTTTGTTCCCAATATCTTCAATGACTATCTGGGAAGGAGAAGAGGGGACAAGGATGTAGATAAGTGTTGTTGAGGGTGCACCTGGAGATCTAATCCAATCTTCCAATCACTTGAGTCTACTTTAAGAATGTACTGATATCTGTTTCGTGGCCCAAGGAAAGCTTATCACAAGGACACAACTGTGTCCAGGATACCTGGTAAAGCTCAGAATCATACAGGGATGACTGGCGATTACCTTCTGACTTGAATTACTGAGCCACCGCTCCCTCCACTGCTGCAGATCATTTTTTAAATTGAAGCAAAAAATTTGGCAGCATGAGCCTTGTGAGACTGGTTACAAGAACTGGAAGCCTGGATTTGCAAACTGTGACAATACCATCACTGTCCTCACAGGCTGAAGGTTGGGATTCTGACCTTATTGGTGAGAAGCAGAGCCCAGGCAAGGGGAACTGCAAGCCCCACATCAGGCACAGTGAATCCTAGGATCTTGTGATCAGGTCAGAAAACATCAGCCACCAACAGTAAGGCTAATGGACTCTATGATGCCTCCCTCAGGGACTCCCATGCGAGCTAAGTTAGTGAGGCTGAGATAAGTGTGCCTTCTAGAATACACCAAAGAGCTGAGGGGCCCTCTCAAAATGTGCCCAGAAGATCCAACTGAAAACTCGCTCTAGGATAAGTAGAATTGTTAATAGCTAGAATGTGTCCTCCAGTCATAATACAATATGGGCAGAGGATAACCTTTTTACTGTCAACATGTATCTCATAACATCATGTTATATACCTTAAATATACACAAAAAAATTTATTTTAAAAATTCGATCACTTTAGAACAGGATTAAGATGATAAAATGCTACCAAGACCAATCAAGCATCTGGTAGCTTTGTAAAATATTGAAGACTATACTGTAAAAAACAAAAGCATTAGAACAAAAACACACTTTCATGGTTGTCTCTATATAAGTTCAAAGTGCACAACCCTCTGCTTTACATTATTCCTGCAGGAAATTCTGTCTCAAATGAATTTCAAAGTTTCAAGATTTTGGCTGGGCGTGGTGGCTCACACCGTAATCCCAGCACTTTGGGAGGCCGAGGCGGGAGGATCACGAGGTCAGGAGATCAAGACCATCCTGGCTAACATAGTGAAACCCCATCTCTACTAAAAATACAAAAAAATTGGCCAGGCGTGGTGGCGGGCACCTATAGTCTCAGCTACGCAGGAGAATGGCGTGAACCCAGGAGGTAGAGCTTGCAGTGAGCCGGGATCGTGCCACTGTACTCCAGTCTGGGCGATAGTGCAAGACTCCATCTCAAAAAAATAAAAATAAAAGAAATAAAAAGTATATAGATTTTTAGGAATGCATCTCTTGCATAAAATGCAACCAACTGGTATCAAAGACTCAGGCAATAGGAAAAAGAAAAGAAACCATCACATCAGGGCAGAGCTATACCAGGACAGTACCATCCAGGATCTGAGAACTGGACTAAGAGACTCCAATCAACCCTGGATGTGAGATGGGAGTTCGGTTATTACCCAACTGGAGCCAAGAATGAAAATAGAAGTGGGAGGAGGAAGAAGAGAGGAGGAGTAGGAAGATGGGAGATTTAATAAGCATATCCTATGTTTCAGGGGCACCTTGACTATTGTCAGATACCAAGTCTGAATAAGACCCACCTCATTTGAGGTTGGGTAAAGGGAATACACCAACTTAAGACCTTGCAAATTCTTGAATCAAAGACAGAGAAGATCATTCTAAAGAATCAGAGGAGGGGCAGAACTCTGGAAAGAACCTAATGTGGGACCCACCAAAAGAACTCACACCATTCAACTGATGTGCTTAAAAGAATATAAGCAGATTTAGTCTTTATGAAATAGGAGTAAATATCTTTAAAGACAGATAAGACTACAATGAAAAGGCAATCAGATGAGATTTAAAAATAACTAAGTTAAGTAAGAAAGGGAATCAAGAAAAATAAAACTATACAGCAGCAAATAGATCAAAGTTCTTAAAATTCTGCCTGTTCTTTCACCAACTCCTGAGAATGTACCGTAAGAAATAATCACAGATGTGCATAAAGATAAGGCATGAAACGTTTGTCACAGCACTATTTATAGTATAATAGTATACTGTATATATATACACACACACACACACACACAGGTTGAACATCCCTAATCTGAAAACCGAAATCCAAAATGCTCCAAAGTCCAAAACTTTTTGAGTGCTGACAACACACCAAAAGTGGAAAATTCCACACCAGACCCTATATGATGGGTTGCAGTCCAAACACAGTCAAAACTGTGCTTCATGTAAAAAATTATTGACTGATACTGTGTAGAATTACCTTCAGGGTACTTGCATAAGGTGTATATGAAACAAATAAATTTCATGTTTAGACTTGGGTCCCATCCCAAGATATCTCATTATGTATATGCAAATATTCCAAATTCAAAAAAACCTGAAATCTGAAACACTTCTGGTCCCAAGCATTTCCAATAAGGTATATTCAACCTGTATAGCATAATATACATTTTATATATTACATAATATACAGTATATAGCATAATTATGTCATATAATAATTTTGAGGAAAAAATAGAAACATTTGACCAAAGGAGATTGGTTTAATAAGTCATGGTAGATCTAAAACACTTATTTCCATCATTAAAAATTACACTGTAGCCAGGCGTGGTGGCTCACACCTGTAAACACAGCACTTTCAGAGGTCGAAGCGGCCATATCACCTAAGGTCAGGAGTTCGAGACCAGCCTGGTTGACATGGTGAAACCCTGCCTCTACTAAAACTACAAAAATTAGCCAGGCATGGTGGCGGGCACCTGTAATCCCAGCTACTTGGGAGGCTGAGGCAGGAGAAGAATCGCTTGAACCCGGGAGGCAGAGATTGCAGTGAGCCAAGATTGTGCCACTGCACTCCAGCCTCAGTGACAGAGTGACATTCTGTCTCAAAAAAAAAAAAATTATATTGTAAAATAGCCATGTCATTATATTTAAATAACATGGGGATATATGCATGCTATATTTAAAAATGAAAACAAATTTGTAAAATATTGTATTCATTATGACACCATATATATATGGTGTCATATATATATACACATATATGTGCATATATACATGTACATATACATACATATATACATATATGTACATATATACATATATACGTACGTATATGTACATATATACATATATATGGTGTCATAATGAATATATATACACACATATATATGGGTGATAATATGATACATATATATAGGTGATAAGTGATATATATATATTAATTAATAGAAAAATGACTAGAGGATATTCATCCAAATATTAACTGGTTATTTTTGGGTGGTAAAATTATGAGTGGTTTTTTTTGTTGTTTATTTGTATTTTCTAAATGTTTTATGATGAACATGTATTAGTTTTATAAGAAAAAATAATTAAAAGAAATACATTCAGAATTGAAATATACATTGACAGGAGAAAGAAGTGGAACTCAGTGTGGAACAGCAAATCAATGATGTGGTGGGAATTTGACAAGTTCTCAAGGAATGCAAAAAAGTAGAGATGACAGGAGTAAAGGGGAAGCTGCCGGTTTTGGAAGGTAGAGAATGGAAATCCAATAGATGGGCAATTGGCTGTCCTGAGAAAGAGACCAGAACAAATGCCACCCGAGCAAGAATCTAACATACAATAAGAAATCTCTTTTCTGACCTATAAATAAATTAATTACAAATAAATGAATAAACAAATAGCCTGCCCATCAGATAGAAAACACATACTGTGTTTCAGAGAAATTAAAAACAAACACGGAAGGAAGGAGGGAAGGAAGGAAGGAAGGAAGGAAGGAAGGAAGGAAAGAAGGAAGGGAGGAAGGAAGGGCGGGCAGGCAAAGACCCTACTCCTAGATGCTGTCTGGCAAGACTTTTGAATTAATATAAAGAAAAACATCTGCAAGCATCTGGCAGGAAAAAAAATTAGGTTACCCGGAAAGAAACGAAAAGTCTACTTGGCCTCAATATCAAATTTCAGAAGTTAACGGAATACAATCCACAAAGTTTTAAAGGAAAAAAGTGTTTTCACCCATAGATTTCACACCTTGCCAAGCTGCCCTTTGAGGGTAAGACAACAAAGAAACACATCTTGGCATATGAACCTGCCTCCTTGGGGAACCTTCCTAAGAGCACAACGCACCCATGTGACCAAGAAGGAACCTGAGTTCAAGAGGGTGAAACTGTTCACCCTTTAAAGCTCTGTCCACTAAACCTTGTGTTTTTACTCTGCTGTCTTTCTTTTCAGAATGAAGAAAGTGGACTTCAAGGTACCTGTTCTGTGCCCTGCCCTGGCTGAGGTCATAAAATGCACAGGCCTCCTCTCCCCGCTTTGCCCAGCTAAGCAGAAAACCACCTGAAAACACACTTCTGCTGATGTATTGGCTATTTGGATTCTGGACTCACACCCTATTTCTTCTCCAATCCAAGCAGCAGTTCCACTTAGCCTCCTGGTACCCTCCAGGCTTGCTGCTCTTAGGACCAGGCAAGCCCTTCCTTTCCAAAGGAATTTGGGCATTTCTTCCTTTGTTGATTCAATGCCCAGTCCCATGCCAAGAGCTAGGGAGGTGCCCTCAAGGAACTTTCAGACTAATTATGAAAACAGGTATGGCCATCACTAGGATGTTCACTCAACACCCTTTCCAATCACCTTCTTCCTAGTCCACTTCTATTCTACAGGCTGAAAGCTAACTGCCCAATTTCCCAGTTTTCACTGCAGCTAGGGTGTCCACATAATACATATTTGGCCAGTGAAATGTAGCCAGAAGTTCCAAGGAGGGCTCTGCTTTTTTCAAAATAAGGCATCATTTGCCAGAAAACAGTCTTTATGCCCCTTGTCAAAGCCTTTATCCCCATTTTCTCTCCCCCTCTTTCTGTCTGGAACATAGATAAGATGCCTAGAGATTCAGTAGCTATCATGTGCTCATGAGGCAACAAATTGGAGGATGAAAGTCCCAGTGCTGGCGATGGTAACGCAGAGAGGGAGCAGGTGCATCAGAAAGCAGCTGCACCAGCCCTGAGCTGACCACATTTGGATTTCCTGGCTGAAGAAATGCAGGATGAGCTGAAAAAAATAAGCTCCTAGTTGTTTAACACTGCACTTGAATCTTCTGATCCTTGCAGCCAAATATTTTCCTAATATAAGAAGATAAATAAAGTTAAGCAATAATAAAACCTCAACTATCAGACAGCCTCATTCTTTACAGTCAAGTTGTTATAAATCTGAGTTTTCTATTTTAAGCAATAAGACCTTTCTCAAAATACTTTTTCAAAAATATATAACACATTAACCTTTTCCTATCATTCTGTAATGAACAGAAATATTATACGTTGATGTCTTCATAACTGAGGGAAGTCTATGCAAAAGGCCGGTTGCCTGTTTTCTAACGGACCTCAGCCTGGTGTGAATTTTTAATACTCTTTTGGTATTTTATATCTTCTCTGACTTCCCCTTACTGTTCTCGATAACACTACCCATTACAGTGCCTCTTTCCCCTTCTAATTTTCCGCTAGAGGTTTAAAATGACAGGAAACAAGTTTACTAGAAGGGATTACAGGTAAGCACCAGATTCTGAGTGCAAGTCTGAAGGGGGCTTCCTTCAAAATCAGGGCAAGGCCAGATAGAGCCAGGGACACGAGCTTTCTTTACAAACTTTGAATGGAATATGTTTTAGCTGCTCAGGAGCCTTTTTGCTTTCTTCTTGATTCTTAACTTTGTCCTGGATAGGTGAAACTATAACACTTGAGATCCAGAAATTTGTGGTACAAAGCAACAGGTCAAGATAAGTCACAAGAAAGCGTACGCTTGGATCAAATGAATGCTATAAGCAAGCAGGGTTCTAAAGTTTCATGGGAGGGAGAGGTTCTGGTGGGCCACGGTCAGGGAAGGCTTCATGGCAGAGTCTTGAAGAATGAACAGGCCCCGGCTAGGTTCAGATGAAAGTACTGGGCTTCCTGTAAAAAAGGATGAGTTCATGTCTTTTGCAGGGACATGGATGAAGCCAGAAACCGTCATTCTTAGCAAACTATCACAAGGGCAGAAAACCAAACACTGCCTGTTCTCACCCATAGGTGGGAATTGAACAATGAGAACACTTGGACACAGGGCGGGGAACATCACACACCGGGGCCTGTCGGGGGCTGGGGGGCTGGGGGAGGGATAGCATTAGGAGAAATTCCTAATGTAAATGACAAGTTGATGGGTGCAGCAAACCAACATGGCACATGTATACCTATGTAAAAACATGCACATTGTGCACATGTACCCTAAAAAGAAAAGAGAGAGAGAGAGAGGAAAAAAAGAGAAAGTACTGGACTTCCTGTGAAGATGGTAACGTGGATGAAGTCTTGGAGGCCATAAGGAGGACAGAATGGCTGGCCATCTGGCTTAGGTAGAAGAGTGGATGCAGATGGACCTAGAGAGGAAAGTTGGGACTGAGATACAACCCTCTGAAGAACAAGAAGGCCCCCCTTCCAAGGCCACAGGGACTGCAGAGAAGCAGCTGAACTCACCTGGGACAGGAACCAACCTGCAGAGCCCCCCTTATTGTTGTGGCCAACATTGATCTTCATCAGCTGCCCCAAATCCGGGGCATCCAGGATGAACCTGTCTTCAGCTCCCTTTTCAAAGTTGTCCTTTTCATTTTCTAGCCTACGCTCCCCTGTATGCACAGACATACAAAAGAAATTACAAAAAGACCAGAAGAAAAGAATTTCCAAGCCTTCATGGTCCGCCCACTGAAAGATGCTCTTCCAAAGTTAACAAGGGCAACTTCCTCCTGAGATCTAAGGGCTCCTTACATCCCTCCAGTCTCTGAACAAGGCAGAGGTTTGCTTCATGTGTGGCTTGTGCCCAGGTCTTATAACTGAGCTTTTGATTTCTGCCTTACTCTAGAGTCCCGATCCTACTAAACCGATTTGTACCCCCATCTCTAGATCTAGGACCCTGCCTTGCTTTTGCCAGTTGCTTGTCCTGAATTGGAACAATAGCCACAGCAGTTGGTAAAGGGGCTGTCGGTATTCAGCCTACAGACTTCCTTAGACCTGACTCCTTTTCTGGAAAACAGTGCTGGTAAGTATTAATACTATCAGATGCTGCTGGTTGTTTAACATAGTTTTGGGTTTTACTCTCATTTATTCCTCACCACAATTCAAGAAGGAGATATTATTAACTCCGTCTTGCAAATGAAGAAACAGAGACTTAGAGAAGTTAAACACCTTGCCAAAAGTCATGCAGGTTATAAGCACTTAGTTAGGACTCAAATTTTAACCTGTTCTTTCTGCTCTGCAATTTTCCATTATTGTGTATCTACAAATCTTATCTAGGCACCAATTTTTGCTGAAACCATCCTGTGTTCTTTCTTTTTAATTTTTTTTAAATTTTAGGTTGTGACAGTTCAAACATACAGAAAATAATATAAGACATTCATGTACCCACCATCCAGATTTAAGAGAGATAACAGATACTAACATTTTGTCCAGTTTTCTCCAGACCTTTCTCATTTCTTAAGGATGTAAAACATGACAGATATGTCTAAGGCCTCACTGTCCATCTCTTCCCTTCTACTCCTTTCCCAAAATAAACACTATCTTCAACTTGGTATATATCATTCCCAAGAATTTTTGTTTGCATATATATGTATCTATAAAGACGGCTCCTGAAGTGTGATAGTCACTATTATATTATCATTGCTGCTGAGGTGGTTGCTATTGTTCCTGTTATCATTGTCACATACCCTTATGCTACTTGCTTTTTCTCAGTTAATGTTATCCTTTTGAGAGTACCTTGATGATAGTCATAACTTTAGTTTATTCATCTGACTGCTGTATAATAGTCATTGAATAAAGGAAACACTGTTGTCTATGCATTCTTCTACTGATGGACATTTAGGTTGCTTCTATTTTTTTGCTATTGCAAGCAGCACTAAAATGGACTCTTCTGTACCTATCTCCTACTGCACATTTGTAAGAACAGCTCTGAATAGATACCTACAGCTTCTGAACCCTGAGGTGTGCTCATCTTCAGTTTATTAGATGTTGCAAAATTTACCTCCAAAAATGGTTGTATTACATTAATTACCACCAGTAGTATATGAAGATTCCCATTCCCCACAAACATTAACATATATTTTTTAAAATTTTTATTCAGTGTGTACCCAACAGCATCTTATTGTAGTTTTAATTTGCATTCCCCTGCTTATTTGGGGAGATTGAGAATATGTTCATGAATATATTTTGGCCATTTAGGCTTTTCTCTTCTGTAATTTTTCCATTTATATCTTTTATTCCATTTTTCTCTTGTCTTGTTTGCCTATGTTTATCATACAGATATTTTTCTTGTTTTAATAGACTTCAATTTATCAATATTTTCCTTTGTTGCTTATGCTTTTAATGAATTATTTACAAAATCCCATCTCTAAATTGAGATTAAAAAGATACTCCTTTAGAGTTTCTTCTAAAAATTTTTTATTTTTGTTTTTTCACATTTAAGTCTTCAGCCCATCTGAAAGTTATTTTGTGAGTGGTAAAAGGCAGGAATTTAATTTTATCATTTTTCATATGGTTAGACAATTGTTCAAATACCAGTAATCGAACATTTCATCTTTTCCTTCTGATTTACAATGCCAACTCTATGTGTGCTTCTAGACTCTTTATTCTGTTTCATTGCTTTATTTTGTTTATCCATCTAGCAATATCACACTGTTTTAGTTTTTAGAGACCTAAAATGTCTTAATATCTGGCAGGGCAAATATTCTCATGTTATTAATATTGTTAGCATTATTTTCATTATTCAAAATTGTCTTGTCAATATTTAGCTCTTTATGGCTTAGCCCTACATGAATATTAGTAGCAATGTAAGCTGTGGGGTATTGCCTTTTAAGATTTCAACTGAAATTGCATTGCATTTATAAAACAACCTGGGAAAATTTGCCATATTAATGAATTTGAGTCTTTTCTCATCCACGAACATATTTCTCAATTTATTTACATATTCTTGTATATCCTTCAATAAAAATTTATAGTTTTCCCAAAAGGCTCTTTTTAATATTTATTCTTAGGTAACTTGTAATTGCTAATGCAAATAATATATTTTTAAATTAAATGTTTGCATTACTAATTTTTATTACTTTTTGTATTGTAATCTTATATCCAGCAACTTTAGTAACTTTCTCTTTCATTGGTTCTAATGGTTTGTAAATTCTCCTGGATTTTGTAGATGATCATTATTTTTTACAAAAATGAAAGTCTGTTATTTCATTTTCAACCGTTATAGCTTTTATTTATTTTACTTGCCCTTTTTTCTGGCCCTAGGACCTCTAGTACTGTGAAGAATAGAAATAATGAGTAGCTGGACTATTTCTTTTGTTTCTGACTTTAAAAAGAGTGCTTTCAAGTTTTCAAAATTAAGCATGATATTTGTGCATATTTTGGTAGATAGCCTTATATTTTTCAAAAGAAATTTTATTTCTAGTTTTCTATGGGTTTTTAAAAAGTAAATAATGCAAATTTTCCTGCATCTATCAAGATAATTCTTTCTCTTTAATCCGTTACTATAATAAATTATACAAATAGACTAATGTTAAATTATCATTAAATCCCTGGAATAAACCCTACAGAGTAGAAATTATTTGTCACATATCTATATATTTATTTATCAATTTGGTGTGCTAATATTTAAGATTTTTAGGTCTTTCACATGACAAAATGCTTATCATCACTGGCCATCAGAGAAATGCAAATCAAAACCACAATGAGATACCATCTCACACCAGTTAGAATGGTGATCATTAAAAAGTCAGGAAACAACAAGTGCTGGAGAGGATGTGGAGAAATAGGAACACTTTTACACTGTTGGTGGGACTGCAAACTAGTTCAACCATTGTGGAAGACAGGGTGGCAATTCCTCAAGGATCTAGAACTAGAAACACCATTTGACCCAGCCATCCCATTACTGGGTATATACCCAAAGGATTATAAATCATGCTGCTATAAAGACACATGCACATGTATGTTTATTGCGGCACTATTCACAATAGCAAAGACTTGGAAACAACCCAAATGTTCATCAATGATAGACTGGATTAAGAAAATGTGGCACATATACATCATGGAATACTATGCAGCCATAAAAAAGGATGAGTTCATGTCCTTTTTACGGACGTGGATGAAGCTGGAAACCATCATTCTGAGCAAACTATCGCAAGGATAGAAAACCAAACACTGCATGTTCTCACTCATAGGTGGGAATTGAACAATGAGAACACTTGGACACAGGGTGGGGAACATCACATACTGGGGCCTGTCATGGGATGTTGGGAGTGGGGAGGGATAGCATTAGGAGATATACCTAATGTAAATGATGAGTTAACGGGTGCAGCACACCAACGTGGCACATGTATACATAGGTAACAAACCTGTATGTTGTGCACATGTACCCTAGTACTTAAAGTATAATAATAAATAAATAAATAAATAAATAAATAACTTTTTAGGTCTTTATTCATAAATAAGACTAATCTGTACATTTCTTTCTCTTAATTTATCAGCCTGATTTTGGTATCAAAAATCATAAAATAAACTAGGACACATTACCTTTTTCCCTATTCTTCGAAACTATTTATATAAGATGGAGATTCATAATTTCTTAAATATTTGTTAGATTTTGCCTGAACAATCTTCTTGGTGTGATGTCTTGGGTGAATTTTAATTGCTGCTCTAATTTCTTTAGTGATTACAGATCTCCTTGGAATTTGGCTATAGTATGTTCTTAAGAGAATCTTTTTAGGATGCTGAGATGAAAGATCAGGCTACATCATATAGTGGCAATCATAAGGCTTGGACCCCAGCCTCTTTACTATGCTAGAGGAGACCCTCATGTTCCCTCAAGCATAAATGATGATGTGGCAGAAGAGGACCAAAGGCAAAGATTCTCCCATGTCATATTGCTATGGGACCCCAGCCCCAGGAAAGAGGCTAGCCTTCTCCAATAATGTAGCTTAGACCTCACAGCCCAAGGGCCAGTTTTTCTCTCCCAGGTCTGCAGTCTTGCCCTGCAAGATCCTCCTGGAATGACCCAGTATGTGATGGGTAACAGGGACCTGCATAGTTGCTATTGCTACTGTGTCCTCTAGTTTCCCCAGATAAATTCTGTTCCGGGTGGTGGTGGTGGTGATGATGATATAACATGTGCCATCAGATTATTCATATTATAATTTATTCTTTAATTACTTAGACATATGCTTTTTAATTTTTAAATGGGGTGAGATGTGGACATTTCTTCTAATTTTATTGCCTTATGATCAAAGAATGTTGTCCCTATATTATTGATTCATTTTAAGTTAAGGCTTGCTTTGTGATTTTGTATATGTTCATTATATGCTTGATAAGAATGTGTATTCTCTACCAGTTGGATGCAGTAATCTATATACTCCCTTTAGGTCAAGCTTATTAACTGTGTAGTTAAAATCTTTTCCACTCATACTAAATTTGTATGCATTTGGCCTATCCATTATTGAGAGTATTGTATCAAAATCTCCCACTATGATTCTGTATTTGCCAAATTCCTCCAAGAATTTTGTTAATTTTTGCTTCATATCTTGGGAATATGTTGTTAAGTTTACACAAGTTAAAAATTATTGCATCATTCTTTTTGTCATTATTCCTTTTGTCATTGTCTATTTTTATTTGAACAAAGTTGTTTGCCTTAAAGTTTCATTTGACAGATATTAATATAGCTATGCCAGAATCTTTCCTGTTTGTTAATGTTTTCCTGGTATATTTTATTTCATCCCATTTATTCTCAGACTTTCTGTATCATATACTGTATTTAAGCTGGATTTTTGAATTTTCATCTAAAAGAATATCCATCTTTTAAATGCTGACTCTGTTCTATTTATTAATACATTTGTTTTACTTTTGCTATTAGCCATGCTTTTTCTTTGCTTCCCTTTCTTCATTTCCTTCCTTCGATTGGATTGATTCTTTATTCCCTTTTATGTCTTCCTTTGGTTTTCAAATTATACATTTCTGTTTTGGGGTGGTTACTTTTACAATTTTGATATGCATACTTATTAAAATCTACAGTTAATCATTATCCCTACTCTCCTGGGAATGGGGAGATCAGCAGGGGCCAAGACCCTTACTATGTCTTAACTCTCATCATCCACTTTCCTTCTCAAATATTATTGATTTTAATTGTTGAGGTCCACATTTCTTCATGCGCTGATGTTAGTCATCATTTTTGTTGTTTTGTATAGTCAATGCTTGCTTAGATTCATTACATAGTTATCCATTTTTGCTCACCTTTGTTTCTTGTATCTCATTCCTTTCTTCTGTGTACAATTTCCTTTTTCTTGAAGTATATCCTTTAGTGGTTGTTTAAGCATATGAATGGTAAACTCTATTTATCTTTGTTTGCATAGAAATTTGCTAATTTAGCCGTCACTCTGGAATGATAACCTAGCTGGTATAGAATTATGGGGTGATATATATCCTTGCTTAGAATAGTGAAGACACTATTCCACGTGCTTATAACCTACATAGGTTGCTGATAGGAATTTGCTATCAATCTAACTATTGTTTTTATAGAAAGTAATCTGCCAAATCTGTTTCCTTTTAAAATATTTCCCTTTGCCTTTAGTTTCACCACAATGTATCTAATTATCTGAAATTCTTGAGGATTTAATCTTATTGTGTGTTGTGTTGATTAATGCTTAGTTATGATGAATTATATATTTGAGTGTTTTGTAGTTTTGGAAAGTGAACACATCTTCAGTATTTTATCTGTGGAAATTTCAGGCAGTCTTGCAAATGCTTTTGCCAAATATCTAAAGGTATTACTGGCATGAAACCAATTTTCTGTACTTGAGGGAGAGGGGGTCCCAAATCACACTTGTAGTGTTAAATCAAACCTCAAGCCCACATGCAGTGCAGGCCTAAGGTATCAATTTCTCAGTATTTTTTTTAAAATTTAGAGCTCTTGCCAAGAAACATTTACTGTACTGATGAGCAAATTTTTTCCTGGTCTATTTTTTCACTGAAGATGCTCCTCTGAACCATCAGGGCTTCTGGCTTTATATTCAGTTTTAATTTCAAATCTCTTGACTCATACAGGGCCAAGGTCTCATTTCCTGACCCCACATGGGTATGAAAGCTCATCCCCTAGATTGTTGAGCATGAAAGCTCTCTCCTTCCAGGAGCCACCACATCTATTCATAGTTAACACTTTGGTTTTGAATTCCCTCTTCATTTCTAGCACTGGCACCTGGAGATTTCTCTTTTTTTTTTTTTCCTTATAAGCTTAGCAATGCATTTTGAATTCTTTAGTATATTGTTACAAAATTCACATGTCTTTGTAGCTTTTCCAACTCCTATGTAATTCTGCTAAATTGGCAGAAGCAGAAGAGAACCACCTGTCTCATTCTTCTGACCTGAACTTCCTCTCAACACCTACAGCTGTGTCTGAGCTCTCAGTTCTTGCTTTCCCTGTGAGGCCAAGTCAAATTGTATTCCCAGCCTCATTCTGTTCTGCCCCAAACTACTGCATTGAATCAGGCCACACCCAGCAACATCCCAAAGTATAATTCAAGATGGGCATGAAGCTTAGGAAGATAGAGTAAGTGAGAATGAGTTTCCTAGAGATGTGAAGCTTGGGAGTGTCCATGGTCTGAGATGCAGGACAATTGCAATCAACCCACACACCAGCCATACTATAATCGGAAAACACATCACACACATAAACTTTACAACACAAAATGAACACCTGCTGCCCAGGACAGGTCACTCCAAACCACATCACAAGAAGTGAGATGCTCAATAGAGGAGCCCAAAGTGGGGCTCAAGCTGCCTTCCTCTGCCAGGATTGTGGGAACCCCATCTACAAAATAGTCCTGGGCTTGGCTTATGAAAAAAATAATTCAAACCCATTACCTGTGTCTCCATACTCTCCAAAAATATTGATGAAGACATCAGCATCTGTCCCTGCACCAATTACATCACCAGTGTATACCTTGACTTCATACTTATTACCTAGGAACAAGGAGAGAGAAAAACCTTAGCTCATCAGGATCCTGAAAAGAGAATAGAGGCCCCAAAGTAGCTACCACACCATCTACACTTACCCCCAGCAATGCATAAATTGTCACCATTACTGTCAATAACAGAGCAAAAAACAAGTCAGTCCACATTGGTTCCAAATGGTCATTGCATGAATTGTCATCATTACTGTCAACAACAGAGCAAAAAACAACTCACTCAACATTAGTTCCAAATGGCCATTGGATGTATGACCATCACTGTATGTGATGAATAAATCAGAGGTAGAGAAGACCTTCTGTTTTTATCTGCTAACATGTTGCCTTGAAACACAGGGATCAGCCCAGACCCAAGGTGCCACCCTGAACCAACCTCCACCATATCTCCCCTGAACTATTGAAATGTCTCTAACTAGGCCCTCTGTATCTCCTCTGCCTTTCCCAGTCTGTTTTCCACATTGCACCATAGCATAAAAATTCACTGGGAAAACTGGATTCTGCAGATGAAAATCAAATTTATCTGTAAATTGTCAAAGCCATAACCAATGCAAAGACAAGAGGCACCAATAGTGGCTGGCATGCTTAGGGCTCTTTCAAAGACCTGTATCTGCTTCCTGTATCTTTGCTCCATTCATTGAACAAAACTTAATCCCCTGTAACCTCCAAATGCCTTAGCTTCAGCCTCAGCCATGGCCTTGATGGGAGACGAAGCTTGGTAAACTTGACATGATGAGACCTGCCCAGGTCTCCCCAGCTGGAGCCTGCCTTAGAGTGAGGAGCAAAGGTCAGGGGTTGGTATTTGTGGTCAAGGGAAGGGGAATCCTCCAGCTTTTCACTGGGTGCCAACAATTCCAAGGGCTGAGACCACTCTCCCTCCCCTTTTCCCTTCTTACAGTGGCTTCATATTTTTTATGTAGCAGAATCCTTTTTTATAGGTGTCTTTTGCCCAATATGTGAAACTGGTAAAAACTAGAGCTGTTCTAATCAAGGTTCAGAGTCCCAGCCCCTCTGCCCACCTGTTCCCTAGTGCCTTCTCTGAGCCCTGTCCCTGGCCCTTAGAGGTTTTTCTCTTCTGTATTCCTCAGCTCCGCTATGTTGCCTGTGACAATGATTTTTGAGTTTTGTCATTTACTGTCTTGTGTTGTTTGCCATTTCCTGCAAGTAAGGCTTCTAATTTCAAGTATTTATAGGAGGGCTGGGAGCAGGACTTCCTTCTCCTAGATAATCTCTCCCACATACCCTAGCACAGTGCTGGGCATGTACATTACAGTCTCATTAAGTACGCTGGAAAATAAATGGAATCAAATTTCCTAAAATTCAAAGTCTCCAGGAAGTTGCTCAGGGCAAAGGACTGAGGTTGGAGAGATGAGGAGAAAACTTAATTTCATCCCTTCTAGAGGTGACACGGTGCAGGATCCTGCAGGAGCCCCACAGAGGACAGCCCACACACAGCCCCTGAAAGTTGGCCTTGAACTGGTGAGAACACTGAGGCAGCAGCGGTCAGTGCCTTCCCTTTCTCTCCTCAATCCTCACTTGAGGAAACCCATCAATGGGGTAGGGAAGAATCCTGCAATTCTTGTCCCTAACTGAGAGCTCCAGGAGGAGCAGCCACTGTCAGACTCCCACACCTCTTGCTTTACAGTGAAGATCCTCTGAGACTGCAGCCAGAACCGGAGGTTTTGGAAGAGGCCAGGTCAGGGAACTCTGAGGTGAGCAGCTTGAAACTGGAGCCACACTCAGGTTACCTGGCAGTAACACCTGGCAGGTGTTAAACGGGCAGATTCCAGGTTTCCCTCCCAGAGCTTCTGAGCCATGTTGTTTGTAAGGACCAGGGAGGCCTCAGCCGTGGCTAGCTAATTCTGCTTTTACCATCTTCCATATTCCAGAGGCCGCCCCCCAGCCTTGATTCTCTCCTCCCTGGCTGGCAGTGCCTCTGAGAACATTCATTTTGGCTCACAACCCTTCCCAACTCCAGTCCAGGGCTCACTTCACAGAGGCAAGACCCCTCTTCAGGGTGGCAAGATGCCTAGGGCCCCTTGTCTGGTGAAGCCAGGGAGGGTGGTGGCCGGGGAATGTTCTGAAGGTTGCATCAGTCCATTGGAAGGGGCAGCAGGGCTCCAGGGGAAACTGCACACAGTGAAGCAGGAGAAAGGATGAGAGGGGCTGGGAAGCATTTGTTGAAGGAGTCGCCAATATTCTGAATCATTCCAGAAGGCAGAATTCTAATTAGCGAGTTGAGTTATAAAGCAGATTTTCACTCACCAAAGGAAAGATTTTGTAGTATCTAAGGCTATTCAACAAAGGAATGGATGCCCTTGGGTTGGGGAGGGAGTTTCCCATCCCTAGAGACACCTGACAGTTAGCATGTGCCAAGCACATTGGTGGAGAGCCACCTGCCAGGGATGCTGCACAGAAAGTGCCATAGGTGAGAGGATGTGGAAACGCTAAAGGTCCTTTTTAATCTGCAATTCCTTGACACTTGACCAAGAAGGACAGACTCTGGAGGGAAGCCAGGAGATCAAGGAGACATCTCAGAAGGAAGGGGAAGCACCCTGAATGAGGAAAAGTGAGGCCTGGGCAGCACGAACGCACACGGGACTTTGGGAACACACAGCATCCATGCTCTGGCAAAGTCTGGAGAAGCAGACCACGAGCCCAAAGTGAGGCAATTTGGGGAGACAGGCCAACTGTCAGAGATCAGGAGACCAGGGCTGGTGGAAAGGAGCTTCTAGGCCTTTCCAGCTGAGGTGGACAAGGGACCCAAGCCAAGAGATCAGGAAGTCAGGTGGACAGAGGTCAGGAGGAAGCTGATTCTAGAACAAGCAGACTGTCTTCTAGCCTCTGCAGAACTTTCTATGGCAGATGGGGCCCTGAGTCCCTATGCAGTTGGCTGGGTGGAGAATAGGATCCCTGTGTGACAGGTGACTGCCAATCACATTGAGAAGGAGACAAGAGCTGCAGCAGGGATGGACAGATACACCTCACGAAACCATTTTTTAGAAGTCCCCATACATGGATGCTGACATTTATTACATTACTCTTTTACCTCCTTTATTTCATATTCCCTCTTCAAGCAGAACCCCAGACTATCTACTTTGCCATTTTCCAAAACAAGGCCCATGGCCCAATGCCGGCCCTGATCTGTGCTTAGGTGCATCTGCCGATGAGAGAACAAGGCTGAGGAAAAGCAGGGCTCCATTCTGTCACTGTTGGCAAACGTCAGCTCAGGGCATCAAGCCTTCCTGTCACACAAGTGCCCCCCAATTTCCTGTGACTAGAGTTTCAGTGAGCACAGACTTGCTGTTCTGGTCTCAAGCAGGTTTTTGCTTGTTGAACTCATCACTTGGATCTCGTAATCTGTGAGAACAAAACGCCCACATATGAGATAGGGCTGCTGCCCTGGCAACTGGGCACTGACCAGAGAGAAAGGTGAAAGACCAATTAAAAAAAAAAATCCCTGCCCAAAGGCCAGCAGGAAGCAGGGAAATAGGGAGAAAGATGATGATAAGAAATAATTCCCATGTGAGCCAAAAGGTCACCTTTCATCTCTGAAAATGACATGGTGGATTCACCTTCCAGGGCAAATAATACTAAATATTCACAAAGGCATTTGCAGCTAACAAGCCACTTGCATATTCTAGATGTCATTTGATCCACACAATGGCCACATGTGATAGGCAGGGCAGGTGCTGTTGACGTTCTCATTTACAGATAAGAAAACTGAAGCTCAGAGGGCAAGGTGGCTCGCCCCAGGACAGGTAGTTGCTAAATGATGCAAGAAGGGCTCAAAGCAAGGTCTCTGGTCTTTGAATCCAGGGCTTTTCCCAGGATACCCCAGGCCTCCCAGACCCTATGCCAGGGTGGGCAAACTTTTTCTGTAAAGCACCAGATAGGAAATATTTTAGGATTTGCAGGCCATTTGGTCTCTGTCACATCAACTGTTCAGCTCTGCTGTTGTGGCATGAAAGCAACAATAGACAATATTACATAAACAAATGGGTATGTGGCTATGCTACAGTAAGACTTTATTTATGGACATTGCCATGTGAATTTCATATAATTTTTATGTGTCCCAAAATATTACTTTTTAAAAAAATTCTTTTCAACTGTTTAAAAAACATAGAAACCATTCTTAGCTCGGGGTCCACACAAAAACAGGTGACAGGCTGGGATTGGGCCACCGGTGAGAGTTAGGATATGTCTTGAACTCTCAGGCACTGTTCTGCCTGTCTCTAGGCAGGGGGTGGTGGGTAGATCTGCTCTCTGTGGCCTGGAATGGGAGCAAAGCTGCCTGGACCAGGGTGGTCAGCTGCTGGCTGCAGGATAATGGCAGCATATCTGGACCATTAGCTAAGCATCTCAAGGCTCTGAAGATTGGGGAAGGAGTCCCCTTTCTCTGTTGCAGTAGAGCATGTCCTATGCCCATTGTGAATGAGCAGGGCCAACTTTCCCTGCCCCTACAATGCCATGTGGCTGGGCTGAGCCTGGCAGTCCACTGATAGAAGAGGCGGCGTGGTCTGGGGTTTCCTAAAGGCAGGGACAGAGGGCAGCACCGCTTCTGCAATCTTAGTCTTAAGCTTTTTGTTCATAGCCTGATTGAGAGTAAGGAGCAGAAATGGAAACAGGTGAAAGTCAAGTTGGAAGAGAGGCTAGCACTGAGTGCACCCCTGTTCCTGATCAAGCTTGGGAGAAACAGGGCTTAGCGATGGATTGTGGAAATCGTCACCCAAGCCAGCTCTAGAGCTGGCCTGTGATTTACCCATTTAGTGTATTATCTGTTGTTCAGTTGTCCCTAGAGTTGATTTCTCTCTGGCCTTTTAGCAGGGCTACCATTAGCCTATATGGAACCTTTGTGCAAATTAGGCAAAAAGAATCCCTTTCTCAAGACATTTTACTGCCATCTGTTGGATAACTGTCATAATAAACACACAAATCTACAAGCTCTCTGATGTGAATTGTGTCTCCTTACATAGTCGCATTTGTGCAGTGTGTGACCTGCACATCTGAGACCAGCAACCCTACCTTTCACATAGTCACCTCCTTCCACTAAAGGTCAGCATGTGCTCAGGGAGGTCAAATTAATTTAAGCATTGATCTGAAGAATATACAATGAGGGTTGTAGACCAGGGATTAAGCTAAACACATGGTACCTTTCAAAGCCAACCAGAATTGAGCTGGGATCCTGTGCAGGTGGGCTTAGCTGCAGCCTAAAGATAGAGTGCCCACTCAAGGCCACAACAGAGGGTTGTCTGTGCCCCCCTTGCCCTGCTCAGTGGATGCACATGCCCTGACATGCCCTGTTTTTCCTCTGCAGGCCCTGTGGCAGGGGCACAAGGCTGCTCCCTCTAAACAGGAAATCCGTCCCTTGCCGGCTGGCCGGAAGCTGCCTGTGTGGGCTTCCAGAAAAGGCAGACACTGGCAGGCCCGAACTGCCTGCCTGCGCCTGGTGCACCAGCCACCCCCACAGCCTCCCCTGCGCTCTGTCTGGAACAGTCAGCACACAGCAGTGACAGAACACATCTCCAGAGAGCCACCCCAGGCCATGCAGAGAGGCAGAGCCATGAGGGGGCCGGGCCCCCTAATTCGGTGCTGCATGCACAGCGGAGCTGGTGAGGCTGCTTGCCACATTCCCGACTACAGAAGTCAAGCATATGCCCCGTAACTAAGCCCCCATCTCATCAAGACCCAGTGCGATCTGAACCTCAGGGAAGCTCACGTGGTCCAGGCTTTCTTAGGAAGCAGAGAATCATGAATGAACTGGTGGAGTTTCTTTTCCTTGCCTTTCGCCCATCCCCAGATCCTGTTTAAATAGAATGTGGCTTTAGCTATTTTAGCAGGTGAGGGTGAGGAGGGGGTTGGAAGGAGAATGATTGGGCCTGATTTTACCCCACCCGCAAGTGAATCTGCAATGGCTCACACCCTGACACCCCTCACTTCCGCTCACTGAGAGCCAAGACGCTAGAAGTGAGATATCACAGGCGCTGCGTAGGAGGAGATGAAAACGGCAAGGGAGAGAGATTCAGCGGGGGCTGCCCTGGGGGTGGGAGATGAGGGGGAATGTTCTCTCCCAGCCAGGGAAGGCCCCCTCACTACTCAAGCCCACACAGATGTGGGGAGGGGTTGGTCCGCAGAACCCAAGGATGGGCAGGGGGGACAATGCCATGTGCCGGTGCCGGAAGCTGGCTCATGGCCACCGACCAATGGATTCCCTCCCAGTCATGTAGACTCCAGTTCTTTCCCCCATGCTACCCCCAAAAGGTTTCCTCTTCCTTCGTCAGGCCTGGACACCCATTGCCTCTCAGCCAGGCTCTCGTCTACTGTCTCTTCCTCATTCTCCAGACTCTTCCACCTCCAGTACATCCAACCCACCCTCCCATCATCACTTTGTACCAGCTCTTCCATGGCCTCTGCGAGATGCTCTCTGCTCCTGGGACCACACACAAGGCACTGGGACGATGGATGACAGGCTTTCTTCCTTTGCTTTCCTCCTGTAACTTCCTTCTTTTCTCCCTTCTCCCTTTCTTCTTCTGTCTTTTCTCCCTCTCACTGTCTTACAAATAGAACTGGAACTTTTCTCCCTAGAATACCCTCCACCTTGCTCTCCTTGCAGACACACTTCTTATTAAAATCATAAGTGCCTCTGATCCTCCGAGAAATTGCAATGGGCCATTCACTTCTATCACATCGTTTAATCCTCACAATGATGGACCCTATGGCTACTAGTGTCACCATTTTTAGTAATGAGGCAATGGAAGCAGGAGCTTAAGAAGCTTGATGGTGTTCACACAATTAGAAAGGGTGCAGCCTAGATTTGGACTCAGGGCATCTGAACAAGAAGGTTCTCTCTTGGCTGTCATTGCCCCCACCCTGCCAGCTTTAGTTCAAACCTCAGGTTCTCTCAAAAGTTCCCACCTGCCAAACCCACACGGCCCCATTCCACAGCTCCCGGTGTGTGCGTTGTTCCTTTAGCAACTAACGTGCTCAAACACAGTCCGTGCATTTGACCTCAGCCAAGCCTTGTTATGCACCAACATGAAAACATCACTTGGTCCTTAAAAGTTGCTCATGGGCAGAAATCAAGAAATAACATTCTACAGCAGTGGCATCCAGTCTTTTGGCTTCCCTGGGCCACACTGGAAGGAGAAGAATTCCCTTGGGCCACACATAAAATACATTAACACTAGCGATAGCTGATGAGCTAAAAAAAAAAAAAAATTGCAAAAAAATCTTATGCTTTAAGAAAGTTTATGAATTTTTGTTGGGCTACATTCAAAGCTGTCCTGGGCCACATGCAGCCTGTGGGTGGTGGGTTGAACAAGCTTGCCCTATACCATTCATCACCCTCAAGTAAATATACAGCTGGTACGTTTTTCTAGGGAACTGTCCAATGTAAGTCTGATACTATCAGGTGTTGAAACATAGGAGGGAGTAGATCAGCTTCCACTCCTTCAGCTTATCCTGCTGGTTCCTTTTCCAGCCACTGCCCAGCCCTGAAGAGCTATTTCTACCTACCCTGCAGTCACTCGTCCTCCTTTGCTTCCTTTCCTGCCTCTCTACGGAAGACCCCTCCCATCCACCTGCACATTTCGATAACCTTGGCTCCATTACTTCCCTTTCCAACCCAGACTCTAGTAGACTGCTAGTATTTATCTTCCCAGAGGGCCAGAACACCAGCACTTCTTGTATACTACTGGAATGTCACCCAGCCTTCCTGGAGGGCAGGTGAGTGATATATGTTAAAAGCCTTAACATTGTGCAAATCCCTTGAACCAACTATTCAAGCCCTATGCATTAGTTTATACTAAGGGAGTAGTTATATTAATTGATCACCTATAAGGATGTCTATCACAGCATTGTTAATACTGACAAAAAATAGGGAACAACCTAAAGATATCCAAAATAGGAGATTTGGGGGGTGACATATATTCTCCCATTCATGGACTACAATGCAGCCACTTAAAATAACAGAAGATGGGCCAGGCACAGTGACTCATGCCTGTAATCCCAACACTTTGGGATTATACTTGAAGTCAGGAGTTTGAAATCAGCCCAGCCAACGTGGTAAAACCCTGTCTCTAATAAAAAACACAAAATTTGCCAGGTGTGGTGGCACATGCCTGTAATCCCAGCTACTTGGGAGGCTGAGGCAGGAGAATCACCTGAACCTGGGAGGCAGAGGTTGCAGTGAGCCAACATCATGCTACTGCACTCCAGCCTGGGCAACAGAGTGAGATGCCATCTCAAAAAATAAATAAATATAAAATAAAATAACAGAAGATGATTTGAGGCTATAATGTAGTATTAAGTGAAACAACATGGTTATAAAATTGAGTTTAATGCAATACCATTTTAATATGTAGGGTTTAATATGTTCATAAACAAAAATTTAAAGAATGGGAAGGAAATTCACCAAAATGTTAACAGGGGTGTCTCCAACACAATTGTACTCAGTACTTAAGTTCAAGCCTCTGTGTTTGCTCCTAGCTTCATCCTTATAGACAAATGATTTCACCTCCCCCTTCCTCAGTCTCCTTCATCTATTAGATGGGGGTAACAATAAACCTCCCTTGCAGCGTTGTGAAAATTAAATGGATGTTTAGATAGATAGGTGGATGGATAGATTAGATTAAGATTAATAGTTTGTTGAGAATGATGACAGCCATTGAGTAAGTGCTGCATAAAAATCAGCTATTGTCATCTTTGAGTGATTGGATTATGGAAGATTTTCTTATTCTTCTGTTGCTTATTTGTACTTTTGAATTTTTACAATGGCCATATTTTTTCTGTGATTGAAAACTGAAGTCACCTAATGTCAATACTTGAGTAGGTCATGTCTTCTGTATTTCAGAAGAAACAGTCGAAAGTTCCTGCCAATTTATTATAACCTCAAGCTGGCTTTGTCACACAAATGCCTTGAGCCAGTCTGAGTGGCTGTGAGGCTGGAGGGAAGATTGAGAACCAGATGGCCAGTGAGAGAGAATAGACACAAGGGCCACCAGCAGAGACCCAGCCCCAGGCAGGTGGGAACACTTTCTCTGACTCTCACTGGGCTCACACTGGCCAACACCTGTGGCTAAAGGGAGGGTTCCAGCAGGAAGCCATTGGTGCTGCAATGGAATGGACACTGACAGCTGGATCAGGGCCAAGACAGTGTCTGTGTCATCAGTTCAGATTTTCGTGTGTACAAAATGCAACATGGAGAAAGTGCTATTTCCACAAACAGAAAAAAAAAGGCTATTTTAAACACCTATTTAAAGATAAAAATAACCAAGTTTGAAGCAAATACACAATTCCATGCATTCTCCAAACATTCTGGCTGCTGGGTTGAAAGAGAATGTGGCTGGTGGTGGTTCTGGGAGGGTGGAGGCCACAGTGAAAATATGAGGTGGAGGATCCATTCCCAGGTGTGTGAGTGACACTGAGCCATCAGAGCTCATTTCCCCAAGTGCCCTCATTTCATTTCAAATCCTAGAAAACTCCTCACCCATGAAGACTCAGTTTGAGCATCACCTCCTCTATAAAGGCCTCCTGATTCCTTCTTCCTCTATGCTCCCATTGGCCTGGGCGCCATACCCCACTTAGAATATTCTATCCCTTTGCACTGTGATTATCTACTGGCTTGACTCTCTCCCGTCTAGACTCTAAGCTCCTAGAGAGAAGGGCCTGTATGTAATCACCCTGAGCGCAGGCTCTGGTGCATAGAAGGCTCCCCGCAAAATGCCCATTGAATCACTGAATGAATGTGCTTAACAGGAGGAATGATGGAGGAGCATGAGCTGGCACCAAAAGCCCAAGACTGCAGCTCTGCCCTACAGTTATGCTGTGTGACCAAGAGCAAGGGGCTTAATTTCCCTGGGCTTCCATTTTCTCCTCTCTGAAATGGAGGAAGAGTAGATAAAGTCCCTTTTGGTCCTTAAATTCTCTGATGTGCCACAACAGGGCCTCACTTAGAGTGGTTCTCTTCTTCCCCCTCTTTCCGGAGATGATTTTCTGCAGTGCTAGGTGGGAGCAGATGGGGTGGGCGGGGAGCTGCTGTGAGCTTCAGTGGAGGAAAGTGCTGCAGGGCTGGCCCAGCCCTCCCTACCCTGGAGTCCTTGCCCCCACCTGGGAATTCTTCCATGGAGTTCAAAGGAACAATGACTCCCAAGCAGCACCCACAGCAAATAGGCTCAGAGAGCCCTGGAGAGTGCTCCGTGAAGGAAAATGACAAAGCGTCGGGAAAAGAGGCTTTCCCTGCTGGCTTTAACAGCAGTCAAGGTGATGAGCCTATTCCCAGTTGTCTGCTTGAACCTGCCTGGATTCCAGAGGGGAACCTGGCACTGAGTAGCTCTGGAGTACTTTCTGAGAGGTTAGAATCTTAAGCCTGTGCATCTCAGAATCAGAAAAAGCCTGGATGTGGGGGAAGAAGAAAGGGAAACATCAGGAGCTTAACCACAAGGACAAGCACCACGCTATTGTGTCATTTACTGAGCATTGACTCTGTGCCTCGGCACTAAGTCCTGTATGCTCATTTCCCCAGCTAATCTTATCAGGTAGAAATTAATGTTCTCCCCACTTTACAAATGAGAAAATAGAGGCACAGAGCTTAAGGCATCTGCTCATGCTAGCATAAGTGGCAGAATGGCAGAGCTAGCTTTTGACCATGGAGAAGGGGAGTCCAGAGACCGAGTCCATGGTGGGGGACTATCTTGAAGATGGGAAGTATGGGGAGATGAAATAGGGCAGAAAGATCCACAGTAGAAAGGAAGCCACCAAAGGCCAATCTCCTTTTGCCCCCATGGAGGAGGGCTGGCCCTGACCTCTCCGTCTCCCTTTGGTTATGAAAGTGGACACTCTAGTAATCCTGAAAAGACTCCAAGAGACCCCCTAGTCCAGGCACTCTACAGAGGGAGAAACTGAGGATAGGAGGGGAACTGAGATCTGCCCCAGGTCTCATTGCTATTTGGTGGCAAAGCCAGAACCAGAACTCAGGATGTATAGTCCCATGTGCTTTCTGACCCAGAGAGTTATTTTAAGATTAATGATTTAATTACTCTACGATAATATCCTATAGAATCTGGGAATAAGTCAGTGCTTCTGGCTTCTTGACAGAGCCTTTGCGATGGGTGTTTTATGCTCCAATCATGCAGGGTACTTTCATTTTGCATTTGCACTATGCAGTCCTCTGGCAGGTCCATAATCCTTTGCAGGGCGGTACAATTTGCACATGCCCCTAATACGTTAATCACCATCCCTTTCTTATCCCATTCTCCCCTCAAATGCACCCTGGGCACTACGCCCAACATGGTCATGTCAAGATCGGGTACACATCTGGAGCTGTGTGATAATCATTGTGTGGCACTGCATGGCCTGGAATAAAACTATAACCCAGTTACCTGATGAAACAGCCAGGAATGGAAACAGTGATTATGCTGAAAACAAACACAATTCCATTTCTACCCATTCCCAAGTGCTGTGCAGCTTTCAGCCCCCAGCTCCAGCTTTCTCACTGGGCATTAAAAAAAAAAAAAAAGAAAAAAAGAAAGAAAGAAAAAAAGGCAATTCATTTGCTCCAGAATGGGAGTCCAGATGTAAACGTCATCCACCCCTCCCACCACCTGCATGCGCCCAGCCCACCTGCCCAAGTTGTTGTTTCTTCTTATGGCTTCCCTTTCCTGTAATCATCAGCCTCTCTTCTCTTTGAAGCATACAACAAAACTGGCTGCAACCATATTTGTTATTAATCTACCCAAGAAGATTACATGCCCCCTAGATGGTGGCTTGTCCTTCCCAAAACCTAAAGAACAAGAGCAGGTGTGGAATCAGGACCCACCTCAAGACTGGGCCCTCTGAATGCAAGGGGCCTCTCTGCTTCTGCCAGTGCCTGAGTCTGAAACATTTCTGAGCTGTTGTGCTGGGTTCTGACAGCCCTGGTGTGTGAGCAGCCCCCAGGTCAGCTGCAACGCAGCTCTTGGCTTCAGAGGCCTGTCTCATGGCCAAGCTGGTGGAGCCTTCCCCAGGCAGTATGGTGTGGGCTCAATATTAATCTAAGCCACATGATCATCTCAGTGCTTTTCGAAGTAGGAGGGTTTGTGGGTAGGCACTGGGCTGTGGGCAATTACTTGGCCAGAAAGCAGGAAATGACATCATATTGGTCGTGAGAAGGCCAGGCAGGATCTGCCTTAAACAGGTCTTGCTCATGCTTCCCTACCAGCCCAAGCTCCTTCAAGACCCAATATGAGGTCATCCCAAATCTACCTGGAGAGCACACGCCATCTTATCAGGCCTTGCCTAACTCAGATGTCTCGCCCAACCTCATTCTTCAATACTGCCCCATAGGGAAGGCAGGGATGTGCCCAGGGCTTCCCTGAAGTCAAAGAGGACTGAGTAGCCCTGCATTCTCAGCCTGGGCAACTCTGCAGTGGGCTTATGAATTGCACCTGGGCACTGTGTCCTGTGAATGTCTCACCAAAAGGGACAACATCAAAGTGGGTATGGGGGGGGGTGTGAAATCAGTGGGTGGGAGACACCTGGAGGCAAGCAAGAAAGAAGGTGCTTAGCTAGCACAGTGTCAGAGTAAGCCAGTGCTACAGGGACCTCAGAGAACATCTCGAGCAACCTGGTAAGAAGATGAGAAAACAGAGACCCAGAGAGGATGAGCAACTTGCCCAGAGTCACATAATTACCAAAGTGTGAGGCTAGGACTCAGGTCTCTGCCCCTTTGGAAAGCTCTTTCCACCCATCTCTGTGGCTTGTCTTTATAATCAGATGTGTCTATCCATGACCTCCCATTACTACCATATGCACACAACCTGTTCCTTACCAACGTTCATACAAGCCCCTAAGTCCCAGTGGCCAAGGTAGCAGCTGTGAGTAAAAGCCATCACCAGGTAGATAGGAGGAGACCGCAGTGTTACCCTCAGAGCAACCTGAGCTTCACTGGAGAAACTGGAGAGATACACATTAGGAAGTTAGAGCCCTGAAATATGGTATTTCTTGGCAATGTATCCATCTCAAAACACCTGACAGCTACAACCCCCCCACCACCATCAGTCTTGGTGGCTCATCTTGGTGGTGATTCTGCCAGAGCACGTGTGAACCACAGGGAGTAGGTTGAGAAGGTCCTCCTCCCTGCCCGTGAGATTCCTTACATATCCCTGATTGCAGAATCACTGCACAGCAGTGTGTGGCACAGACTTTCCTCACAGAGTTTAGAGAGGGAGGGGACACCTGAGGCAGAGGAAGTGGGTAATGCCGTCCAGAGAGGCTGAGGCTTTCCATCCAGTGGGGTCGGGGTGGCATGCAAAAAAGAGGAGGATGAAAGAGAGGAAGTGAGGGGCGAGGGGCCTTGACATTTCCTCTGGCCCTGGCACGTTTTAACAGAAGATCCGCAGTTTCCTATATCACCAACTTGAGACAGAACTCTGGGAACAAGGAGCCAACTCAGTTAGCAAATAGGGCAGGCCCCGGGGCTCCAGAAAGACCTGCCCCACTGGGTCCTTGCAGGGCTTGATGCGATAGGGCCTGAATCACAGAAACAGCTGTCGGCTGTCCGTGGTCTGGTTTCCACTCCACAATCTCTGAACAGATTAGCACAGGGTGTCTAATACTGCCCTCAGGCCTCAGTTCCACTTCCAACGGGTCCCTTGAAACCTCCTCAGGGTTGATGAATGCTGGAGAGAACAGCTTTCAGAGCCACTGTCTGCCAGGCACAGGAGCCAACACAATCTGAGCAAACAGGTTGAGAAATGGGAGCTGCTAGCCCTAGACCAAGAAACAGAAGAGGCAGTGGGGAGGCACTCTGTGCTGCTTGCCTTGACCTTTGTCCCCTGTGCAACGTGGGGATAATAATAGCCGCTACTTCTCGGAGTTTTAAGAAGATACTACTTGTAAAATGTATGCACACAAAGACACAAGGCTACGGAAGTATTTTGTCTCAAAGTCATATAGCTAGGAGGTGGTAGGGGTGGGATTTGAACCCAGGACTCCATGATTTGAGGCCTGGCACTCTGAGCCATGATGCTCTACAGTCTCCTTGTGGGCACTTTGTATGATGGGAATCTGTGTCCTCCACTGGACTGTGAGCACCTTGAGGGCAGGGACTATGTCCTTATCCACAGGCTCAGCATCTTAGGGCAGCTCAAGAGGGCATTGCCAACAGCAGCTGCTAAGGATGATGCTGCACCTGCAGGCAGGGGAGACAGTGCTTAACTTCCAGCCAGGGGCTGCTATCAGTGTGGAGATGTCCATGCAGTTACTCTGCCCCTTGTGTTCTGAGTTACCAAGAGGGTGAGCCATTCCCGGCAGGATGGAAGAAATCCACCAGGAAGACAGTCACACACATCCATGACAACAGAAGGGATGCCAACAAGCAGATGGCAGGAGGGAAAATTCACTACACTTCTGGAGCAATTTGATAGCCAAGACTCTGTTCCCAGGGATAATAAATGCGGATATGCTGGAAAAGCGGTTGCCAGCCTTCCACAGGCCCCAGAAGGTGCCAGGACCCCTGACGCCCACTCTTAGAGTGAGACAAGCCTAGAGATGGCTGCTAACTCCCTGTGCCGGCTCTGTGTATGTCTGAAATGCTTATTCACGTGTGATGTCTGACTGAACCATTCCATTGACAGGTTGAGGGCAGCCAGCCAAGACTGGGGCGCCCACTCCTACTGATTCACATGGGGATGAGTCAAGAGAATCCAGGAGGTTTCTCCAGGAGCCTTGAAGTCTTGCGCAAGAACTGAGGAGTTGAGGTGAAGGCATTTTCCTCTTTTCTTCCAAATGAACAAAAGCTTTTTGACTGAAATATGGCCTATGGTCACTGTTAAAATCACTTAATGAACATTTGGAATGCATTAAAAGAAGTGACCTATCAAGGGATCCTGAATAGCCAAAATAATCTTGAAAAAGAACAAAAGTTTGAGGTCTCACACTTCCTGATTTTAAAACTTACTGCAAAGTTACAGTAATCAAACAGTGTGGTAGTGGCATAAAGACAGTCATATAGACCAGTGGAATAGAACAGAGAGCCCAGAAATAAACTATCATATATATAGTCAAATAATTTTCAACAGGGGTGCCAAAACTGTTCAATAAGGAAGGGACAGTCTTTTCAACAAATAGTGCTGGGAAAACTGAATATCCACTGCAAAAGAGTGAAGTTGGACCTTGATTTATATCATCTGCAAAATTTCACTCAAAATGGACCAAAGACCTAAATGTAACAACAAAAACTATAACATTCTTAGAAGAAAACATGGGAGAAAAATCTTCATGACATTGACCTTGGCAATTTTTTAGATATGACACCTAAAGCATAGACAACAAAAGAAAAAATAGATTAATTGGTTTCATAAAAATTAAAACTTTTGGGCATCAGTGGACACTATCAACAGAGTAAAAAGACAACTCATCGAATGGGAGAAAAATATTTGTAAATCATATATCTGAAAAGGGGTTAATACCCAGAATATGTAACAGAGGTCTACAATTCAACAATAAAAAGATAAACAACTTAATTTAAAAATGGATGAAGGATTTGAATGGTTATTCTCCAAAGAAGATATGCAAATTACCAATAAGCACATGAAGAGATTCTCAACATCACTAATCATTAGGGATCATTTCCCACCCATTAGGATGGCTATTGTTTTTTAAAAAACAGAAAATAGCGAGTGTTGGTCAGGATCTGGAGAAATTAGAACTCGTGTGCATTGCTGGTAGGAATGTAAAATGGTACAACCACTGTAGAAAACAGTATGGTGGTTACTCAAAATTACATATAATACCCAGCAAATCTGTGTGTATATGCCCAAAAGAATTGAAAACAGGGACTTGAACAAATATTTGTACGCCCATGTTCATAGCAGCATTAATCACAATAGCTAAAAGGTGGAAATAGTCCAATGTCTATCAACAGAATGGACCAATAAGTTGTGTTATACCCATACAATGGGATGCTATTCAGCCTTAAAAAGGAAGGAAATTCTGACACGTGCCATAGCATGGATTAAATCTGAAGATATTATGCTAAGTGAAATGAGCTAGATGCAAAAGGACAAATATTGTATGATTCCACTTGTACAGTTGGGTATCCCTAACACAGAAATCCAAAATCTGAAATCCTCCAAAATCCAAAACTTTTTGAATACTGACACAATGCCATGAATGGAAAATTATACCACCTGACCTCATGTGACAGGTCACAGATGAAATGCTGTAAAACTTTGCTTCCAGCACAGTATTTTCAGAAATGTTGGATAAAATTATCTTTGGGCTACATGTATAAGGTACATATGAAACAAATGAATTTCATGGATAGACTTGGCTTCCATCCCCAAAATATCTCAGTAGGCCTATGCAAGCATTCCAAAATCTGGAGAAAAAAAAAATCCCAAATCCAAAACACTTCTGGTCCCAAGCATTCTGGACTAGACTCACCCTGTATAAGATTCCTGGATTAGCCAAATTTACAGAGACAGAAAGTAGAATAGAGTTTACCAGGATCTCAGGGGTGGGGAACAATGGAGAGTTAGTGTTTAATGGGCACAGTTTCAGGGTGGCAAGATGAGAAAGTTTTAGAGATTGATGGTGGTGACGGTTGCACAACAATGTGAATGTACTTAATGCCACTAAACTGTCCATTTAAAAATGGTGAAGGTGGCAAATTTTATGTTATGCATATTTTACCACAATTTTTTTTTAAAAGAAGCAGGATAACAGAGTCAGGGAGGCCCCTTCCTCTGTGCTAATGGTCCCCTGTCTGGAACACAGGGTTCTAGACTAGTAGGTACCTTCTTGGGAAGGGACCACAAAAAGAGAGGTCAAGGATCCTGGGGTTGTGTTCCTGAGAGGACGGAACCCTGTCTTCTGGCAGCTGAAGGGCTGATGCCTAGATAGACACTGTGTTGTGTCGGAAACACTGGAACAGACAAGCAGAAGCCTCAGGGAGACTAGGGGGTTTAATTCCAGGAAGGCTTGACTCAAACCAAAGCTGGAGAAGCAACTGATGGGGGTTATGTAGAAGGGGTTCTTGTGACAGCAGGAGGTTGTCCCAACTAACCCCCACAATCCCCACAATCACAGGCTCTGACCTCTTAGGTGCCAGACTAATTGCCCTTGGTCATGTCCTACGCAAGGGGCAGGCAGAAAGCAATTGAACTGAGAATAAGGAGACCCACAGTCTAGTCCTAGCTCCATCAGCTATTGGCCATTTGACCTTGGATGGATCCCCACATCCCTGGGCCTCTGTGCACCCATCTCTGTAATCAACACCCTGCCTCCCCTTCCTCTCAGATCAAGGCTGGTATTGTTTACCAGGGTACAGTCTGCATACCACTGGTGGGACATAAGATGCTAGCAATGCTATATGAGATTTATCTAATGTTGTGAATTTATGTTAATATCTACTAGTGTATGCCTGACATTTATAGCAAATGATAACAGTTTTTTATGATAGTAATATCAACTTTCTTATTAAAATAAATTTATAAGTTAATGTAAGTTGTAAAAAGTGAGTTAAAGAAGTAGTAGTAATTAATAATGCAAGCAGTACTTGAATCAGGCAAAACTCTTGAAGATGAAATGTGAGTTACTGAAGTTTGAGAGCCCCCTAGATGGATTGAGGGAGCACAAACAACCTGCCTCTTCAGACCCCAGCAATAGATCCCCGAGTCCTGGAGATCAGACCCAGAAAACCAAAAGCCACAGCCATTTGGTTGGTCCTGCTTGATGTCTTGAAGATGCCAAATGTAGCGATTTCCACCAACAAATTGAGAAGGACTAAGAAATTGAACTTGGTTCTAGGATCTTCTATCCACAAAACTGTGAGGCTGATCAGCTTCTGCCTCCTTCCCTTGAAACCTCCTGTCTGTCTTTCATCATCTCTACCTTCTACCCAGTGGACCCCATTAAGGAAGAGGGCAGTCCTAAAGATGCCATTCCCTTTAAGGGGTTAGAGGTTGGGTACTTCCCCAGGAAGTGCATTTAAAGAAGAGCCTAGAGACGAAACAGTCATCTCCAGCGAATGTCAGGCACCGTACTGTGCAACAGTCCTGGTGCCCCCCAGCTCACCTTCTGTGCCTACAGGTAGGGCAGGCTCCCTCACACCTGTGTCTTGACGCATGAAATGCAAGATTCCCATTAGAGGAACACCTGGAAACCTGATCAAGGTCCAGTTCCCTCCACTCGACGAGGATCTGCCAATCACCTCCGTCAAAGGGTCAGTTGGTCAGCCTAGAACACCTCCCTTCCCTGAAGAGCAGGAATGAGAGAAGGTTCCAGTGATTGCCAGCCAGAACTTTGGGAACTGGCCCTTGAGGGTGGGGAGAGAGGAACAGGCTCCCTAACAGTCTGTCCCACTTTGGGGGCTGGTGGTATAAGTTCACTGAACATGCCCCCCTTTACTCTCTCCTGTTACTGTCCATATTGCATGTTTTGAAATATTTTACCTACCAAACTTCATGGATGAAATAATAGACCCCATTTTTATCATCGAAGTAGCAGCCAAATACCAAGTTGACGTAATTTCAGGTGAAAAGCAAAGAAATTTAACTTTTTCTTTACCAATGCAGTCATTGGAATATTTGAAGCCTGGGTGAAGTGGCTCACACCTGTAATCCCAGCACTTTGGGAGGCAGAGGCAGGTGGATCACCTGAGGTTGGGAGTTCGAGACTAGGCTGGCCAACATGAAGAAACTCCATCTCCACTGAAAATACAAAAATTAGCCGGGTGTGGTGGTGTACACCTGTAGTCCCAGCTACTCAGGAGGCTGAGGCAAGAGAATCACTTGAACCCGGGAGGTGGAGGGTGAAGTGAGCCGAGATCGTGCCATTGCACTCCAGCCTGGGCAACAAGAGGGAAACTCCGCCTCAAAACAAAAACAGGAAACAAACAAACAAACAGAAAAAAACCATTGGAATATTTGAACCCCTTTTTCATTCCATTCTCTGGAATCCAGCCTGGAAATACTAAGAACCTAATGCCCTCTAGCCTGTGAAGGAGCTGGGGGCCCAGGAAGCCTCATACAAAGACTAGGTCAGGGGGTGTCTACCCTGAGGATTCTTGTGGAACCCTGAAGAACCACTGAGTTACATGAATTGTTTCTCATGATGACTTTTCAGAGGCTCTTCTCCTGACAGTGGAACCCTGGATTTTTGAGTGACCAAAGCAGGTCAGATGAGCTGAAAAGTGGCAAGTTTGACAGTGTGCTAACGATTGATCATAGTAGAGGTTGGATAAAGAATTAAAGATGCTTAATGTTTGTGGAAGAACCTATGAAATTCACCCCAGTTGAAAAAACAGGTGAAGGGCCCAGGCAAAAAATTCTTTCTCTCTCTCTCTCATACTCACACACAAACACACACACACACATAAAAATTGCCAATAAATGTATGAAAAAAGTTCAACCTCACCAGTAATCAAAGAAAGGACATCAAAAATCCCCTTTAATTATCCAACTGGATAATCAAACAATACTACCAAATGTTGGCAAGGGTGAGGGACATGGGCACCCTTACACAGCTGGTAATACTGTGCAAAGATACACCCTATCTAGAGCAATTCAGAAATGTCCCTCAAAAGCTTTAAGCATGTACATTCCACTTGACTTAGAAATTCCACTTAGGAGTTTATCTTAAGGAAAGAATCATAAACCTGTGCAAAGATTTAGGTGAAGTATTTATAATAGCATTGTTATAATAGCAAAAATTTTTTAGAGGGGGAGCACAGTACAAATGTCCAATGATAAGGGATCCAGTGAATAAATGATGGTATCTCCATGCTCCAGGGCACCACAGAGCCATTCCAAGGAGGGGTGTCGAGCAATATTTAATGGCACAGAAGTAGTCATGCTGTGAAACGGGGTGTTGCACCAGCCCATTCATTTAAACTATATATGCATAAAAAAGACTAGAAATGAAGACATAAAAATGTCACCAGTGTTGTTTTTTCAAGTAATGGAATTACAAGTATTCTTCATGTTTGCATATATCTATTTTCTAAATTTTCTACAATGATCAAATTTGGTTTCTATAATCAGAGAAAAGATCAATAATGTGTTTTAAAAAGAATCAATGGCCGGGCACGGTGGCTCATGCCTGTAATCCCAGCACTTTGGGAGGCCGAGGTGGGTGGATCACCTGAGGTCAGGAGTTTCAGACCAGCCTGGCCAACATGGTGAAACCTCGTCTCTACGGTAAATACAAAAAATTAGCTGGGTGTGGTGTCAGGCACCTGTAATCCCAGCTACTCAGGAGGCTGAGGCAGGAGAATCACTTGAACCCAGGAGGCAGAGATCACAGTGAGCGAAGATTGTGCCATTTCACTTCAGCTTGGGCAACAAGAGTGAAACTCCATCTCAAAAATAAATAAACAAATAAAATAAAAATAAAATAATCAATGAAGTTGTAAGTTATGATGATAGGAATCACAGAGGAACAAGTCAAGTGTCAAGTTTAGCTGGGAGGTAGAAAATTGGAGATACAGAAATTGAGAGCTAAAGCCCATCAAGACAATGGATAAAGGGTGGAGCTTGGAGTACACGCTGGAAGGCAGACTCCAACAAGTGTGTTAGCCTTCTGTTGTTCAACTGAGTGATTGTAGGAAGCCACTTCTCATCTCCTGGCTCCAAAGTCCCTTCCCCTCTCATGGTCCATGACTCTATGAGAGCAGGGTATTCTGGTGATGGTGCCGGCAATGTAATGCCCCCCTTTTTGGAAAAGCAAATATGTTCTGTGATGGGATGAGATGAGGCCAGAACTTTGGGGGACAAATGTATCTGCCTCCCATTATTCCCGTAAAATTAAAATGATCGAATTTAAGGCCTTTGCCCAGAGATGTCACTTGAAATAAGTTGTTTTACTCCTCATAAAATCAGGAGGAGTCAGAGGGCAGCATGATGAGCTCTGGCTGCTGCAAGCTCTGATTCCTACCCACTATGCCTTGGCTGTAACTCACCTGCCTTGGGCATCGTAAGAAAAGAAAAAGGATAGGAAAATGGGGAAGGCTGCCTTGATCTCAAAGGGGACTTCCGATAGATACCCCATCAACAAGAATCATTGAGAACACAGGATTTGCTCAGGGCTGTGCCTATCCTTCCATCATGCCTCCAATCCCTCTTGTATTTCCCACCTCCTTGAACCCCTAGAGCATAAAAAGTTGCCCATAGGAAGACCCCAGGAAGATATGGGGCTTCCCCTTGGCCCTAACCAACAGGAAGGCCCTGGAGGCATGCCAAGATGAGGTAGGTGAGACTGCCCAGAGCAAGACAGGCACGATTCTTTCCTGGGTGAGCCCAGCCCAGCTAGGGAGGGATGGCAGGCAGGCCAGCCTAGGCACTGACCTCTGGGCATGTCCATGGGGTTGAAGCTGGCCAGCAGGTCACGGCACCACTGGCGGTCACCTTCCACCTTGCTCAGCCAGTTGTTGCAGTTGAAGTAGTAACGGAGATGAGGCCTCTTCATGTCGGTCACAATCACATGGTCCAGGTACCAGCTGGCATTCAAGCCCGTGTTGTCATGCTCAATCCTGAGGCAGAAGCCAAGGCCCACACCATCACTGGCAGAACTGAAACAGCACCCCTTCCATACTGGAATACCCAGATGTTTACTCCAAAGAGAGGTCCAATTATTCTGTTGTTGTTGTTACTTTATCTCCTGAACCTCGGTTTCCTCATCTATAAAATGGGGATACCTTGCAAGCTGGATGTGCACATTACTGAATGTTACACTGTTATATTGCATGCAAGGAAATATTAACTATCGCCTTTCACAGAAAATCCAAGATCCCTAGGGCTTGCCGTGGGATCATCTTGATCTTCCCCTTTGAGGTCCTGGCTATTCAGGTCTGTTTCCTTACCCTGGCCTTTGAAAGCAGTGAGCCTCTCCCACTCTGGCTCAAGCACGGATACACACAACACTTCTTGATATCCAGCTGAGTCAAGGTCAAACAGGACAGTAAAGGGAAAAGATGACAAGGGAATCCCCAGGAAGCAGAAGCCAACTAGACCACCTGATTTACAGGACACAGCTTATACCCTGGGGCTCAACCGCCTCTCCCATTGCTGTGAGATGATTAAGTGTGTCCCTCTCTTCATCATGACTCCTGGACCTGGACAACAAGCAGATACTCCCCTTAGTCCTACAATCCAGAGGACCCCTATGGCCATCTAGACCAGGGTGGTCCCATAGACATAACATGAGTCACACATGTGAGCCACAGATGCAATTTAAAAGTTTCCTAATAGCCACATGTAAAAAGATCCAAAGAAACTGGTAGAATTTTAATAATATGTTTCATTTAATTCCATTTACCATCTCAACATATAATTATGTAAAAATGTATTAATGAGCTATTTTTTCATTCTTTTTCTTGTACTAAGGCTTCAAAAATCTGCAGTGTATTTTATATAGGTAGCACGCCTCAATTTGGATTAGCCACATTTCAAGTGTAATAGCCACATATGGTCAGGGGCTACTGCACTGGGCAGTATAGATTCAGACTCTTCAAAATCTGTCCCTAAAATCTTCTAACACTTCCCATAGCCCCCTCTATCTCCTCTCCAACGTCCAGTTTCTTGACCCCTGGACCTCACTTTGCATCAAACATCTTACCCCTGTGAGGCTTTATCCTTGCAGTTGTTAACAGGACAACCACAGCTCAATACAGCACACAACCCCAACAGACAGATGAAACCCATGATACACCAGGCCCTTCCCTTGGAAGGATGTATGCCTCTGTCTGGCACAAAGTCTGGCACATAGTAGGACCTCAGCTAGAGGTCGCCTTTACTCACACAATGACACCCCTTCCCAATCTCCCCTGCAAGAGCCCTTTCCCTGCTCGTAACCTCCTTCCCTACACTTAATCAATACCCAGGATATTCATGTGCCCCTTATTTCCCCAGCAAAGAGAGTTCGTGATATTGTATTTTCTAGCAGAAGGGATAAAAAATCAGGACTAAACTGAGGCTGCATTTGACCCCTGTCCAGCCTTAGTCTGGGTGCAATCAGACCACAAATGAACATCTGACAATGGGCATGAACTTGAATAGGGGTGGATGGCAGGGACTAGGAAGGGAAAAGGGAGGCAATTGAAGGCTCTTCCTCTGCCATTGGACTAGTAATCTCTCCTTATACCTTCACAAGAAGCCCCCAGAGAGGGCAAGACTGCGGATGCTCTCTGTCCAAAGACATGCTGCAACAGGACTTGGTATCTCTACCACTTGCTGAGTGTTTACTGTGTGCCAGTTACTGTTCCAAGCACTAACTCATTGAGTCCTAGGGTTATCACCGATGAGGCACCATTTTTACAGATGAGGAAACTGAGGTTTGGAGAGATAACCTGTCCAAAGTGGCACAGCTAGTAAATAACAGAACGGACACTTGAACCCAGGCACTCTGGACTCAGAGTCTCTGCCCCTAACCACTATGCTATAATGTCTCTCACAGCATATTCTCAAGTTTGTAAAAATTTGTCTTGAAATGTCTTAACCCAAAAAAAATGAATCTCCAGTGGGGAAGTTTAGGGCACTGTGATTCAGGATGACAGGGAAAGATTTGGGCCTTTGGTAGCCCCTCAAATAACATCTGGGAAGTAATTCATACCCAGAAATTGTCAATATTGAAGTCAATCCCTCACTTTCATCTCCACCCTCAATCCTAGTCAGGCGCCAGCTTCTCACCTGACTTTATAGATGAGGCCCACATTGTTGGTTCTCACCCGGAACACATCGACGTTGCCCTTCTCAAAGGCAGACTTGCTCCTGCAATGAACACGTGCAGTTAGTGCAGATCAGCTGTTGGCTCACAGGCCTGGGAGGAGAGCCAAGGGCTGGCATTCCGCTTCTTCCTCCATCATCCCACTCCTGGGGAGAGCTATGAGCAACAAGATCCCATTCCAAGATTCCCTTCTGACATGGTTCCCAGGGGAGGGCAGGGACTGCTAGTATCATTCCGTGCCCTCACACCCAGGTTCTCATTTGATCCTTGCTGTGAGTCACTAAAACAAGCACACAGACAATATCAGCCCCATTTTACAAACTGCTAGTTGGTAGCAGAGCTGGGACCAGAACCTGGCTCTCCCAGTCATGACCCCATGCCCTTTGGCTGCTCTGGGTTGGGTGGATGGAGGAGGAAGGAAGGAATAAACACCTTAGGACTCTTTGGCCTTCTTGCCACTCCCCATCACTGGCCTTGCTTTTGCTGGGAAAAGTTGCAATGGCAGCCCCAAGTAGATGCAGACCTTGGGTGGCAGTCCATGGTCCTGCCATTCCAACAAGAAAGAAAACACTCAACCCCAAACCAACAGCCAGGGAAGTAGGGCAGTGAGGGAAGTGCATCTCTGGCATCCTGCAAATGGTGTGAACAGAAGAAAGTACACCTGAGACATCAGCCGTGAGGCAGCCAGGCAAGTCCAGATTCAGGAGCATCCTAAGTACAGTGAGCATAGACACAGGAGGGCTGCAGCAGCCTCGCCACAGAATCCTCTGGGAGCAGAAGTTTGAAGCTCATGTCAACAGCTGTTCCATCCTGTGTGCAGGGCCGGGGCCCCTGCCATTTGAGCCCCGGCCTGCCAGCAGCTCTTGCTGTCCCCAGTTTATCCCACTGGGCTGAGAGCTGCAGGCCTCACTCAGCGCTCTCAGCCAGGACTCTCAGGAACAGCACACAGCTCATGGGAAAGGAAAATCATAGAAGATGTGTGCCATCACAGAAGATTTATCCACCATCGACGTCTTTTAAAATAAAGCGGAAGGGGAAGGGCCTTCTCCCCAAGGCATCAGGCTCAGACTCTCTTGGTAATAGACGGCTTTTAAGGTTCTACAGAACCCAGGAGCTGTGATTCTGTGAACGGACTCATGGTGTCAAACAATCTGCCCTAGGAAGAAGTTTCCTTAACTCCAGACAAAAATGTACATGGAGGCAGCCTTGTCAGGGAAAAGAGACCCCCACAGGATGCAGCCTGGGTGCAAAGGATGAGGAGGAGAGAGGCACAGAACCTTCTGAGTTTGCTGGAGTGAAAGGGGTGACACCCAGGCTTGCTGCAGGTACCTTAGGAAGGGAGGGAGGAAGCAGGGCAAAGTGCCCAGAGTTTCTACTCCACCATTGGCAAAATAAAGACAGAGAATGTCGACTGTTAGCTCCTGATGAAGAGCAAGGAAAATACAAAGTTTTCTCCACGAAGCACCAGTAAATCCTCCTGCCCAGGAAAATAACTTACCAGACCAAGCACTTAAAGGGAACTAAATCAAACTAGCAATCGTGAGGGTCTGCCTGATGTGGGAATTTCACTTTCAAAGGAGAATAACAACACACCCCATGCTTTCGTTCAGAGTCACAGCAGCTGTCAATAACTTGGAGAATGTGTGGACATTGTTTCTGCACATCAGGATTATATAAATGGGAAACAAAAAAAAAGGAATAAGAGGGCTTTTCTCTTCCAATATATAAGACAAGGCAAGTGATCTTTAGAATAAATAGACAAAGCCTCTCCATCAAATAAACACCCTAAGAAACAGTCACCCTGGGAAGCTATATAATGAAATACTTTGCAACCATTAAAAATCCTATTGTAAAAAAAAATACTTAATGAAACAGAAATAGGTTTATAATATAGGCTTAAAAGAAAAGGTAGGTTAAGACCAGAATGTACAAACAGAATAATCAATACAAACAGGATACCATCTTCATTTAAAAACAATGGAGTGAGAAGATTTACTTTTAAAAAATCATGTCTAGATGTTGAGGCCATTATGAAGTGTTGGCTCCTTGTTCTTGTCTATATACATTTTTAACTTTCCAAAAGGAACACATATTGTTTCTGTAATTATGAAAAAAGCACAATCCCATGTTTCAGCAACTCCCCCATCCCCAGCCCAGCCTGCAGGCTGCCTGGATCAAATTCTTTGGAAGCTGTTTGGGAATTACTGGGCTTCATCTTCTGATGGTGCCTGAAATTTTAGAAACAGCCATTGCCAGCAAGTAGGGGAAAAGGAAGGGAAGTATCCCCATTTTTAGCCAAAGACAAGGTGTGACTTGGAAGGAAAGCAGCTGGCTTTCTGGGGTGCTTCTGATGAAAGTTCCAGAAAAGAAGCTCCAACAGTTGCATTCAGTAAAGGAAAGCTCCAGAAAGGCCCTGCACCCATGACGGTATCATTTAAGAATGTGGCAGATGTGATGGCTTATGCCTATAATCACAGTGCCTCGAGAGGCCAAGGCAGGAGAATCATTTGAGGCTGGGAATTGAAGACCAGCCTGGCCAACATAGCAAGAGATAGCTCTACAAAAAAATTTAAAAATTGGCTGGGCCTGGTGGTGTGCACCTGTAGTCTCAGTTACTCAGGAGGCTGAGGCGGGAGAATCACTTGAGCCCAGGAATTTGAGGTTGCAGTGAGTGAGCCTTGATCTTGACACTGCACTCCAGCCTGGGTGACAGAGTGAGACCCTGTCTCTAAAAAAGAAAAAAAAAAATGTGAGTTATCTCCATTACCTTCCAGTGACCAGGCTGAACGTGAATACATACGTTCCAAAGCATTTGTGAAACAATCCACCATGGCATGGCGCTTTATAGTCACTTGCTGGGGGGTGGGGAGGAGCGTATGTGGAAGCAGGGACACCAGGGAGAAGATCCACCAGGATGGACAGAGCAAGAGCAGAGGGAGTGCTCCACGCTGTCTCAGGACTACACTGGAATATTTCTGGGTTCCGCAGTGCTTATGAGATGGACACCAATCTCTTTTTGGAAGACAAGGGGAAGGCTTTCCACATCACAAGAAGAGGAGGAAAGAGTGGCAGAGGCAGGGCTCTTCTGATTCCCTTCACTCAGGGTCAGGGCTGGGATCATCCCAAATAAGCCCCCAACTCAGGATTAGCTTCTGAAATCCTCACATCTGGATTGCAAATGCCTGTGGGTTTCAGAAAACTGGGGGTAGGAAAGAAATAGAAAGGAGAGAGGGTTTCGGGTCAAAGGAAATCTTAGAAATCTTCATGTTTCCTTGCAGAAGCCTGGAGCCTCACCAAGGCCACTGGTCGATTCTCACATAAAGGCTAAGGCAGTGCACAGCCCCTGCCATTCAGCAGGAACCCCCACACGGAGATCCTTTACAGGCTGCACGGGGCATTTTAGCCATCAGCCAGCAGAGCCATCGGGCTAAAATGCCAGGCATTCTCTGACACACTCAGATGGTGAATTTTCAACCAAATAACCATGTTCCAGACGATACATGAGATCCCATCCTTTTGCCATATTCTGAACACATGACTCAGAGCTGGAGGTGGCCCTGGTTAATGGGGAAGAGTGCGAGGAAACCCAGAAGATGGGGCCTTCTTCTGGCAGCCACTGCTGTGGGTGCTTAACTGGGGTGGGGTCGGGGTAGAGGTTCACTAATGGGGGAATCTAAGTCCACTGAGTACCAAGGAATGTAGGCACCAGACCACAAAGGCAAAGAAAATCAGCACTGGTACTGAAGTTCCTCTTGGAGAAGGAATTATTCTGTACTAGGAAAAAAAAAAATCCTAATACAGCATTTGGGAGTGAAAGTGAAGACCTGGGGCACAGAAGGAAAGGCACAAGAATGACAAGAATTGAGGGGTGAGAAAGAAGAAAGAGAATGTGGGAGAAGCAGGAGGGAGAGGTGGGATGAGACATGACGAGAGATCACGGAGGACAGGTCAGGAGAAACACCATGAAAGAGGATGGCCGAGCTGTAAGACTGAGGCTCTAATATTCCTTTTTAAGTTGTTTGCATTGCTGCAGTGTGAACTCTCTCTGGGGCCAGGGGCTATCAGTGAAGTGTGTTACACACAAATATGCATGTGTGTGTGTATTATAGGTGAGCAAGGAAAATGCAGTTGGTTCTAGCTGCCCCTGGAGGTTTGGGTTTGGATAACACAGTGTGGAGGGGATGGGAGGGCAGCAGACAGTGAGGTGCGAGGAGACTGTGGGACCAGTGGATATTCTCAGCCAGATCCCAGGATGGGGTGGGGCAGCCGATGGCCTGAGATAACTGCATCTAGACCTCACGGAGCAAGGGGACCTCAGCTGCCATATGTTCTGGGTTGCATGGGCAGCCTGGAATTCCTCAGAAAGCAATGCCCCTCCCAGACCTGCAGTTTCCATCTTGAATAGAAAGGTCTTAGATAGCAAGGACCATGTCCTTCAATGCTCTTTGAAGGCCTTTTCTCAGTTCTTGTCACAGCCAGACTCTGGCCTCCTCCTTCCCCACTCGTCCTGCTCACTGTGCTCAGATGATCTCTGTTGATACGGTAAGTTGAAACTCCACCGGTCAGCTTTCCAGCAAGGCCTTCTTCAGCCTGGCCTTCCAGACCTTTCTGACTTTCCCCCTCCCTGCCCATCAACATGGCCCCACATTCCCAGCTACAGGCCTCCTCTGCCCCCATCAGCCCGCAGCGCTCATTGCTGCCTCCAGACTTTGGCAATCTGTTCCCCTCAGTCTAAAGGACCCTCTTTCTTCCTCTCTCATCTGAGTTATTTTCACCACTTAAGACCCAGATTAAGTGTCTGTCCCTTTAAAGTCTCGCTCTAGCCACACTGATACCACTGGCCTTTGCCGAGCTCTGACTATATACACAGAACTGGGAGAGATGCTGGCAGCACAGAGCAGACCTTCCCCCAGGCCATCCTCCAGCTCCCTCCATCACTCCTCGAAGCCCCTCTCCAGCCCCACAGCTGGAACTCCGAACTGTGTCCCCATCACTGAGACCACCCATTCTGCTCTAGAGCACTCCTGACCAGCTGGATTGGGGCCCTGGCCAGACCTATGCTCTTGCTGCCCAACCTGGAACATGGTCCATATATAGGCAGAGACTACCACCAGTCTCTGGGGCCAACCCCTGGGGTAATTGGGGAGGGTTGATTCCCATCCTCAGGGCTGCCCAGGAGAAGCTGGCTGCCCCATGGGATCTCAGCAAAGCCAGGAGGTCCCAGCCCTGCCAGCTCATTCATGCCCTAGACCCCCTTCAGACCCCATGAGAGGGAAGGCTGGAACCCGAACTCCTGGGAATGGAGGCTCAGTGGAAATCCATGCCATGTTATAAAGGGTGGCTCAGGGGCCCTTCCTGAGAAGACCTTTTGACAAATGAAAAAGGGGAAGAATCTGAGGATGCTGAATGTGTGAAAGGAGGGAAGGCAGTTAGGACCACCATCAAAGGAGAAAAGGATTCATTTTGTTTTAAAAGGAAAAGCTGGGAACTTCAGAAACCAACCGGGCGACTCCCTAGTGTTTGAGGCTTCTCCCTACAGCAGTGCACTCTGGGAACACATGGCAAAGAGGATGGAGGTTTCATGTATTCTCTTTACCGTGCCCACATCATCGGACGGAAAGACTTCTGCAAGCGAGTCAAACTGCAGTGTAAGCGGTACAAGAAGGCAGGTACCCTGTTCTGTGGAAATGGATAAAATGGGACGTTATACCTGCCTCGATGCAGCAGCATGGACGCTATAGCCCATGTCACGTGGGGCCTGGCCAGCCCCCAAGGTACAGGGTGCAGGGATCTCCTGGCTTCTACAGCTTCCTCTGCCAGCCCTGGAAGTGGCAGGTCATTAACCCCAGGGTCACAATCTGGAGCCCCAGGATGTCTTAAGGAGCATCTTCCTGGGACACACTCCCTTAAGGAGCACACTCCCTGGGACCATAGGGTCATGTGGTCAAGGGAAATGTCTACATCAATAATGTGAGGTTTGAAGGCCAGGCACAGTGGCTCACACCTGTAATCCTGGCACTTTGGGAGGCTGAAACGGGCAGATCACTTAAAGCCAGGAGTTCAAGACCAGCCTTGCCAACATGGTGAAACCCCGTTTCTATTAAAAATATGAAAAATTAGCCGGTTATGGTGGCACACGCCTGTAGTTCCAGCTACTCCGGAGGCTGAGGCAGGAGAATCGCTTGAACCTGGGAGGTGGAGGTTGCAGTCAGTTGAGATTGCACCACCGCACTCCAGCCTGGGCGACAGAGCGAGACTCCATCTCAAAACAAAACAAAACAAAAACAAAAACAAAAAACAATCAAACAAAAAAAAACGTGGGGTTTAAGGACGAGCTTCACCATTGAAAAGCTCCATGACTCTGAGCTACTCATGCCTTTCCAGGCTTTGGTTTCCCCATGAGCAGATTAGAATAGAGCAGCAGTTTTCAAATGTTTCATGGACTCAGACCAGCTGATCAATTCTGTTCCATTCAGCACAGTTTGAAAACCAGCTGAACAGACCACTCCTGAGGCCCAAAACGTCTCTGAAATTCCAGTCGTCTGCTAACATGTTCTCAGGTTTTGCATGTATGTTGGTGTATGCGTGCATGCAGTGGGGGGAAAGGATCCGAAGGAGACAACGGTCCCAACTCTCACTAGTTATAATAAAAAAGAGCACACAAGGCATACACACGCACAAGCACACACACAAGCAATCCCTGCGGCTAGCTGAGTGTGCAATGGCTGGCAGGCAGGTTTAACACAACACTGGTCCCTGGTGAGACCTTGTATTTTATGCTCACAGCTCCCTCAGATGTATGGTCTTCCCGATATCTGTGTGATGATATATGAGGAAACCAAGGCCCCGAGTGCAGAGAGACTGGGCCAAAGTCACACGGAACTAAGGAACAGCTAATATGGGACAGCTAATATGGATTCTTGGGAATTCTGAGATCCATAGGAGGCATTACCGTCCAAAAGAATCAAGAGAGGAGCTGAGGGAGGTGCACCGGGGGATCCCCAGCTGGTACACGGTCTGTCATTAGCAGAGGCTTCATACCACTTAATAACCTGTGGTCAGATGTGCCTTCTCCCCAGAGAAGCAGGCCACCCTTGGGTCCCAGAACCTAATCAACAGGACTAATGGCCCAGGATCCCACCAAGGCCAAGTGGGTACTCACTTGCTGGTGAGCTGGAGCTTGGGAGAGAGCCCATTCTCTCCAAAAAGCGTGATGAAGACATTGGCATCCGTCCCTGCACCGCGAACATCCCCCGTGGCTGTGACCACTTCATACACTGGAGGAGGAGAGGAGGAGACAGATTGCAGGCTCAGAAAAAAACCGGAATCCTGTGTGGGCCTGGAGAATCCAGCCCTTGCTGGGGAGGCCCAAGCACAAAGGACTCTTGGAATCCCTGCTGCATCCTGTAGGCCTCTGAGCCATGGTGAGACCCACGATATGTCCTGCTGCAAGATCAAAACTTCACATTTAAACCATGCACTCGTTTTGCACACGAGGAGGCTGAGGGCAAGAGGGCAGGTCCTGCACGTTATCAACACCAGAGCCCGGCCCAAAGCCTCCAGATGCCCATTCTGTAATCTTTCCAGCACAACACACTGATACCCTCCTAGACATGGCCTTCTTCAGAGCCTGCACCCAGCTCCCAGCTTCCTCTCTGCCCTCTACACAAGGTGACTGTGGCCAGCCCTCACCTCCCATGACCTCCTGGGCACTGACATTTCAGTCTCAGAATAAGCCGTCCCAGGGCTGGGTGTGCAGAGCTTTGCAGGGGGTCCTTCTTTGGCAGGGGCTCTGATTTCTGTCTCCTCAAACCCTTGAAGCTTATTCTGTTTACTGTCAACACCTTTCTTATTCAGGGCATCAGTACAATTATAGCCCTATCGACTTCCTGGAGAGAGAAGGCAAGAATGCATCTGGATTCTTAGAGACAGCAGAATCTACTCTAGCCAAGTGAAGCAAGCAGGATGCAATAGAGATATTAGAAGGCTTGCAGAAGTTTTGGAAAGGCTGGAGGCATGTGCTCTATACCCATTTCCAGAAGCAACTCCTGGAATCACAGCACAGAACTAGCCTGGGGAAGGTTGCTGCCACCAGCCACCCTAGAGCCACATCCCCTCCGCCAAGAGCAGAAAACAGCCCACCATCACCTCCCTGTCCTTCTGCTACTCATGTCTCCAAAATAATTCCTTGTCCCCAGCTCATTCCATTATGAGATTTTCACTTCTGAGTCAAAATCTTGCACTGGAACAGCCAGTTCTGGAAATCTAAGGTACATGTCTGTACCAAAGTAGGCTGAGAAAATAATAATTCCACGTTGGGAAGATGGAATTTACAATGTGGAGAGTCAGCAAAATGTGGGGAGGGTGTTTTAAATATTTGGGGCATATGATCTATGTCCACCACATCACTGGATTGTATTAATACAAGTACTTAATAATTGTAGTAATAAACAACATTGAGTGGTTGCTTACTGTATGCCCTGAGCTAAGGGCTTACATGTATGATTGTACCTGATTATCACGGTAAACCTATAGTTATTTCTACTTCCGGTCTTTTCAGAGCAGATCCCCAACCAGATGCTGAGTATATTTGAGTGGCCCCAAAGACGCCCAGCTGATTAGGAGGATATTTTGAAGTTAGACATTCGTTATTCAAACCTGTCAATTCAGAGCCCATTCCACAGAGGGCACAAGTGGCAAAGTGTGAGGGAGAATGGGGGAGGAAGGAAAAACATAAATAACGTGGAGTGTTGTGTGCTAGGCACCTTGGCAGGTACTTTACAGATATCATTCATACTTCAGCATGCCCAGAGCCAGTGTGGGCTGGTAGAAAGTACTGGACTCCAGAGCCACAGAGACCTGGATGCAGCCATTGGCTCCTCCACTTTGAGCAAGGTGACCCTGGACAAGTGCCAGCCTCTCTGTAACACCTGAACGATCTTACCTGGTTTGCAGGGCATTCTGGGGATTAGAGATGATGTATGAAAAGCCTCTGGCACACAGAAGAAACTCAACAAATAGTAACCTGGTTTTAAAACTACCGTTCATACGGAAAAGCCTATTTCAACTTTGAGAGCTAAGAGTTTGTTCTTTTGGCAGATTAGATGTAGCTCAACTAACATGCACACGATCCACAGATATTCCAGAAGCCCTGCAGGAGACCTCTCATTCTCATGTGGTCCTTACAGGCCTGTGAGGCACCAGGATCAGGAGTGTTTTGGGGTGAGTGGACCTTTTGATCTCCTTGGTTCTGATGAAGGTCCCCATCGAGGCACCATTAGGGGGAGAAAAGCAGCCATATATTTGCACAACTCCTTGTCTTTTGTGATAACCAAAGCCTTAATTCTTAATAGTCTATACCACAGGGAGGCTGATCAACCCCCGGAGCCCACTCCTGACTCCTCTCAGCACAGACCTGGGACCTGACATGTTGCCCACACAGCTTGCACATAAAGGCATTTCCAAACCAAATGCCCACAGGATTTCCAGCCTGGTGGAAATTCTAGAGCCACACCACATGAGAGAAGACATAGACACCGGAGAATGCTTGGTTTGGAGAAAAGGAGAGGAGCATTGGAGAGGCATAGGAGAGGAATGAAAAACTAGTCAATAGTTGATTCTGGGATGCACAGCTACTTCTTAAATGGACACAAACCATTAAAAAAAACTGACAAATTGGACTTCATTAAAATTGAGACCATCGAGAGAAAGGCAAGCCAGAGACTAGGGAAGGTATTTGGAATGCGTATATCCAACAAAGCACTCAGAGCCAGAAGATACCAAAAATTCACATCAATCAATAAGTAAAGGAGGGAACCACACTATTTTTTCAATGGGCAACAAGTTTTTAAGAAGATAAGTGTACACTTAATACCCAGAAATTCCACTTTTAAGTCTTTACCCAAGAGAAATGAAAGTGTGTTCCCACAAAGACCTGCACACAAATGTTCATAACAGCTTTATTCCTAATAGACCCAAACTGGAAACACCCTAAACGCCCATCAACAGGGGCATAGATAAACGAACTGTGGTATATCTGTACAACAGAATGCTACTCAGCAATAAAACAAAATGAACTCCTGATGCACAATACAGATGACTCTCAAGTGCATTCTATGCACAAGTCAGACACAAAACACAACATACTTTATCATGTCATTTATATGAAACTCTAGAAGAGACCAATCTAATCTATTGTAGCAGGAAGCAGAAATGTGGTTGCCTGGGGTCAGAAGTAGGGGGGACTGACTGGGAAGGAACACAGGGAACCCTTGAGGGCCAATTTAAATGGTCCATGAATTGATTTCCTAGTGGATGCAAGAATGTAGAACTCACCAAACAGAACATTTAAAATAGGTGTATTTTATTATAAATAAATTATACCTCATTGAAGTTGAAAAATGGACAAAAGACTCAAACAGACATACCACAAAAGAGGATAGCCACATAGCCAATAGACATATGGAAAAGTTCTCTGCCTATTTATCAGGGAAATGCAAATTAAAACTACAATGAGACACTGCCATGTACCCACCAGAATGGCTAAAAATAAGAAGACTGACAATACCAAGTATGGGCAAGAAGGTGGAGCCATTGTCACTCTCATACATGTAAATTGATCCAAGCACTGGTAACTAAACATATGCTCACTTGTGACCCAGCAATTCCACTTCCAATTATAAATCTAAGAGAAACAAGTACATGTGTTCATCAGAATATGTGTACCAGATTTGTAGTAGCTTGACTTGTAATAGCAAAAAAACAAAAACAAAACCCCAGAAATAACCCAGATGTTCATTGACAATGGAATGGCTAAGTAGACAGTGGTGTATGTATCAAATGCAATAGTAATCAGCAATAAAAAAGAACAAACTATATATTGTGTCACACGTGGATAAATCAGATATAACGCTGAAAGAAAAGCTAGACCCACACAAATGTGCACACTGTATGGTTCCATTTAAAAGTTCAAGAACAGGCCAGGAGCAGTAGCTCACACCTGTAATCCTAGCACTTTGGGAGGCCGAGACAGGCAGGTCATGAGGTCAGTTCAAGACCAGGCTGACCAACGTGGTGAAACCCCGTCTCTACTAAAAATACAAAAATTAGCCAGGCGTGGTGGCGCACACCTGTAATTCCAGCTACTCAGGACGCTGAGGCAGGAGAATTGCTTGAACCTGGGAGGCAGAGGTTGCAGTGAGGCGAGATCACGCCACTGCACTCCAGCCTGGGTGACAGAGCGAGACTCCATCTCAAAAAAAAAGTTTAAGAACAGGAAAAAGACTAATCTATGATGACAGAATCGGGAGATTTGTCGCCTCTGAGAAGGGGTGTGAAGGAGCATTCTGGGGGCTGGAAATATTTCATATTCTGATCTGAATACTGGTTGCACAGGCATGTGCATATGTAAACGTACCTTCATAAGTTTTGTTCTGTATATACAATATTGCTCAAGTTTAAAATTTTAACTTAAAGAAAAACTCAATTCAAATAACTGAAGAACTATCTTGTAGAAGACAGATACCTTGTGGAGGACACAGAATTCTGTTGAACTCCAGATGGGAAGACCCCCACTAATAAAGTTTCCAAGTCAGCACAAACAATTGTCAATCTGTTGCTCTTAGCAACAGCCCAGCACATGAGAGACAGTCAAATAATTATCTGGATGAATGATCATATGAATGAATGAAACAATCAATGAATAAATATGGAACAAAACTGACCAGGATTTGAAGCCCAGTTCTACCATTATTGGCTATGTGATTTCAACCAAATGGTTTACTAAGCTTCAATTTCCTCATCTCTGAAGTAGGAATAAATTCTTCCTTGAAGGACTGTGATAAGGATTAAGTAAAATAGCTTTCAACTCTTAAACTCATTGACCTAGAAGTTACATTTCTGGGAATTTACCTTATAGGCATTCTTCCACAGTTGCATGAAAAGATAGGCATTTCATAAGTGGTTACTATCATCATCATCACCATTGCTATAGTTTGAATATGTCCCCTCCAAAATTCAGGTGTTGCCATTGTGATAGTATTAAGGGGTGGGGCCTTTAAGAGGTGATTAGGCCATGAGAGCTTCCCCCTCGTGAAAGGGATTGGGTGCCGTTATAAAGGGGCTTGTCCTTCTGCCTATTGCCATGTGGGAACACAGCAAGAAAGTTCTCACCAGATACTGGCACCTTGATCTTGGACTTCTCAGCCTCCAGAATTTTTGAGGAAGAAAAAAAAATATGTTCTTTATAAATCACCAGTCTCAGGTATTCTGGCATAGCAGCACCAATGGACTAAGAGAGAAATCATTGCTATCATTTCCATTGACAACATCCCCAAGGAAGCTGCCTTGGAAAATTGCATCCCAACAGATGCTGGGGGACTCCTGTCTAGGATGCAGGAGAGGAGATGCCTCCGGGGCTGGAAGCCTGTGCAGGGTGGCCTCTGAGGCCCCCTTCTACTCTCCAGTTCTGGAATGAGTTATTCTTCCCATCATGGGCCCTGTCTTAGGAGAGAGAGCAATGTGCCACGTTCAGCCTGCCCTCAAAGCATTGAGGGAGCTGCTCTCCTCCCTCTGGTTATTGGGGAATCCCAGGGTAGCCAGAAGGTAGCCTAAGAAGAGAGAAGGAACACCTAGGCTTTTCTTCCCTCCTTCTTCCTCCCCATCACACTCATCAAGACTCTCCACGTAACACCAGAGCCCAGAGTTCAAAGGAAGTGGGGGAACCGTTGTTCTAGCACTGAGAGGGTGACAATGACAGTACAGCTGGAGCTCAGCATGTGACCACCGTTAGCATCATCCACATTTATAGGCAGTACCCTGCAACAGACAGGAGAATCCATGGTTCCCTTAGAAATGTCAGCGTGGCACCCACCTCCACTTGCTCTTCTCCAGCTATTTTTACCACAGTCAAAATCGGGCAGTACAAGACCAAGGACCAGCCAGACCAGCTGGATTCAAATCCTAACTCTGCTATTTGCTAGCTGTGTGATCTTGGGCAAGTTACTTAACTTCTCTGTGCTTCAGATTCCTCATCTGAAAAAAAAGGATAACACATCTGCTGCAATGTGTCATCATGAAGATGAAATTAGTTAACATGAATAAAGTGCTTAACTCAGTGCCTGGTGCATGGTGCATGATCCTATTTGGCAGCATCATGAGATGAAATGGGGCGCTTGCCTCGAAAAAGATATTTGAGGTTCTTGTTGTCCATCCTGTTTGTGACCTTGCTCAAGTCACTTAATGTCTCAGGGCCTCAGTCTTTAACTTGTGAAGTGGTGCTGATCCGCCTGCCTTGACTGTGCTCAGGGATCTTAAGGATCAAACATGAGAACATTAGTAAAAAGGCTTCTGAAAGGATAAAAAGGAGAACGATCATTATGGCCACACTGAGGCATGCAGAGCCCGTAAACAGAAGTCAACAGTGTGCTGCTGGCTGTGAGAGGTTCTAGAATGATCTCACCAACAGTCACGTGGCTGGGGAGAATCACCTGGGAAGCCAAGCACACATGGTGGGGATGCTGCCCTGATGTCTCACCTCCCAGCCCCTCCCCTCACAAGAGGGTCAGAGCTTGAGGCACATGTACTGTTAGAAGGTGGCGGATGCTTCCTTTTTCCTGGGCCCACTTCCTCCTACTACAGCCCCCCCTTCTACCCTTGGAGGTACCCAGGATTCTGTACCTGGAAAGGGGCCACAGCCTTCCTGATCTCAGCTGAGACTACCTCCTCTAAGCCCAGGACTGTGCAGGGGCTGAATGATGAGGACTAAAGACAAGTACAGCAAGGCCCCACCCTCACGGAGTTTAGGGTGACTGTGGCTGCAAGCCGGACACAGCTGGACAAGCTTTGCAGGAAACAATGGAACAATTATGAATTGGATGTAATCAGGGAACTCATGGTGGACTGGAATCAAGGAGGGCTTCATGGAAGAGATGGGATCAGAACTGGGCTTTCAGAGTGAGGACAGGAAGAGGGAGAAAGGGGAAGACAAACAAGGCCATGGGCAGGCACAGAGCACACATTCAATAAATACTTGCTGAATGAATGAATGAGTGAATGCATGGATGACTATGGCGCTTACGGGGACTGGTGAGCCACTTTGGAGTCAGCATTGAGAATTTAAATGGCTTCAGAGACTAGGCAGGCAGCACTGATGAGTAAACCAGACCTAGTATGAGATGACAGGGAGTGGTGGAGACTGTGATAAGCTGGACGTCCACAGCCTATTGGCATTCACAGAAAAAAGGATTTCAAAACGCTGGAAAGGAAAAAAACAACTTAAACTCTGCTGGCCAAAACCAGCTCTAGGGTCACAGTTCACTTCTTTGGTTTACCTGGCAAGGAGTTAGAGCAATTTCAAGCAGGTCTCATGTGGCCCAGGGAAAGATGAGACTAGAAGGACAAGGCCCTGGGGTCCAGAGCACCGGCCGCCTTCGACATATGGGATGGACATCTCCTTGCAAAGCCCCAGGCTCCCTGTCTCCATCAACCACAGTGGGCATAGGATGAGCTGTCAGGCTTCCTCCCCAAGACATCCTTTCATGACCCCAGCAGTTCAGGGCGCTCTGCCTGATGCAGACCACCTACTCGGGGACCAGACTGGAACGTGGCTTTGGGGATGTTCAGGAGCTGGAGAACATGGGGCCATGGGGGCACTGTGGCTCTAGTCTATTCTGTTCCACTGAGAATCGGGGGCTAAAGGCAAGTTGCTCCACCTGTCTGTACAACAGGGACCCCACCATCCCTGCATAATGCCTGCCTTCTTACTCCGAGGGGATATGGAACAGACACATGGGATAATCAGTGAGGAAGGGCTTGCTCCGAAATCTTAGAATGACTCCCCATAGACAGGAACAGACCCCTGCCCACCGCAGCCAGCTGCACCACCCGCCCCCCGCAGGCTGGGACCCCGCACCTCTGGCCTTGTAGTACTCGTGTTCCAGCTCCCCCTCGTCGTCCTCCGAGGCGTAGTTCAGCAGCTCCGCTTCGTACAGGGCCAGGAAGTCGATGTCCTTCTTCCTCCGCCTTTTCTTCTGGGGCATCATTCTGTCGGCTGCCTTCTCCCAGCGCTCGCAGGCTCACTGTGCCGCCTCCTCACACCTGCGGGAACCTGAGACCTCCTCCCTGAGCTCTGGCGCCCACGGCCCTCCTATAGCTCAGGCCTGGGTGGGCCAGAGTGCCCCGTTTTCTTGGCTTCCCCGTGCCCAAGGTGCTGTTCCCTCTGCCTTCTCTGGCTCCTGAGCTGAACCTCAGTGCCTTATCTCTGAACCTCCTGTCCCTGTCCCCTCCCACCACCCTCTGGTGAGCCACCTCCTCCTCCTCTGTACCTGCCCCGGGGCTTCTCTTTGGGCCTCATCACTTATTCATGGCGCTGAGGGCAGGCTGACTTCCTTCCTCTCTCCCCTCCCCACCAGCCCTCTCTCCTCCCTATGGAGAATCAGGTGACACGGAGCCCTTGAAGTCCATTTCCCACCTGGCCTCACAGCCAGGGGGTCACCTGGGATCCCTCCAGGCCACCCCAGGGACAGGTGAGGGCTCCTCACCCAGGAGATCTCCCAAGCCTTACAGCCCACACGGGACCCTCCTGAGGAAGGCGGGGCCCCGGAATCAGCCAGGCTCCCAGGACTCAAAGGCCCCCGTTTCTCTCCATTATTCATGACCTCTGATCGTCTTACGGAGCAGGCGGGGTTCTCGCTGGATCCTTCTCGTTCTCTCTCTCTGCTTCCATCTCATCAAGACTGCGGGCTTCCGGAAGTGGCCTCTGGGCACGAGGAAAGCTAGGGCACCAGAAAACTCTCCCCGCTCCCCCTGCCAGGTGAGCTTTATATGCACTAAAGTTTAAACATCATCGTAGCCGATGCCCTCCCAGGTGAACTCACTAACTAGATCAGCTCACCACCTGGACTCACGGGAGGGCATCAGCAAGCTCCTACCCCAGGGCGCACAGCCCGGGCTGCACACCAGAAGCCCCCAGAGAGGTGTTGAACGCTAATGCGTGGGTCCCATCCCCAAGGATTCTGATTTGCTTGGTTTGGGACGCAGCTTGGGCCCCAGTTTTTAAAGCTCCTGGTGACTTTCATGTGCAGCCATGTTGAGGGTCCCTGAATCGCTTCTCAGGTAACTTAGGTGTGCTAACAGGAGTCCTCTAGAAGCAACACGTGTGATTTTGTCCTCTAAGCCAAAATAGTGACTCTAAAGGGGAATTTCAGGTGGAGAGGAAGAGAGGATTTGGAGCGGACGCCTGAGGAGCAGTCGGCACTCACAGGCCTCCCCGGCAGCCTGGGGCAGCTTTGGTCCTGCCCTGCTCTTTGGAGCCATCCAAATCTTCCACTAGGGGGAGGCATCTCTAACCCCGAACGTTCCTACCCAGGAAAGATCAACCTCCCCTCTTCCCCTATTCAGCTGAGGGGCCGCCCTTGAAGCAGCTCAAAGTCCTCTGAGGACCAGGAGTGAAGTTTAATGGTGGGTGGCGCGCGCCCCCTTCTGGCAATATGTGGTTTACACACCTGGATTCTTCAGGAAGAGACCTTCCTTAAGGATCTCTAGGAATCTACTAAGAAAACTCATTTTACACGAGTACCCATTCAGGGAAAAGATAATAAAACGTTTCTTAGAATTTTTTTTGAGACGGAGTCTCCCTCTGTCGCCCAGGCTGGAGTGCAGTGGTGTGATCTCGGCTCACTGCAACCTCCGCCTCCCGGGTTCAAGTGATTCTCCTGCCTCAGCCTCCCGAGTAGCTGGGATTACAGGCATACGCCACCATGCCCAGCTAATTTTTGTATTTTTAGTAGAGACAGGGTTTCACCATGTTAGTCAGGCTGGTCTCGAACTCCTGACCTCGAGATCTGCCCACCTCGGTCTCACAAAGTGCTGGGATTACAGGCGTGAGCCACCGCGCCCGGCTGTTTCTTAGAACTTTAAAAGCTGAAATCAAAATATTTTTAGAGAATCCCATGGTACTGGAACACACTGGCTAGGAGGTCAGGGAAATAATTCTATATTATTTCTGTATTATTTCAAGGTTCTCCAGACAGACAGAACCACTAGGATATACAGATCAGTAGATATATGACAGGAGGCTTACTAGGGGCGTTGACTCATGGGATTATGGATGCCGAGAAGTCCCACAACAGGCAGTCTGCACGTTGGAGACGTAGGAAGGCTGGTAGTGTGGTGGGTCCAAGTCTGAAGGCCTGGGAACCTGGGAAACCCGTGGTGTAATTCTCAGTCTCAGGCCCAAAACCTGAGAACCTGGTGGTGAGCGGGTGATGGAGCAAGTCCCAGAGTCCAAAGACTGGAGAACCTAGAGTTCTGATGCCCAAGGACAGGAGAAGAAGGGTGTCCCAGCTCCAGGAGAGAGATAAAACATTCACCTTTCCTTTGCCTCTTTGTTCTGTCGGGGCCCCCAGCCGATTGCATGGTGCCCACCCACATTGAGGGCACAACCAGTCATGTTGACACCAAAAATTAACCCTCACAAATACCAAGAGTTCATAGGGACATGAGCAGCCAGAACTCTCATACTGCTAGTTGGAGTGTAAAATGGTGCAGCCACTTTGGAAAATAAAGCAAAGCAAATACTTCCCATGCAACCCAGAAATTCCACTCCTTGGTATTTACCTAAGATAAATGAAAAAGGATATCCACACAAGATCTGTATGTAAATATTCATAGAAGCTTTATTCATAACCAAAAACTGGACACAACTCAGGCATTCATCACCTGGCCAGTGGGTAAACAAACTGAGGTACATCTGTACAGGCAATAATACTCAACAATAGAAAGGAAGGGAGTCGGGAAACATGCTACAACATGGATGCCTCTGGAAAGCACTACGCTAAGTGCAGAAAAGCGGTCAGAAAAAATACATGCTGTGTGATTACATTGATGTAACATTCTCTAAAAGGTAAAACTATAGGATCAGAAAACAGGCCTGATGGGTGCAGTGGCTCACACCTGTGATCTCAGCACTTTGGAAAGCCAAGATAGGAGGATCGCTTGAGCCCAGGAGTTTGGGACTAGCAGTAACATAGGGAGATCCAGTCTCTACAAAAAATTTAAAACCTGGTGGCACAGACCTGTAGTCCCAGCTACTCAAGAGGCTGAGGCTGGAGGATCACTCGAGCCTGGGAGGTGGAGATTGCAATAAGCTGTAGTAAGCTGTGATTGTGCCATTGCACTCCAGCCTGGGCAACAGAGCAAAACCCTGTCTGAGAAAAAAAAAAAAAAAGAAGCCTATGGTTGCCAAGGGCTGGACTAGTGGGAGGGAATGGTCTGCAAGGAAGCATGAAGAGGCATTGCTTGGTCTCAGGAGCAGGACATGGGCTCCACCCTGTCTCTCTGAAGTGGCCTTATCTGCTGCCTTTCCATCTCCATGTGATGGCCTGTCTGGGTCACGCCTATGGTGCAGGCCTGGCTATTGACTCAACTCCCACCCCAGCTCCTTGGTGTGAGGATCCTGCACATAGCTGGCTGTGAACGGGTGCTCAGGGCATGCTTTGCAGACCCACTTCTCATCCCAGTGCAAGGTCTAGATTTGTGGAGAGGTAGGAGGAGGCCTCAGTAGGCATAGCACAAGGCCCTGAACTGTGCAGTGGTGGTGAGGAGTCCTAATTGATAAAGCTAAGATGTAGAGTCCCATCGGTTTCTTGTGTACTGATAAAAGCACAAAGGACAGACAGGGTGATTACTTGGGTGGGACCCCAAGCCTATGATAATAGGGAGAGGTTGTTCATCCAATGACCATTTGCATGTGCACAGACATGTCCAAATGTGCAAAATGATATCGTTGTGCCCGTCTCCTCCTTAGAGTACATTCTCTTGCTGCTGGATGGCGTTGGTCATATTCCTCTCCAGCTCAAAAACATTTGCTTACGCCCCACGGCAATTGAATTTTCTCAGCCAGAGTTCTGGATTAAAAGCAACAGAAACCAACAATGGCTAGTTTAAGTAGAAAAATTATTTTTTTAAGCTGATGGAAGGTGGATCTCAGAATGTCCCAGAGATCTACACTCTGGAAATGATGCCTAGAATCATGCTGGTCCAGAGAGGACCCGACTTCCACCAATGCTGGGCCTGGATGTACAGCGTGCACCACAAGCTTCAGCACTGGCTGTTGCTGCTAGAGCCACAGCAGCTGCCTGTTTGTGCCGCCCTCACCAGAATGGACTCTGCTGCCTTCTGCCATTCAGTCTGGGGCCGGAGCATCTGATTGGCTGAGCCTAAGTCATGTGCCCACAGCCTTGCTGGAAAGGAGGCTGGGAAAGAGAGTATTTGGCCTTTCCAACTGCTATGCTGGGAACTGTGCTCTTCTCAAACTTTAGAAGGGGATTCAGATGCTGGATTACCAAGATAACAAATGTCTATGAAACTAATAGAATTCTAGCTCCTCAAGCTGATAGCAGAGACCCTCTATAATCTGACCAACCTTCTCCTTATGAAACCCACACTGTGGATAAACAGAAGAAACCCCTGTTTTCTAAACGGGCCTGGTGCTTTCCTTCTGCAGGCTTTAGTTCACGCTGACGTTAGAGCTGTTGTGTGCATTCCTGTGTCAGCCAGCTATTGCCACACGACAAGCAAGCATACAAATCTCAGTGGCATGGTGTTACCTCTCACATGTCTGGGGCTGGGTTGGGATGACATATATATGCTGGGCTCAGCTGGCAGGTCTGCCTCAATCTATAGGACCAGCTGAACATGGCCAGGGCAACTCTTTTCTACGTGAGTTTGAAACCATCCCTATAAACTTTATAAAATTAATCAGCAAAGAAGGGAGGGGGAGAAATGAAAATAAACCAAGCTTGCAGCACACTCAGCATTCATCAGCAAGTCAGCTTGCTCTCTGACCCACCCCTCGTGGTTCCTTACCTGTTGCCTCAGAATAACGTAGATCCTGTTACAAGATCATCGTTCCCTTTAACTGCCCTATAGACAACAATCTGAACATTATAAAACATGAAGATTTCTCTTTTACAAGAGCATAGTTCCCCTTAACTGCCCTATTGCCAACAATCTGAACATTATAAAACGTGAAGATTTCCCTTTGAGATACTCCTTTCAGGTCCTGCATACCAGTGAAACTACTGATGTCAGCTGATCTGAAGGACCCCAGGAGAAGCTGACTTACCAAGGAATCACCCTCCATGGTCCCCTTAAAAGCCCCAGCTCAGAACTCCTCCGGGGGATGGATTTGAGGGTCTCCTCCCAACTCCTTGCTTGGTGCCCTATGATCAAAAACTCTTTCTCTGCTGCAAATCCTGCTGCCTTGGTGTAATTGGTTTGTGACTGCACAGTAGGCATATGAACCTATTGGTCCTATAACAGGTTCAATCTGGGGCCGGCCTGAAGGAACAGCAGCCACCCAGGGCAAGCTCTTCTCATGGCCATGGTAGAAATGCACAGGAGTGACCCTGGAAATGCAAGCACCTGGGAGGCCTTTTAGTTACATCACATCTGCTGACACCCTTTGGATAAACAAATCAACACATATGGCCAAACCCAGAGTCAAGAGGCAAGGAAGTGCTCTCTATTTTGGGGGCTATAAAGTTACATGGCAGGGGGTGTGGACACAGTGAGGGGTGAAGTATTGAGACCAGTCATTTACTCTATCCCAATTGCCTATTTTTTCCCTCAGACTTCAGTTTTTCTAAGCAAGTCCTGTGTACCTCAACTGCCTAGCAGAAAAGGAACGTGGCCTTTAAAAGTAAATGAATGAGTGAATTACAAATATGTAGTGGGAAGGTGGTGATAGTGAGCATACGTCAATGCAAATAACACACATGCATGTCCTGGCAGCTCCAGCTCCCACCACAGCTCCCCACCAACCATGTGCCCCTTATTTCTCAAGGTAACTAGCTAGTCTGACGTCTCAAAATGAGGCATCTCTTCCTCTGGGAGGAAGAGAGTGATGCGGTGTTGTGAGGTTGATGGTTTTCTGGTTCACTGAAATGTTAGTTCCCAAAACTACTTTGGGGAAGCCTTCTCCCTGGGTTCAGCTACTCAGTGTTAGAACAGTGAGCCTTCAACCACTTCTGCCCCCCTCCAACCCACTCTGCTCAAAGCAGATTTTATTAAAAATAAATCAGATCATGTCTCTCCCCAGCTTATGTGCTCCAGTGGCTTTCCCTGACCTTAGGACAAAACACTAACCTGTCTCCAAGGCCTGCAGGCTCTCATATCCTCACCCCGTTATCCAACCACACTGGCTTCAACCTACCCCATTTCCACCAACCCCACTCCTCTCCTGACTGACCTCACTATTATGATCAAACGCACACACAGCCCCCTCATTGTCAATGGCAAACAGACCCCATTTTTGTAACTGGACCCCTCCTCTCTCTTCCTAGTGCCACTGCCTTAGTCCTCTCCTCCTGCCTCTCTCACTGGGATCATACCCCTACTGGCCGCCCAGCAAATTACTCTTACCTTACTCAGGCTGGAATTCCTACGGCGCACCTGCAAGAATCATTTCTCCAGAAAATTGATGTGAGGACACATTATTTTCTTGTTACCCTCTCTTTCAGGAAACAAATGACCAATTCCTTAGCCCTGTTTGCAAAGTCTCCACCAAAGTCTGGTGCTGCCTCTGTCCTCTACACCCCCCACCCACCACCCTGTGTGACCACTTGCAAACTCATTTCTTGCTGACTTTTCAGATTCAGATCCATCTGCTTGTAATGCTTCGCCTTCCCTCAGTGGCAAGTTCCAACATGCAATCCAAGGCCCAGTCAGCAGTCACTTCTGTAAAACCTTCCTCTGCTCCTCAAGTTCCTCTCTCCTTCACTCATACCTCAATTGTTGCACACAGCTCATCATTTTGTAATTACTTCTGTACCCAGTACATCCAACAAGCAGGACTCCCAGATATGATAAAAAGCACATTTATTTTTGCTTAGTGAGAACAGTCCTTCCCTTGACACTAGATAAAATCTTGAACAGATCTGTGACTGTTTGGTGGATCACTTTCAGATCATTTAAAAGTTTTACAGACCCTGTAAGTGATGAATATTGTCTCAAGTCAAAAATTAGAGCTGTATAGAGCCTGTAGGAGCCCACGCTGGATGTTCATGAAACTCAGCCTGTTCCATGTCTCTTCCTTAGCCAGGCCTGGCAGCTCAGCTGCTGCCTAGGGAAGGGGCCAGTCATCTCCTGTCCTGCTGACCTCTTGCTGCTCTTGGTAGTTGCAGATTCTGACATATGCCCCAGCCACCCCCATCGCAGGGTTGGGTCACTCTCGTGAGAGGACTGTATGTATTCCTGTGGTCCTCATGGATGTTTAAAGCCAACTCTTCCATGGGAAGGCCTGTGGGTTTTCCCAGGCTCCCCTCTGACCAGGATCCCCTGACATGGGCCTCTCCTGATCCCACCTTCACTTCTGCTCCAGAACTACACCCCACAGCCTCCCACTGCCAAGGTCCCCTTATCCTTTCTAAAGACCTCTGGCTGACTTTTGAGCATACATCCCTGCCACCAGGACTGATCCTGCTTTGACCCTCCATCAGCCCAGCTCTGCTGCTCTGGGCCCCTTCAGCTTCCTCAGGCCAGAGTGGGGCTCCAGCTCCAGTGCTCTGGGACCCAACTGGGGGAATCCACGGCAAACTCTCTGGGTGGCCTTGTGGAAGCCCTTCTCGCTAAGCCTGGAGTCAGGAGGAAGCACTGACCCCCAACCCTCTACCTTGAGGATGGGGTTCCTAGCCCAGTTTTCTCCATGAAATCCTTTTAAAAAATCAATGAGGGTCAGGTGCGGTGGCTCACACCTATAATCCCAGCACTTTGGGAGGCTGAAGAGGAAGGATCACTTGAGCCCAAGAGTTCGAGACCAACCTGGGAAACATAGTAAGACCTATCTTTACAAAAAATTAAAAAATGAGCCAAGCTACTCAGGAGACGGAGGTGGGAGACTCTCTTGAGACTGGGAGTCCAAGGCTACTATAAGCCATGATGGTGCCACGGAACTTTAGCCTGGGTGACACAGCAAGACCCTGTCTCAAAAAAAAAAAAATCAATGATTCTATCAGCATTATGTCATCCCTTTTATATCTTTAATCTTCAAGAAGGGCCCAAGAACAGTTTAACTGGTTTTCAACTGATTTGTCTGACAGCTCTGTACATGGTCTAGGGCCTCCTTTACAGAGTGGCATTATCGTAGCTTGATGCCTTGGTTGAAACTGCCCACTTCATATCTGGTTACACTTGCTGGTCTCTCTCCTCCAGCAAGCAATCCCATTCTCAAGTGGGACTGATGTCTTAGACTTCTGTGCCCCTGCTGAGAAGCAACATCCTTGACACAGCCCTTTCCTCTTCCACCCCCATCATCATCTGTCACTGGCCTCCTTATCCATCTGGCTCCTGGGGAGCTCTCAGCCCTGTCCCCTTCACTCCATCCCACATCACCCATCGTCCTGGTCCTCACCACCACCAGCAGCCTCCTAAATGGCCTCCTTTCAAACACTCTGGGCCCCAGCAGTTTCACATTTCACGCTGCAGCAGGGTGAGGTTTTTCGGTGTCAATCTGATCATGTCCTCTTCCTCCTTATGACCCTTCAAGGACTAGCTGATTCTCTTAAAATCAAAATCAATATCAGTTATGGGGCCACCTTTCCCCATAGGGTCTCACCTCTGTCCAGTTCTCCAACTTTATCTCCCACCATGTCCCCCTCCTTTTCCGGGCAGGAGCGTGCTGGCCTTCCGTAAGGGTCCCAAGCTCTCTCCCGCCTGGAATTGCATCCCCCACAACTCCACCTAGCTAACCCTGTCTCTCCCGGGAAGCCCCCCTTGGTGCTCAATCCCAGTTCGTTGCTACCTGTCTGAGCCTCTCATAGCACTTGCATGTTCCTTTGTAGTATGGTTTATAACGAAAACATTCAGCAGTGAGGTTTTTTTGATTACCTGTATTTCTCTGGCCAGACACTATGTTCCATGAACATAGTGATTGAATGTGCATTTGCAACTCTTGTATTCTCAAATACTCAAGTAGTTTGACCTAAACAGGGGTTCGAAACATATTTGTTGAATGAATGAAGTGACAAATAATATGCATTTGATAAATATTTATTAAACTATAATCACTTTAATCTTCAGCTCGTTCATACATTCATTCATTCAAAAATATGTATTGAAGTTCCACTTCCCTGTTCGTCAGATCTTTTTCTTACTATGATATACAGAAGACAGGCCAGGCACAGTCGCTCATGCCTATAATCCCAGCACTTTGGGAGGCCAAGGCAGGAGGGTGGCTTGAGCCCAAGAGTTTGAGACCAGCCTGGACAATATGGCAAAATCCCATCTCTAATAAAAATAGAAAAATTAGCTGGGCATGGTGGTGCACACCTATGGTCCCAGCTACTTAGGAGGCCGAGGTGGGAGGATCACCTCAGCCCAGGAGGCAGAGGTTGCAGTGAGCCAAGATCATCCCACTGCATTCCAGTCTCAGAATCAGAGTGAGACCCTATCTAAAAAAAAAGAAAAAAAAAAAAAAAAAAAAAAAAGGCAATGCCCAGGTCTCAGAGATGACCCTCCAATAGTAACCTTAGGTTCCGTTATTGTTTGCTTGAGTGTCTGACATTTTACAATTGTCATAATGAAACATTTGAACATCTTATAGCTGTCACCAAAATTCATCTTAGAGAGGAAATGGTCCTCTTTGAGAAAATATCTTTGGAAGGTAGAAGGTGAGCAGAGACCCAGGCTCAGCAGGAGACCAAGCAAACAGAGAATGATTCAATAGCTCCAAAGAGACAAATGGGGAGATGGAGAGATGAGAAAAGGAAGGCCAAGAGGGAAGAGGTGGAAGAGAGAGGCCAGAGAGGTAGGGTAAGGCCAAAGTCATGAGGAGTGTCCACACCAGAAACTTGGCTGGTGGCTGGGCTGTCTCTTTTTCAGGATGTCTGAAGTGGTCTCAATCCCTTTCCCACTGCTTCCCACTACACTCTGGGACACACTACACCATCACAGATATCAAGGAAAGTGCTGCATCTAATATCTGGATGGTCAACAAATATAAAACAGAAACATGCCCAAAAGCAGGAGTCTGAAGGCAGTGGAGTCATGGAAACACCAGTCCCTAGGGATTTGCAGAAATCATGGGGAAGGCTTTGGGCTTTTCCAAGATGTGGATCTGGGGACTCCAAGCAATGTTAACTACATTTCATGGGGCAAACAGGCTCAAGCCCGGTATTTTGCACATAAATGCAAACAACTTTTGATATAATTCTGTCTTAAATACACTCAAGGAGATTGGCATTGAATGAAGTTTGTTTTTTTTTTTTCTTTACAAATGGGTAATTAGTACTCAGATGCCCTCAGTGTGACTTTGGACATTGATAGAGCTGCCTTGCTTAGAGAAAGGCAGGTCGCATAGCCATGGGATCTGCTTCCATTATGAGTGTGTCTCAAACCCACCTGTCCCAGGCAGCTCCAGCCCTTAAGGCAGGTAGCTCCGGCCCTCAGGGGCCCTCTGTCCTCCTGCGGAAGCTCCAGAATCCTCTTTCCATGTCATTGTACACCTTCATACACTGTCAATTCAGCATGCCACTCAACTTGATCTTGATCTGGGCTCTAAGCCCCTGCTGTGAGCCCACCTACTCCCTGGGTCAGATAGCTACTCCTGCCAGCCACCCACAGGTCTCCTGATTCTCATGTGCCCTCAACACTGCCCAAAGGTGTGCCCAGGGTGGCCATGGGCTCTTCACAATACCTGGCAGCTCTGCACATTGGGCTGTGCTGCTGTCAGCCCAGTGTGGCACAATCCCCATAAACACACACAAAAACACATATGCGCACACACACACACACTAACACACACACACAGCCACAGCCACAGAGTCTTTGCTAGGTGAACCATTTGACTGGTTTTATTAGATAGAAATTGAGGGCCGTTCAAACACAGTGACAGATACAAAGTACCCTGATGATGTTTTTAGGCATAGCATCACAGTCATCACTTCAGAATCACTACTCAAGGACAGCCACACACAAGCTGGAATTATGCTACAGGAGTTTGTATAAACCACTGCTCCCAGAACAAAATTTGCATAAAAATAAGATCAGGCCTGCAGCCCCCATGTCCCCAAACTGTCTTTGAATGGCACAGCCTTTCTCTCCAGGGCCAGGGGAGGGAGAAAATCAGCAGAGCAAGCAAGGGGCTTTTCATATAGATGGTGTTTCTCCACATCCCAGCAAAGGACATCTCAGGCCTCCCTTCTCTTCTCCATCGGGAAAGGCTCCACGGAGCGCAGTGCAGCGTGACTTGGCTCTTTGAGAGGAAAGCAAGGGAGGGAAGGGAGGCATGCCACGTGGCCGCTTTTTCTTCATACGCAGGAGGCCACTCAGAAATGAGCCGGTGCACCAGCCACTCAGAGAGAGACCCGGCTGCCTTCATGCAGGCTCCTGGGCAGGGGTGCCAGGAAACTGACACCACGCCTGGGCTGAAGCCACTCCCAGGCACAGCCACAGGCACCTGGCTCCAGGGCAAAAGGTTTCCACAGCTCCCATGCTGACTCCAGCATCTGTCCTGGCTTTACTTGGGGAGGGAAGTGGCGGGGGATTGGTTCCAAACTGTACCATTGAACAATCCATTGTATGCTTATTGAGATACAGTGTTAATTTTTAAGAAAATACATAGACAAATGCATATATTTCAAAGTTCAAACAATACTGTATTGAAGAAGAGTTATGGCTCTCTGATGGGAGGCGAGTCGGTTCCAGAAAGGGAAGCTGCAGGCCACCAAGACCCTGCCAGGTCCCTAAATTGTATGTGCAGAGTGTGGGAGCCCCAGGGGGCACCAGCTGCCCCATAAAGTGATCTTGAGCAGAGGGACTTGCCCAGAAGCTAGCCACAGTGAGGGCCAGACGTCCCACTGGAGAAGAGTACAGGACGATGGGCTCGGGAGTCCGGGGTAGTCTGGCAGGAGCTGCCACTTGGGACCCCTCCAGCTGCCTCCCACATGGCCAGAGCAGCAGGGGGCCAGCACCATGGTCCCTGACCCCAGCTTGCCCCGCTCTCCTGCTTTGCTCAGGCCTGTGGCCTTGGGTGACTCTGCCAGATACAACTGCCTCCCTTCTGTCCCACTAGGTTCAGCCACCCAAGGCTGCTGGTTCGGGTGCCCTGAGCTTGGCCCCCAAAGAGGAATGAATACGAACAGGTCCCTCCACACAGGTGCTGGGCAGGGCATGAGGCCAGGGTGAAGCCCAGGCCTGGAGCAGACTCCAGATCAGCCTAACAACTTCAGAGGGGAGAAAAAGGTGCCCTAGAGGGCTAGAGCGGGACACTGGCCACCGTCCCCTGCCCTCCAGTTCCTCCCACCTTGAGGAAGCCTTGGCACCCAAAAGGAGATGTCCATCACCCACCATGGGTGCCCTGGGCACACCACGCTATCTTTCTGGGCCTCGGCAAGGAGGGTTGCTACTCTCTGCCCTGTCCTCCTTGCAGGAACGCAGCGAAGTCCAGTAAGAAAATGGATGGTGAAGGTGTGGAGAAAGTAAAAGTGTCACTTTCCCCCAGAAATGGTCATCTTTTTAAATTCACCAAAAAACACCCAGGCCTGAGTCACTGCAGAGCCAGCACACCCCTAGCTGAAGTCCTGACCCTCCTGCCCCACACAATAAGGACAACACAAGCAGAATCAGAGGTGCAGAAAGAGGATGATCAGCCACACCATCACCCACACTGCAAAGTCCCTTGGAGATGGGAAGGTGGAAGGGGCTTGTCCCCCCACCACCTGCCCTTTTTTCTTAGGAGAGAGGTAGCAGGAGAGTCTCCAATGTCAGGGGGAAAATGTTAAGTTCAAAAGAGTGAGTTTGGCCGGGCACGGTGGCCCACACCTATAATCCCAGCACTTTGGGAGGAGGAGGTGGGCGAATCACGAGGTCAGGAGTTCACAACCAGCCTGGCCAAAATGGTGGCCCCGTCTCTACTAAAAATACCAAAAATTAGCTGGGCAAAGTGGTGGGCGCCTGTAATCCCAGCTACTTGGGAGGCTGAGGCAGGAGAATCACTTGAACCTGGGAGGCGGAGGTTGCCGTGAGCCGAGATCATGCCACTGCACTCCAGCCTGGGTGACAGAGTGAGACTCCATCTCAAAAAAAAAAAAAGAGTGAGTTTACCCATCTCGCCTATCCTTCATCATCAGATCATCAACCGTTTCATTTATGTGAACTTCCAGGTCACTGAGCATTTATCTTTTAAGCACCAAGACTTTTGTGAAAGTATTTTAACTGTTTGGGGATGGAAATAATTCTAAAGTGGATAAAACGCAGCCCTGCCTTCTTAGACAGTGTATTGAACATTGTTGGAACGCTTTTTTACCTCTGCATGTCCTGGATGTCACAGGGTGAACTGAGCTGAAATGCTGTGTTGCTCCCGGGGTTATTATAACATATTCTCCCTCTCTTCCCCACTAAACGACCAACGACCTCAGGCTACTTGATGGTTCCTGAGATATGTATTTAGTTTTGGTCTTTTTTAATTATTATTTTGAGACAGGGTCTGGCTCTGTCACCCAGGCTGGAGTGTAGTGGTATGATCTCAGCTCACTGCAACCTCTGCCTCCTGGGCTCAAGCCAGTCTCCCACCTCAACCTCTTGAGTAGCTGGGACTGACTACAGGTGTGCTTTTGTATTCTTTATTGAGACAGGGTTTTGCCATGTTGCCCAGGTTGGTCGTCAACTCTTGAGCTCAAGCGATCTCCCGCCTCAGCCTCCCAAAATGCTGGGATTACAGATGTGAGCCACCATGCCTGGACATATTTTCTTATCCTTAATGTAGTGTTTTTTTTTTTCCAAAGACAAGCTGTCGTTGAACAAGTAAACTAGTTTTGGTCTTCTTAATGCCATCACAATTTAGGCTATTAGCTGCCACTTCTTGCTTTATCTAGCACATGTCATCATTCTCTTAGTTTGCTTTGTCATTAGAAATCAGAACCAAGTTCACTAGAACTGAATTTAAAATCAAAGCAAATGCCGTGAGATATGTGATATTAGCAAAATGGTTGGCCCTTGATACACAGCTTTATAGCATCTATTTTCAGGGGCTCAAAATTATTTTCCTTCAACTGAGTCCTCAGTTACCTGGGGGCTGAGTGAATTTGCTGGGTTCGATCCTAGGAAGTGAGTTGTGTTTTCACCCTGCCTCAGTAAAACAGTAGCCATTTCCACTTTTAATAAGTCTTTGAGATCTCCAGAGGCTCTTGTCAACTTTGTCGCTGAATGTGGAATTCTGAGCTCTCATGGGGGTTGAAGTTGCCCACGTTGTGGGGGCATCTTTGGAGGAGGGAGACTAGATTGAGGCAGAAACCAGGTACTAACTCTCTGGTTTCAGCTCAAGCCTGTTCCAAAGTATGATAGAAAAGGAAATGCATAAAGAAGTGAGGCTCTAACCCTAGCTCCTGGGCTCACGGCAGTCCTGGTGCTGTGTTTCCTCATTGCTACCTTCCATGTTTGTGCACAGATGTGGAGGTGGGCAGAGGGCTGGGTCTGCATCAGAAAACCAGGCTTTCCCCCAGGTGGACCAGACAGGTCCTCCCCATGCTAGAGGGCCAAGTGTGTGGTACTCAGATCCTACCCAGCGCCGGTCACAAGGTGACCCTCACCCAGGCACAGGCTGAACCTATTGCTGCAGATCCACCAACCCCTTAGCTCAGATCACTAAATGCATCCTAATCTTAGGCACAGATAAATTCTTAATTCAGGCAGACTCTGAGGCTCCTAGCCCCGGGAGAAGAAATCTATGTTACTTTGCTTTAAAAATATGTCATAATATTTATCTGAATGCTAAAATGTTCAGAAAAAGAAAAGCTGGTACCTTTAAGAAGTCTCACGCCTGAGTCAGACTGAGGGAAGGAAGGGTCCACCAACCCCCAACCAGGAAAAAGAACAGGGCAGCAGAACAGGGCCAATCTCATTAAAGGATCATCTAGAGCCATGAGCCTCCAAGTGCAGTCCCTGGACCAGCATTGGCATCACCTGGGAACTTGTTAGAGATGCTCCACCCTGGCCTCACCAAATAACTCTGGGGCGGGGCCCATAATCAAGGAGCTCTCCAAGAGATTCTGAGGCAGCCTCCAGTTTGAGAACTGCTGACCTAGAATAGTGGTTCTCAAGGCTGGCTGCACATTAGAAACATCTGGAGAATTTGTGAAATCCTAATATTCAGGTCACATCTCAGACCACCTGACTCAGAATGTCAAGGGGTGGGGTCGCACGAGTATTTCTTAAAGCTCTTCAGACGACTCTAGCGTGCACCAAGGCATAGACTGCCTGCCTTAGGGTAATGACTCCCAACCATGTGAGACAGAACCACTTAATGAGATCTTTCAAAATAGGGATACCAGGCCCTATCCCCAGGCCTGCTGAATCAGATCCTCCGGGAAGTAAAGGACCTGGCTTGGGGATTATTTTATAAAGACTTCCAGGTGATTCCTATGTACACACAAGGTTGCAAATGGCAATTCTAGAGAAAACAGAACTTTTACCCCAAAGCTGAGCAGATCATTTAGTTGAAGGAAATGAGAGATTTGTTGCCATGGGAACCATCTTCAACTGAAGAGAGAGTCACTGATTTCTGGCTTTTGTGGCCAACAGCTAAGTCATGGAAGTGTATGTTTTTGCTTTTGGTTTTTTTCCTTTGAAATAAAAAAAAAAAAAAAGAAAGGTTCTCAGAAGAGACTGTGCAGGGGAAAATACCTAAAGACTTCTAAAAGATCAGCAAGGCTATTGTCTCTCAGGACATGCTGGCCAGGACAGTGGAGCCCAGGTGGCAGAGCAAGGCCAGGTCTGCACTCTCCCTCAGCAAGGGGCCAAGGTCTCAGGAAGCCAGGGGCCAACGACCAGCCCAGGACAACTGCCCAAGGCAAAAACAAAAACAAAAATCAGATTTCTGCTTTAGGGACACCCAAAACAGTTAATGTCATTTGAGAGCTGCTTGCACCTAAGTGATTCTAAAAAGTCTCTGGTATACTATACTAAGTGAAATAAGCCAGTCATCAGAAAGACAAATATTATATGATTCTACTTATATGAGGGACCTAGAGCAGTAAAATTCATAGAGAAAGAAAGTAGAATTGCGATTGCCAGGGGCTGGGGAAGGGGGAAGTGAAGACTTGTCATTTAATGGGTTTAAAGTTTTCATTTTGCAAGATGAGAAGAGTTCCAGAGACAGAATATACAACAGTGTGAATGTACTTACCATTACTGAACTGTACACTTAAAAATGGTTAAGATGATAAATTCTATGTTATGTGTATTTTACCATAATTACAAATGAAAAAGAAATCTTTGTTTGTGTTAAAGCAAAACCAATTTTGTAAATGTTAGATTCCCGAGCACTTGACTTTTGTTGCTAGGTACATAGTGGGTTATATATTATATTTGTATGTACAGAAAAGGCAGAAGTTGGGTTGTGTGCCAAATTCTTCTTTTCATTCTTTTCCTACTCAAGGCTCCAGTCTGAATTTCAAGCCATACATGGCCACTCAACTGGTGGCAACTTCTGAACCACAAGCAGTTGTATGCTCAGGGAACAGATAGGGCCTCACACATGCTGATTCCCAGGCGCCACCTCTCCCCCAGGTTCTCAGTCCATAGTTTTAACAAGCACCCAGGTGATTCTGATGCAGGCCATCAGAAGGCCATCCTACAGGGCATCCTAATAAACCCATGTGATCTTCAAAGGGTAGACTGTAGATCTATACTGTAGATCTATACTGTAGGTCTATCCAGTCTACCCTTTGAAGATCACACTGTAGATCTATCCAGTCTACCCTTTGAAGATCACACTGGTTTATTAGGATGCCCCGTAGGATGGAATCAGCCTCCACAGACTGGCCTCGTTTGACTAGACCTCTAAACAATAGCACAAGGCACACCCTGGCCACTGGTGCACCCCTCGCCTGGCCTCACCTGACCCCTGAGCCACAGTTAGCCTCTTCCCAGAGGGTGCTCTGGTTACAGGGAGGAGACTAGGTCAGGGCGTGTGTTGAGCTCAGAGAAGCAGCACCTTTTTTCCCCCAGGAAACAACCCCATGCTCCTGGTCTTCCCCTTCGCATCTGGAGCAGACATCCTGCAAAGCTCAGCTCACCTGTTTCCCAGCCAAAGCATTCAGCATGTTCCTCTAGTTTTTTAAACACCATTGATAAATCCCTCTTACATTGCTTCCCAGGCTGCACCTCAGCCACAGTGATGTAAGAGCCTGACATGTTTGTGTGGCTTTGAGGAAGGGAAGAAGTAGACAACAAGAAACACAGAAAATGTCTCTCCCTTCTTTCATTTAAACTAGAGGAAAAAGGATTGGCTAGCCAGCAAAAAGCAGATGAGCAGGATTATAATGAGGGAAAACAAAAAGAGGCTAGCCAAGCCCATAAGCCCCCACTAGACAGACATTTCAGCCTCCTGAGCCCCGAGCTCCCCTGGACAGGCAGGAGGAGTCTCTGCCTTCCTGGGATGTGCTAGGTAAAAAAATCAATAGAGGACTCTCCTCAGCTGACAATTTCCCCAAGGTGTTACTCAGTTTATTAGCGGGGTATCCTGAACTGCTGGAGTCCCCCAGGAACCAGAGACCTCATTACTGTAGTAAACATGTGTTGAGTGGCCATGGCATGTGCTTCCCCGCCAGTGCTGGCAATACAAAATGAGCTTAGATATCGTGTCTTCCCTTGGGGAGAAGGCAAACCTTCTATCAAGGACACACGGGCCCTTATGCTGTGTGCTGTGAGGATGTCCTAATGGAGTCGGTGATGGTTGCAGCAGAAGCACAGAGGAGAGAGTGCCCAGCCCAGGTCTCTAGAGGGGAGGATGCAGGGGGCCATTACCTGACTTCTGCAAAAGTGGCCAGATAAAAGGAAGGAGAGAGGAACTTAGGAGTGTGAGGGCCATTCCAGGTGTTTGAACAGAGTGTGCAAAGGTGCCTGGAATAGTATGGGATAGGGCAGGGAGGTGGCAGGAGGATCTCTGGGAAGGTGAGTAAGCCAGCTTGGGACATTCCCTGCATGACTTGGTAAAGAACCTGAAGTTTATGATACAGGTAGGCAATGGGCCCCACAAAAGGTATTTTTGGAAGGTTATTCTCTGAAAGCAAAAAGATCCATCAGATGGTCTGGGTTAGGGCAGTAGCAGAGGGGTTGCAGGGAGGGAATGACTTAAAGGGATGTTTATGAGTTGGAATTGACAAGATACAGTGAACAAATAGACATAAAGAGTGAAGGAGAAGGAAGAGGCAAAGGTGATCCAAGTTTTGGGCCAAGGCAACCTGTGCTTGCTAGTGTCTAGTTTGTGCTGGGCACTGTGCTAGGCATTGTGCAACACTATTTCACTTAGCTTTGCAACAGCTGTTGTGGTTGGTATCCTGTCCTCATTTCAGATGATGAGTCCAGAGCCTCCAGGGGCTTCTGGAGCTCCCTCAATTTCACACAGCTACGAAGTAGTAGGAGGAGACTCTGAGTTCAGATTGTTCTTTTAACTATACCAGTTGAGGACATGTTGAGGTCTGAGATGCTGTGCAGACACAGACATGCAGGAGGCCACAGTGAGCATGCTTCCAATGCTCCTAGGGAGGACTGGCCTGCAGGTAGAGGGGTTAAGATGCCAGGGCAGAAGATACTTAAGGCTTTGAATAGATGAGATTTCTGCAGGAATGCTCCTAGGAAGAGAAGAGAACCCTGAGGAAGCTTCACGGAAGATGAATCCACAAAGGAACCTGAGAAGGAGCATTCAGAGAGACAGGAGGAAAGTCAGGGAAGAATAGTTAGAAAACAGAAGAGGAGAGGACTTTAGAAAGACCAGAGAGACTGTGCATAGTGGCTCACACCTGTAATCCCAGCACTTTGGGAGGCCAAGGCAGGAGGATTGCTTGAGCTCAGGAGTTCGAGACTAGCCTCGTCAACATAGCAAAACCCCGTTTCTACAAAAAAAAAAAAATTTTCAAATTAGCTGGGAGCAATGGCACGTGCCTGTGGTCCTAGCTACTTGGGAAGCTGAGGTGGGAGGATCACTTGAACCCAGGTGTCGAGGCTGCAGTGAGCCATATTTATATCACCACCCTCTAGCCTGGGTGACAGAGGGAGACTCTGTCTCAAACAAACAAACAAAAAAGACCAGAGAGGCCAACCTTGTCAAATGTTACACGGATGTCAAGGATGATATCTGAGAAGTATCTGCTGCTTTGCTCATTACACTTTTTATGCTGCCAACCTTCAGAATTCGGAATTGACTTTGGTCATCCCCTCCTCCACCTCTCCCAGATAACTGTCCCTGAGACTGGATTTGATAGTGTTCAGCACAACCAGCTCCCACGTACGTTTGTGGGATTCGTCATTTAACGTCTGTATACACACACACCAGACCACAAACTCCCGGAGGGCAGGGACGACGTTTTGTTCATCACTAGCTCCCCGGCACCTGGCACCATGCCTGGCACAACATGAGCACTCAATAAATATAATTTATTCACCAATTCACTCACTAAATTGGCCAGCACTCTACTCTGCCTCAGTTGTTTCTAAGCACTGCTCTGCTTCCTCCCTGCTCTCAGCAAAGTCAAGGGCGATGAGCACATGCTGTCTCTGGGCACCAGGTGATTAGTGGGCAGAGCTGCCGCAGCAGCATTGCTGAAATGGTCTCAGACGCTGCCTCTGACCTTGAGCCACCTTTCTTTGTGCTTGGCTAAGCACTGAGTCATTTACTTGTTTTTGCTGCCTTTCAAGCCTGGAGCAGTGGGTTTAGCACAAAGGAAGACATGATGGTTGTTTTGTTTACGGGAATCGATTTCCCTTGAATAATAATTCAATGGGTAGTCTGCACTGCATGGTGGCGTGGTGACAGGGCTGTGGAGGAACATGGCAGAAGGCTTCCAGAGTCAACACCAGGTCTCTCTGAGCCTTTGAAAAAATGTTTTTCTTATAAACACTGGCTGCAGCAGAAAAACTATATCCTGAAAGTCAGGAGACTGGTGAGTCCCAGTTGAGCCACAAGCTGGCCATGTAGCCCTGGGCAAGTCATTCGTGTTGTCACTTAACATGTGCTATCTCTGGGCATCTTTCCTCACCTTAAAAATGTGACGATGGCCTCAGTTCCCCTCCAGTGCCACTGTGGGTAAGTCGCTACTGCTGTAGGCGGCAGGGTTAGGGAGAGGCACCTATAAGCACAGGCTGCTTCCCGGACGATGACAGCCTCCTAGAGCATTTGTCCCTGGAGGAGGGCCCCGTACTATCCTGCAGGGGCATCTTGGTCAGGATCCCTCATGTTCTGGTGTCACTGTCTGGGAAGCTAAGACAGAGGTTTGGAGCACAGACTTTGGGGCTCTACAGATCTGGGTGCAGTTCCCTCCATTGGGTGCCGTTCCCTCCATTGGGTGCCTGACCAAGGGCAAGTCCTGGAATTGCTTTAAGCCTCTGTCTCCTCATCTGTACAATGGGAGCCTCCTTACCCAAAGGGGTCTCATGATGATTACAGGAGATAATATAGGGAAAGTGCTTAACGTAGCTTGATAAATGCTAGCTAGTATAATGAGAAATATTAATTATGGTTTAGATCCATTCATCATGAATGTCCCCCCAAAATAAGGACATTGTACAGACGCTGAAGATTTTTACAAAGCTTCTAGTTGTAGAGATGAGGAAACTGAGACATTGAGGGAGAGGAAGGACTGGCCCTAAGACCCACAGGCAGGAATATGGCCAGCAGCCAGGTGTCCCAACTCCTCTGTGGGCTGGATCCCGATGCTCCAATCCTCAGCTCCTACGAGGGCCCTGGCTGGGGCAGATTCCAACCTGCAACACCCTCAGCTGTGGGAATCCTGATGTCTGTGTCACCAGGGAGCCTCCCCCAAACACTGCCCATCTGGAACATAACTAGTACCCAGAGGGCTTCCAGTAGAGGGCTCTGTCCACAGCAGGCACTCAGTAGAGCCCCAGGCATGACTTGACCCAGTCACATCTTTGCTCTGGGCCTGTTTCCTAAAGTGGAACAAAATGGTCTTTAAGAACCTTCTAGTTTTTATATTCCATGGTTTCAAGAACTGGGTTCAATTAACCATGCAGTGGCTAGAAATCTCAGGTAACTGGAATCTTTCCCAGAAATTCCCTCCCTGGGAGAAATAGGCAGAGCTCAAGCAAGTAATAACCATCCACTGTCCTTTGCAGTTCTTCCTGGTTTAGCAGGTGTTTGGGATCATTTCATCCCCTTGGCTACTCCCCTACATTCCTGACCAGCAGACTGAGACTCAGAGCCACCTGAGGTTTTCCCAACCAGGACCAGAGCTCAGAATGCAGGTGAGAGTCAGCACTGAGAACAGTGTTGTGCACAGGGCACAGGTTCCACAACAACCCCCCCACAGGAAGCCCAAGCCAAGACACAAAAGTTTGGCCAAGAACGGAGCCCTGGATCAGGAGCCTGGAGGCCTGGGATAAAGCCTGCACTCTCCACGTCCCTGACTGGCTCAGCCGGGGGGCCTGTCAAATGAGGTGATTGGATAGCAGATCCCACTCCCTGATAGACTCTTACAGCTCCTAACCCTCCCAGAGCACCCAGCACGTGGGACTGGGTCTATAATCTCTGGGCCCTGCACCCCCAGAAGACACAGATAATGCCTTTGTTTATCCTTATGTCTTCCTAAGTCCAACCACAGACCAAAGCAGAATAGGCTTTCCAGAAATGTTTAAGGGGAGGAAGAAAAGAGGAAGGGAGGGAAGGAGAAAGGGGAGGAGGCAGGGAGAAAGGAAGGAGGGAGGGAGACAGGTTGCCAGGCAGGTAGGCTGAAGTCCTCCTCCCAGCACTAACATCCTATGATTCCACAAAGCTAAGTTCTAAGGCAGTTAGTTCACCAACAGTGTCTCTTAGACACCATCCCATTTATGGTGGAAACACCACAGGGAGAAGCAAAGGGAATTAATTTCAGATGTGAAATGATATGTGAACCCCTCTCTGCCTAAGCCCAGCTGACTGCCCCAAGCCCAGGCCCTGGGGTCTGCTGTGAGAAGTCCCGCCTTCACAGCGGAAGCCTCAGTGATGCTGGTGTCGGAGGCCACAACTCGTTTCTCTCTGCTAAGCTCACCACCTGACATGTCAGTGCTTTCCAGCCCAGAGCCTATGGTTCCGACTGAGGAACACGATACAGCAGGATTCTGCAGGATTCAGAGACATGAGAGGAAGAGGTCTTTATAAATAACTCCTGGTTTAAATGGAGCTGAAAATAGGAAGACAAAAGAGGAAGCCAATTGCTAAGCACTTATTGAGTCAATAACATTGGCTTGGAAGCCATAGTGCAAGTGGCTGGTTTGGTTTATTTCCTTCTCATCAAAAGAGCTAACGCAGGATTGAACCTGGGGGCACCAAGACCGCATGTGTGTCCGAGGATGTGTCTGAAAGGATGTGGTGCTTCTCAGATGATGATGTCTCGACTAAGACATAACCCAGGCCTTGGGTTAGATCTCTCGGTGTCACAGAAGAACCTGTCGGGTGGTGTGGCTTGGCTGTTAAGTCCCTGGACCTCTTGAGATCACTTTCTTCACTGGAAGGTCTAGTCACTGGGTTGGCTTCTAAGCTCTGAGATTTAGATAGCAATTCATAGCTAAGTCTTCGATATAAAACACAGGAACCAAAAGTGTGAATAAAATCTTGACTGTGCTCAAGTGTCCTGTGAAGTGTCCTGTCTCCACTCTCAATTCCATTCTCTGTAGGGTCTTCCTTCAGCTGCAACAAGGGCCTGCAGTTTGTGCTCTCTCTCGGATGACAAAATTGGGTGGAAATGTGCTTTATTCACTTGCCGTCCCCAGGGCCCCTGATCTTGGGGTGTGGCCCAGCAGCATGCTAGCCAGGGCAGGTGGACGCACTGGGCGGATGCACCGGTGGGGGCCAGGCCAGGAGGCTCAGCACAGAGCTGACTCTGCCCCGGTTCCTAACCCTGCCTCCCTACCCCAGGATCCAAGTACAGAGCTGAACAATGGAGGGAGAGACAGCCTGAACGCCAGGACCCCACGCTGCCCGGTTCGGGGCTCCCAGTTCCACCAGGAGGGACAGCAGGAGAGGGGGCGCCGCTTGCCGGGCAGCCTGGCTGGCAGCCATCAGCAGCAGCTGCAGGTGCCCGTGTGCACGCGGAGGATGCCTCGGCTGTGCAAGTGCAGGAAGTTGAAGATCTCAGAGGGCATGGCGTGGAAGCCGGGACGCGGCTTGACGTTGTCATAGTAGTGGTGAGTGATGTAGAGGCCCGAGGGGTTCATGGGGAAGGCCCAGAAGCCAAAGAGGTGCACCTCCTCACAGAGCTCCAGCGCCGCAGTGACCAGAATGAGGCCGGTGCTGATGCGCTTGGCGCGCACCCCCAGGCTGAGCCAGTAGCGCGACACGTTGACCAGGTACTGCGGATGGAAGTAGTAGACAGCTTGCGGCGATTCGAAGTCGTCCAGCACGTACTTGACGCGGATGGACACGTCGGTGTTGCGCGTGTTGTAGAAGGCAGGCAGCAGCACCGACGCGTTCTCGTACACCTGCAGCACGCGATAGAACGGCCGCCGCCACTTCTCCAGCTTGTGGAACCTACACAGGGCGCGAGTGAGAGGTGAGCACCCACTCCTCCGTGCCCTCAGGCCCCTCGCTTCCCCACCCTTGCACCCTGGGGCTTTGCAAAGGACGGAAGGGACTCATAAGGCCACCTGCCTCCTGACACCTCACGCACCTGTGCAGATGAAGGTGAGAACTCTCTCAGGGGCAGTTGAGTTTTTTAAGTGGGTGCAGGAGAGGGCAGTTGGGATCCAAAGGGACAGATATCCAGGGTGTGGCTGCAGGGGGCAGGGCAATGCTGAATCCAAAAGGATGAGGGTGGCCCAAGGGAGGCTCAGAAGGGAAGTGGCTGCGGGAGTGGAGGCTTGCTCTAGAGGCCTCACGCCATTCACCTGTACTGTCATCCCCAAGCTCCCCAGGGACAAACCCCAAATGCAGCTGCCTGTCTTGGCTCAGACGCTTCCTCTCCTGCAGCCTCCGTTTCTCTCTCACACACTAGTGTGTTGTTATTTTTAGAGACACGGTCTTGCTCTGTCATCCAGGCTGGAGTGCAGTGGTGCAATCATAGCTCTGTGCAGCCTTGAAATCCTGGGCTCAAGCAATCCCCCCACCTTAGCCTTCTGAGTAGCTGAGACTACAGGTGTGCACCACAACACTTGCCTATTTTTTTTTTTTAATTTTTTGTAGAGACCAGGGACTAGCTATGTTGCCTAATTTGGTCTCGAACTCCTGGCCGCAAGCCACACTCTGGCCTCAGCCTCCCAAAGTGCTGTGGTTATAGGCATGAGCCACCACACCTGGCCCCATTTCTTTACATTAAGCAGCGTTCCCTCTTGGGCCCTCTCTGACTTTGCTGTCTCTTCCCGCCCCTTAAATAGCTGCTCCCTGGGCATCTGATCCAATTCAATGACCCCCTCCTCTCATCTCCCACTGTCCCCTCCTCTTACATGTCCTCTGACCTGGTTGGTGTGGCTACGCCCGGGGCTAGGGTTTCAACACTTCCCCTAAAACCTTCCAGATGAACCCCAGGAGGGGAGCCAGGAGGGGAGCTGAGATCTCAGTGTGAGCTTCTCCCCAGTACCTCCTGGACACAGCCAGGTAGGGAGCTGCCTGCCCTGGTCACACCCTGGAAAGCTGACCCACCCATCTCTAGGTGAAGGTAGTGTAGACCAGCACCGTCCAAAAGAACTAATGCAGGCCACATATGGAATTTAACAATGTCCGAGTAAGCACATATGAAAAAATGGAAATGGGTGAAGTTTTTATATTTTCTTTAACCCACTATTTCGAAAATACTATTACTTCAACGTGTAATTAATATAACAAGTTAATTAGATATGTTATCCTGTTTTTGTATTAAGTCTTTGAAACCCAGTGTGTGTTTTACACTCACAGCCAGCACACCTCCAGACTAACAACACTTCCAGTGCCCAGTAGCCGCATGTGACTATTGGCTACCATTTTGGACAGTGCAGCTCTAGAAAGAGGGCCACTGACCTCTCTGTGATGATGCTGGGGTTCACAGTGACCACATCCGTCTTCACCCCCACATCCATGGTGTACTTCTCTGAGATGGGGGGCAGGTTGCACCTGCAGAAGAGAAAAGGCAGCCCAAGGTGGTTGGTCATTCAATAGGTCAGGCTGGGGAGGGTGCAGGGGGAGGGGAGGGATGGTGATCATGTGGGCAGAGGGATGCAAAGGCAACCAGCTAGGCAGGTTCTCTGTAGCCAGGTGATAAGACAGTGGTCCTTCTGCTCCTTATCAGGCACTAGGACAGCCAACAGGCCTTGCTGAAGTTCCAGACACATGGGGCAGAGAAATCACTGGTTGTAAAATGCAGTTACAAGCTTGGGTAGTCCCTGGACCTTTGGAGGATGGGATTATGGCTCTTAGAGGACAGGTGGCTGGGGAGCATCTCCTTTCCTAGGGAGCCAAGACTTCCCTGAGGAAGCAATGCTTGAGCAGAGGTCTGAAGGAGGAATTGAGCAAATGTCCTGTGGCAGGAGAAGAGCTACATAAACATGCGATATGTTCGAAGATGCATCTTAGAAATGCAACACATATTGCATGCAAAAGCAAGTTGCCACCATTTGTAGAAAGCCCCATAGTAGGAAGAGTAATAGCCCCCAAAGGTGTCCATGTCCTAATCCCTGGAACCTGTGACTATGCAGCCTTACGTGGCAGAAGGGACTCTGCAGCTGCAATGAAGTTTAGGATCTTGAGATGGAGCCATTGCCCTGAGTTATCTGGGGGAGTCCAGTGTCATCACAAGGGTCTTTATAAGAGACGATGTGACAACCAGGGAGAGAGAAGAAAGTATGTGGCAACAGAATTGGAGTCAGAGAAAGAGACTGAAAGATACTCCACTGTGGGCTTTGCCATGAGCCAAGGAATGCAAGGAGCTTCTAGGAAATGAAAAAGGAAACAAATTCTCCCTGAGAGCCTCCAGAAAGGAATGCAGTTCTGCAGACATCTTGATTTTAGTCCAGTGAGACTTCTGACCTCCAAGACTGTAAGATAATAAAATCTGTGTTGTTTAAACCACTAATTTGGTGGTATTTTTTTATAGCAGCAATAGGAAACGAATACGGCCCTAAACAAGCATAGTTTAACAATACATTGTTCAGGGGTACATCTACATATGACAAAACAATTTTTAACAATGAGAGAATGATTAAGTACTCAATTCAAGGTAGCGATACCTTCAGGGGGAAACGGAGGTAGAATGGGAAGGAGCACACCAGTTGATACAAAGGCACCATACAAACATTCAACTTCTTAAATCAAGTGGTTGGTCTACAAATATTCATTTTATTGTTTTGCTTCATACTTATGTGGTACAAATATTCTTCACATCAAATACTACATAATGAATGAATAATAAATTTTGAAATAAGCAGGTGTTAGCTGGTTGAATGTGGAACTCATGAGCATTCCAGACACAGGTCCTGTGCAAAGGTCCTGTGGTAGATGAGAACAGGAAGCACCCAGGAGTGACTGTGGCCCGGTGACTGGAGCACAGGCAAGGTGGGAGTGGTACAAGCTGAGGGCAGAGAGGGAAGAAGGGGCCAGACTATAAGGGACGGTGGGCCATGTGAAGAATGCGGTCTTTCGTCAAGGGGAAGCCATGGGTTTAAGGAATAATTGTGCAGAAGAACCCTATTCTATAACAGGACCAGGACTGTCACCTACTTTATGATCCAACCATACCCCTCTCTATCAGACCACTATGAAAGGCAGGTTTTATATTGTCCTTAAAGATTGAGTGCGGGAGGGGGTGGGGTGTGTGCAGTCAATTACCATTTTTTTGAGCATCTGTGGCATGCCAGGAACTTTCATAGGATTATATGAGACATCAATAACCTTGGGTGGCAGATATTAGGCTCACTGTGTTGCAAATGAGAAACCAGGCATTCAGAGGGTCAAGGGACTTGCTGCTATTAGGTGGTCAAGGCAGGGTGGAGGACGGGCCTGTCTGACTCCAAGCCTAGGTCTCGTTCCTAGTGCAATAGCATCTAGGACATGCCTAGAACAGGACGGAGTCTCAGGGCATCTTGGCGTGCACATACAGGCACCCAGCAAGGCTTTGCTGCTGCTGTACTGCTATGATGATGATGACGATGAGGATGGAAGGGCCCACAGCATCTCCAAAAGTAGCACAAACAACTGTGTGCTCTCACAGATCTTAACAGATCTTAGGTGGTGGGACAAGAGACCAGCCCCTCCGAGGGAGACATTTACTATCATATTATCGAGCTAGAGAAATGACATGGTATCACAGAAAGAATGCAAGACCAGAAGTGTATCCCATTTCTGACTATGAATAGCCCCATGACCCTAGCAAGGAATATCATCCCCTCCCAAAAAATTGTTTTTTATCTGTAAAATGAGAGGAATATTTTAAAATAACATTTTCCTTATAATAAAACTTAGTATGTGTCCTGCAGTGTTTGAAGATTTTAAACATATTAATTCATTTATTCCTCATACTGACCCCAAGGGGTAGTTACTATTATCATCCTCATCTTTCATTTTAGGAGATAAAGGCAGAGTGGCTAGGTAACTTACGCAAAGTAACACAGCTTTTTCTAACTCAAACCAGGCTCCCCAGCTTCAGAGCCTGTGGACAGAACCACTATACGCTCCACTTCTTAGCCCTGAAAATCACACAAGTCCATTCTTTCATTCACGCCTTCATTCCTTCATTTAAGACTAATTTTTCTGAGTAGTTATGTTGTGCCAATTACATCAGTTACTGTAAACAGAAGTTCTCTTTGTGTTTCCAGCCTGCAAGAGCGAGACCACTCAGCGGGTCCCTGGTTATAGGGTTAGGTTGTTAAAGGCCTCATGATAGGTGGACACCAGGTTCCGTGGGAGCCCAGAAAAGGGTGCAAGTGGGTTTAGCCAGGGAAGGAGTGGGTGATTCTTGAGCTAAGCTTGGAAGGACAAGCGGCAGTTGGCAACGCAGGATGTAGGGGCTGGGGAGACAGCATTCCAGGCAGAGGGAACAGGACCTGGAAGCGCAGTTGCCGGCACTAACTGGGCTCTAATGGTGTGTCCAGTGCTGGAGGTACTAAGAGCTATACAATCATTATGTGATTTAATCCTATAACTGATGGAGCTGCTATCCTTATCCCCATTTTGCAGATGAGGAAACCAAGGCCCAGAAGGGGGACATGACATTCCTGAGGTCATGTGCCTAGCAATGCTGGAGCCTGGATCAAAGTTCAGGGAGACCCCAGAGACCTGGGCTTCTCCCCAAAAGACCATCTTGAAAGAGGCTTTCCTTGCCTTTCCTGGCAGGAATGTGGCTGGGCTAAGGAGTCAGTGAGGGCCAGAGATTTCGGTGTTGGAGGAAGCTTAACCTTCAATTCTGGACTCGACTAGGCGTCCACAGGGAGCACATGGGCAGACTCCAGATCACAGAGAGAGGTGTGTCTCTCACACTCCGCCTGTGACAGCAGGTGACGCAGGGTGTCCAAGGCTTCCTTCTTCTAGAGACAGGGGCTGGGGTTGGACAGCCAAGAACCCGAAATATGCAGGAGTCCCTTTATTTAAGGACCTCAAATCACACCAAACCTGCTCTACCCTCCCTAACCTGACACCAACTGAGTGGCCCGATGATTGTGGATCCATGCTTCATGCGACCCCACTGCAGACTCAACCCAAGTCTCTTTGCTTTAAGCTTTTATTTTCAACCCACCTTCTTCACCCCAGCTAAAGATATAAATGAAGATCCACAAAGAGATAAGAGGGGGGCTTTACGGAAGGAAGAAGTGCAAGGACCAGTCTCTGGCTTAGTTAAAGCCAGGGTGAAGCCAATATTGGTGTCTGCCACAAGGCTTCCCTGGTTCCAACCACTGCTTCTGGAAGGGCAGCACCCACCCAAGGAGACGGTGCCCAGAGGACCTCCCGACACAGCTGCAAGCTCCTAAGTCCTCAGTGCCTTCAAATCTGTGATGTCCTTTGCTCTTAACACATCTCCCATTGTGCAGATGTGGAAACTGAGGACCTAGGAGTTCAACGACTTCCCCAAAGGGATGGGGCTGGAGAGAAGAAGGGATATCCCAGACCTGAGGGTCTGCAGGGGTGGGAAGTGGGGATTACTTGCTTAAAGGGTAGCATTAGGGAACCGGGGGAAGAATATGGAGGAGAGGGCCATGGGGTAGTGGCAAGGGCAGTGCCAGGGTTTCTTTTACCGGAAGACGAAGTCGGCGCTGTTGATCTCCCTCCCGCAGCGGCTGTTCTTCAAGATGCCTCCGTTGCCCACTACAGCACACTTCTTAAACTGGGACCGGTAGTAGGGCATGTCCTGGGGGAGGCACAGGCACAGCTGTCAGAGCCAAGCCACCCCCTGCCTCGACCTGCTACTCTCACCTCTGCAAGCACACCCACCTATATTAGCTCCTGGTCCCAAGAGGCAGCCTTGTGGGGAATGTGGGAGGAAAGCGGCTTTCCACTTTACAGATGGGAAGAGTGGTTGAGAGTCTTGTTACTATTAGATGGCACCAAAGGCCACTCCCATCCCTGAAGCCCAGGGCCTGCTGGGCAGCTTTCCTCCTGGCACACAGCGGCTGGCAGACCTGCATGAAATGGGCCAGGCCTGCAGCCTGGGCTTCCGGTGGGACCAGCAGCCTGGTGGGGTCTCATGGAGAGCCATGCTGCCCTGGGGCCATCAGGAATCAGGCTAAATTTAAGGGGGACTTCTGCGGGAGACTGTCCTTATTTGTGGTCCATTTTCCCTGGATGGACAGGCCCAGTGAGCCAAGGCGGGGAAAACAGGGGCCTCTCACAGCCAGTAGGTGAGTAAACTGCACTATTAGACTTGTACCAGAGAAAGGCAAAAAAAAAAAAAAAAATAGTCATTTTCAGAAAAATCATCAAAAGTTTATTATGTTCCATATGGCTGTTTCCTAAACTTCTGTAAGTTAAGAATTACCTGGGATACTTTCTGAAAATATAAATTTCTGGGCTCCATCCCAGCACCACAGAATCAGAGTCTCACAGATAGGAGGCTGGGAAGCTGAATTTTTTACAAAGAGATACTTACATTTAGGGAAGTTCAGGAAATGTGATTCTATGTCACATTGCTTTAATTCAGGGACAAGCGAACTACATACAGCCCGTGGGCCACATCTGGCCTACCGTCTGTTTTTGTGTAACTTGCAAGCCAGGAATGGATTTTATATTTTTAAATGGTTGGAAACAACCCAAAGAAGAAACTATTTTGTGATACATGAAAACTATGTAAAATTCCAATTTTGGCATCTAATAAGATTGAAAGTGTTACTGGAACATAGCCACTCTCATTGGTTTACTCATGTCTGTAGCTGCTTTTGTGCTAGAATGATAGAGGTGAGTAGTAGTGACAGAGAGACTATGAACTGCAAATCCTAAAACAGTTACCGCCTGGCACTTTCTGGAGAATGTCTGGTGAGCCCTGCTGTCTGTCTCTGGCCTTCAGCGGTCCATAGGCTGCTTCTCCTTGGATCTGTATGTCATACTAAGTTGTGTTACACCCACTGGCATTACCTGCGTGAGATGCAAATCCACCTGCTGTCACCAGCCTCATGTTCCAGGCCTTGTAAGACCCACCTCATAAAGGTGGCTCAGCACCATCCTCCCTTAGGGCCACAGTGATTGAGAACACATTTGACGCCGCTCACCTGCAGCTCCTCCCCCACATCCCCAGAATGCATGAGTCTTACCTATACACTTTGGTACCAGTCACAGAATGCAGGGAACTCTGGGCTTTGTTTCGCACTCAGCCAAGAAGCAAGGCAGCCAAGGCCTTCAGATTTCTTCCAAAAAGACCTCTACATGCCCCCACTCAGAATTTCTATAAACTACATTCACTGAATGCTGTCCTGGGCCCAGAGCTCTCCTGAATGTGGTTATGAACACACCCATGCAACCTTCCTCCTCTTCAGAGTCCATACGCCACCACACCTGGGTAATTGCCAGAACTGGCTGAAAGCGCAGGTTCCAGCGCCCCTTCTCTGAGAGTAGTGCGGTGAGTCTGCACCAACCGTCAGCCCAGGTGATTGCAGGTGCTCAGCATCAGTGATCTGAACAGTTCACGTCTGCAGCTCACTCACTGCGGTCCTCAATGGCCAAGGTCAGTGATCTGAACCATTCAGGTCTGCGGCTCATTCATTTTGTGGTCCTCCATGACCAGGGAGCCACCGTGCCAGCCCTGCACAGCCTACCTCCAGAATTCTTTTATGTGAAAGGAAAAAAATAAATATCTATCTTGATTAAGACTCTGATATTTTAGAAGTTCTGTTATAATCAGCCAAATCTATTCATAGTCCAAGCCCCAGTGTTACAAATAAGGAGATTGAGGCTTTGAAAGACAAAATATCTGCCCACGGTCATCAAGTGAGCTGAATCTTTCAGAGTCTAGATCTGCACTGGGTTGTTCTTTCTTGTGCTCACAACTTCTGCATGTGCGTTTGCTCTTGTGCCTACCTCAGGAGGGGGACGAATGTGTTGTCATTCTCTCCCTATCTGCAGGATATCCTCTGCAAGCAATGCAATACCCAGAATTTTCTAGTCACTTTCTCGCCAAAAGTCACTCAAATCATAGACAGTTGGCAGTCATGGTTCTCAGACAGAACCCCCAAAGAAATCCAGAGGGTGGGCTTCTGCACCTCAGACAACTGGTCAACCAGGACCAAGACAACTGAGTCCAGAGGACCGTGAGTGAGTCAGGCAAAACCCCAGGGACATTGCCACGGAGGGCTACTGCTGGATTGGCTCCCTCGCCCCACCCAGACCGCCCCCGCCCAAAGCAGCACCTTGGGAAACATGCGGAAGATCTCCTGGTTGATGTGGTAGATGCCACTGGTGTCCACCTCATACTTGAGCTTTGTCCCCAGGGGAGTGTTCTTCTGGGTGGTGAAGAGAAAGGCAGGGGCGTTGCAGCACCTGGACAGAGTAGACCTGCCAGGCAGGGAGACAGGCAGGAAAGACGTGATGCAGGAAAGATGTGATGGAGGGCAGAGCACAACCTCACGGAGAACAGAGGGGTGGAGCCGAGGCCTCTCCTGCTCACCTATCCCACGCTTGCCCCCACCCTGCATGGAGCCGAGGCCTCTCCTGCCCACCCATCCCACACACATCCCCACCCTGCATGGAGCCGAGGCCTCTCCTGCCCACTCATTCCCAGGCTTGCCCCCAACCTACACCTCTGCTCATGCAGTCCCCTCCCTTTTCAACGCCTCTCCCAAGGCCCCTGCCTTCTGCCACTCATTCAGGGCCCAGGCCAGGCTTCTTTCCATGAAGCCCCACCCAGCTGCCCCTGTCTGCACTGTATGGAACTCCTCGACGGAGCCTGAGTCCTGGCCACTAATAGAGGGTAAGGAGGAGCTTTCCAAAGAGCTCCCAGCCAGGCCTGGCATGGAAACTTGGGCTGCCGTCCTGGTGTCAAGAGGCCTGGATTCTTGCTTCTGCTCTGCCCCGACCAGTTGTGAGGCTACTGGAAGGTCTCTCTCTTTCTCTCTGGGCCCTAGTTTCCTCATACAGGCTTGGCTCTTCTACCTCTAATCCTCTGTAATTTGTGATTCCAGCTTGCAAAAGCCAGGAATGTTTTATGATTTTTTTTTTTTTTTTTTTGAGACAGGGTCTCACTCTGTCACCCAGGTTGGAGTTCAATGGTGCGATCTCGGCTCACTGCAATCTTCGCCTCCTGGGTTCAAGTGATTCTTCTGCCACAGCCTCCCAAGTAGCTGGGATTACAGGCAAGCACCACCATGCCTGGCTAATTTTTTTTTTTTTTTTTTTTAGTAGAGTCAAGGTTTCTCCATGTTGGCCAGGCTGGTCTCGAACTCCTAACCTCAGGTGATCCACCTGCTTCAGCCTCTCAGACTCCCAAAGTGCTGGGATTACAGGTGTGAGTCACCATGCCTGGCCTATAATGTTTTTTTTTTTAATTTCATCTCTTGCAGGTACTTCACTGGGAAGCCTAGCTGGCTCCCAGTCACAGAGAGCAGAATTTCCTGTGGAGAGCTGGGTTTCAGAATGTAACAGAAGCTTCCCAGAGAGGAGACCAGAGGCCTGGCAAGGCAGGGCCATGGATTGGCATTACAAACTGGCATCTGGGCCTTTTAGCTTTGCTAGTTCAGAAGCTCAGTCTTGTCAGCCCACTGGAGATCACTCCTATTGAGGGATACTGACTCACACTAACCAAGCTCATAAGTGACTGATATACAAACCAGAATGTCAGTGTGCCTATTTGTAGGCAGCAGGGTGGGAGAAGGCCTGTTACAGGATTCATTTCCTGTAATTCGAAAGCTCATGCCTGCCTTCTAGCACCCACCTGACACTCCCTCATGGCACCAGGTTCCTGCCAGCCTGAATGAAGCATCTCATCATTGTTCCATGAGCTTGAAATGAGAGCAAAGGGAGGCAATGACCAGCCTGGAAGGTTTTCTCACTTAGAGCATGGCAAGGCCTGATGTCACTGCCTTTTCTCACACCTGAAACTGCTCCACACCCCTCATGCCCAGAGCTCCACCCCTGCACTGTGCTGTCTTGTCCCTGCCAAAGGCTCCCACACTCATCCCTGTTTTTCTCTTGCCACATCATTTCCCTATTGCTTCATGTTTCCTGAGATATGTGAGTCCTGCTGCTGAGACTTTTTTTTTTTTTTTTTTGAGATGGAGTCTCGCTCTGTCGCCCAGGCTGGAGTGCATTGGCATGATCTCCACTCACTGCAACCTCCACCTCCCGGGTTCAAGCAATTCTCCTGCCTCAGCCTCCCAAGTAGCTAGGATTACAGGTGTGCACCACCACACCTGGCTAATTTCTTTGCATTTTTAGTAGAGACAGGGTTTCACCATGTTGGCCAGGCTGATCTTGAACTCCTGACCTCAGGTGATTCACCCGCCTTGGCCTCCCAAAGTGCTGGGATTATAGACGTGAGCCACCATGCCTGGTCCACTGCTGAGACTTCTATTCTGCCCTAAGTCTGGACAACAGGCTTTTGCCTCTCACTGACCTGGTCCAGGCTGAGTGTTTTATCAGCCATACTCTCAGTGTGTCAGGTCTCACTCGCCCCCAGGGGCACCTCTGTGCAGTGTGCACAGTAACATTTCTAAGGGGCCAATTGGCAGCACAGATTATGGTTCTATTCTCTACTCTCCCAGCACTTTGCTCAAGCTCATGTTCTGTTTCTTATGATAGGTGAGTCTCTGCAAACTACTGTCAGGCCTTTGCTTGGTTTCTGTAGTCTCCCAGAGGCCTCTGGCACCTGATCTTCAAGTGTTATCACTTTAAACATTCGCATTTCTAAAAATGTGCCTCTTAAAACTACTACTCTACCTCTAGACTTGGTCTGGAGCTGCAGCAAATTGGAACAAATGATTTATAAAGAAAAAGCTTAGTCATCTTTGCTTTTCACAATCTTGTGCAGGACTCCTTCATGCTTAGAGCTCCTCAGTACATTTAAACTTGGACCTGAGTGCTGAAATCCAGTATAGACACAAATTGCCAGATTACATCAACTCCATAAAATAAGGTCTACCTGCACTAAAATAATCCCATAAGCTTACAGAACTTTAGAGATGGAGAAGACCCTAAAGTTCACCATCCATCAAAAAGAATTTTTGGACATCTGTTATTTGCAGAGTTCCCACAGGACAACTTTAAGATCCAGCTCTTACCTCTCTGGAAGTTTATAATCTGCTCATTTTGGTTAGAGAGCATTTATAAAATAATCTGCAGCAGGGCTCAAATGTCTCGTGGAGGCTGGAAGAACTCAAATGCTCTGAGAAGGAGAGAAGCTACTGGGTCAGAGCCGCTGCCCCAGGACAGGGGAGGTGAGGACCAGGAGGCTATAGAGGATGCGTAATGCACCTTCACACAGGCCTGCTGGAGACCGCCCACACATGCTTCCCTGCTAATAGCTTCAGTGAACCTCAGCTGTGTACTGGAGATGGCACCACCAACCTCACAAGGCTGCTGCAAGGACTAAGGGAGAGAAGGTGGAGGATAGCACCTGGGCAAGGTGCCTGCCTCAGCCTGCATGTTGAATCAGATCTCCCCCACTGCCCGGATTCCTAAGCCCAGTCAGGGTCTGCTCTGGGGAAGATGCACGCTGAGAGCTGGGCCTTGCAGGACAATGGAGACCAGAAGAGGTGGCAGTGAGGAGAATCATACAAGGAGAAGGGAGGACAGACGAATCATAGATACTTGAACTGGTTGGCCTCAGAGATGTTCATCGCCCATTTGCACATCTGGAGGCTCTTCCACCTGTCGAACAGCTCTGACTGCTTCACCCTTGGGAGTAGAGGACAGAAGAGTACATGAGCAGGGTAGGCGGGACAGAGCGCGATCATTCCCAGAAATGCTCCCTCCTGATCTCCCATAGGCCAAGTCCAGTCCTGGGGCTGGCCCTTGGCATTGACCATGTTTTCTTCTCTTTCTTTGTTTCTTTTTTTTTTTTAAGACAGGGCCTCACACCGATGTACAGGCTGGAGTGCAATGGTGTGATCTCAGCTCACTGCAACCTCCGCCTCTGGGGTTCAAGTGATTCTCGTGCCTCAGCCTACCGAGTAGCTGGGCCTACAGGTGCACCACCATGCCTAGCTAATTTTTGTACTTTTTGGTAGCGATGGGGTTTCACTATGTTGGCCAGGCTGGTTTCGAGCTCCTGACCTCAAGGGATCCTTCCGCTTCGGTCTCCCAAAGTGCTGGGATTACAGGTGTGAGCCACCGTGCCCACCTGGTATTTTCTTATTTTCTATATTCCTGATGCTCTGGCACCTGGTGCCTTGCTAATTCCTAGTTAGCAAACAACTGTCCTGCAAGTGTGCCTTTCATGTGCAAACCAACCAATCAGAGCCCACACCCTCAACCACCTCCTCACTGACAGGCCACCATCCCCTCCCCACCCCCCACCCTAATCATCCCAGGGCCAGGTATCGGACAAACAGAGGCAGTCCCTATGCCTCAGAGCCTGCCAGAATTATTCAAACTAGCCAATCCTAAACCTGGCTACCCTGCCGACCCTGCCTTATCCATTCCCTCCCCTGAAAACCTCAATAGTCTCACCCACACTTTCCCCTCACTGCTGCCTCCTGACCGGCCCTGGGGCTGCCCTGCAGGGCATGCCTCCTGTTTCTAGGGATCTGTGAGTATAACGTCTTACTTCATGATGGTCATTTTCATGTCTGCGTGTCCTACTGTACCTGATTAAAACAAATCCCAGAAACACTTTGAAACCTTCTCCCTCACGTGCCCACCCCCCAGGGCCTGCATAGTTCTCTTGGGAACATCTGTCTATAAAGAGAGTCAGACCCCAGTGGAACACCCATCAAACACCCACACAGTTCAGCACACAGTAGGGCTCATGAGCAGGGCATGCCCTTCTCTTTCTCCCTTCTCAAGGGTGGATCACAGTTTCCAAATGACAGAAAGGATGAGATGAGAAACCTGAGACTGCCCCTTCTCCCTGAAAAACCCTCGGCCAGCCTCTATGCTAGTTGGCATTTAAACATCTCAGCATCATGACATTCTAAAGCACTCTCAGGAAAGGGAACGTCTAAACCACACAGCATTCTCCCTTTGACCGAAACCTGCAAAAAGAACTCATTTTTAATTTACACATTTACATCGACTTATTTATAATTATGCATACATATAATCATTTCAGTGCTGTATCCCCAGCTTCTAGAACAGTGCTTAGCAAAATATAGATACTTGATAAATATTTATTGAGTGAATGACTGAGCCAAATCAAAAATACAAATTCCCACAAACACTAACTGACCAATATGAGATCCTCATGTACATTAACCTCAAATAGTCGCTCACCCTTCTTATCAGTTTCTCCCCTCTTTCAGCAGTGCCTAAGCTCAGAGCCAAGTCCACATTCCCAAGCTCTCTCTGTCACAGATCCGCTTTAGCATCTCCATTACCTATCCCTATCTTTAGTTACTCCTTCCGCATTTCAGTTAAGAAATTGTTCCTTGCATCCTAACCAATTCCTTCCTGCTTTCACTTACACTTGGTTTTGCGGGTGATTCTCCTATTCTACAGAAATGTCCAGAATTCTCTAGGATCCCAGCTGTTGAAGGTTCCACTGAGGCCCTGGCCTGGTGAGAGTCATGAGATCCAGAAAGATCCAGGAAGCTCCTCAAGCCAGGCCAGCACCCACTCCTTCTTAAGGAAGGGAGCACAAGACACATTATACAATTGGGCGAGCCCTTCCTGATGAACTCCAGATCTTTGGCAAAGAATTATGCATCTTTTTTTTTGTTTGTTTTTTAAGGTGGATCCTATGGTCAAATATAGTTGGGGAAAGCTGAGCTAAATAAAGTTAAATGCTTTTCTTTACTGCAAGACTTCTCAGATCCCTTAATATGTCTCATATATTGTGAATTTCCAAGAAAATTATTGGATCGTCTTTTTCCATTGAGTAGTTCGAAAAATTGTAATTCTACAGTAAAACTGCGAAATGCAGACAGATCATACACTCCTTAAAGGCAGCACCATGATTTCTCTCTCTTGATCATGCACAGTCCCCACTTTAGGGCCAGGCATTCTGTAGCTGTTTGGGGTCACCTGGCTGTGGCCCACTAAGAAGCTCATTAGTCTTGGGTGCTGGTGCAGACAGGAGCCCTTGAAAGGAAGCTGTCCTGTTTGATCATAAATGGGAAAGTGACCAGCCTTCAGGAGCTGAGTGTTACCAAGAAACTACTATCACTGTGGCTCTTACCCTGGGGTCCACTGAAGGGCTAAAGGAAGTGCCTGTACCCCCCGATTTTGTTATAGGCAAAATCCATGTCTATCCACCCACGTGCATATCTTTGGGGAGAATCTGAAGCTTTCTTCAGGTTCCTACAGGGGTCCATTATTTAAAAAAAAAAAGCAAATACCCACTTTAAAAACCCTTTTTAGGCCGGGCGCAGTGGCTCACGTCTCTAATCCCAGCACTTTGGGAGGCCGAGGCGGGCGGATCATCTGAGGTCAGGAGTTTGAGACCAGCCTGGCCAACATAGTGAAACCCTGTCTCCACTAAAAATACAAAAATTAGCCGGGCATGGCAGTGCGTGCCTGTAATCCCAGCTAGTTGGGAGGCTGAGGCAGGAGAATCGCTTGAACCCAGGAGGTGGAGGTTGCAATGAGCCGAGATTGTGCCATTGCACTCCAGCCTAGGCGACAGAGCAAGAATCCATCTCAAAAGAAAAAAAAAAAAAACCCTTTTTAAAAAAAGGGTTCATTTTGTAGAGGCATGTCCTGTGTTTAATTGGAGGTGGTAACAGTTGTCCTCAAACAAGGCAAGCCTCCCCTATAGGAAGAATACATAGCTGGCAGGGGAGGGGTGATTGCAGGAAAAGTCATGGAAGATAGTAACTAAATACATGGATTTTGGAACTAGTGGGACTTGGGCTAAGACCTAAGTCTTAGTTCAGATAGCTGCCAACTATGAGACCTCAGGCTGGTTATTTAACCTCTCTGAGTCTCAGTTTTCTCATCTATAAAATGGATGTAATAATAGTCTCTTGCCCTCCCAAATTTGTTGAAATAATTAAATAGGATGATGTGATAAAAGACTAGGCATGGCACCTGACACACAGAAAGCATCCAGTACATATAAGTTATTAGTATTGTTACACTGAACTGCCCTGACTATGCTCACTCACAGCCCCCTGTACTTTCCACTTTTGTAAAACCTATGACCTATCATGATTCCTGATCTTTCCCACTAGACAGTAAATACCATGGGGGCAGGGGATCAAGCCTACGCTCATCACTGTAACTCAAGTGCTAAGGCACATAGCAGATGCGTGGTAAATATTTGTTGAGTATACCAATAAGTTAATGAATTAATTGAAACACCTGAGTTCAAATCAAGTCTCACTATTTGTTGAGTTATCTCCATATGGCAGGAACTAGAAATACAGTAGTGAACAAAACAACCCCTTGCTTCCATGGAGCTTACACACCAATTGGGGAGGAAAATGGAAAACAAATATATAATGCCTTGCCAGGAAGTGGCAAGTGCCAGGAAGGAAAGTGAAGCAGGTTAAAGGGACGGGGAAGTGACTGTTTCAGACTGAGTGATCAGGGAAGGCTTTCCTGAGGAGGAGAACCTTGCACAGAGACCTGAAATGACACAGGAGTGAGCTGTGCAAATATCTGGGAAAAGTGTATTCCGGGCTGAGAGAAAAGTGAGTGCAAAAGCCCCAGCCTGGCAGCTTTCCTCCTCCCACCCTGGCTGACAGAAGGCAAACCTTCCTTCCAGCTTTCCCAAACCTCCCCTCTCAGGACCTCACAGGGTATGAGGGAGAGGTGCCATCATACAGCAACACCCTGGCTCACCCACTGCCCCCTGCCCCTTCCCACTCTCTGCAATCCACAGGCCCCTAGAGCAGCCCCCTATATGGCCACTGCTTCAAATGCCTTCTGGAAACACAGCCCTGGCAAAACTCTAGGCGGGGTTCCAAGCTCTACTGTTACCAGCGTCTGGGCCCTACTCTCTCTGCCTCCAATGCCCTCATCACACCCTGGACCAAGGTCAGGGCCTGGGACACCCAGCCTTGAATCCTGGCACCATCCCAATCTTGCAATGTAACCTTGGGCAAGTCATTTAATCTCTCTGAGACTCAGCTGCTTTATCTGTAAGTTGGATATAACGGCTGGCTGCTGCCCTTCCAGTCTTAAAGGTTGTCAGAGAGCTCAAATGGAATATGTGTAAAAAGATTTTACAAATTGCTTTACAAATGCAGAGATCTTTAAAGATGAAGGGTTGACCCCAGGCACTTTTCTCCTTTCTCCCAAGACACCACTAACATTCCAGAAGAGGAATTAAAAAAGGTACAAGCCCATAGATGAATAGAATGACAGGGAAGGGCATCTCAGTAGAAGAGAAATTTCAACAAGTGTATGGAAGTACAAGAGAGTAGCACAAGGACAGGATGACACAGCCCAAGTACCTAGAGCCAATCTGCACATGGAAAATTCTAAGAGGTGGGTGGAGGATGGGGAGGGAGCATGGCCCTAAAAATGAGAATCAGTTGTGAGTCTGTAAGCAGAACCATCAAGCCTACACTCCCCCTACCCCACCAAAAACCATGGCAGCCAAATGCTTAATGTCCAGCAGAGGAGGAGGAGAGATGGAATCAGACTATTAGTTCCTCTGTTAAAAAAAAAAAAAAAAAAAGGTATCATTTACAGTTAAAAGATCTGGCCGTTCTAGCAACAAAAGGGCCAGGAGCATCATGAACAACTTCAGACACAGAGCTCCTATCAGTTTTTATTTCAAGGTTAAATATGGATAGATAGCCAAGGGTCACCTGGTCAACCTGAAGTGAGACCAAGATAACCCATCAGATAAAATGACCACAAAGACAACTATTGGAGGAACAAAACAGAACTTAAAAATATTCTACTTAGGGTACAAAGAAAGAACTCTTGTGGGGGAGGGGTTCACCAGAAGAGCTGGAAGATGAAGTCAAGGGATTTTCCCAGTATGTGGAAGCAAAAAGAGGAGAGAAAAAAGATAAAATTAAAAGATATGACCAGCCTGAGCAATGTAACAAGATCCCATCTCTACAAAAAAATGTTTGAAAAACATCAGCCAGGTGTGGCTGCATGCGCCTATAGTCCCAGCTACTCAGGAGGCTGAGGCGGCAGGATTGCTTGAGGCCAGGAGTTCAAGGCTGCAGTAAGCTATGATCACACCACTGCACTCCAGCCTGGTTGACAGAGCAAGACCTTGTCTCAACAACAATAAAAAGATATGAGTACTAGAGGTACAATCCAGAAGTATAGGATTATTAGATTAAAGAGAAGAAGTAGAGAGAAATGGAGAAGAAGGAATATAAAAAGATTTGAGAGAAAGTTGAAGAGTCTGGACACAAACTCCAAATAAAAAGATTCCACATTTCAGAACTGTAAAGATTCCAGAGGAAAAAAAAATGGATACTTCCAAAGAAATAAAACAACCATTCTCATGCTTCTCATGTATCCCTAGATGCTAAAAGATGGTAGAGAAGGTCTTCAACATCCTAAGGGAAAATGATTTTCACCTAAAATACCAACCCACCAGACTAGCAATCAAACCAACAACCCCACAACCCACCACACCAACAATCAAACCAACAACCCAACAATCCACCACACCAACAATCAAAACAACCCAACACACCAGCAATCAAACCAACCCAACAATCCACCACACCAACAATCACAACAATAATCCAATAACTCATCACACCAACAATCAAAACAACAACCCAACAACCCACCACACCAACAATCAAAACAACAACCCAACAATCCACAACACCAATCAAACCAACAACCCAACAACCCACCACACCAACAATCAAAACAATCCAACAACCCAACACACCAACAATCAAATCAACCCAACAATCCACAACACCAATCAAACCAACAACCCAACAACCCACTACAACAACAATCAAAACAATCCCACAACTCACCACACCAACAATTAAACCAACGATCCAACAACCCACCACACCAACAATCCAAACAGCAACCCAACAACCCAACACACCAACAATCAAACCAACCACCCACCACGCCAACAGTCCAAACAACAATCCAACAACCCGTCACACCAACAATCAGGTAAAAGGGAAGAATCCAGTCATTTAGACACAAAAGGACTCAAAACCTTACCTCCCACCTGTCACTTCTTGGTATTTACTTGAGAATGGGTGGAAGTAAAAGGAAGAAGTAAACACAAAAGAAGCTATAGGTTCTAAGCAAAGGTGAATCCAACCTCAGAAGGCAGAGAAAAGAAGCCCCAAAACAACAGCCACATGACCCAGCAAGAGGGCAGCCAGACTGGAGCAAGATGATGAAGAGAAACCCTAAAGGGAATGCCTGACCGATGGAGAGGCAGGGAAATAGATACAGCTATAATAGAGGAAACAAGGGGAAAAAGATGGCTAGAAGCTCCAGAAAAAGAAAGAAACATGTACAAGAAAGTTGATGGAGTCCTGGTGCCTCCCTGGCCTTCAGTGAACAATATCTACATCATCCCAATAATGGAAAACACTATTTGTTATTCTTCAAATTTTAGAGTTAATCTCTAGAAAAAGCTTCAAAAAGGGCTTGGTATGGTTACAAATAGAATACAAATGTTATCGGCCTTGTCATTTTAAAAGTCAACGCATGGATGACAGAAGCGATAGGCTGGAGGGGGAACTGCAGAGTAGGAATAATTTTAATATCCTTATCTTATACAGTGCAGGATTAAGAGATACTGTTGATATTTGGTAGAACAAGAAATCGATTACTTAGGTAATCTATAGACAGACTAAAAATATTAATACCCCTCAATTGTGGAAATGTGGGAGGGAGCTGGGCACTAATTGTAATGAAATGAGAGTGATTCTCTCTTTACTCTTCTTTCTCCCTCTTTTTTTTTCTTTTTTTTTGAGACGGAGTCTTACTCCGTCGCCCAGGCTGGAGTGCAGTGGTGTGATCTCGGCTCACTGCAAGCTCCGCCTGCTGGGTTCACGCCATTCTCCTGTCTCAGCCTCCCGAGTAGCTGGGAATACAGGCGCCTGCTACTACGCCTGGCTAATTTTTTGTATATTCAGTAGAGACGGGGTTTCACAGTGTTAGCCAGAATGGTCTCGATCTCCTGACCTCGTGATCCACCCGCCTCGGCCTCCCAAAGTGCTGTGATTACAGGCATGAGCCACCGCGCCCAGCCTTTCTCCCTCTTTTCTTTCACAGCCTCCTGTTTGCACCCGGGTCTCACCCACTCCCTCTGTCCACTTATTCATTTAACACATGAGTACTGAGCTGGCATAGGGCCAGACTCAGAGATGCCGAAGCCTGGGTCCTGGCCCTCCAGGAACCTCCACCTGGCAGAGGACAGAGACTTGTGAACACTGCAATGGCACAAAAGGGGCTCCCAGTCCAGAGAGTGGGCATTTGCCCAGCTGGCCTTTGCTCCCAGCCTCTTTCTTGGTCTCAGTACTGGGCTCAGCACAGAGCTCCCAGTGGCAGAAAAATGGGGAAGGGTGACAGGAGACGCTGGCCTGGGGAATTCTCCAGCATGACCCCCATCTGGGTGTGAGCACAGGCAGCAACTGAAGATTCTTATTTTAAAATAAAGGGGCTCTAGATGACAGGTGTAAATAATTTTAGTAAGAATTAGTGACAATGAGTTTTCATAACAAATCATCATGGAGTCGTTCTTCATGTATCTGACACTGTCAGGGAGGGAGGCATTTTCCATGTGGGGATTTTCTGGCTGACTGACTTTTACCACTGATTTCAGCAATTGTGGATCAGAATTGTTCCCAGATGAACCATACACCTCCCTGTCTCCTCAAACAAAACACCAGCTGACATTCTGCAGGCCCGAAGGGGCAAAGCACATCCATCAGCCCCTCCATTCACAGATGGACTTTAACCTTTTCCCAAAGACTGAGGGTTGGACCCTCTATGAGTCCTCCTCATGGCACTGGGCTGGAGCACAGTGAAGCCCCCGGGTCCCAAGATAGTGTCAGAACCACTCAGATCAGAGGCCGGCCTCTGCAGCTCTCTGATTTCAGCCCTGGAGGACCTGCTGACCCTCAGCTTGGGGACTCAGGAAAGGAGGCACACACACTCATGCCCCAGGAACAGCCCAGCCTCTCGTTCCCTCTCAGACTCCCAGGGCTTGGGGTCACAGAGAGGTAACTACTGTAGAAGAGGGAGGGCATGCAAAGCCCAGCTCAGCCAGGGGCCCCAGCTAGGATGGCTGCTCACCCTAGGAGCCCAGCCCCTGGGGACAGAGAGGGTGCCCCAAGGCAGAGATGAGAACCAAAGCCAAATGTGGAGAGGCCCAAACACCACCAATGGGAGTCCATAACAGGGACAAGTGATGGCAAGTGGAATCGATGGAAGGTGACTGTCTCTCATGTTCCTCTCTAAAGAGAGTGCAGAGACCATGGGCTAGTACAGTCAGACCATGGGGACATATGAGGTTGTCCATGACACTGAACAGTGTTTGTGTTTTGAGCTCAAAACAATGGCCCTGGGTTATTTCTAATCTGGCCCTAAATGGAAGCTGTGACAGGGGCTGTTGTGGGCTGAAGTGTGTCTCCCTAAAATTCGTATGCTTAGGTCCTAACCCCCAGGACCATATAATGAAACCGTATTTGGAGATAGGGCCTTTTTTTTTTTTTTTTTTTTTTTTTTTTTAGGTGGTGTCTTGCTCTGTCAGTTATGCTGGAGTGCAATGGCACAATCTGGGCTCACTGCAACCTCCACCTCCCGGGTTCAAGCAATTCTCCTGCCTCAGCCTCCCGAGTAGCTGGGATTACAGGTGCGTGCCACCATGCCTAGCTAATTTTTGTATTTTTAGTAGAGACAGGGTTTCACCATGTTGGCCAGGCTGGTCTCAAACTCCTGACCTCAGGTGATCCACCTGCCTCAGCCTCCCAAAGTGCTGGGATTACAGGCATGAGCTACCGCAGGGATAGGGCCTTTAAAGAGGTAATAAAGTTAAAATGAGGCCATCAGAGTGAGCCCTGATCCAATATGACTGATGCCCTTACAAAGAGAGATTAGAGCACAGGCAAGACTCAGACCCGGGGCAACCATATAGGGACACAGCAAGAAGAAGGCCATTGGCAGGCCAAGGAGAGAGGCCTCAGAAGAAGCCAGCTCTGCAGTATCTTCATCTCAGACCCCTGGCCTCCAGAATTGTGGAAGAATTAAGTCTTGTGTACCTTGTTACAGCAAACTGATACAGGACCTAACAGCAACATACAGAAAATACATGCATAGAGGGATGGGAAGTTCCCCAGAAGGATGACCCCATTCATAGGATTTCTTAAATCTTCCTGTCCAGACCTTCAAGGAACCATGAAGAAACTATACATTTTATAATTTAAAAAAATTAGTCAGCTGGGTGCGGTGGCTCACGCCTGTAATCCCAGCACTTTGGGAGGCCAAGGCGGGTGGATCATGAGGTCAGGAGTTCAAGACCAGCCTGATCAAGATGATGAAACCCCCGTATCTACTAAAAATATAAAAACTAGCCTGGCACAGTGGCAGGCACCTGTAATCCCAGCTACTTGGGAGGTTGAGGCAGGAGAATTGCTTGAACCCGGGCGACAGAGGTTGCAGTGAGGCGAGATGGCACCACTGCACTCCAGCCTGGGTGACAAAGTGAGACTCCATCTCAAAAAAAAAAAAAAAACAGAAATTAGTCATTTATTCTCTGAAATCTTGAAGGTGTGCTTTCAATCACAGTGCTCTGGATTTGCACAGTAAAACATGGAAGGGCCTGAAAGCTTTGAATTCTGAGAAGACAGACTCTCTGCTACCAGCTTCTGAACTTGGCTCCAACAGCCATTTTTGCCACTAAATCAAAACTCCTTGGAGGCATGTTTAAAATACCAACCAGCTCACATGCCCCAGGCCCTGCTTAAAACCATTCCCGTGGCTCTCATGGCCCTTGGATAAAGGTAAAACCCAAACCTGGGTCTGTATCATGAAGCCCCACATGGTCTGGCCCTACCTGACCCTCTAGCAATGCAGCTTCCGTGTCTTCCCCGCCGGCATTCGAGCTGCCCCATCCTTCAGAGCCCGGGACACAGCCAGCTCCCTCCTGGCATAGGGCCTTTGTACAGACTGTTCCCTCCACCTGGAGTCCTCCTGGCCTAGTTAACTCCTGTCACACTTCAGACTGGAGCTCCAGTGTCCCTTCCTCAGAGAAGCGTTGCCTGACATCCTCCCCCTAGTCCCAGCCTGGGTCAAGTTCCCTGTCACTACCCCAGCTCCTTAGGGTAACTAGCTATTAATGTCTGTCCCCCTCAGTGGCTGTGAGTTCCACAAGGGTGGGCACCACAGTGGTATGTGTTCAGCTCAGGGCTCAGTGAAACTGATAGGTGGTGTCTGTATCCCACCTTCTCTGGAGAGGGTACAGAGACCATGGGTTAGTACAGGGGCCATAAACAATGCAGCTAATCCCAGCTGGATGCTGGTCTCACCCTTGGAGCTTTCCAGGAACCGCTGAGCTATGGAGTCTGTGCATGACAGTCCAGAAAAGCTGCTGCTACTAGTTCCAAAAAGGAAAGGAAGGAAGGAAAGAGAGAGACGGGTGCTGACATTTATTGAACACCTATGATGTGCGCTACTGAGCATGAAGGCTGCTGGGCTATCTACTTTCTTTTTTTATTTTATTTTATTTTATTTTTTGAGACGGAGTCTCGCTCTGTCACCCAGGCTGGAGTGCAGTGACGTGATCTCGGCTCACTGCAAGCTCCACCTCCTGGGTTCACGCCATTCTCCTGCCTCAGCCTCCAGAGTAGCTGGGACTACAGGCGCCTGCCACCACGCCTGGCTAATTTTTTGTGTTTTTTTTAGTAGAGATGGGGTTTCACTGTGTTAGCCAGGATGGTCTCGATCTCCTGACCTTGTGATCCTGGGCTATCTATTTTCACATGCCTTATTTCGGCTAGTCTACAGCAACCCTTAAAGGGTAGGTAATAGTGTCCCCATTTTCAAAGGTAAGGAAAGGCTCAGAGAAGTTAAGACATTTGCAGAAAGATTCACATATGCCAAGGCCCAGAGTCAGCTTTAGATCTCAGGTCTGCCCACCCCAAAACCCATGCTCTTCCCCTGATGCACACTAGTTGGAATCACATCAGATGGGTAAAGGAACAACGGTCCCTGCCTGAGGGCCAGGGACCCCAGATGCCCCTGGGGTTATGTCAGGGGACCGATGAGTCCATCTGAGCACCCAACATTGCCTGCCTCTGAATAAACTATATTTTTTCCACATCCAGATGTAACTGTTTGCAAATAAATACAGATTCTGTCATGACTAATATAGTACCAATTCTTCTAAATGGGTTTGCTGAATTCATGGCAGTTCTGTGAAGGGCGGAAACCCAGGTGGGCACATGCATGCTAAAATGTTCAGCATTTAATGTGCTTTCCCTCCTGTGGGTTGAAAAGAGCTATAGGTGATGCATTGTTAAGTGGGGAGTGGGGAGCACAGCTCTTTTACCATTTATGTAAAAAAAAACTTTTTAAATCTCCATACATAGATTCTTATTCATGCATTGACTCTGCAAGGATACCCAAAGCCACATCGTCACCTCTGGGGAGAACTCGGTGGCTCTTCATTGAATAACCATCTGTACTGCACAAATTTTGTATCACCTAAATAATTTAAAAATCCAAACTTTTAATAAAATTAAAACCATCAAAGGTGATAGCAAGAGGGCAACGCTTAACCCTGCGGTGCAACATACTGAATTTCAGGCAAAACAGTCCTGTGCCCTCTTCAATTTCTACACAAGAGGAGCCAGTAATGATAATCAGAGACCAGTAATTGAGGCGGGGACTTTAACACCGAGTCACCAGAGGTGACCTTGCAAACTTGGCCTTTTGTCATAAAACAGGCACAATCATCACTGTGTTCCAGCCCTCCAGGGCTTTCCGAATGCCAGTGGCTCTGGGGAAGGAGACCTACTTTTCGCTCTATAGGAACCTACCATGTGTTTCCTGTTTCCTTCCACCCTTGCCCCCACGCACTCACCCCCAACCCCTGCCCCACCTCCACATGCTCCCTGCACCCACCACAAATGGCCACACTCACATGGACAGCACCTTCACTTCCAATATTTCGTGCCTCAGCTCCAGGCATCTTGTGGAGTTATATTCAAAAGGCCCCTCATAAAATTCAAAGTACCTGGGGACCAACAGAGACAGGTTAAACAGAGAAGCAGGTCAGGATGTCCAGGGCCTGCAGGGGCTCTTGTTGCAGGGTGGAGTGTCTGTCCCAGTGAAATAAATAAAGCCAACCAGCCCCATCCCAGCAGATGTCCCATTAGGGGCTTCAGGCAGACCATGGGGCCCTCTGGCTTGATCACTGGGTGGTCAGTTACTCTCAGCGCCCCACTCCCTTGGGAGTGTAGGCATTTACAGAGGCATAAACAGATTTCAGCACACAGGGAAATTCAGAAGCAGGTTTGGTTCCAAGTTTGTGGCTGGGAAGGAGAGGGGAGGAGGAGGGATGCTGTGTGTACTGTGATCAGAGAAAGCAGAGAGACCAGAGCCATTCTGGCGCAGCACTGGGAGTCCGACAGTGAGCCTTCAGGCCTCCAACTTGCCCTTCCATTCCCTGCCCCTTTCCCACTTGATCCTCGTGCCTACACTGTGACATAGCTGAGACTGATGGGCCTTTCTCCCCATTTGGCAGCTGACAATACTGAGGCTAATCAGACAGGGCTCCAGGTCATACTGTCCGTGTAGGGCAGGACCAGGGCTTGGTCTAGGTCTACTTGCAGAACAGAACAAGCCCCTTCCAGCACCAGCTGGCTCCAGGCATGTCACAGCCACCTCAGGGTCCCTCTGCCAGCTTCATGCAGAATATCAATGCCAATTTCAACCAACACTTACTAAGCCCTTACCATAGGCTAAGCACCAGGCCAAGCATTTGATGTGAATGGATGCATTCACTTTTAATCTTTCTAATCAGCCTATGAGGAAATTGACACAAGCATCCTGAACAGGCTCTAGGAATTAACTAAGGTGCCCAGACCCCCGGAGCTGGAAGGTGGCAGAGCCAAGATGGGAACCTGCATGCTGACTCAAGGCTGCTCTTTCTGCCACTTGGCTATGAGCACGGCTGGTGTCCCCTGGAAAGGGCCCTCTGGCCTCCTGTGGCAGAGGCCCGGTGAGCCCTCTCCTCACAGCCCCCCTCCTCCTGGCGGTTGTTCAGAGGCAGGGGTGGGTGGAGCTTGGAGGGTTGGATCCCAGGACAGCCTTAACATCATGAATCCAGAAGCCTGCAGGGCCAAACCACTATAAACATGGGATCAGTGGCCTGGCAACACGTAGTCTGCAAGAATCAGAGGTGAGAGGGGCTCCCCAGGGCCAAGGATTGGAAATTAGGCATCGCTCAAGCATCTCCCAGAAACCACTACACACAGCAGTGGTCATTTCGCACGTACCCTTACACACTGGACAAACTTATGTATGTGCTGCTTTAGAAATCTTGAAATATTTTACCCAATATATTGGCTTCTTTTAAAAATATTGGTATTTTTATTATTATTATCATTGTATTTGTATTGTCATTTTGTCATTAAAATAATACTGTGATACTTTAAAAGTTATGTTTATAAATATTTGTCCTTAATAATTTTAATATAGTTTTAAGTACTATAATTACATATTTAAATAATTTTACATAATATTTTAAGATATTAAAATATTTTCCACAACAAATTGGTCCCTATTTACAAAATAAATTGGCTCCTTGTTCTCATGTCATAAAAGAATTTAGACCAAGTTAATAAGAACTAGGTATTGAAGATTCCCAAAATATCAAACACCTTTGTGTCTTACAGCTCCTTTTCTTTCTCATCTGGCAAACTCAAATGGATTCTTCAGTACCCGGCTCGAGTAACCACACTGCTGGGAAGCCTCCTCTGACCCTGACCCTGGGCTACCCCTGCTCACTGTCTCTTAGAGCAAATAACATGGTATTGGGTTGGTACAAAAGCAATTGCAGTTTTTGCCTTTTTTTTTAAGTAATGGCAAAAACCACGATTACTTTTGCACCTACATAATAGTACAATTGTGTGTTTATGTAATTGTGTTCCTTTCCAAACCACGAGCATCTCAAACACAGAGACAGTGTCTTTGTTATCTCTATATCTTCTGTACTACAGAGGGAGGAAAGCTAAAAATGACATTTCCCAGACTCCTTTGCAGGTAGGGTTCTGGATGCAATTTAGGTTCAGCCAGTTAGAAGCATTTGCATGAGATGGATTCAGACCTGTTATAGGGGAAGAATGGCAAGGCTCAAGGCATGGTTTTGCTGGTGCAGAATGTGGCAGAGGTGGCATGGCTCTTGGAAACTGCAGTAGTGGTAACACCTTCATGATTATATCAGAGGCAGCAGCTTTCACGGTGGCCCCATTTCACTGCAATTTGGGGAGGAATTCTTGGAAGTTCAGCCATTTCTTCAGCTTTCCCCATGAATCTGAGCTAGCTGTGCCCTTAATAAATCCTTTTCTGCTTTAACTAGCTAATGTAGATTCTGTTATCTGCAAATAAGAACAAGGGGTCAGCCTAGGGCCACAAAACGAGCCCATGACCTTGGCTCTAACTCACCTAATTTTCCAGTCACACAACAGTGAGCTCTGGTGTCCTATCACAAAGATCACTGTTTGTAACATGAGCTGGTGTCAACTAAGCCCTTTGGAATCCACTGAGTCAGGTAAAGTCATGGTCCTAGGTTGCTGCTAAGAAAAGGTCCAGATTCAAATGATGCAGGAAATCATTAGGTCGAGACTTATCCTAGAGTTATTGGGGAATTGGGGACTTGCAGACACATCTCGGATATGGCTACAAACCAGCTGTGTGACTTTGGGTAAAACTTCCCCTCTCTGCATCTCTTTTTTCTCCTCTTTAAAACAATCTGTTTGAACTAGGGTAGTACCTCCTCTTCAATCAGCCAGCCCTTCCATTTCCTCCACAAAGGCATTCCTGCCTTGCCTCTTCCTTGGTTCCTCTTTCTCCTGCATCCTCAACATCACTCATATACCCAACTAGGCAGCATCATGATTCCAAATGACCTTGTGCCGTGGTTTTGGTGGTGCTTAGGTAGAGAGGCTTTCAGAACTGGGTTCACATCCCTCCACCCCTCATTGGCCTCTGTATGGTCTGAATGTTTGTGTCTCCTCTACAATTCATATGTTGAGATCCTAACAGGCAAGGTAATGGTATTAGGAGGTGGGGCCACTGGGAGGTACTGCAGGCAGAGCCCCCATGAATGGGATCATTGCCCTTACAAAAGAGGCCCAAGAGAGACTCCTCTTCCCTTTTACTATGTAAGGATACAGCAAGGAGATGCTGTTTATGAACCAGGAAGTAGGTCCTCACCTGAAACTTAATCTGCCTTGATCTTGGACTTCTCAGCCTCCAGAACTGTGAGCAATACATTTCTGTTGTTTATAAGCTAAGTCACTCAGTCTATGGTATTCTGACAGCCACATTAGGCCTGGCACTTTTCTGCTCCTTTGTTTTCTCAGCTGCAAATCAGCAAAAACAATGCAGTGCATGTGCGACAGGGTTGAGAAAAAACACTGCTGAGCATTTCATGGAATCCACTGGCACACAGGAACTACCCCAAAAATGCTCATTCCCCTCTGTCCTCTTTGTCCCGCCACTAAAGAGCACGTGATACCAGTGGATGCCCCAGGAAGTCCCAGGGAGTCAGAGACAGTCTCTGATGGTAAGCTGGTTGATGGCAGGCCTGAGTCAGGGATGAACAACTCGAAGTTTCTCACTGTGTGCACTGGTGACATCCTCCTTCTGCTGTGATTAGTAAACCTCTCCCCTGTCACCCTGTGGATAAAGCCCACACTAAGTCCTGCTTGGACATGGACCTGCTTGATCACCTCATCTCACTGAGGCTCATTAACCATGTGCTTCTGATGCTTTGACACCTGGGGCCTTGCTGACCCTGGAGGGACTGCCTCTTCTAGGGCTAGCCAATTCCTGGAGATAGTAAAGGACTAGCCTGTGAGTGCACCTTTCATTTGCAAACCAATCCAGAGCCCATGCCCCTATCAGGCTCCCATACTCTTGGACACTGGAATAGCTCTTCCCCACTCACCCCAGGGCCAGGTCCTAGGCAACTAGGGATAACCCCTATGCCCCAGAACCCACTGAAATTACTCAGATCAACCAATCCTAAACCTGCAAACCCTGCCTCACCAGTTCCTTTCCATGGAAATCCCAACGACGGCTCTTGCCCACACTTCCCCCTCGCTCCCTCTGCCTCCTTACTGATCTGGGTGCTTCTTCCCATGGTCCTGCAGGGCCTCCTGTTTCTAGGGATCTGTGAGTATCAAAACCTCTTCCTTCATGACAGTCATTTCCATATTTTCGTGTCTTACCATATCCGATTAAAACAAATCCCAGGCACCCTGAAAACACTCCAGGTAGTACCTTAGCCAAGTCATCAAAACTATTCCATGCCTGAGTCTAAAGCCTCAGTTTTCCCATCTGGAAAATGGAGCTAATAGCCCTGGCTTCCTTCTCTATCCTACCTGGGCTCTGCTTTTTTGGTCCGTACTGCTCTAGCTCAGTCTGTAGAGATGATTGACTTGAGGTTGCTATGGTCTAAATGTCTGTATCCCCAATACAAACATTAAGTTTCATGTTTAAACTTAATCCACAATGTGATGGTATTAAGAGGCAGGGCCTTTGGGAGGTAATTAGGTTATGAGGTCTCTGCCCTCAATGATGGGATTAGGCCCTTATAAAAGAGGCTTCAAACAGCCTTTTGCCTTTCCACCATGTGAGGATGCAGCAAGAAGCTGCCATCTATGAGGAACGGGCCCTCGCCAGACACCAAATCTTCTGCCACCTTGATCTTGGACTTCCCAGCCCCCAGCACTGTGAGAAATTAATTTCTCCTGTTATAATTATAAACGACCCAGTCTAAGCTATTTTGTTATGGCAGCCCAAAAGAACTAAGATAGGAAATAAGATTTTGAGAAGCACTGTCCCATATTCTGCTTCTAACAGGACGCTCAAGAACTGCATTTTGGAGGGTGTCATGGAAATTCATGGAAATTCCCATTTGGTCTGGATACAGATATACAGACATCAAAAATGTTGCTTAAAGTTTTTTTGTCTAATGACATAAGAAGATGCTCACATGACAATGTTGAGTAAAAAAATGCAAGTTACAAAACTATGATCTCCAAAAAGAATTATATATACGTATGTGAAAGCATGGGCAAAGGGAAGAATTGTAACACAATATTAATAGGGGTTTCTCAGAATAAATGGGATGATGCGTTATTTTTTTAAATACTTTTCTGTGTTTTTATAAGTTTTCTGCAATGGGGTTATGATTCTTTTATTATTGGAAATCACTAATAAATTCTTTTTTAAGTCCCAGACCTTCTTCTAACTATCTCAAGCTTCCCCTTACCCTGTTACAAGATTGAGGGAAGCACTTTCTCCAACCTTCTTAAACTCCACTAGCCTCTCAAGGTGAGTTCGTCACTGTCTCTACTTTCAATGCTAGAAAGACTATCTTTACCCACATCAAAGGGGAGGGCACCCTGGCACCATGTAGGGCATCTCACAGGTATAAATAGTCCCAGCGGGTGATATCAGGAGCCCAACTCCTCTCAAATGCCACTCAGTTTCCAGCAGCCAAATATGATGCTGGTGCCAGGCTGCATCATTCTGCCCCATCTCTCTGCCCTCCACTAAGTGAGAAGACAAATGCAGAAGGCCAGAAAGAGGTGAACACAGTGGCCCTGGGCATCAGTTCTCTCCCTGCCCAGACTGGGCTCCAGCTCTGTGGGCTAAGGAGGCCTCCTTTCTTTTTCTTCCTTTCCTTCTTTCCTTCTTTCTTTTCTTTCTTTCTTTCTTTCTTTCTTTCTTTCTTTCTTTCTTTCTTTCTTTCTTTTTCTTTCTCTCTCTTTCTTTTTCTTTTTCTTTCTCTCTTTCCTTCCTTCCTTCTCCCTTCCCCTTCCCCTTCCCCTTCCCTTCCCTTCCCTTCTCCTTCCTTCCTTTCTTCCTTTCTTTCTTTCTCTCTTTTTTTTTTTTTTGATGGAGTCTCGCTCTGTCACCCAAGCTGGAGTGCAGTGGCATGATCTCGGCTCACTGCAAACTCCCCCTCCCGGGTTCAAGTGATTCTCCCGAAGAGGCTCCTTTCAGCATGCCCAGGGTCTGGCCCTCTGAGAGCCTGGGTCTGTAATTCCTATGAGCCTTTCCCCAAAAGCCTGCCCCACAGAGGCTCCCCTGTTGGCCTGATTCCCTCTCCAGAGCTTCTCCAGGGCCATGTTTCCTTTCTTGGGGGCAACAGTACTCTGGGTCCCAGCAACCACTGGCTGCTACAAGATGAGGTCCATGCATTCAGCTTTCTATCTAACACTTCCCCATCCCCACCCCCAGACACTGATGGTACTCCAGAGAATAGAAGCCCAGGGGGGTCCCTGTGTCACGCACAAACACCTGTTAAATCTCCACTAGCCCTAGGTGAACAGGGAAACTAATCTGAACACCTAGACTCCTGTCCAGCTTGGTGCAGAGTCTCAGAGAACCATGGAGTTGTTTATTTATTCCACACTGGTTAGAGACACCACTAGCCCATATAGCGCCTCTGTGCAAATAAGGAAAAAGCACCATTTTCCCCAGATAAATTAAGCCACATGCACCAGACACATGGCTGGTCAAGTGAGAGTAAGCTGTACTTCAGCCTCACTTGACTGCCTGGCTGAGTATCTTTGTGCAGTGCCCACCCTGCACAACTGTCCATGACAGCCTGATACCAGACCATTTAACTTGGTCTCATTTAATCCTCCCAATAGCCCTATGAGGCAAGCATAATTTCCCCCATTTTATATCTGAGACTTGAACTACAAGAGGTAAAGTAACTTGCCCAAGGTCATTCAGCTAGTAAATGGTGGCACTGGAAAAGAAACCTGAGGACTGTGAGAGCCCGGAACCCCTGCTCTTAACAGTGTCACTGCACTTCCTCTCCCTGACTCTGACAGCCATCGTTCTCTGGGGGGTTTTCTCAGTCAGCAGCCCTTCCCCCTCCCAAAGGCAACAGCCCTTCAGTGAGCTCAGCGCTATTTCTAGAGCCAGAACAGCTGCCGTCTCGAGATAGCACACGACCCGTCACAGCAAACGCACAGAAATCAGTCTGAAAATTGCAGCCTGACAATTCAAAGGACTGAAGTGTCTTCCCAGATAGGTAGGAGAGAGGCAAGAACAGCTCAGCTGTTAACAACTGCGGGTCACAGCTGTCAGGAGACATGCCATGGCAGTGGAGAGCCCCGGCTCCAACCCCTGGCTGGTCCATGGCCCGGCTCAGCAGCCTTGAACTTCACCTGCCCTCTTTGGGCCACAGTTCACTCATCTGTCCCCAGGAATTATCAGAGCTGTTTTGAGATATCAGAACTGGATGCTAAAAAGCCTGATGTTCTCAGTGCAACCCTAAATAGTCCTGGGATTAATCTGCCCCAGGTGTGCACCTCACACCAAGCCTGAGGGTCATTTCTGGCACAGGGTGGGGGTTGGGGGTAGCAGGGCAAAGCCTGGTGTCTAGCTTCATTCCTCCTTCCCCACCCCGGAGTTCTGCAGGGCCCCAGATCCAGTGTTTAACATATTCCCTGTGAGAGTATGTACATGATGACCTTATTTTCCAGGCCAGACTAGGGAGCCCTGAAAGGCTTCCCTTTGTAAAATTCAGCTCAACAGCCAGGAATGCCTCAGTGTGTGAATGCTAGCACTGGCCAGTGCCCCTACTGCTTCTCATGGACTTTGACCACCATGCCCACAGGCACCCTAGCCAAGAGATACATCCTAGCTGCCTCCTTCTCCTTCCTTCATCTTCCGCCAACTCTCACCACTTCTCCTTCCTGAGTAGTCCCCATCTCCACCCCAGTGCCAGGGAAAGGATTCGGTCTTCTCCCCCCTGGGGGAGTCTCTCTGTCTGGAATACTCTTTGCTTTCTTGCTAGTCCCTGCCTACTCATTCAGCAGAGTCAGCCCAGGGGTCAGCTTCCACTGGCTCCCTTCGTGGCCCTCCCTCCTCTGTGCCTGCAGCCCCTGGGCACTCCTCCAGACCAGCTCTTATTATGTGGAATTACACACAGCTCCTCCATGGCCTGTCTGCGCTGTTGATGCGTGAGAAGGGTTTTTCTCCTCTTTGACTCATCAAAGATTTATAGACCCTCTACTGTGTGCCAGGAACTGTTTCAGGCCAGGATGCACTGATGAACTGGCCAGTGTCCCCACTCTCATGGCACTTCCACAGGGGCGACAATAAATGATTCATTCAATATAATGCCACATAGCCATAACTCTTCCAAAAAAAAAGCAGGACAAGGAATTGGAGGGTGCCTGGAAGGATAGTGGGTGGCCTAGGAAGGCCACTCTGGACAGGGGACATGAATAGAGGCATGGAGCCCTGTGCAGATGTGTGGGAAGAACTTCCCAGAGAAGGAAGTGAGTAAATACAATCACTTGCTCTGCAGTAGCAGCTGCCAATGTGGCTAGGCAGGGTTGTGGAGGTCAGAGAGGTGAGCAAAGCCAAGTCAAGCTGGGCCTGTGGGCCACCCAGTATCATGGGGACTCGGCAGAGGAACAACGTGATCTGATGTGGGGATAAAGGACTGTAAAGGGAGGGAGGGAGAACTATTGCAGCATGAAAAGACAGTCGATTGCACTAAGGGGTGGCAAAGAAAGTGGGGAGAAGGAGACAGACCCATGAAATAGTTTAGGAATGGAACCAGCAGGATGCATTGATAATTTAGAAAGTGAATAAATCAACAGTAACTCCTAGGACTTCAGCTTGAACAACTAGCGGGATGACATAACCATTTAAAGGTTAGAGAGATGAACAGGTTTGGGGTGTTGGGCCCTGTGAAGCTTCCTGTGCCCTCAGACATCTAGAGGAGATCACAGGTAGGCAGTCAGATGCACATGGCTGAGGCCCAGTGGTCAGGGCTGGGGATGCACATTCCAGAGTCAAAGGACAAGGGACTTCAGGAAACACTGGGAGAGAGTGCAGAGAGAAGAAGAAAGAGGGCCAAGGACAGGCCTGAGGTCAGCTCCCACATTCAGATGGCAGCAAATGACACTGAGAAGAAAGGTCTGCAGGTGGAAGAAAACCCAGACACAGAGCCCAGGGACATGGAAGCTAAGAGGAGGGAGCATTTCCAGGACAGATGGGCCATATGCAGTGCTGACCCATATGTCTTGGAAATGGGGGTCAAAGAAGAGGAGGACAGAGAAGGCACCACTGATCTAGCAACCAGGAAGTCATCAATGACCTTGACAAGAGCAGATTCAAGGGAGAAGGGAACAGATGCCCCTCTGCCGTAGGTGGAAGCAAGGCCAGGAGTGGGAAATGTTGGAGATGGTGCCATGGAAGTCTGCAGGTGAAGGAGGGCTGAGTGAGTGTCCGAAGACCTGGTCCTGGGGCAAGTGGAGAGGATGGGATGTCTCCCAAAGTGTAAAGGGATGGCTGGAGGAAGAAAAGAGAGACTTCAGTGTTCTGTGAGCCTCCAAAAGGCAAGCCTAAGAGCCCCAGCTGAGACTTAGGGAGGAAAGGTTTACAATCAGCCAGAGGAAGCACTTCGAACCAGGAGGCTCGCATGGGGAAGGATGGCCTCTTTGGGAGCTTCATGACCTGCTATCACTTACTAGCTTAGCAAGGTCTTGGTGGCCATCAAGTTGGGGGATGCCGGGCTATAAATGGAGACATGCAGTGGAAAACTGGAAGAGCCTCCAGCTGCCTTAACCTTGTGAGCATCCCCTAATCTAATGGGTGGGTGGATGCTTGGTCCTTCCAGCCCGACTCCAACTCCCTTTTCTTTCCTTCTTTCCCATTCTCATGCCTTCCCCTAGCCTCCTGCCTTTGCCAAGTGATTGGCATAAAATTCTCAAAGATGGTCTACAAGGGAGGAAGCACAGGATCGTGAAGAAGGAGAAGAGGGAGAATGGGTAGTGGAAGCTGAAGGGAGGAACGGAGTCTGGGGAGTTGACCTGCAGTGAAGAAGGGGTGAGGCCCTGACAGGCACTGCACCCAGCTGATCCGGCCTCCTCAGTTTACAGGAAAGCAGACAAGGCCCAGGGAGGGAGTGCTATCCCCCCACGGAAGTGCTGTGCGTCTGGGGCGAACCTAGGCCCACTCAGAGAACCCCAGGAGTGACTGAGCAGGGGGGGAAGAGACCCCCTCACTCCACCTCCACGGAGCCCTATGGGGACCTGTGAGGTGCTTTAACCTTGGAGCACTCAGGGAGTTACAGAGCCTGTGACCTCCTTTGTATCACCCCCAGAGTTGGGTTAATGACCTCAGTTTTGCAGATGAAGTAATTGAGGCACAGAAAGGTTTGTGTAAGTGGTTATTTGCCCAGGAGACTCCACAGAGACTCAAAAGCCATAAAGCTTTGGGTTCAGAGCACTCCTGGAGCAACCCTGACTTAAGGAGGAGGAGTCTCCCAGTGCCAACAACTCCACTTCCACCAGCAGCCTCAGCCGGCCGCAGCCTGGGTTCTGCCAGGCCCCAAGAAGCCCACATCAGGTTCATGGGACCAATGGGGGAAGCTGCCAAGTTTGTTTTGCTTTTTGTTTCTCCAGCATCCAGCCCAGAACATTCCACCAAACCTGCATCTCCAAATCCTTCCCAGTTGGGTGAAGCTCAACAGCTCTGGCCCTTTTTCCCTCCTTTTCTGCAGAAGAGAACATTGACCCGGAAGGCTGAAGTGAGCCAGCTGCACCTGCCACACAGGAGTGTGCTTCCTCCGCTGCTCTGCCTTCAGCCTGGACGATGGCATTCGGGACTGCAGGGGTCGCACTGCCCCCAAGGGCTCCTCTTTGAAATGTATAATTGCCAGGAGCAGGTGGAGGGATGCATTTTTCAGAGGCAACAATCAGAAAAACACTAAGCACACTTGGGAAGGCAGGAGGGAGGAGGACACAGAAGATAGAAAGTGGAAGAGATAGGGAAGGAGGAGATGAGAGACCCTAAAGATCATCTTGTCTGAGATCAACCCTGCAGCTTTGACAACAGTTGCACAGAAGTGATCTATTTTTTTTTTTTTTTAATTTTTTGAGATACGGTCTTACTCTGTCACCCAGGCTGGAGTACAGTGGCATGCTCTCAGCTCATAGTGGCATGATCTCAGCTCACTGCAGCCTCGAACTTCTGGGCTCAAGTGATCTTCCGACCTCAGCCTCCTGAGTAGCTAGGACTACAAGCATGCACCACCATGTCTAGCTATTTTTTTTTATTTTTATTTTTGGTAGAGACGAGGTCTTGCTATGTAGACCAAGCTGGTCTTGAACTCCTAGCCTCAAGCAATCCTCCCGCCTCAGCCTCTTACAAGTTCTGGGATTATAGGCATGAGCAACTGTGCCTGACCAGAAGTGATCTACTTAAATCAATATGGCCTTTTTATTATGGTCTAACAGCAAGGAGCTGAGGGCAGAAATAGAAGACCTGAAAGGACTTGGAAAGAAAAGACAAGGAGGCTCACCCAGCCCTGCATGAGCTGTCCACAGCCCAGAAGGAAGAACCCCTCTAACCCCTCCCATGAGTGCTGGGACTGTGGAGTCACACAGGATAGATAGATAGATAGATAGATAGATAGATAGATAGATAGATAGATAGATATAGTGCTCCAGCTCCACCCACCACCTGGAAGTGACCTAATCTTTTGGTGACTAAATTTCCTCATCTATAAAATGGAGGGTAATGAATACACCCACCTCAAATGTTTGAGGGTAAGGACTGAATGGGATAATACATGTAAGGCACCCAGTATAGTGCCTGGCCCCAGACACTCACTTGGCTCGCTCTTCAGCCAAGAGGACCCTCTTGTGTCATCTATTTGGGGCTTGCTCTTTTTTCCTGTAGCTGGTGCTACCCTGGCCTTGGGAGGTCTTCCACACTCCATCCCAGAAGCCCAGGAAGAAGGGTGCAGGGAGAAGGCTGTCCCACCCACAGGCAGCCTGGGCCAGCCCCGCTCCGGACCTCAGAGACAAGTGTCTCCTGAGTTGCCTTCCACACCTCCTCTTTGCCAGCCTGTTCCAGAGGTAAGACCCGGAGGGCCAAGATTGGTGTGGAGTATGGAAAGGGGGCCAGTGAGGCCAGCCAAGGAGCCTGCAGCTGTGCCTGGATCTAGGGGATCCAGAGGGCCCTGGAGATGCTCGCACAGGTGGTCTAGCCCAGTCCTCCAAAGCCAGAGGCTCCTCGGGATTTGGGGAATACCTGAGCAAACACAGAAGGATTATGTGCACTCGCCAGAGGGTCCTCTGTGTGTGCAATGACAGAAGTTGCCCTGGGGGCAGACGTATCTACAGAAGGCAGAGTTAAAGGTGATTCGGTTGGGCTGGGGCTAGCAGGGAAGGCTTCAAGGAGGAAGTGGATACTGGAGGGAGGACAAGGACCTGGATGTGGAGCCAGACCCAGTTGGCAGAAGCTGAGTGAAGCCCTTTGTGCTGTGGCCATGGGCCAGGCTGACAGTCAGCTCTGCTGGGACAGTGTCTGGGGGACTCCTGCCTCAGCTGTCCTCTGTCCCTGTGACTGAAGTGGGGGATGTTTTCCTGAGGCAATGCATGCAACACTGCCCACCCTACAGGACAGAGGCCATCACCATGAGGGCACCGCTGCCTCCCCCTGCTCTCTGAGCAGTTGCTGGGCAGACAGGCAGCTAGGCCAGTCCAGAGGGAACAGGGTTGCAGCTGACCATGGAGGACAAGTACCCTCTATCCTCCTCTGCCTTCCCAGAGGGGCCATGCTCGGTGAGGGGTGTTCAGGAGGAGGTCTAGTCAGTTAGCACAGGAGCACGTCATCTGCCTTCACTGCCCCGTCTCTACTTTTTTTTTTAGACGGAGTTTTGCTCTTGTTGCCCAGGCTGGAGTGCAATGGCGTGATCTCAGCTCACCACAACCTCTGCCTCCTGAGTTCAAGCGATTCTCCTGTCTCAGCCGCCCGAGTAGCTGGGATTACAGACATGTGCCACCACGCCTGGCTAATTTTGTATTTTTAGTAGAGACGGGGCTTCTCCACCCTCTCTACTTTTTATACCTCACCCCCACCAACTGTCAGTCTTCCTTTTCCCACCCAGAAGCCCACAAATGTCAGCCTGCCCTACTATCAGCTCTTTTCAAGAGCGAATTCTCTGGCAATTCCAGCCTGTGAATGAGTTTCTGATTCTAATGTGTTTCCAGAAAGGGGACAACTTTTCAAAGACAGTGCCAGGAGACAAGGTTGAATCCAAAGGGATAAATCTCTAAGGGAAGACTCAGGAACACTGAAATCTAAGTTTTCTTTCTTACCAATAGCCTTTACTATTTCCTCGCTTAATTCATTTTTTTTTTTTACACAATTCACATTTATTGAGCACCTACTACATAACAGGTGCCACGCTAGGTTCTGGCAATTCAAAACGGAAGATGCACAACAACTGTCTTACTGAGACGATGGAAGCACAAACACATGAGAAATGTCTTCACAGGCCTTCCTACTTGTGCAAAACACCCACTTAAATAGAAATATTTGCTGATTGAAAATTATTCCGGCTGGGTGCTGTGGCTCACGCCTGTAATCCCAGCACCTTGGGAGGCTGAGGCAGGTGGATCACTTGAGGTCAGGAGTTCAAGACAAGCCTGGCCAACACAGTGAAACCCCGTCTCTACTAAAAATTACAAAAATTAGCCGGCGCTGGTGGCAGGTGCCTGTAGTCCCAGCTACTCAGTAGGCTGAGGGAGGAGAATTGCTTGAACCCGGGAGGCGAAGGTTGCAGTGAATCAAGATTGCATCACTGCACTCCAGCCTGAGCAATGGAGTGAAACTCTGTCTCAAAAAAAAAAAAAAAAGAAAAAAAATTATTCCTATATGCTCATTAAATCAGTTCCCCTAAGGATGCTTATTGGACAACACTTCATAGACCTAGACTTGAAATTAATAAAGCTATATGTCAATGTATATCTTATAGCTCACACCTTTCTAATTCAGCCTGTACTTCCCCAGCCTGTGACCAATAAGAAGATCTGACCACAGCCTTTTATGAGCACTATCTGGCTTGAATTTGCTTTGTAGTGCTGTTTGGAGTTTTCCGGACTAATCATTTGGACTGGCTCCTTCTGCCTGTGGCTCCTGCTTGAGTATATACAATGTATGAGTCATTTGCTTCTTTGCCCCTCTTCATCCTCTGGTTATATTTGGTACTTCCTGACTTCCTTTCCAAACTGTTAATAATAAATAACAGGTTGTACCACACTTCAACACCACACAACTATAGATAGCAAAACATGGCATGCACTGAATTATTCAATATGTGAATAATACCATGAAGCTCATCCCATCTTCCAGATTTGGAGAGTTGTCAATTGGGACAATGTACGTCGTGTCCTCGTTAGGTCCTCCCCCAAGCTCTGCACAGCTGCTGCCAGGAGCTGTCCTGCCCATTTTAAAGAAGGCAGAAGCTGCTCACACGCCAGGGTAAAAACTCCAGTTCCATTCTAACTACGTTAACCATTATTTCCCACATGTGGGGACTCTACGTACTGCAGTCCTTCAACTAGGGGGGTACTTCGGGGTCAACTAGAAATAGAGATTTGAAATTGGAATTGTCCCAGGAAAATGTGGGAGGTGTGGTCATGCCATTTATTCTGTGACTAAGGAAATTCTTGCTCAAATGGGAGCGCTCCAGAAGGAAGTCAACTCAGCTGCTAACAATGTTGCATCAAAGGCACCTGAATTCCAAAACCAACTTGACAGAGGTCAGCTGTGTCTCTGACCCTGCAGGCTCCCGGCTGATAGGAAAGAGGAAGCTGGCCCAGATCATGGAGAGAGGGGCAGAGAAAATAAAGGGCAAGAGGAGTGAGAAAGGGAGTAGGGAAGCAAGGACGTGGAGGAGAGAGGGAGGCAATGGGGAGGAAGAAAGGAAGGATGGACAAAAACAGGTAACAGGAAGAAAGGCAGAGGAGAACACAGGTGCAGTGAGGGCTATGAGAAGTTACAGGTGAAACCGTGGAAAGAGGAAGGAAAGACAAAAGATACTGGCAGCAGGAAAAGTTAGGAATGGAGCCCATGCAATGACAATGGTTTCAGCCACTGACTGGAGACATCTGCCAAGAAACAGCTTCCCAGGGGCCCGTCGGTCCGCCTTGCTCACTTGACTCGCCTTTCTATCTTTCTCTTTCTTTTCTTTTTTCTTTCTTTCTTTCTTTCTTTCTCTCTTTCTTTCTCTCTTTCTCTCTCTTCTTTCCTTCCTTTCTTTCTTTTCTTTCTTTCTCTCTTCTTTCCTTTTCTTTTTCTTTCTTTCTCTCTCTCTTCTTTCCTTCCTTTCTCTTTCTTTCTTTCTTTCTCTCTCTCTTTCTTTTTTTTGACAGGGTTTCACTCTGTCACTCAGGCTGGAGTGCAGTGGCACAATCTGAGCTCACTGCAGCCTCTGCCTCCCAGGTTCAAGCTATTCTCCCGTCTCAGCCTCCTGAGTAGCTGGGATTACAGGCATGTGCCACCACACCCGGCTAATTTTTGCATTTTTAGTAGAGATGGGGTTTCACCATGTTGGCCGGGCTGGTCTCAAACTCCTGACCTCAAGTGATCCACCCGCCTTGGCCTCCCAAAGTGCTGGGATTACGGGCATGAGCCACCATGCTTGGCTTTGACTCGCATTTTCTACCCCAAACCTCTTGAAGAACTCTCCCAGGAGTCCAGTAGGGAGGTACACACTTGCTGACTTACCTAGACTGCTCACCACCTGGGAGGCAGGGCCGCTTAGCAGACAGGCCAGCATGGGAGGCTCAGCTTCCCAGGACAAGCATGGGCCCCCACCTTACCCGTGATGTCCAGAGCTCCCTCTGCACTTCCATGGAAAGAACTGTGGTCCCAAAGGCCAGCATAAGACCCTCCAGCCCAGGCCACAGCGTGCGACCATCCCCACACCCTCGGGCATGTCTGTGGACATTTGCTTGACTGGTTTCTGACATCAGAATCTCATCTTTCTCAAAGCATTGAATAAAAACATACATATCAGGGGTCCTTGAAAAACCCATTACTTCTCTGCAGGGTCAATTTAATGTTTGTGTGTCAAAATCACCAGCAACAAAAATGCAAGCCTCTCTCTCAGGGAAACGGACGTGAGAGTTACCCCCTCCTTAAAAATACAAAAATTAAGAAACCAAACAGCTTAATCAGCCCCTGGGAATGCTTAGCTGGCAGGTTCCAGTCATACCCAGCTCCCAGCAGAGACAGTATCCTGCCTCATCTGCAAAAATTCTCCACAATACCCTCCCTGCAATGAGTGTGCTCAGCCTGAGAATATTCCATTTTTATTCATTCAACAAATATTACTGATCAAGAGGAAATAGCCACATGATGGGGCGCATAGCAAATCTCAGCACCACCTTGATGGAAATGGTTCTGCTCCAGCCAAGGGCAACCTCCCCTGTGGGCAGGGCAGGGAGTACCTGGGCAAGGGACTTCAGAGAAGCAGGGAACACCCACCTGACACCCGCTTCTTGATGCCACCCACCCACACACACCTACACACACTTGCTGGCTGATATCCGAAATCCCTGCAGCAGGGACAGAGCTTTGGCCCCCACCCCTAAATGGAGGTTTGAGACCAAGACTCCCCACCCTACCCCCTGATAGAAGGGGCCAGTGAATCCCCGCTTGGTTGTGGTTGGGTCCTATGCCTCACCCTTCAAATTCATTCACCTTCAAGTTAAAGGAACCAGGTGGGATACCAAAGTGCAGGGAGTTTCGAGCCACCAGAACAAGACCTGCTTCTTCCACCCTAGGAAGTGGACAATGTGGCAGGGGCTGCAGGGCCACCCCGGGTTGAGCTTCCCCCACTCCCTGGCCTTTTGCCGGGGTCTGTACCTGGAGCTGGAGTCACTGCCGCTCTGCACTGCTGGATCATCCGTGACATTAAAGAGCCCCGTCCAATTGGTCAGCTGGTCACCACTCTGCCAACCAAACTGGAGGCCTCTGGCAAGAAAACGAGGCAGTCGGTACTCATGCTCATTTGCTGGGTTAAGCCTGCCTACCAGAGAGCCACATTCTGTTGCTGTGCCCAAGTGACACATTGCCTTGGTCATGCAATTAAAGGAGGCGATGGTACTGACTCCAACCATGAGGATGGTGATCATAAACCACAGCCCTCTACAGTGCTCTCTGCGGTTCTGCATCTATCCCCTCATTCCATCTGTACCAGCAGGGCTGAGAGCACACATTTCACACACAGGGACATTGCGACTTTGCGAGACAAAGGTCGCAGAGCTCTTCTACCTCCTATACCGTGCCATCCCTCAATTCCTGCCTCCAGTTAAACCAAAAGAGCGCCAGCACCACATTTTGTCCTCCTCAAAAGCCAGACACACTTCAGAGCTTTTAATAAAATCTACAGTATTCCAGCACACAAGGATACCACTTTTGGTTCAAGACGTGCACTCAGCACATGCTTATCTTCACTCCTTCCCCAACCCTCACTAAAATGACAGCAAAGGGATAAATACAGACATGCATGTCGGGAGAAGGCCATAGAAGGGGCCAGCAATAACATGCTGGATGATGAAAAGCACAAGGTCATGGACCTCCACCAGACAGTGGACATCTTACTTCCTGCAAAAAGCAGATCTACTCGCAGTGAACAACTCAGGAAGGCTCAGGAATGAAAGGTCCCCAGGGCCAGCGAAGGTGGGAGTGCACAATGGAGCTAAGAGCAGCATTGTTTGAAGTCTGCACAAAAAGCAGTCAGACAACCCTCTCCCCAACGCCCTGTGAATTCCCATACCAGGCCCTCTTCCCAAGCCCAGGCAGCCTGGCCACTCCACCTGCCCACCTCACAGATGTCAGGAGATTGCTTTCTGGGGAAACCGACTCACAGGAGTTCTGCGCTCTTTTCTCTTATCAGAGACTCTGCACTGAAAACAGTGGATGTGCCTGAAAGTCTGCTTACTGAGTGCACCTGGCTTCTGAATGCTTGGGTCACACACCCTGCCTTCCAGGTTTGCTGAGGGATGGGTTTCTCAGGAGGGAAACTGATCCGCTCAAAAGAAACAGATATGGAGGAAAGGGTTGGTGCCCGCTTAATTGCCCCAGGGCAGGCTTTCTCAGCCTGGCACTATGGCATCTGGGGTTGGCTACTTCATTGTTGTGGGACTGTCCTGTGCATTATAGGATGCTGAGCAACATCCCTGCTCTCTACCACCAGATGCCAGCAGCATTGTACCCTGGACCCTCCTGCTGCAGCAATCAAAAATGTCTCCAGACATTGCCAATGTCTACTGGGGGCAAAATTGCCCCAGTTGAGAATCGCTGTCTATAACAATCCACAGAGCTTCCAAGAAACCTTCTAGTGACTGGCTGGCCCTTAAATATAAACAAGCTATTAAGACCATCATCATGTGAAGAAAACTTTAACAGTCAGAGAACAAAACAAAACAAAATAAAACAGAACAGCTTTCTCTGCTCATGCCCAGTGTGGTCTCAATATGCAGAACAATGCCAGTGAGTTCATAAACCTGTACCTCCCATGGAAATGCTCCACCAGCAACCATTGGTGCCGAGGACCATGGGTCCATGCAAAACGACATGGGCGAGATTGACAAGGTTACGGGCAGGTTTAACGACCAGTTTAAAACCTATGTTATCCAGAGGGCCATTCGCAGGATGGGTGAGTCAGATTATTCCATTCTCCGATTGGCCAAAGCCAACAGCATCGCCCCAGAAAGAACTTTTGACTGGACAGAATCATGGATGTGGAATATTTCTCTAAATAAATAGTGAGGCCAGGCTTGATGGCTCATGCCTATAATCCCAGCACTTTGGGAGGCCGAGGTGAGTGGATCACCTGAGCTCAGGAGTTTGAGACCAGATTAGACAACATGGTGAAACCCCATCTCTACAAAAAATACAAAAATTAGCTGGGCATGGTGGCACTTGCCTGTAGTCCCAGCTACTTGGGCGGCTAAGGCGGGAGAATCCCTTGATCCTGGGAGGTGGAGGTTGAAGTAAGCCGAGATCACACTACTGCACTCTAGCCTGAGCAAGAGAGTGAGACCCTGTCTTGAATGAATGAATGAATGGATAGATGAATGAATAAATAGTGAAACACTTAAAAAAAGAATGCAGGGGGAAAAAGACAAATGAAAAAAGCAGAAGGCCAAGCGTAGTGGCTCATGCCTGTAATCCCAGCACTTTGGAAGGCCGAGGCAGGCGGACTGCCTGAGGCCAGGAGTTCGAGACCAGCCTGGCCAGCATGGTGAAACCCTGTCTCTACTAAAAATACAAAAATTAGCCAGGCATGGTGGCAGGTGCCTGTAATCCCAGCTACTCAGAAGGCTGAGGCATGAGAATCGCTTGAACCTGGGAGGTGAAGGTTGCAGTGAGCTGAGATCGTGCCATTGCACTCCAGCCTGGGTGACAAGAGCAAAACTCCATCTAAAAAAAAAAAAGAAAAAAGCAGAATTTTTTTTCAATAAAACCCTTAATAATAAATAGCCTCTAAGCTAAGGGAATGGGGCAGCAGATGGTCACTGGAGCTGGGAACTGATCCATCCATATCTCCACTAATAGGCTGAGTACCTGAGTCTCTGCACCTCTCAAGGCCTCTGTTCCCATCTTTCAAGAGGACTGTCTCAGTTGCCTTCAAAGTCTTTGACTGCAAGTATCACAGATCTGAGCCTTCTTCTATGATGCCCACGCACCTCCCTCTTCAGAAGTCTAGCTCACCTCCTACGTGTGTGTCAGCTTAGTCTCCCAGCCAGACCCTGGGCTGAGGAGGCCCCTTGGGGCCCTGCCAGCAGCTCTCTGCTGCACACATGAAGTGCTCCAGCGATGCTTTGCTGAGTAACAGTAGACCCTGTTCTCATACTCTCCAGGCTCCACAGCAGTGGGGAGCTCAGAGGAAAAGGTACAACTCACAGGGCAGAGGCCGAAGCCAAAGCAAAATGCCTGTCCAGTTCTTAGTCCATTCAAAACACAGAAGGGCTCCGGTCTGGTTCTGATTCAATAGTTATTCATTTATCCATTTATTTATTTATTGAAGTGGTTGTTTCCTTTCAAAGAGATCACCAAGGTATTTCTTGGAGAAAATTTGGGTTTGGTTTATTCAGAAGAGAGACACTTTGAGCACCTATTATGAACCCGGCCCTTTACATAAATGGTCTCAATTCCTACAAACGCCTCATGCAGAAAATCTCATGATCGGGCCAAGCATGGTGGCTCACACCTGTAATCCCAGAATTTTGGGAAACCGAGGTGGGTGGATCACTTGAGGTCAGGAGTTCGAGACCAGCCTAGCCAACATGGTGAAACCCCATGTCTACTAAATATACAAAAATTAGCTGGGCATGGTGGTGCGTGCCTGTAATCACAGCTACTCTGGGAGGCTGAGGCATGAGAATCACTTGAACCCGGGAGGCAGAGATTGCAGTGAGGAGAGATCATGCCACTGCACTCCAGCCTGGGTGACAGAGCAAGACGAAAGAAAGGAAGAAAGAGAGAGAGGAAGGAAGGAAGGAAGGAAGGAAGGAAGGAAGGAAGGAAGGAAGGAAGGAAGGAAGGAAAAGAGAGAAAGAAAGGAAGGAAGAAAGAAAATCTCATTATCTCCATTTACAGCTGATGAAATATGCAGCTTAGAGAGGTTTAGTAGCTTGCCCAAGTAACAAGTAGCTAAGCTAAGATTTAAACCGAGGGCTAACTCTAAATGCTTCTACTCCTAAAAGTCTTTACCAAACAGCCTAGAGGCCAAGAAAACAGTAATATTTCCACCCGAGATTTTGCAAACTAGTTAGTTCACAAACATATCAAATCAATGTCCAGCCCAGGAGTCTGCTACGAAACTCATGGGTCCTTAAAAAATAGTCTAACCAGCTAGACTTCTTCCCACAGCATGCATGAAGGGTCAGCTAGCCAGCCACACTGTCATCCTCCTACCCATGGTGAGACCCCATGTCCCTTCACATGGCAGTCCCCTCCCAGGACTATAGAAGCGAGGGACTACTGAGCAGAAAATATGATGACTTAGCAAGACACTCATTATTAAATGGCACGGGTGGGGGGGGAACAAGTTACAAAAGGAGATACCCAATAGTAGTTCCATTTCTGTAAGGTTTTATACCAGAAAGCTGGTTACTTTTGTAGGTGGAATTAAAGTTTATTTTTTCTTTTAGTTTAGCAATGTTTACTCATTTACCTCAAAAAAACCTAACTGCATAATTTTCAAAACCAATGTATTATATAATTTAAATTCCATTCCTGAGCTAAGGATAGGATCTATTATTAGTCAAAGAAACCCAATGAGGAAGGCCTGTGGAGGTATAAAGGAAGATGACAAAATGAAAAAACATTTCATGGCTGGGCACAGTGGCTCACGCCTGTAATCCCAGCACTTTGGTAGGCCATGGTGGGAGGATCACTTGAGGTCAGGAGTTTGAGACCAGCCTGACCAACATGGTGAAACCCCATCTCTACTTAAAAAAAAAAAAAATATATATATATATATATATATATATATATATATATATCCTGGATATATATATATATCCTGGATATATATATATATCCAGGAATGGTGGTGCACACCTGTAGTCCCAGCTACTTGGGAGGCTGAGGCAGGAGAATTGCTTGAACCTGGGAGGCAGAGGCTGCAGTGAGCCGAGATTGTGCCACTGCACTCCAGCCTGGGTGACTGAGTGAGACTCTGTCTCAAAAATAATAATTAAATAAAATAAATTTGTAAAAAAATTTAAAAAATAAAACATTTTATTCACTCATTCATTTATATAACATTTGTTGAGCATCTACTATGCATTAGGAACTGGTAGTTGCTGGGCCAAGTAACAGCAAAGAGCAAACGCTTGTTTCCAAAATGCTCACCATAAAATTGAGATAATTACACTAACACACATAGAAATATTAGCAAACAAGATAGGGCAAAATCAAGTGCTTAAATGGAGTGCTGTAACTGGTTTTTTATGTCTAATTTATTTTTTCAAAAAGAAAAGATTTGAAGTAAATACGGCAGGATGTTAACATTTGTTAACACTGCTAATTCTCAGTCATGACTGCATGAATGTTTGTTATATTGTTCTCCATATTCTTTTGTAGTCTATAATTCCATAATAAAAATACACGTTAAAATAATTTTTAAGGCCAGGCACGGTGGCTCGTGCCTGTAATCCCATCACTTTGGGAGGCCAAGGAGGGTGGATCACGAGGTCAGGAGTTCAAGACCAACCTGGCCAAGATGGTGGATCCCCATCTCTACTAAAAATACAAAAAAATTAGCCCAGTGTGGTGGCGCATGCCTGTAATCTCAGCTACTCAGGAGGCTGAGGCAGAGTATTGCTTGAACCCAGGAGGCGGAGGTTGCAGTGAGTCAAGATCACACCACTGCACTGAGCAAACAGAGCGAGACTCCATCTCAAAAAACAAACAAACAAACAACAACAACAAAAAACAAGTGCTTAACTGTGCTAAACTCGTAATCACTAACAAGGCCTTAGAGTAGCCAAGGGCAGCTTCCTGGACTCAGTCAGCCTTGCAGAATCTTTGCACCTTGCAGGTTAAGCTAGAATTGAACACAGCCCTGAACCTAAGGAAACAGAACATATAAGAATTATGTAAACTGATTTATTCAAGACTGGATTCAGATATTTAGAGGCCTCAAGCACTGAAAAGTGTGTGGTGCCACCTCACGCCCATACTTACTCAAAAGTTATGTGCCTGTTAAAATAAAAATAGCTCTGTCTGGATTTTCTGATTATAAAATCTGGGATATGTTTATGGAGGCTCAGCTTTTCTCTGTTGTGTGGTTATTGCTGACAACCTGGCTCAGCCAGGTCCCTGGTTGTGTAACCCACAGCCATGTAACATAGCCCCTTGCTCTCATGGCAATGAATCCTACAGCCATCAGAGGATGGGGAAAGCTGCCCATGCTTCCCTGAGCCAACTACCAGGGGAATTTCAGGACAGAAGGCAAAATCACATCTCAGAGAAGCAATTTAAAAACAGGTGGAACTACCTCCATTAATAATACCCTCCAAATATTGTAAGGCATTATCTTATTAAAATTTTTGCCAATGGATTAAAATATATATATGTTCCAGGCACTGTGACAGATTTACATGTTATTTCAAATCCTCCCAAAAGCCTATAGGTGGGCATTAGTATCACCATTTCACAGATGAGGAAACTGAACCTAGGGAGATTAGATTTACAACCTGCCCAGATATTGTGAAGAGCAGAGAAAGTATTCAAGCCCAAGCCCGGCGTCAGGGCCCATGTTTCTTCCTTCTCTCCTTTAACCCCATGTTCTCATGCTCTTTTTTGGGGAAAAAAAGACTTTTCCATTGTCCAATATTTTTAATATTATTTGAGCTGCTGCCATTGCTGTGGACTGTTTAATGACGAAGTCTATATAAAACAAACCATGCATGGGTGTGGTGGCTCACGCCTGTAAGCATTTTGGGAGGCCGAGGCAGGAGGATCACAAGGTCAAGGGATCGAGACCATCCTGGCCAACATGGTGAAACCCCATCTCTACTAAAAATACAGAAATTAGCTGGGTATGGAGGCATGAGCCTGTAGTCCCAGCTACTCAGGAGGCTGAGGCAGGAGAATCGCTTGAACCCAGGAGGCAGAGGTTGCAGTGAGCTGAGATCACACCACTGCACTCCAGCCTGGTGATAGAGCGAGACTCCATCTCAAAAAAAAAAAAAAAACTATAGAGTATTATAAAATGAAGAGGCTGAACAAAATCATCTCTGAGATCCTTTCCCATTTTGATTGAAGTGCCAAAGTTACAGAATTTCTGGCACTGGAGGAGGCCAGTGGAGGCAATTTTGTGGGGGACACAGGAAGGGGAGGAAGTGGCACATGCGTAGCTATCCATTCACAGTGTGTGGGCTCCTGCACAATCTGCCTTCGCATATGGTAGGCCTGGGGCCAAGCATCCGCGAGTGCCCACTCAGATGCTGGAATCTCCAGGGTGGTTGAACCAAAAGAGGCTGAATCTATGGGGCACAGGGCATTTGGCACTGTGGACTTAGGTTCCCCAAAGAAGCCCCACCCCTGATGCCAGAGCCCAGGACCCCATGTGCTGACTGCTCAACCCAGTGGGGCACAGCGTGCAGCCCAGGTCACCAAGAGACTGGCCATGTGCTCAAGACAAAATGCAACTGAACCCATCCTTGCAAACCACCTCCAAGAGCCTCCTGCTTCAGGCTGAGGCCCCCCCACATGCTCTGGAGAGTGAGACTGAAGCCACTGTCATTGCTCTGCTCTGTTTTTCAGGTCAGTAGAGGACAGGAAGGCAGCTGCTTCCTAGATGGTCTCCTAGGTCTTCATGCCTTCCCTGTCCAACGGCCTGAACACTGCCATCAGAGTGAGCTTCCTAAGGAGTATCCCAATAGCACCACTTGCCTATTCCAGAACCTTCCAAGACTGCCCACGACCCAAAGGACAGGATCAGACCCTCAACTCAGTGCCCCAGGAGTGGCCCTGCAGTTTCACTTGCACCCCTCTGCAAACCTCAGCTTTTTAAGCCACTATTGTGCTCCCACAATCATCCTGCGCCCCACCTGCCTCAATGTCCCTCAACCTCCAACGTCCAGCTCAAGCACCACCACTTCCCTGAGGCCCTTCTTGACCACTCTGGCCCAGCCCACCAGGCCGTCCCACCTTGGAACTAAGTCAGCACTTACTCTCCAACCCCCTACACCTTCTCATCCTGCCTCACTCAGCGGTCACCTCTGCCTGTCTATCTGTGAGTTCTGTCACCCCTACATAATTATGGTCCTTCCTAGGGAAGAAACTAGACTTTATATCTAAAACTGAGCCCCAAATTGTCTTTCTCAAAGTCCTTAAGCAACCAGAGTGGGGAAAGGGGGCCAGGGGTGGGTGCCTTGAACTCCACCCTCCCCAGAGGTCTCCTTAGGAAAATTGGAACAGGAGGGTCTTACCAGTCCTGGGAAAGAGGAAGAAACAGAGAGAGGGGAGGCCAGCCAGAAACACATGCCAGACTGCTTGTTGAGTCCAACCCTCCTGGGGCAGGCAAAGGGACTGCAGCCATAGAGGTGTTAGAGGTGTTGCCAGGCAAACTCCCACCCAAGAGACAAGTTTTACAGTGGATAATCCAGAGCTAGTAAGGGGCACCAGGCAGGGAGGGGTATGACTTGAAGGCCCACAGGGGCTGTCCCCTGTCCCTAAAGTATCTTACCCATTAACCTGTCACTAAGACTCCAAAAGAATGACAGTGTTGCGACCAACAATTACAAACGGACTTCTTCAGTGTTAGGAGATACTGCTGCTGCCCTCAAGAACTGACAGTCCGGTTTTAACTGTTATTTGGGAAATGACCACCTTGCACAGGTGGGGTCCTCGGAAGAGTCCAGAGGTTAGGGGGTGGTGAGAGGACAGAAAATGCAGTGAACTGGAGGAGGCCAGGCCAGGGTTCTACTAAGAACTGCAGCACTAATCCCAGAAATTGTTAGTTCTCAGTGAGGGGCAAATAGCTCCAATGCTAAACAGCCTTTGGCAGGATTTCAGGCAGAAGTGCCAGTTTGATGAGGGAGAAGGTTCTGGATAAGAAGGTGTTATCAGTGCCTCTCCATCAGTCACAAACCTGCAGCTGCCATGTTCCTTTAAAGGTGTTAACACCAGCCCCAGAAGTGGCCACTTTCTTCAGAGCTTCAATAGCCATCCAAGCAGATGACTCACCTCCAGGCAATGCTTGCCTCTAGAGATTCTTGGATAGGGGGGCTCGCATTCCACCATTCACTAGCAGTGTGACTCTCAGCATTGAACCTCTTGAAGTCTCAGTTTTCTCATCCGTCAAAGGGGATGAATAATCCTCAACCTAAGGATATAAACAGTCTACAAAAGCAGACATATAAATGCTAACATGCATATAAAGGCTTTTATATCTAATATACACAATTAAAATGTATTTAACCCAATGTTTGCATAAAGAAAAGATAATGGAGTGGTTGATGGACAAGGTGAGAAGTCTTCCTTTCCATTTGTACACACTTTTGTAACTTTTGATTTTATACATGCTTGCATTACTTTTTCAAAAAATAAACAAAAGTAGGCCTGGCACTTTGGGAGGCCAAGGCAGGGGGATAGCTTGAGCTCAGGAGTTTGAGACCAGCCTAGGCAACATAGTGAGAACCTGTCTCTATCAAAAAATCAAAAAATTAGAGCTTAGGAGGCTGCGTCAGGAAAATCATTTGAGCACAGGAGGTTGAGGCTGCAATTAGTCATGATCACACCACTGCACTCTAGCCTGGGTGACAGGGCAAGATGCTGTCTCAAAAAATAAAAATAAAGGAAATAAGCAAAAGTAGGCTGGGCACAGGAGCTAATACCTGTAATTCCAGTGCTTTGGGAGGCTGAAGTGGGAGGATTGCCTGAGACCCAGAGTTAAAGGCTGCACTGAGCTATGATTGTGCTACTGCACTACAGCCTGGATGACAGAGCAACAACACCCTGCGTCTAAAAAAGAAAAAAGAAACAACAACACAGATGGTCACCCCAACTACCAGGTGAAGTGAAGATGAACTATGTGTGACAAATGGCTCTGTCAACTACGTGAGCGCTAGTTGTTTATCCGGAGAAGATGCAGGTAGCGGGCTGTAGCTGCCTGGTTATGTCAAGGGGGAGATTTCTTTCTGTCTTTGCAGTCTCTTAGCAGATTGCCTGTGATGAGCACTACGTTCTGATTTAATGCTTATTCAATAGTAAAAACATTTTATTTCTCTACCAAAAGAAAAAGAAAAAGGCCTTTTGGTAACTCTTTTGGCGTTGCACAAACAGGAGGGATGGTAGCGACGATGATGGCTGGTATTAACACAAAAATGAAAAATAAGGAAAACAAAACAAGGGCAGTTGTTTCATGCTGAGAATGTCATGTCTTTCTCCTGAGTAACTGCTACTACCCATACCCCTCGGGGAACTAGAGGTCACTGAGCACCGGGCTCAGGGCCCCTTCACCTCCCTCTCGCCCCAGCAGGAGAGCCCAGGCCCCTGTGGAGGGCGAGGACTCCAAGGATCAGTAGCCAGAGTGGCTGCAGCCACTGATCTGAAAGTCCTTCCTGACCCAAGTCTTGACCAAGAACAAAGCCAAATCCACTTCTTCTCCTTAAAACAACTCAATCTTAAGCCAGCAGCCACCCCAGAACAGACGCCCTTACCTTCCTGACGGATCCCATCCTGGCCAGGGGAGGGCCCTGCTCATCCTATGACCATCATCTCTAAAGTTAGGGATGGCACCATAACATGCACACTTTCGCTCAAGAAGCTCTCCTTAGAGAGCTCCTCTATGCTCTTCTTGGACCTTTTAGAGCATCACGCACCCTGGGTAAAACAGCCAATAAAAGTACAACCGCACATTAATCATTTATATTTCTACAAAGTGCTTCACTTCTACCAGGGAGCAAATTCAAACCTGGGCATGAGGGGCCCAGACAGAGAACGAGCAGAGCGAAGGCAACAAGAACAGGGGAGGGTGTCTGTGCTGCCCAAGTTGTGGGAAGACAGGCCTCGGGTTGCCACTTTGCTCATTTGTCCAAGAGGGGCAGGAAGTCCAGGCTTTTATTTTTCATTTCCCAGTTCTTAAAGGTTGCCAATGAATCCAAACTTGAAACACTGTGCAGACCAAATACGACACGCTGTAGGCTGCAGACCACCCATTGGCAGCCCCTGAGTTGCAGCATCTTGCTCCATCCTGACCCCAGTCCTGTGAGGGAGAGAGGTAGAGTGCACCATCAGCCATCACAGCTGAGGAAACAGGCATAGAGTGGGAAGTTAGCTCAAGCCACCTGGGGGCAAAGATAGGCCTGGAACCCAGGAGTCCTGACTCCCAGTTCAGGCCTCTCAGCACCCAAGGTCTGGATCCTGTCCCGGGAGTCAGTTGCACCCAGCACACATTGGGGTCTTCCCATATTGGGGTGCTGGGTCAGTGACCTCAGCCTTCTGGCCTCATGCACAACACACCTGTTCACCTTTACTGCTATCCTCACACTGGCCCAGGTGAGCGCATTCCAGGGCCCTGCCTGTCACCACCCCCTCCCTCTTGACAGGCATACAACAGGAATGAGAATGACTGTACTCCCTATCATTAGAGGGATAACCTTGAGTAGGCTCTATTCGTAAAAAAACAATAAAAGAAGAAAATCATTCACAAACGTTGCTATTTAACTTTTGTGGGAGGATAATCTATTGAATTATTCATTTGTATTTTCCCTCCTCCATTCCAGAAAGGTAGCTCGGTTTTCTTATCTTCAACCCAGGGCCAACTGGGTTGTGGGGGCGAAAGGCTTCAATGCTCAAGAAATTGTGCTGTGAAGAAACTGTGTGAGAGAGTCCTGGGGGAGGTGGGGGGCCAGTGCCTCTGGGTCTCGGGAGGGCTGGTGGAAGTGGTGAGACCATGGCCCAAACCAGGAAGCCCATGCTAGCAGCTTGAGATCGCTCTGTCCACATCCCTCACAAGGGATAGCAGGACCTCAGAAAGGGGCAGCTCGGGAGGCTGGACCCAGGGCTCCAGAAGCCTCCAGAAAGCAGTGAGCAGATCAGCAGGGCCAGCACAGCCCAGGGGGTCCACGGCACTGTTCTGTCCCACACAAGACCCCCAGGGTCTTCACACAACCCTGGGAGGGGGAAGACCCCGAAGGCGGCTCAACACTGGTGGATTCAACTTCCCACAAATTGGTGGGTAAGGTTTAGTCATGTTTTTAATGAAAGAAAGTTTAAAAATGAGCCATTTCTTTCACACCAAGCCAAGCTTGTGAAATAAAATGTATAATTGCTTTTCTATTGTTAATCAGCAAATCACTTGCATTGGACCTCACAGTGTATCGAGGGTACCTTTCCTTTTCCCATTCATTCTATTTTCATCTTGTTATATATGCATAATATTTATTTTATGATATTATTCTATATTGGTCCAACAGCCATCCCAGGCCACATACTGAGGCTCAACAGCGAGCAAGCCACCAAAGCCTTGCCCCAGTGACTCTTAATTTCTACCAGAGGGAGACAGATATGACGACAATAAACTAACAGGCGACAAAATGCGTCATACGCTAAAGGGTGAAAGGTGTTGTGGGAGAAATAAAGGGAGGAAAGGGGGATAAGGGGCTTGGGGTGGGGGAGGAATGTTATTCCACACAGGGCAGTCAGGGAGGCCTCTCTGGGAAGGGGACATGTGAGCAGGACAGGAAGTGGGTGATGAGGGGCCAGCCCAGGTGGATGCGCTAGGTGAGGACTGTCCCCTGCAGAGGCAGAGGTGAGGGGAGGATGAGCTTTCACTGGGGCCAAGTGAGCCAGGGGCAGGGTGGCCAGTGATGGGGCATCAGTTCATGGAAGAAAGGAACACTGCCTTTCTGGGGTCCCTCAAAGCCATGTGAGAGGAAGGTGAGTCCAATTTCATCTCTGGAGGAGCCAAGAACTCAGCCAGGAGTCTCTGTGGGCTGGGCCCAGAATGTAGGCTTCTCCCCGTCCCTAGGGGGCTCTGACCGCCCTTCCCCCACCTACCTCCCGAAGCCCTCCACCATCCCCAGGTCCAGGTAAGGAGATGGGCCCCTCAGAGAAGGTGCCAGGACCTTCCCACCCAGATTAGAGCGGAGATGCTTCTGGTTGCGCCGCATTCTCAGCAGGATGAACGGGCGCAATGACCAGGTTCTGCGCTCCCTTGCCTGTCCATGCTCCTGACTCACTCTGTGACTTACGTTACTTTCCTACGAAGCTCCAGAGGATAACAATTCCCTCATCAGAAAAAGGAAGGGGTTTCATTCACCAGGGTCCACCTGGGGGGCCTTTCATTGGAGGCAAAAGAAAAGATGCTGCAGGGCAGGAGTATCTGGAGGGAGGAGAGGAACGGAGAGACCCCCAACCCCTAGGCCGTTCCCCACCTCCCCCCACCCCTGCTCTCCACCCTGGCAGTACACCTGGGGTTGCCTCTCTAATCTTTTGGGCAGAAATTTCACTCTTCCTTTTCCAGGCTCCACTCAAAGCCTAAATCTTGTCCAGTGGTTCCCAAATTGACTCCGTGGAACACTGGGTCACCCTTTGAGCCTCTGCAGAGGAGAGGAGGGAAAATGGTGGAGGTAGGGTTTAGGACAAGGGAACTAGGTAGGCAGGACTGGAGCCCCCATCCTGTTTCAAGCAGAGCATCCTTCCTTCTAAGGTGAGCATGGGCTCCTACACAGCCCTTAGCCAGAGGGGTCTCTCTGCCTTCTGACTCCAGCAGCAATGAACAAGAGTTTGCACTATCCACTTGGCACTTAGTATATAAGATAGTTGTAAACTCTTCATGTGTGTTTGAGCCTTCCCTGCCCTACCCCAAGAGAGCACCCTGTTTCATCCATCTTGGTAAATGTGATGGTTAACTTTAAGTGTCAACTTGATTAGATTGAAGGATGCAAAATACTGTTCCTGAGTGTGTCTGTGAGAGTGTTGCCAAAGGAGATTAACATTTCAGTCAGTGGACTGGGAGAGGCAGACCCACCCTTAATGTGGGTAGGCACCATCTAATCAACTGCCAATGTGGCTAGAATAAAGCAGACTTACTGAGTCTCCTGGCCTTCATCTTTCTCCATGCTGGATGCTTCCTGCCCTGGAAAATCGGACTCCAAGTTCTTCAACTTTTGGACTCTTGGACTTAACACCAGTGTTTGCCACGAGCTCTCAGGCCTTCGGCCACAGACTGAGGACTGCTCTGCTGGCTTCCCTACTTTTGAGGTTTGGGGACTTGGACTGGCTTCCTTGCTCCTCAGCTTGTAGATGGCCTATTGTGGGACTTCGCTTTGTGATCATGTGAGTCAATACTCCTTAATAAACTGCCCTTTATATATACATCTATCCTATTAGTTCTGTGCCTCTAGAGAACCCTGACTAATACAGTAACCAACGTCTATAGCAGCACCAATAGAAATATACCAGGAGTCACATATATAATTTTAAATTTTCTGGTAGCCACATTATAAAAAAGTAAAAATTCATGTAATAAAATTGCTTAGAACTAAATACACAGACTTATAAATAAGTGCATGCAAAATTGGTGAAATGAGAATTGATGGATTGTATCAATGTGAATTTCCTGGTTCTGATATTGTACTATATTGTTTGGGGTGTTTTAGTTTTTGAGACAGGGTCTTGCCCTGTTGCCCAGGCTGGAATGTAGCAGTGCTGTCATAGCTGACTGCAGCATCAACTTCCTGGGTCCAAGCAATCCTCCCACCTCAGCCTCCTGAGTAGCCAGGACTACAGGCATGCACCACCACACCTGGATAATTTTTTTTTTTTTCGTACAGACAGGGTATCACTCTGCTGCCCAGGCTAGTCTCAAATTCCCGGGGTCAAGTGATCCTCCCACTTTGGCCTCCCAAAGTGCTAGGATTACAGACATGAGCCACCATGTCTGGACATGATATTGTACTATATTGTTTTGAAAGATGTTATCTTTGGAGGAAATTAGGGGAAGTGGATACAGGTTCTCTCTGTGTTGTTACAGCTGCGTATGAATCTACAATTCTCAAAAAGATTTTTTTAAAGTAAAAAGAAACAGGTAAAATTCATTTCAATAATATACTTATTCTAACCTAATATATTCAAATATTATCATTTCAACACACAAACAATATAAAAAAATTAAGGAGATACGTCACATCCCTTTTTTGTATTATGTCTTCGAAATCCAACGTGTATTGTATATGTACAGACAGCATGTCTCAACTCAGACGCAACACTTCCAGTGCTCAGTAGTCACATGGGGCTAGTGGCTAGTGGACAGTGCAGGGCTAGTACACAAAGGGCACACAATGGATGCTTTCTGCATGAATGATGAATGAACCAATTAACCAACCTGAACTAAGAGGGGCCTGAGATTGGACCTGCAGAATAGCACCTCACCAGCAGAAGTGCACCGGGTGGGGGTAGGGGCACATAGATGTGGGGATATTGGCTCTGCAGGCACTGCTGGGTGGAAAGAGAACCCCCTAAAATGAACTTGGATTAGAAGGAGGACAAAAACCCAGCCTAACATGGAAGGAAGAGAAAGCACTTGGGAATTCTTGCTTCCTTTAAACCTTCTTTTGGGGGTTGTGGGGTGTGGTTTATTTCCAAGAAATGGCAATGGTGGTCTTAGGAAGTATTGATCCTTTGATCTGCTGAGGAAGAATGGGGAGTTGGCAGGTTGGAGGAGTGAGGGGAGGGAGGTTTGGCCTTCCTTTGCCCAGATACTCGGCAAATGCAGCACAAAATCAGATGGAATACCAGGCTGGAGTGAGCGTGGATGCATTTTATTCTCCCAGGACACCCCCCGCTGACCCAGTGTGGCATTAAACCCCCAGAACCCCCACAGTGTGGCATCCCATACACATATCCTGGCTTACCTGCCTTATTTCCATTCCCTCCACCCACACAGTCCAGGGGCTCTGCAGGACCTGTGGGCCCCCTGGAAGGAGCCAGCAAAGCCCAGCCTGAGCTGTTCTCCTGAGGGACCAGTCCCTTGTGCCCCACGTCACCAGAGCTGGAAGAGAGGAAGCCACCTTGCCCACCCACTCACACTGCATGAGGCTAAACAGAGACCAGACAGGCCGTCAGTCAGCTTCACAGAGCTATGGTGTCTAAAAAGAAACTTTCAAATCTTTGATAGCTTCCATCACCTGCTCCTCCTGCCTCAACACCTCAGCCTGTCCCCCAGATATCCCCAAATCCAGTCTCTGAGACCCACCAGTTCTTCAAAGCCTCTGTCAGGTCCCACCAGGGTACTCCCACCCCGCCCCATTGCTGTCTCCTCTGAAACCTACAAGATTTATAGTCTATGCCACAAAATTGCGAGTTTATTTATACACTGTCTTACATAATTTTTCATGTTTGTCTCTTTAAGTGTTCTGTAAGTTTCTTAAGGACATGAATCATACCAAATAATTCTTTAGTAGCATCCCCTCTCCCCCAGCGCAAAGCTGAGAGGGCGTTTAACGAATGTTTCTTGATTGTTAGGATAAAGTTTCAGGATTCCCTTCGTATGAATCCATCCATTCAACAATTAGTGTCAGGCACTGTGCTAGGACCTGAGAACTTAGAGATGAATAAAGCATCTCTTACAAGGGTCTTACCAGCTGTGTGACTTTACACATGTTACTTCCCCTCTCTGCAAGAATATGAAATGAGGAAGACTATGTATTTAATAGGACTATGGAGAGGATTAAATGAAATAATCTTCATTTAGGATTAGCTTCTTAGGTTAGAACCTGCCTCATGATCCCTTAGTGAATGTTAATAATTAATTTTTTTTTTTTGAGACAGAGTCTCACTGTGTCGCCCAGGCTGGAGTGCAGTGGTGCAATCTTGGCTCACTGCAACCTCTACCTCCCAGGTTCAAGCGATTCTCCTGCCTCAGCCTCCTGAGGAGCTGGAATTACAGGCATGCACCACCACGCCCGAATAATTTTTGTATTTTTAGTAGAGATAGGATTTCACCACGTTGGCCAGGCTGGTCTCAAACTCCTGACCTCAGGTAATCTGCCCACCTCGGCCTCTCAAAATGCTGGGATTACAGACATGAGACAACACTCCTGGCCAATAGTTAATATTATTACCTCATGAATCCTTCACCTGTGGGGAGGAGGGGTGTCCCTAGGGTAATAGGTAGGGTTAAGAGCTAAATTAGAGAATTATTAGATAAGAAGTGAATGACCTGGATACATCAAAAAGAAGAAATTAAATTCTCTAAGAGGTAAATCCCTGGAAAATAGAAATGTCAAAAAAAAAAAAAAGGTGGGTGGGGCAAGGAAGAAGAGACGGAATCCGGGAGTAAGAGGGTATCACTGTGCTCCTGAGAGATATCTGAGGAAGGTACAGGAAACTCACATCCAACACCTGGTGCAGGGCTGGGCATATGGCAGGTCAGAGCCAGGATTAGAGGAAGGCCAGCAAGGCACCCAGCACACAACATTTAAAGAGGTCCTCATTCTCAGGCTCATGTAAGTACAAAGTTAACGCCTGAGAGTAGAGGCCACCTTAAATTTTGTTCCCTGGATCACTTGCTGGCCTCACCTCATCTCAGTTTTGCAGCAAGTGCTCAGGAGAAACTTGCTCTGACCAGCGAAACTGTAAAGTCACTCTGCTGACCCACCACACACCCAGGCTGCAGTCAGAGCAGCATCCCTTCTTTCCAGGGCACCCTCCCCCTCGAGAACCACACTCTGGATAGATCCTCCAGTCCCTGTGGTCCCAATCTCCTGGGGCTGTGCCTGTTTCTCGGGGCAGTCGAACAGAAGGCTTTGTCCCCTGGGTCGGGGGAGAGTTGGCTCAGTGATGAGGGCCTTCGAATATACACATGTAGGCAGCACAAAGTCAGGCTGTACTTTTCCTTGACCCAGTTTCGCATCCTCAAGTCTCAGGCCTGCACTAGCCACATGCAGGCAGCCCAGCTTTTTGCCCTGAAGGTGCAGGAGAGAGGAAGGCTGGAGGGAAGACAAAGCATAGGAGGGTCCTCTGTACTTGAGGCAGGACAAAACTCCTGGTCTCATTTCCTGTCCACTGCACAATCACATAGAAAAGCAATGGGACAGTGCTGAGCAGGATGTGCTAAGTAGAGACACCATGGTGCTGTGAATTCAGAGGAGAGAAAGAACACCGTGGGCTGAGACCAGAAAGAGAAGCAGGATTTGGACTGAAAGACAGCTGGGAGGGGACAGCGGGTCGGAGGCAGCGTGGGTGAAGGCCCAGAGTTAGGACAGATGTGACATGCGTAAAAGACCCTTCACTGGCCGGGTGTGGTGGCTCATGCCTGTAATCCCAGCACTTTGGGAGGCTGAGGCGGGTGGATCACCTGAGGTCAGAAGTTCAAGACCAGCCTGGCCAACATAGCGAAACCCCGACTCTACTAAAAATACAAAAATTAAATTGGCATGAGCCTGTAATCCCAGCTACTCAGGAAGCTAAGGCAGGAGAATTGCTTGAACCCGGGAGGCGGAGGTTGCAGTGAGCTGAGATAGCGCCACTGCACTCCAGCATGGGTAACAGAGCGAGACTCCACCTCGAAAAAAATAGATCCTTGGCTGACAGGGGAGAAACATTCAACTTCCAGAGTGGGCTTCAGCACAGACTGACAATTAGGCATGAGATTTTTGTTTGGGGAACAGAGACATTCAAAGATTTCTATTTCCAACAAAGTGGCCAACTGAGAAGCCCTCTGGGGCAGGTGCTGTGACATACCCCACCACATCACCTTCGGGAATGAAGGACTTCTCCCCACCTGTTGGGGGTGCCATGAGCCGACAGCCCTCAGCTCTCATTCCTCTTTGAGAATTGCCACAGGTGAGCAGAGCCACCTTGCTCAAGGTTATGTCCTCTTCCAGGGCATATACCTCTTCCAGGTATAAAGGTCAGGCCCCCTCACCCCAACTCTGGGCAAGTATGAAGAGACAGCCCAGCTCCAGGGCTGCCTATGGGGTCCACTGAGGCTTTCTCTGGAACTGTATTGCAGCTCAATTTCTCCCTATGGCCAGTCATATTTCCTTCTCTCTTTCTCAGATATTGATCCCAAGAACACTTCTCAATAAACATCCTACACTCTAATCTCTGACTCAGAGTCTACTTTCCAGGGAATCCAATCTGCAACATCCTCCCAATAAAAAACACTAAAATAACAATTAAAATGTCTTTTAATTGCCTTATTAAATTGATGAATAGTCTGGCAAGAAAAGAAGTAGTAGATGCATTCGTCAGCCAATCTCGGTGATTCATGCTTCCCTTGTAATGGCCAAAGGGCCCTCCCAAGGAGGGTCACACTGGGAACCTCCTCCTAAAGCCAAGAAAGCACAAATAATGCAAAAGAGAAGAAGGGAGAAAAGGCAAGGTATGTGAAACACACAAAATATGATGGCAGAAATAAATCCTTAGTCATCAGTAATCACAATAAATGTAAATATACTAAACTTTCTAAGTAGAAGACAGAGATTGTCAGACTAGGTATTAAAAACTGTAAGTATGTGCTAGTTACAACAGACATAGAATGAAAGACATGCAAATTTAAAAAAAAAGATTCAATATCATAAATATCATGTTCTCTCACCACAATACCTTTGAGTTAAAAAAATCAAAAAGATAAGGAAAAACTTGAAGCCTCTGGACATTTTAAAGCACTTCTAACTTCATGAGTGAGTAAATTATGATAGAAATTAGAAAATAATTGGAATTCAAGATATTGAAAATACATCTGGTATTTACTAGCTGTATGACCTTGAACAAATTACTTAACCTCACTGTGGCTCAGTTTCCTCATCTATAAAATAGCCCCTGGTAACAGTATCTATTACTTGTGTTATATGGATTCAGTATGTTAACACATAAAGCACATGGACTAGTAACTGGCACATCGTAAATGCAATGTCGTTCTGAGTTCTTGTTATCATCATCATCCCCAAATTGAAGAGATTTAATTAAAGAAATATTTAGAGGAAATTTTATAACTTCAAAAGTTTACATTAGAAAATAGAAAGACTGTTAACTGAAGAGCTAAGCACCCAACTTAGGAAGTTAGAAAAATGACAGAATAAAATCAAAGCATAAAAATTAATAAAATAGAAAGCAAATATCCAAGAGAAAATCAACAATGCCAAAATCTGATCATTTTACAGAGACAATGTAAAAAACAGAAAAAGAAACAAGTAAATAATGTTAAGAATTAAAAAGGGGCAAACCGATGGATATGACAGAGATGAAATACAGCATATTATAAATTTTGCCAATAAACTTGATTTCTTTTAATTTCTAGAAAAATATAATTTACCAAAATTGATTGAAGAAATAGAAAACTTAAATACTCTTACAATTACTAAAGAAATGGATCAGTAACTTGATTAATAAGTCTTAATTAGTAAGACTTAATGGATTAGTAAAGTTTTCCCATATGGAAAACATTAGGTGCAGATGGTTGTAGAGGTGAGGTCTACCAAACATTTAAAGAATAGATGAATCTCAAAAACGTGCATAAGTCATTACAGAGAATAAAGTTTTAACATTCTCAACTCATTTGCAAGACTGATTTTAAAACCAGGCAAAGATAGCATGATAAGAGAAAATTACATCCAATAGCATTCAAGAAACAGAACAGATCATCCTGAATAAAAATAATAGCAAACAAAATCTCACATCATATAAAACAAATAATATACCATAAACAAGCTGGGTTTACCCCTAAAATTATAAGTTGAACATCTATTAAAGTAATTGACCACATCAAAAGGTTAAAGGGGAAAAACTACACACCATTCAATAGATGTAGAAAAAGTACTTATAAAATTAATATCTAAATACAATTTTTGGCTGGATGCAGTGGCTCACACCTGTAATCCCAGCACTTTGGGAGGCTAAGGAGGATGGATCACCTGAGGTCAGGGGTTCCAGACCAGCCTGAGCAACATCGTGAAATCCCCTCTCTACTAAAAATACAAAAATTAGCTGGGCATGGTGGCGCATGCCTGTAATCCCAGCTTCTCGGGAGGCTGAGGCATGAGAATCACTTGAACCCAGGAGGTGGAGGTTGCAGTGAGCCGAGATCAAGCCACTGCATCCAGCCTGGGTGCCAGAGCGACGCTCCATGTAAAAAATAAATAAATAAATAAATATAATTTTCAAAATAAGAAAAAACAAAACTTTTAACACATTCTACAAATGTGTGGAACTTTACCTATTAGAAAATATCTTAAAAAAATAAGCAAACATATTCAATGATGACACTTTTTTAACATTCCCTTTACAATTAGGATTAATCATACCATATACAAAAATTAACTCAAAATGGGTCAAAGATCTCAATGTCAGAGCTAAAACTGTATAATACTTAGAAAAATGTTTAAGTGTAAATTTTTGTGATGTTGGATTAGGCAATGGTTCCTTAGATATGACACCTAAAGCACAAGCAATCAACAACAAAAAAAAAATAGCAGAATTGGACTTCATAAAAATGTAAAACTTTTGTGCTTCAAAGGAACACCAAAAAAGTGAAAAGACATGTTTTGCAAATCACGTACCTGATAAGCGACTTATACTTGAAATATATAAAGAACTCTTACAACTCAAGAAGAAAAAGTAAAATAATCCACTTTAAAAATAGGCAAAGGGACCTCTGTGGGCAGGGCATAGCTGAACAAAAGGCAGCAGAAACTTCTGCAGACTTAAACGTCCCTGTCTGACAGCTCTGAAGAGAGCAGTGGTTCTCCCAGCATGGTCTTTGATCTCTGAGAACAGACAGACTGCCTCCTCAAGGGGGTCCCTGACCCCCGTATAGCCTAACTGGGAGACACCTCCCAGTAGGGACTGACAGACACCTCATACAGGCGGATGCCCCTCTGGGACGAAACTTTCAAAGAAAGGATCAGGCAGCAATATTTGCTGTTCTGCAGCCTCCGCTGGTGATACCCAGGCAAACAGGGTCTGGAGTGGACCTCCAGGAAACTCCAATAGACCTGCAGGTGAGGGACCTGTTAGAAGGAAAACTAACAAACAGAAAGAAATAGCATCAACATCAACAAAAAGGACATCTACACCAAAACGCCATTTGTAGGTCACCAACAAACCAAAAGTAGATAAAACCACAAAGATGGGGAGAAGCCAGAGCAGAAAAGCTGAAAATTCTAAAAACCAGGGTGCCTCTTCCCCTCCAAAGGATCACAGCTCCTCGCCAGCAATGGAACAAAGCTGGACAGAGAATGACTTTGATGAGTTGACAGAAGAAGGCTTCAGAAGGTTGGTAATAACAAACTTCTCCGAGCTAAAGGAACATGTTCTAACCCATCACAAGGAAGTTAAAAACCTTGAAAAAAGGTTACAGGAATGGCTAAACTAGAATAAACAGTGTAGAGAAGACCTTAAATGACCTGATGGAGCTGAAAACTATGGTACAAGAACTTCGTGATGCATGCACAAGCTTCAATAGCCGATTCGATCAAGTGGAAGAAAAGGTATCAGTGATTGAAGATCAAATTAATGAAATAAAGCAAGAAGACAAGTTTAGAGAAAAAAGAGTAAAAAGAAGTGAACAAAGCCTCCAAGAAATATGGGACTATGTGAAAAGACCAAATCTACATTCGATTGGTGTACCTGAAAGTGAGGGGGAGAATGGAACCAAGATGGGAAACAGTCTTCAGGATATTATCCAGGAGAACTTCCCCAACCTAGCAAGGCAGGCCAAACTTCAAATTCAGGAAATACAGAGAACACCAAAAAGATACTCCTTGAGAAGAGCAACCCCAAGACACATAATTGTCAGATTCACCAAAGTTGAAATGAAGGAAAAAAGGTTAAGGGCAGCCAGAGAGAAAGGTCGGGTTACCCACAAAGGGAAGCCCATCAACTAACAGCGGATCTCTCAGCAGAAACCCTACAAGCCAGAAGAGAGTGGGGGCCAATATTCAACATTCTTAAAGAAAAGAATTTTCAACCCAGAATTTCATATCCAGCCAAACTAAGCTTCATAACTGAAGGAGAAATAAAATCTTTTACAGACAAGCAAATGCTGAGAGACTTTGTCACCAGCAGGCCTGCCTTACAAGAGCTCCTGAAGGAAGCATTGAACATGGAAAGGAACAACCGGTACCAGCCACTGCAAAAACATGCCAAATTGTAAAAACCATCGATGCTATGAAGAAACTGCATCAATTAACGGGCAAAATAACCACCTAACATCATAATGACGGGATCAAATTCACACATAACAATATTAACCTTAAGTGTAAATGGACTAAATGCTCCAATTAAAAGATATAGACTGGCAATTTGGATAAAGAGTCAAGACCCATCAGTGTGCTGTATTCAGGAGACCCATCTCATGTGCAGAGACATACATAGGCTCAAAATAAAGGGATGGAGGAAGATCTACCAAGCAAATGGAAAGCAAAATAAAGCAGGGGTTGCAATCCTAGGCTCTGATAAAACAGACTTTAAGCCAACAAAGATCAAAAGAGACAACGAAGGTCATTTCATAATGGTAAAGGGATCAATTCAACGAGAAGAGCTAACTATCCTAAATAGATATGCACCCAATACAAGAGCACCCAGATTCATAAAGCAAGTCCTTAGATACCTACAAAGAGACTTAGACTCCCACACAATAATAATGGGAGATTTTCACACCCCACTGTCAATATTAGACAGATCAACAAGACAGAAGTTTAACAAGGATATCCAGGACTTGAACTCAGCTCTGCACCAAGAAGACCTAACAGACATCTACAGAACTCTCCACCCTAAATCAACAGAATATACATTCTTCTCAGCACCACATCGCACTTATTCTAAAATTGACCACATAGTTGGAAGTAAAGCACTCCTCAGCAAATGTAAAAGAACAGAAATCACAACAAACTGTCTCTCAGACCACAGTGCAATCAAATTAGAACTCAGGATTAAGAAACTCACTCAAAACTGCACAACTACATGGAAACTGAACAACCTGCTCCTGAATGACTACTGGGTAAATAACGAAATGAAAGCAGAAATAAAGATGTTCTTTGAAACCAATGAGAACAAAGACACAACATACCAGAATCTCTGGGACACATTTAAAGCAGTGTATAGAGGGAAATTTATAGCACTAAATGCCCACAAGAGAAAGCAGGAAAGATCTAAAATTGACACCCTAACATCACAATTCAAAGAACTAGAGAAGCAAGAGCAAATACATTCAAAAGCTAGCAGAAGGCAAGAAATAACTAAGATCAAAGCAGAACTGAAGGAGATAGAGACACAAAAAACCCTTCAAAAAATCAACAAATCCAGGAGCTGGTTTTTTGAAACGATCAACAAAATTGATAGACCGCTAGCAAAACCAATAAAGAAAAAAAAGAGAGAAGAATCAAATAGATGCAATAAAAAATGATAAAGGGGATATCACCACCAATCCCACAGAAATACAAACTATCATCAGAGAATACTATAAACACCTCTACGCAAATAAACTAGAAAACCTAGTAGAAATGAATAAATTCCTGGACGCATACACCCTCCCAAGACTAAACCAGGAAGAAGTTGAATCTCTGAATAGACCAATAACAGGTTCTGATATTGAGGCAATAATTAATAGCCTACCAACCAAAAAAAGTCCAGGACCAAACGGATTCACAGCCAAATTCTACCAGAGGTACAAAGAGGAGCTGGTACCATTCCTTCTGAAACTATTCCAATCAATAGAAAAAGAGGGACTCCTCCTTAACTCATTTTATGAGGCCAGAATCATCCTGATACTAAAGCCTGGCAGAGACACAACCAAAAAGAGAATTTTAGACCAATATCCCTGATAAACATCGATGCAAAAGTCCTCAATAAAATACTGGCAAATCGAATCCAGCAGCACATCAAAAAGCTTATCCACCACGATCAAGTGGGCTTCATCCCTGGGATGCAAGGCTGGTTCAACATATGCAAATCAATAAACGTAATCCATCACATAAACAGAACCAACGACAAAAAACACATGATTATCTCAATGGATGCAGAAAAGTCCTTCAACAAAATTCAACAGCTCTTCATGCTAAAAACTCTCAATAAACTAGGTGTTGAAGGAACGTATCTCAAAATAATAAGAGCTATTTATGACAAACCCACAGCCAGTATCATACTGAATGGGCAAAAACTGGGAGCATTCCCTTTGAAAACTCACACAAGAAAATGATGTCCTCTCTCACCACTCCTATTCAACATAGTGTTGGAAGTTCTGGCCAGGGCATTCAGGCAAGAGAAAGAAATAAAGGGTATTCAATTAGGAAAAGAGGAAATCAAATTGTCCCGGTTTGCAGATGACATGATCGTATATTTAGAAAACCCCATTATCTCAGCCCAAAATCTCCTTAAGCTGATAAGCAACTTCAGCAAAGTCTCAGGATACAAAATCAATCTGCAAAAATCACAAGCATTCCTATACACAAATAACAGACAAACAGAGAGCCAAATCATGAGTGAACTCCCATCCACAATTGCTACAAAGAGAATAAAATACCTAGGAATCCAACTTACAAGGGATGTGAAGGACCTCTTCAAGGAGAACTACAAACCACTGCTCAGTGAAATAAAAGAGGACACAAACAAAATGGAAGAACATTCTATGCTCATGGATAGGAAGAATCAATATCATGAAAATGGCCATACTGCCCAAGGTAATTTACAGATTCAATGCCATCCCCATCAAGCTACCAATGACTTTCGTCACAGAATTGGAAAAAACTACTTTAAAGTCCATATGGAACCAAAAAAGAGCCCACATTGCCAAGACAATCCTAAGCAAAAAAAAACAAAGCTGGAGACACCACGCTACCTGACTTCAAACTATATTACAAGGCTACAGTAACCAAAACAGCATAGTACTGGTATCAAAACAGATATATAAACCAATGTAACAGAACAGAGGCCTCAGAAATAACACCACACATCTACAACCATCTGATCTTTGACAAACCTGACAAAAACAAGAAATCGGGAAAGGATTCCCTGTTTAATAAATGGTGCTGGGAAAACTGGCTAGCCATATGTAGAAAACTGAAACTGGATCCCTTCCTTACACATTATATAAAAATTAATTCAAGACGGATTAAAGACTTAAATGTTAGACCTAAAACCATAAAACCCCTAGAAGAAAACCTAGGCAATACCATTCAGGACATAGGCCTGGGCAAGGACTTCATGACTAAAACACCAAAAGCAATGGCAACAAAAGCCAAAATAGACAAATGGTATCTAATTAAACTAAAGAGCTTCTGCATGGCAAAATAAACTACCATCAGAGTGAACAAGCAACCTACAGAATGGGAGAAAATTTTTGCCATCTACCCATCTGACAAAGGGTTAATATCCAGAATCTACAAAGAATTTAAACAAATTTACAAGAAAAAAACAAACAACCCCACCTAAAAGTGGGCAAAGGATATGAACAGACACTTCTTAAAAGAAGACATTTATGCAGCCAACAGAAACATGAAAAAATGCTCATCATCACTGGTCATCAGAGAAATCCAGATCAAAACCACAATGAGATACCATCTCACACCAGTTAGAACGGTGATCATTAAAAAGTCAGGAAACAACAGATGCTGGAGAGGATGTAGAGAAATAGGAACACTTTTACACTGTTGGTGGGAGTGTAAATTAGTTCAATGATTGTGGAAGACAGTGTGGTGGTTCCTCAAGGATCCAGAACTAGAAATACCATTTGACCCAGCCATCCCATTACTGGGTATATACCCAAAGGATTATAAATCATGCTACTATAAAGACTCATGCACACATATGTTTGTTGCGGCACTATTCACAGTACCAAAGACTTGGAACCAACCCAAATGTCCATCAATGATAGACTGGATTAAGAAATTGTGGCACATATATACCATGGAATACTATGTAGCCATAAAAAAGGATGAGTTCATGTCCTTTGCAGGGACGTGGATGAAGCTGGAAACCATCATTCTAAGCAAACTATCACAAGGACAGAAAACCAAACACTGCATGTTCTCACTCATAGGTGGGAACTGAACAATGAGAACACTTGGACACAGGGTGGGGAACATCACACACCGGGGCCTGTCAGGGGGTGGAGGGCTGGGGGAGGGATAGCATTAGGAGAAATATCTAATGTAAATAATGAATTGATGGGTGCAGCAAACCAACATGGCACATGTATACATATGTAACAAACCTGCACGTTGTGCACATGTACCCTAGAACTCAAAAGTATAATTCATAAATAAATAAATTAATTAATTTAAAAAAATAGGCAAAGGGGCTGGGCGTGGTGGCTGGCTGGGCGTGGTGGCTCATTCCTGTAATCCCAGCACTTTGGGAGGCTGGGAAGGGTGGATCACCTGAGATTAGGAGTTCGAGACTAGTCTGGCCAACATGGTGAAACCCTGTCTCTAATAAAAATACAAAAATTAGCCAGGCATGATGGTATATACCTGTAATCCCAGCTACTCAGGAGGCTGAGGTGGGAGAATCACTTGAAACCGGGAGGCAGAGGTTGCACTGAGCTGAGATCGCACCATTGCACTCCAGCCTGGGCAAAACTTCCTCTCAAAAAAAAAAAAAAAAAAAAGGCAAAGAATCTAAATAGATATTTCTCCAAAGAAGATATGCAAATAGCTAACAAGCACATTAAAAGATGCTCCACATCATTAGTCATCAGAGAAATGCAAAATCAAAACCACAGTGAGATGTCACCTCAAAACCACTGAGATGGCTATAATCCAAAAAAAAAGATAATAAAAGTGTTATCAAGGATGTAGACAAATTGGAACCCTCATACAATGCTGGAGAAAATGTAAAATGATACAGCCACCTTGGAGAACCCTGGCAGTTCATCAAATGGCAAACACAGAGTTACCATATAACCAGTTCTACTCACAGGTATAAACCCAAGAGAAATGAAAATCTATATCCACACAAAAACTTAACATAACAGTGAAAAACAACTCAAATGTCTATGAGTTGAAGAACAGAGAAACAGAATGCAGTCTATCCATACAATGAAATATTATTCTGCAATAAGAATAAATGAAGTACTGATACATGATATGACATGGATGAACCTTGAAAACATTCTGCTTAGTGAAAGATGTCAATCACATAGGACAACATAGCATATGATTCCATTTATATGAAATGCTCAAAACGGGAAAATCTAGGGAGACAGAAAACAGGTTAGTGCGTTTGCTCATTCCTAGGACTAGGAGGGATAGGGGTCTGGGAAGCGATGGCTAAGGGGTACAGGATTTCTTTTGCAGAGTAATGAAAATGTCCTAAAATTGACTGTGGTGGTAGATGTGCAACTGTATGAATATATTAAAAGCCATTTAACTCTACACTTTAAGTGGGTGAATTTTATTTCAATAAAGCTGTCAAAAAAAGAAAGAAGAAAACGATGAGGACTAAAATGAGGATGTTCACTCCGACACTTTTATTGAATATTATGTCAAAGGTCCTAGCCACTACAGTAAAACAAGAACCATATATTAAGGTATAATGGTAGTAATGAAAGAAAGAAAAATGTCTACATAGAAATCCCCAGATAATCTTCAGATAAACTATTATCAGTATGTGCATAATCAAGGTTGCTGATTATAAAATTAATACACAAAAAACAAATTTATTTCTATATGCCAGCTACGAATGGTTAGAAAATATAACTTTTTAAAAGATAATTTGTACGATAATAAACATTTTACATAGTTTTTAAATAGTTAAAAACTATATAGCTAGACATGAATTGTTACGGACTAAATAATTGTTTGTGTCCCCCCAAAATTCCTATGTTGAAATCGAATCCCAAGGCAATGGTATTTAGAGGTGGAGGCTTGGGGGGATGATTAGGTCAGAGAGTGGAGCAGTCACAAATGGGATTGGTGCCCACATAAGACGAGGCCAGAGACTTAGCTACCTCTCTTTCATCCCCACATGAGGAAACAAGAAGTCTACAACCTGCAGGAGGGCCCTCACCAGAACCCAACCATGCTATCACCTTGATCTTGAACTTTCAGCCTCTTGAGCAGGAGAAACAAACATTTGTTGCTTAAGCTACCAAATCTATGGTAATTTGTTATAGCAGCCCAAACAAACTAAGATGTAAATCTAACAGAAAACATTCAAACTCTTTATGGAGAATTATAAAACTCCATTGAAAGACACGGGAAGACATTCAAGGCCCAAGGTTATTTGGTTTTCCTGAGATTAAGTTTAAAAGATAGACTCAGACCAGATTATTAAAATCTACCATGTCTTTTTTCCTACCTTTAAATAAACATTGCCCTTTCCCTGTCCCTCTGTTAAAGTGTAAACACCTGAAGTTGTAATACTCTAGGGCTGTGAGCTTATATGAAGATTTCAGCACTAACAAAGGGGATTGGGGTCAGTGGGGGACTTAAAAGAAGACGGAACAATTTCCATGCCCCTCATTGTGGAAAATCTTTCTTTTAATGCTTTTTCTTCTCAGCATTGACACCTAGAAAGGGTAACCTGCGCTCCCTGTCTCCACATTGTCTTTCCCCACTCACTCCCTGCCCACTGAAATAGGATCCTGTCCCCACTTCTCTCTCCCAAACTGTCTTTGCCTCTACTGCCAACCCAGCAGACACCTCAATCCTATCCCACCCGAGCCCTCTTCCTGGCATGCCACAGTTGGCCACTCTCACTCTGACGCCCTCGTCCCTTGGTTTCCTTAACACCTCCCTCTCCTCATTCCCCTCCACCTCTCTCCAGCCTCGGCTTCCAGAGCCAGCTCTCCTCTCTCGACCCCTTATAGGTGCAGACATCCTTCAAGGCTCTCCTTTGTGCCCAGACCCATCATCATTTTCCACTCTGCTCTGTCCTTGGTGACTCATCCAATCCCATTGCTCACATCAGTGGTTTTCTAACTGAGGGTTTCAACCCAACGGATTGTAAAATTTAATGGGTTGCTCTCAGATTTTTTTAATAAAAACTCTTTTTATTGTGGCAAAATACACAATAACATAAAATTTACCATTTTAACCATTTTTAAGTCTACAGTTGAATGTCATTAAGTTCATTCACATTGCTGTGCTACCATCACCACCATCCATCTCCAATACTTTCTCATCTTTCCAAACTGAAACTCCATACCCATTAAAAGATGACTCCCCATCCCACACCCAGCCCCCAGGAACCACCATTCTACTTTCTGTCTTTATGAATTTGACAACTCTAGGTCTCTCATATCATTGGAATCATAGAGTATTTGTCCTCTTGTGCCTGGCTGATTTCACTTAACACAAGGTCTCCAAGGTTCATCCATGTTGTAGCACATTTCAGAACTTCCTTTCTTTTTAAGGCCAATATTCCATTGTATTTTTTAAGGAAGTAGAATGGATTTATTTATTTATTTATTTATTTAATTTTTAAATTTTATTTATTTATTTTTTGAGACAGAGTCTCGCTCTGTCACCCAGGCTGGAGTGCAATGGTGCGATCTTGGCTCACTGCAACCTCCACCTCCCAGTTTCAAGCAATTCTTGTGCCTCAGCCTCCTGAGTAGCTGGGATTACAGGTGTGTGCCACCACACCTGGCTAATTTTTGTATTTTTAGTAGAGACAGGGTTTCACCATGTTGGTCAAGCTGGTCTCGAACCCCTGACCTCATGATCCACCAGCCTAGGCCTCCCAAAGTGCTGGGATTACAGGTATGAGCCACCGCACATGGCAAATGGATTTTTTAAATGAAGTAAAATAGAAAACATTAGAGTACATTTCTCGTAATAAGGCCAAGTATTGCTTCACAAAATGTTTCAGTTGAGTGTGTACATAACTGTGTTCAAGGTCTCCGGCTATAACATATGCCATACTGTGCTTCCCAATCATAAAAGTTTGAAAAACACTGATGTCAGTGGTTGGTGACTCCAAATCTACATTACTAGTCTGGCTCTTCCCAACGCAGTTCTGGGTAGCTCCACGCACGAGGATCCAGACCCACAGCTGTCACCCTCCCCGCTCCCTCCCAGACACGCCATCCTCACAGGGTCCCTACTTTCTTCTCAGGAATTGGGCCCTGCCTGCCTCACTCTGTCCCCAGCAATATAGCTCTAACCCCTGAGTCATGCAGATTCACTCAACTCTTGCCTGCACTTGTCAATCCTTGCTCAAACTCGGTTTCATCCCCCTTCCTTTCACTTCTGCCTATGCCTGTGGATCATTCCCCTTTCTTGAAGACCCCTTCAAATGCCTCCATGTACCTTGAAACACAGTGATTTTCTCTGGCGCCTCCTCCTTGTTTTTAGAGTCCCTCGTCCATTCCTCTAGGCGTGCCTTTCTGTCTTCCCAATAGCCACCGGCTCCCTGGAGACCCTGGACTGTGCCTGCCTTGCACACCATTGTATCCCTAGCACTTAAAGAGTAAATCTGCATGAAGTATTTGTTCAATCAATCAAAACAGACATGGAGAAGCCAAGAGCATCAAGGAGTACGTTCACAACTTTGTTTCTTGTCTTTTTCTCCTCATTCACATAGCACATGCTTTCTCCATTAGAGACACTGAGCCCACTAAGCCACCTGCACTGCCCCACCTTCTCCCCTCCTGACCAAGGGAGGTGCTGCAAATGGACCCCCAGAGTTCTGACTGCTCTCAATGGGGTCCTCCCAAAAGCTCTGGTTGCAGAGCACAGGGAGAGCCCAGGGTCCAAAGAAGTAAGCACACATCGACTCACAGCCCCACTGCCATTTGCTCTGGGCTGTCGCTAAATTCTCCCTGGAAGAGCCTGCCTTTGCTGTGTCCCTGAAATCTTTGTGAGGTGGCATCGCACCAGCTCAGCACAGAAGCAAAGAATGGCAGCCTTCAGGAATCCCCTGGCTCTGAAGTGGACCTGCTCCCTGCAACAAGTTCTTCTCACTTTCACTGGGCTGTGACAGTACCTCCCAGCCTCTCTACCTCTTTAACCCTTCCTGTAGGAGACCCAGCTAACATCCTTCTTAGGGGCTTTTATCCTGCCATTACCCTACTCCAGGGCCAAACACAGCTCCCAATGGCCCAATGAACCAAATGCAAATTGTTCTTCTCAATCTTCAAAACACTTTGCTGAGGCTAGTGACCCACTGTTACATCTGCCCTCTTCGTCCCTTCCTTCCACCTCACAGCAGTTGTATCCATTTCTTCATTGTGTCTCTTCCTGTTACAATCCCTGCGCGCACACACATAGTCCTACCTTCAATTATTTATTCATTATCCAATATTTATTGAGAACATCTTATGTGCTGGACACCAAGTTTGGTGTTCACAGTGCAGCTGGGAACAAAACAGAGCAAATTGGTTGGGCGCAGTGGCTCATGCCTGTAATCCCAGCACTTTGGAAGGCCGAGGCGGGCGGATCACAAGGTCAGGAGATCAAGACCATCCTGGCTAACAGGCTGAAAACCCGTCTCTACTAAAAATACAAAAAATTAGCTGGGTGTGGTGGCAGGCCACTGTAGTCCCAGCTACTTGCCAAGGCTGAGGCAGGAGAATGGCCTGAACCCGGGAGGCAGAGTTTGCAGTGAGCTGAGATCGCGCCACGGCACTCCAGCCTGGGTGACACAGTGAGACTCCATCTCAGAAAAAAAAAAAAAAGAAAGAAAAAGAAAAAAGAGCAAATCCCCACTGCATGGAGCTTTCGGTCTAGAGCAGTTTCTCAACCTCAGCACTACTGACATTTGGGGCTGGAAAATTATTTGTTGCTGGGGGCAAACTATGCATTATAGGTCTTTACAACCTCTTTGGCCTCTTCCCTCTGCATGCAGCAGCACTCTCCTCTCCCCAGTGTGAATGCCACAGAAGTCTCCAAACATTGCCACGGGGAATAGGGGATTGAGAACCACTGGTCTAGAGCAGCAGGAGGAGCTTGTTGCAGCTTGCAGATCGCCTGGGGAGCTTGTTACAAAGGCAGGTTAGTAGATCTCACCCGAAGACAGTCAGATTCAGGGGCTCAGGAGTCTGCATTTCAATGGTCCTCCAGTTGGTTCTGATTCAGGCCCTCCCAGAGCCTCTGCTTGAAGAACACTGGTCAAGTGTTTGTAGACAGGAGACAGACTGATGATAATCACATCAGGCCAGTTCATTACAATCATGATATATGGAGGAAACAAGATAGGTAAGCAGGTGCTAGGGGTGACACTGATGTGACAGCCACATCCAGTTCAAGATCAGGACTAACCAATGATTAAGCCAAGTGCTGCAGTGTAGGTAGGGTCAGGTGTGGGAGAGACGGGAGGAAATTGTGACACACTTGCATCTCTGCACCTTTGCTCCTGCCCACTTTTTGGATGTGCATGCCCCCTGCCCCCACCCTCAAATCTTACCCTTCCTTCAAGGCCCACTCAAGTTCAACTTCCTCTGGGCACAGTCTTGCCTAACTTCTCCAGCCTATCAGTGCTTCTCTTCTCAGACAGTTTAACATTCACTTTCTGTTTCATTTGTGGCTATTTTGTTGCCCCAAATAGACTTCGAGTCCTCTGAGTACCAAGACCACATCATCTCCTTCTTTACAGACCCTTATCTACAGGCACGCTTCCAGGATCAGCCCTATACAAGTTTTGCCTGGTTGATTGGGTTGAGTCTCTAGAGTGAGGCCTGCAAGATAGCATCTATGCGATTCAGGGGGTCAGGGTCTCTGTGAGGGAGGAAGGGAAGCACCTTGTGTGCCTGCTGAACTCCTGGCAGCTAGCCCACCCACCCAAGACCAGGGAGGACTTGCCAGAGCAAGCAGGTAGTTTGGTTGGCGTTTGCCATGGGCGGTTGTATTTTCCCCCTGTTGACAAGGCAGAAGGAATCCCAGCAGCCCCAGCAACTTTGGGGAGGTGCCGGGAGGGGGCAGGAACCCAGAGCTGCCCTGCTGAAGAGCAAGTGCCAAGACAGCAGCAGGCAATCGGCCTGCAGGGCCGCAGCAAGCTGTGGGGGACCCAGCTGTCCTTGCATAGGATCATCTCAGGGGCAGCAGTAGCCAAAACAAGAGGCAGGCCCAATCAGATCCAAGAAGCCAGGAGACTCCGAAGATGGCCTTTAAAGCCACCAGTGTCAGACAGCACTCAGGAGCTGCCACCAACCAGGGAACGCTCCCTGGGAAGGTCCGGAGCAGCAACTGGCTGTAAACAAATGTTCAGAACAAGGTGCCTCATTACTCCCCAGCTCCGGGGGAGTTACAAGGAGGGGAAACAGCCTAAGTGCTCGGCTTTTCCACTGGACAGCGACACCTAGCAGCGATCCTCACCCTCCCACCTTCGTGGGCAGCCCAGATTGGGAGCACCCATACCTGATGTATCCACCTCACCCAAAGGATGAGAAGAGGGCTGTTTCGTTATGGGGAAGTTTAGAGAAGAAGGTGGGATGCTTACTTAGCTAGAGAGACATTTATTTTCCTATCAACCTAGGGGAGGGGCGGTGAGAGTAGGGAGACACTAGCAGCAAACTAAAAAACAGCCCAGCAGCTAGGAGAGAGGGCTCTTGCCAAGAGAGGCTCTGATATGGGTGTATCCTAGAGCAAGAACCTCCCCTAATCTCTCAAACCAGGCGGAGGAACCCCAAGTGTTTCCTTAAGCCAGCAGAGCCGGCAGAAGGAAGTGGCTGGCATTTCAGTGTATCTTCTGCAAATAGAGAGGCTGAGGCTGTGCCCGAATTGAATTTCTGAGTGACACCTCCTACTGCTCTTTCTCTTGGAGTTTAACCGTGGATTGGGGTGGAGTAGGGGGAGAGCCCAACGAGGGGTTAACTTATGCTGCAGCTCTGACCTTTTGCGCTAAGGATGAGAAAAAAAAAGCCATCTGTTTCAGAAGGAATCAGGTTGTTGAGTTTCACAGATCCAGTGGCTGTGGGATTGTAAGACTTCACTATCACTATCCCTGTCGCATAGCCACAGCCCACACTACCACCCCCACCGAACCCGAAGCTCCTGGAGGGGAAAATGCTTTTTCTCCCAAGGGTCCTTACGAAAGTTCAGGACTCGCGAGGTTATAAACAAACAAACAAACAAACAAACAATCGATACGATTTTGAGCCCTCCGACCCCGGAGTCCAAACAAATGGCCATAGAACTGTGGGTCTGGAGGACACCGCTCCGATCCATGCGGTCTCTCCGGGTATTAAATGGATTTATCGTCAGCCTGGTTGCTTGGAATTCTATTCTGTCCTTCATTTTTCACAGCGGAACAAAGTTGTCTGGACCCTCCAGCCAGCGCTGGGCAGAAGCAAGCAAGGATGCTCTTGGAAACGCGGTGGCCCAAGCCTAAGCGGCCATGCTCGGGGCTAGGAGCGGACCCCACGGCCACTCACCCCGGGGCGCTGCGACCGAAGCTGCCGCGGCCACTGCCACCCGGGGGCTCGCCGGCCGGCTCCGCGCATCCCGCCCTCTCAATGGACTTTCTTACCTCTTAATGTAGTTCCTGCCATACAGGATCTGTTGCAGCAAGGTCACCAAGGCAAAGGCGCAGATGAAGATGAAGAGCAAAGTTCGGCTCCCCAACAAATCCCGGTTGGCCGAGGGGTCCGCGTAGCGCATCCTGGCTACCGGGCGCCGCGGGCGCGGGGTACGGGGCGGCCAGGCAATGACTCGCGGGGTTCCGGGGCCCCGGGGGGCGCGCGGCCGACTTGGCGCCTCACGGTGCGGTCAGGCAGGCGGGGGACTTCGAGGGGCAAAGTTTCTGGTTGGCGCGGCCGGAGCTGGGGGCATCCAAGCGTCGCAGGCGCTGGGGCGGCAAGCAGGACAGGGCCGGTGGCAGGGAGCTCTGCCGCGGCCAGGGGCCTTCCCCACCCCCGGGTACCTTTACCTCCAGGCGCCGGTGCCGGGTAGCCGCCGATTTCCCCGCGGAGGGGAGACGCCAGGTGCCACGAGCCGGAGGCGGCCCCTCCCGCCGAGGTGGCGGCCAATGGGGAGCAAGACCCGGGCTCCGTCCCCTGTGCGCCCCAGCGCGCCGCGCATCGACCCCTCCAGTCCGGCGCCGGATCGCGGTTGCCCAGCGCGCTGTGCCCTGCCGGGGGCGGGCCACGTTTGATCTCCGGGCCCGCAGCAAGGGATCGCGAAGGTTGGCCTCCGGTTCTGCCGATAGGGACGGGGGGAGGGGGCGTACAAAACACCCGCGCAGTCTGGCTAATGATAGGCGGGCCGTGGGGAGGGGGAGGGGCGGAGCGCAAAACGCCGGGTTTGAATCTTGGAATTAAAAAGAGGGCAGGGGCTGGGCGCGGTGGCTCACTCCTGTAATCCCAGCACTTTGGGAGGCCGAGGCGGGCGGATCACAAGGTCAGGAGTTCAAGACCAGCCTGGCCAATATGGCGAAAACCCGTATCTACTAAAAATACAAAAAACAAAATTAGCCAGGCGTGGTGGCACGCGCCTGTAGTCCCAGCTACTTGGGAGACTGAGGCAGAAGAATCGCTTGAACCTGGGAGGCGGAGGTTGCAGTGAGCCGGGATCGCGCCACTGCACTCCAGCCTGGGCGACAGAGCGAGACTCCGTCTCAAAAAGAAAAAAAAAGAAAAAAAAGAGGGCAGGAAGAGGAAACAACAGTTGCGGAGCTGGACTTGATGGAAGGGAGCATTTGCGTGCGGCGCGCAGGGCACTGAGTCACCATCGTGGCCGCGTCCTCGCGCTCTCCTAGCGATTTCTCCGGAGAAAGCGGAGCAAGGTCAGCCGGGCAGCCCTTCAAGGACGGCGCGCCGCTCCTGCATGCTGATGGCCTGCGGGGCTGCCTGCCCGTGCCCCGGCGCCCAACTCCTACAAGGAAGAAATTCAGGGGCTCCCCGCCCCCGCCACAGTCCTCTTCCCCCTCCCCAGCTGCAACTCGGCAGCCGTTCGTCAAAGACCCTGTTGTCACCGAGACACTGGGACCTTGTCTCATCCTTGGAACCACTCGTAAATCTTAGGTCAGGCAGCCGGCAGCCTTCGGGGACCACAGTCCCCCCAAAGCTTTAGGAAGCCAGTTACTACATCCGGAAAGATTCGTGCTTCAGAACGCAAGCCAGGGAGAATAATCACAGAAACGCAATGCGAATGTCGTGCCTCTCAGAAATTCTTAGCCTGAAATACCGTCCCCACCCCCCAACCCGGCCAGGCGACAGTCCTGTCATCCTAACACCGCAGAGGCTCCAAGCGCTGGGAGTCGTGTGCCCGCGGCGCTCGCCACTGAGGCCGGTTGGAAGATTCTAGGGTGCCCCTTCCCAGGTTCCAGCAGGCACTCCGGGATGTTCTAGAGTCAGGCCAGGGATTCAACAGCGAACCTGACCGAAACTCAAACCTCAGCACAAGAACTTTGATGGGGGAAGTGCCCAGACTCCAATACTCTCGACCTTGGCATTTAGTAGTTTCTTCTTTGAACTGGAAAGATCAAATAATGCACAGTAAAATCTCATGATAAGGGTTCCACCAAGAATTCGGGATTTGTGTTAATTCATAAGGCAGAAGTGGCCCCTGTGCTATCCATGAAGAGTTTCTGTATTTCTCTGCAAGGTCACAGGTAGGCTTTTTTTTTTTTTTTTTTTTTTTTTTTTTTTTTTTTTTTGAGACGGAGTCTCGCTCTGTCGCCCAGGCCGGACTGCGGACTGCAGTGGCGCAATCTCGGCTCACTGCAAGCTCCGCTTCCCGGGTTCACGCCATTCTCCTGCCTCAGCCTCCCGAGTAGCTGGGACTACAGGCGCCCGCCACCGCGCCCGGCTAATTTTTTGTATTTTTAGTAGAGACGGGGTTTCACCTTGTTAGCCAGGATGGTCTCGATCTCCTGACCTCATGATCCACCCGCCTCGGCCTCCCAAAGTGCTGGGATTACAGGCGTGAGCCACCGCGCCCGGCCACAGGTAGGCTTTTTAACCAATTAAAGAAAAACTCCAACATTTAGAGGGCCCATTATTATAATAATTCCTGTATTTGTTTGCTGTCTGGCACATAAAAACGTGCTTCACTTGCATATATTAATGAATTTTCACCTCCTAGCCCCTGGCTAACCCATTTTACAGCTGAAAGGACTAAAGCAACAGATGCCCAAAGTAACTCACCTAGCAACAAGTCTTGGGATTCTGAGATGAGGTTCTTTCTCCCACACACACAGGCAGGCTGGCTTCTTGGGAGTGGGACTTGTTCATTTGTCCCCACCACCACCATTGATTTTGACTGATTGCTCCACTCTTGCTGTCTTCAAACTTTTGAACAAGGGGGTTTGCATTTCTCTTTGCACTGGGCCAAATTATGAGGTAGGTCCTACACACAGGCTCCAAGATGACAGTACTAATTTTTCACTAATTTTTCTCTACTTGGTGCTCAAGTGTAGAGTTTGAGGGGTACTATCATCTTCACTCCAGGCAAGGCACTGTTGTTTCTTTTGTATTCCTGCTTATTCTCCACCCCATCAGGTGCTCACTCTGATACCTGTCTTTGAGTGCTGTTTTCTTGGAAAAACAAATCTATTTTCAAGAAATGAATCAAAATTATCCTAAGAACTTTTTAATTGCAATATAATGCATTTACAGAAAAGTACACAAATCATAAATGTTCAGGTCGCTGTGTTTTCACAAGCTGAACACACCCATGTAACCAGTACACAGATCAATTATCGGCCCCCAGGAGTCCCCTCATGTTCCTATCTGGTTACTATGTACTCAAGAGTAACCACTGTTCTGAATCCTAACCCCAAAGATCAGTGCTTCCTGTTTTGTGTTTTATATAAATGCAATTATACATTATATATTATTTTGTGTCTGCCTTCTTTTGCTTAACGTTGCTATGAGATTTATCCATGCTGTTGCATGTGGTGGGCAGAATTACAAGAAGACCCCCAAGATTCCTCACCCCTTCTTGTATGCACATTCCCATAGGTATTGATCTAGGCGCTGCTGTGAAGGGAATTTGCAGATGTAATTGGCCTAAATCAGTTGGCTTTAATATCAGGAAATTGTCCTCAGTGGGCATGGCCATATGGAGCCCTTACAAGGGACTGGGCTCTTCCTGGTGAAAAAGATTTGAATCACGAGAGTGGCTGATATGAGGGAAATTCTTTGCTGTTGCCTTCGAAGACAGAAGAGGTCCACAAGGCAAAGGATGCAGACAGCCTGTAGGAGCTGAGACTGGCTCCTGGCTGACAGCCAGCAAGGAAATGAGGACCTCAGTCCTCCAATCATGAAGCAGACTCCGACTTCTGCTAACAACCTGAATACACTTCAAAGAGGATTCTGAGCTCCAGCCGCCTACACATTGATTTCAGCTGTTGGGACCCTCAGCCGAGAACCCAGCTATGCCGTGCCCAGATGTAAGACCTACACATCTGTGAGCTTGTAAGTGTGTGTTGCTTTAAGCCACTAAGTTTGTGGTAATATGTTTCACTGCAATATGAAACTAATACTTCTGTGTGCAGTTATAGTTTGTTCAATCTTATTGCTATATAGTATGCCATCAAACGACTGTGGCACAACTTATCCATTCTACAGCTGATGGACATCTGGGTAGTTGCTGCCATCAGCCTTCCAGTGCATGGTTTTTTGGGTGAAAACATGCATGCATATCTGCTGGGTATCTATTTCTAGAAGTAAAATTGCTAGGTCAGAGAGTATACATATGTTCAGCTTTAGCAATTACTGCCAAAGTTTTTCCAAAGGGAAAATTATTTTTAATAGGTATTTTATCCAGATTTGCCACGACCTAATAAGGAATTCGTCCCCACAATAAAACTAACTGGCTAACCTAATAGCAAAAAGCCCACCCAATCAAGAGCCAAGATAGTTGAGGGACAACAACAGCTCCAAAGGCACCCACTCTCCCTTGAGGAGGTACTCAACAGTTAGGTCTCCTGCATGAATTGGCAGTGAATGAGATTGATGCTGGCATTAGGAATAGCTAGAACTTTGCAGCAAGACTCTATGTAGAATAGATTTTGGTCACTTGATCCTCTGCACATGATCAGCAATAGTCCAGTGGTCTCTGCTGACACTGCTCTTCTAATCCTAATGGCATTTTAATTCTGACTATCTTCATATCAGAGGTATCTTTAACACACACACAAACACCTCACAGGCATCTCTAGTGAAGCTGGAGACCTAAGATCTCAAAACATGGAGGTCTGAAGTCCCTTTTGTTCCTATCAGTATGGAGCTAGATTCCATTTTAAGCCAAATTTATATTCTGATTGTAGAATTGCAGCAAACACTCAGAAGGCCTTGCAAACAAAAGAGTAAACACATGGATAAATGATCACTATGCCAGATTCAGTGAACACCATTTTTATATTCTAATTGCCAGGAATGGGGACAGCTGCATCATTGTTTAAAACACACACTCATGCACAATTAAGCCAGAACAAATGTCAACACTGGCACCATCTGCTAAATTACTGATAACTGATGAGCATTACTCATGCTGTGAGCATTGTCTCCAATATAAAATGGAAAGACTTTTTCAAAAACTTAGAGGTTTCTACCAGTTTTAAAAAGCCAGTTTTTATATCATACAGCACAACTGCAACCTGTCAGATTATGTAAGTGACATTTCACCCATGTGTTCGAGGAGTATGTGATAAGTACATGCTGTTTTTGTGCCTCTTTACATTTATGTTAACAAGCCAGGCCTTCAAGAGGCTGATTCCTGGCTCTGGGACACTTTGTCTGTGATGAGGGTATCTTGCTGTCAGGTGAGCAGAAATGCCCAGTTATAACCTTGTAATCAGAGAGCCAGGGTTTTGCCATTACATGGTCAACTGCAGACACAAGACTCTACTTCATCAGTCTCGTTTTTAATAAATTATATAACAGAAAAATGATTTAAACCCCTTGTTCAGTCCCCTTATGAAGTACAAATTGTATCCAATATAATTTATGAAAAATCATTTATAATCTTGAACCTGGAGATGAAGCCACCTTTCAGCTTTCATATCTCCAAGCTGAGAAGCATCCTCCTGCCTGTCTCAGCATCACTCCCAGATATTCTTCTCCTGCATTTGTTCCAATTTATCCAGTTTGTTTCAAAGGGTAGAGATATTATTATTAGTAATCCATAAACCACCTGATGCATCATAGTACAGAAAGATTCTCTTGCACCTCAGGCATGTCACACTCCTACAGTATGTTCCTGTACTTGCCAGAAACAGCATCACTGGAATAAGGTCACTCAGATCACATTCAGATGACATGCTGGACATAATGGACCTAGAATCTCCTTTTCTTACCTTAAAGGCTGGGCTGTAGGGTAGAAACACTTGGATCAGGTTCTGCCCTTTGATGAATTCAGCTAAGAGAATGTATTTTTTAATTTCCAAGCCAGTGCAAGCCCCTAGACGCATTTTGTTGGTGGTCTGTATAATGCTGAGACTTTCAGAGGAATGCCCTATAAATACAGCTGCTTAAAAATGTTTAATATTCCTTGGGTACCTGAGAAGAGAAAAGGGATGAGTGTTCCACTGTGATCATCTACTTCTGAAGCACCAAGGGATGTTTCAAATCCTAACACCATGGCCACAGTAAAGCATGTGTCATTTAACCACCATCCTAAATTCTAAAAGCTCCATGCATTGGGTAGACATGGCTAGTATGGACACTATGTGCTAGACATTGTATGACATGCTAGGGAAACGAGAATCAGTCATTCACAGTCTGTGCCTAGAAAGGAGTTTAAATTCCCATGAGGAAGACAGACAGTGCCCTATAGTAGGATTAAGATCTGTCTAACCCAAATTGGGAGTGACAGAGAGGTCAGTGGGCAGGGGGCAGAATGGCAAGGAAGGTTTCCAGAGGAGGTAGTGTTTGACCTGAATTGTGATGCGTGAGGACGTTCAGCCAGGTAAAGAGGTGGGACAAGGTACTGTAGGTGGAGGCTGGCAGTGGGTGATGGGGTACAGTTGGCTCAACACGGCTGAAGAGATTAGGCTGGGTGGGTGAGTGCGAGACAGAGCACAGAGAATTGGGATTTTATCCATGAAACCATTGCAAGATTTTAAGTAGGGGAATGATATGATCAGATTTGCATTTTAGATAATCAAGCTGCAGGCTAGTGGAGCACAGTTTGAGGGTTCAAAGACTGAAAAGGCACGGAGATGCCGGCTTGTCTTTCTTTTCCCTGATCAGACCAGACCCCTTCCCTTGGCCTCCCCTTCCCACCACATACCTCATTGGCAGGCAGCCCTACTATGAGCTCATATTATTGTACCAATTTGAGAATTAATTATCTGCCTCCTTCCAGGGTAGCAGGAAAAGAGTAGAGAAACATGATTACTGACTGCTTTATAGAAGCTGTCACCATATTAAGTGCTTCATCATTCAATTCACCTGAGATGCATGGAAATAGGTTAAGCTTGATTGAGGCTGGTCCACCGCAAAACTGTGCAGTTAGCAGAGTTTGTTTTTGGTACATATACCCTTTTGTTACTCTGCAGCCCCCTCTGCTCTATAGGTTCCTGGTATAATAACACTCTCTTCCCCTCCCTTTTGGAACCTCTGCTCTTGGGAAAGGCTTTGATAGCTTTCTCTTAAATACTAGTGTTCCTGATGGGAGAAATTTAACCTGAAGCATCCTCTCTGACTGCAATGAAGGTGTTGTCCTGTTAGAACTGCACTCAGAGCACTGTAAAGAATTATATAAGTAGCCATCACCTTAACCACATCCTCAAACATTTTCAATGCAATCTAGCGGAGAATGATTTTCTGAAAGAATACATATCTGATTTTATAACAGAAATAAATGGAAATATGATTTGTTTTATAGAAAATGTCTTGCCCTCTAACTATTAATATGTCAATATTTATATATGAACTACAATAAGAACAGCTACAACAAGATTGATGTATACTGCCTGAACGCCCTGAAAATAGATCATTGTCCGCAAGTGTAGTTACCAATATAACAGCCTAGTCTTGCTGTGCTATGAGTTTGCCTGGATTGCCATTACTTATAGGCCAAGTAGACTGTGGTGAATGCCAGATACTAGCCAACTTTTTCTGAAAGAGCCAGATGATAAATATCATAAACTTTGTGGCCCAGACAGGTTCTGTTGCAACTCCCAACTCTGCCACTGTAGTGTGAAAACATAGACAATGGAGAACGAATGTGAATGGCCAGAGTTGCTCCACAGGATTGCTAACTCCTGCTCCACACTTTGTGATATGCAGATCCCATGCAAGAAGTCCCACCTCATTTCCCTGAAGAGTCACCATAAAAGGCATTCCATGTTTAGACATCATATTTACAAAGGCCTAATAAATAATAACATGTTAATCTATTATCCACCATCAACATGTTAGCACAGTTTTATTTATCCTTGAAGTGAACCTGGAGATCACAGGATGACCTTTCTATGCATACACTCTCCTCTAACTTTGACCAGCGGTCTCATAAATACACGTCCCAGGTCACCATGGACAACTAAACAAATATATGGGTTGCTTGGTGAGATTTCACCTCCACTTATGAAGACAATAAATTCTTGTGTCCTAAAAGTCAGTGTGTCAGTTAAGGTCTTTTCACGAAAGTAACAGGAACCATAGAGAAATTCATTATCTCACATATCAGGAAATCTAGAGGAGGGGTGGGCTCCACAATTGGCTGATCAGTGTCCTATGACTCCAGCTCCTTTCCATCCTTTGCTCTACCATCTACAATATAGGCTTCTGCCTAAGAGGAGCTGTCCTCATGGTCAGGGATAGAGGCCAGCTGTAACTGGGACAATAGCAGGAGAGTGGAGAGAGGAGAGGAGAGGGGAGGGGAGGGGAGGGAAGATTCTCCTCCAGCCTGAGACCAATAATAATCACCAGAGGGATCCATGTAGTGATTGGCTTATGCCTGGGTTCCTGAACCAATCACTGACAAGGGTATGATAGCTCATAGTTGGCTTAGTTGGCTAAGAGCCATCCCCAGGAGCTGGGATCAAGTCCAGAACCACATTGCTGCTACCTGGATGGAGAGGCAATGGATGTTGGAGTCAACCCGCATGTCCTCTATGATCCAGAGTGGCACTTTCTTCTACTTATTTTCCCCTTTCTTCCTTTCAATGGAACACGGTTGCTGTGATTAAGAGTAGTGTTGATGGCAGAAAAACAAGAGGATGGTGAGATGTCCTCCTCCAACTTCCCAGAAATGTTGTTTCAGAACCATATGTAGAATTGTGGCAGTCTCCTGCCCATCCCCCCAACTCTCTCTCTCTCTTCTCTCTCTCTTTCTCTCTCTCTCTCTCTTTACTGGTGCTAGCACCTATGACTACAATCATGAAGCCCATAGGAAAAGCAAGAAGCCAGGCAACAGGTCAGCCAACTTACAAGTGTGAAAACAGATTATGTTTGTTGCCTAAATACCTTGGTGTTCACCTGCAAGGAGGTGAGAAGGCTGAAGAAAGTGGCTGGCAATGTCCTAGAATGTGAGAGGTGCTGTAGGATGGGAGAAAGAGCTCAGAATGGGGTGTCAGGAGGAGACATGCTTTATGTCACAACTCTGTGAGCTCAGGAAAGGCACTTAACATCCCTAATGCACTGGTCTTCTCACCTGTAAACTGGAAAAATAATACCTATCCCTCAAAGTAGGAGTTTGTGAGGGTCAAAGTAAAAATGTAGGGGCATTTTGAAAACAGTGAAGCTATACAGTCCTAAGGTAAACAGCATTATTTACTATGACATTAGATAGGGGAGGAAATTTCATAAATGCTGAGTCTCAACAAATTTGTGAATTTGGTCAGGTATCTTCGGTGGTCTCCTTTTCCTCGCCTCAACACTTGACTAGTCCAAGTACCCAGGACTGTCTGCTGACCATGACTGTCCCCACTGAAGCCCAGACCAGGATCTGCCCCCTACACTCTCTGCTCACCAAGACTCACCTGTTCGGAGTCTCACTATCTCATCTCCTTAATGCAGGTCTGAAACTAATACTAAGGAAGCCTGGGATTGTGGAAAGGGCACAAGCCCAAGAGTCAGAAACCTGAATCCTAGGTCTGGCTCTGCCACTAACTGGCTGTCTGAATTCAGGCTTCATTAACCTATCGGCAACCTTGGATTTTCAGCCTATAAAATAAAAAAGAGCTACAGTTTCTAAAACTTTCTAACACTAAAATGCTGGCCTCAAACCCTGACTCTGTGACCTTCCTCTTGCCCTCATTCCCCTTCTCATAAATGGTAGCTCTGAGGGCACCGTCACAGAATGCAAGGGCTTGCTACAGCAAAGTTTGAAAACAACTGGGCCAAATGGTCCCCCAAGTTCTCATTCATCTTGAAAATGTTCTAACTTAGTCTCTCATTCTAAGAGAAATGGCTTCATGCTAATGTGAGATGCGATGATATAGTACCTCTACCTAGAATCACCTGTATTTGAGTAGGAATCCTCATAGCTGTATAATCTTATTAGTTAATATATAAAGATGGAATTTCGGGTACCATGTATGTCAAAGAGGTAGTTGGGAGACTCCCTGGGTTTCCTAAAATCATACCACTTGGGTTATCCACTGATCATATAGGGCTTAATTGCTTGAGGTGGTGAATGGCATTTTCAGGATGGTGAATGACCTCCTGGTTTCCCAATACTGGGCACATCAATGAGTAGGTTCCTATCAGATCCTTGGTTGACCATGTGGCCCAAGGAGGTCAAGGAAAGGCTTTTATGTCTTTCATGGGGCGTGCATGAGCTAGAATCAGGTTCAGCTTTGAAGGACAGAAATCTCCAAAATGACAAGAGTTAATATAAAGATACATATGTGTTGTTGTTTTTTCTTTACCATGTGACAGATGTTCAGGGGTAAGCAATCCAAGGCTGGCAGAGAGGCTCCATTTAAAAAGTCTTTGACAATCCAGGCCTTTTTAACTCACTACTCTAATATCCCAAAGATGTATCCCTGTGCTCATGTTCCAGGGTGGACACTAAAGCTCTAGCCATCACATCCAAGGTCCTTCAGTGGGATAATTTAGGAATCAGAGAGACTGAGGGGTTGAGGAGGATACTTATTATTTATTATTTAGGTGCACCGGCCCAGTCAGATTAACATCTAAAGGACTGAGCCCGGAACAAAGAGTCAGGTTACCTTTTAAGCATTTCTTGGGGTTGGGGGAGATCTGTGCAGGGGGAAGTATGTTACAGAAGTGAGAAACAAAGACAGTTATTCAATTGAGACATGCATTATATTATTTCTTACTTTTCAAGGAAAAACATGTATGACTTGAGTTTATCTGCCTAGTGACCTTGCAGCTGCACAGCTAGAGAAACAGGGTCTTCACAATGCCTAGAAAGGGAGAGATAAGGCTCACTAGCCATAGACAGAAAAACAGGCAGTTAATTTTTAAAGGACTCCACCTCTTTCTCTTCCTCAGGGGGAATGAGGTTTTTTACATACAACTGAGTTTTTGCTTACACATTTTTAAATTTCTTTTAATGCCTGTTTCAGTCTAGTTAACAAGATGGAGGAAGAGATAAAGAAGGACATTCCCCAAAGTCTCACAGAACTCTTCTGCTCACATCTCATTGGCTAACATGAGTCACATGGTGAACCTGGATGCAGGGAGGCTGAAGAAGACAGTCATCTTGCTGGGCAGAAGGAAAGGAAGGAGGACCTATGAACAGTGGTGGGTTCCATGTCAGGGGCTTGCCAGCCACAAGGAAAGGTCAGAAATTCCCAGAATTTCAGTTCTGAAATCTGTATGTTGACCCAGACTCTTGGGAATTTTACCTGGATATTTTCAGATTCTTAAACATAATTTTTAATGTCATTTGAATGGATGCAGAGGAGAGCTGTATAAGTAATTGAGTATGAACTTTAAAAATACATTAGGATTCAAAACTGCATGCTACAAAATCACCATCTTTTTAACCTTTTCAAAAAGGTGTAACATATGTACAGAAAAGTGCTCAAATCATAACATACAGCTCTCCATAAATTATCACAGAGTGAAGACACCCATGTCATTACCACTAAGAAAAAAAGAGAGAAACCATCACACCCCAGAACCCACCCTGTGCTCCTCCCAGCCTCATGTGCCCATCCGGAATGTTTTCCTTTTCTCTGCTTTTCTCCTCAAGTCTGTCTTAGCCCCCTCTTCTCTTCTGGCCACCTCACTTCCCAGGCCTCCCCGATACCCCGGGCAGTGGGGGGCTTTTTTGAGGCTGGTTTGCCTTTTGGCACAGTGGAAATAGCATGTGCTCTGGAGCCAGCTCTCCAAGATCTAGATCTCAGCCCACCTACTCACTAGCTTTGTGAATCCAAGCAAGAGACCTAATCCCTCTCAGCTCCCCAGGCACTATCCTGGGGTCACAGGTGCTGATTGGGTACTTCCCAGAGTGGCTACCGAGTGCCTGCTGCTCAGCATGGGGCTCAAATACACCCACTGCATTTTCATTTCTATGCTTTTGCTTGGGTCTCTGAAAGCTCCCGAGGGATGTTCATTGTTTCCATTTCACAGATTGCCACAATGATGCCTGCAGAGGTGAAATGACTTGCCCAGCATCACACAGTGGGGCAAGGGCAGAGTGAAGCCTGGACCCTAGGCTCTGAGGCCACAGCAGCACAGGACCCGGAGCTGTGCCCTCCGGCCCCAGACCTGCCATGGTCCTGTGGCTGTTTAGACGACTGTTTGGCCCAGGGGTGCCTGGCTCTCTAAAAGATTCACTGTTGCCCTCACCAATATTTATTTCAGCCTTCCCAGAATGTTTCCTAAACAGACACACGAATGCCAACTTTATGACACTTGCTAATAAAAATAAACCCCCTCAGTAGGACTGGGTTCCCGTGGTGCCTAATAATAGCTACAGGCGTGAATGAGTAAATAGCTGGCCACACAAAGTGTGTGGGACCCTCCAGGGCCAGACAGAATGTGTAGCAGTTAGTGCCAAAGGCAGCGTCTGCACCCAGGGCCTGGGGCCAGTGATGGGACACCTGGCAGGACAAGGAGAGCAGGCCCCATCCTGGCCACAAAGGCAAAGCTGAGGCAGTCCATGCCATCAACCAACAAGTACTACAGGACAGTGACCCTAGTGCAGGTGCTGGGTAATATGTGGGCATGTGGAGTTTGGAGGTTCAGAGGAAAACTCCTCACCTTTCCCAAGATGTTCAGACATTTATTTAGAAGGGACCGAGCCTTTCCTTACATTGGAAACACAAGACTACCATGCAAATAATCCTAGGAGAGGAGGCCAAGGGCCTGTCCAGAGTAACGTACAGAAGTCAGAGCCTTCCTTGACAGGGACTTTGGCTACGGGAAGAGAGGCACAGCCTGTGGTCTCTCCTGGTCCACTCTGAGCCTCCCCTCATTGTCTGTCCTCACCATGTTCCACCCTGTCCCTGCTCCTCAGGTTCTCCAAAGCTCTGAAAAGCAACAACAGCTACAACAACAGCATCACTGGGTTCTTGTTGGGTGCTAGGCACTGTTGTAAGTGCCTCCCTGGTGTTAGTGCATTTGGTCTTCATGATCTTATGAGGTAGGAACTATTATGATGCCCATACACATGAGGAAACTGAGGCACAAAAGGTTAAGTAACTGTCCAAGGTGACACAGCCAGGAGGATGTGGAAATGGGACCCGAACCCAGGCTGTCTGCTCCCAGAGCCCACCCTTCTTTTGCTTCCATCAAAATCATCAGTGCAGGGTGCTGGTTCCCTAGACTCCTGCCGACTCTTCCAAGCCCTCAGAACCCCAGGGCCAGAGGCAGGGTCGGTGCACTCCTGGGGACCAGATCTCTGCTCTTTCACTCCCTGTCAAGGCTCTGGTCGCCCAGCTGCACCATGCCATTCCTTGCCCTGGCCTGTATCCTCAATGTCTGGTACAACTTGCCCGTCTTTCCCTCCACCTCACCTCCTGCCCCCATTCTAGGGATTTGGACATCTATCCAGAGCTGTGGCCAGCAGCCAGCCTCGCAGGCCTCCACCTCCTCTGACCTTGCTTGCTGCCCGCTTTCCCGTCCACTGGGCAGTCCCCAGGGAGGTACAGGGCAGAGGAGCTGGTGTGTTAAGAGCTCGGGCTCTGGAATCACACTGCTGGGGTTCCAATGCCAACCCAGACCATTGCCAGTTTTGTCCCCTCAGATAGGTTTCTTGACCTCTGTGAGCCTCAGTTTCCCTATTTATGAGATAGGCCAATAAAAAAGAAACAACTACCTTCACAGTTATACCAGGAGTGAGATTAGGCCTGCCAATTACTTCAAAGGGAGCTGGCTGCATAGGAAGTATTTGGGAAATATTAGCACTTACTATGACCCCATCTAGTCAAACAAGTCTGAAATCATAAAATCAGATATTCCACTTTCTAACCACAACTTCCTGTTCTCCACTTTTCAAGACCTTCTACCCCCACTAGCTACTGTGCTGTATTAGTAGCCCAAGGGCTGGGTCCCCATTCTCCAGTATTCTTGCCATCTCCTGGTTTCTCATCCTTTCTCCTTTGCTAAGACCCCACGGTCAATCACTCAACTTACTTTCTTATAATACCCATGGTTCCCTCACATGTGGTCTGTTTCTATTAGGATTAGGTTCAGCCGGGTGCGGTGGCTCACGCCTGTAATCCCAGCACTTTGGGAGGCCAAGGCGGGCGGATCACGAGGTCAGGATATCAAGACCATCCTGGCCAACACAGTGAAACCCTGTCTCTACTAAAAATACAAAAAAATTAGCTGGGCGCGGTGGCAGGCGCCTGTAGTCCCAGCTATTCGGGAGGCTGAGGCAGGAAAATGGCGTGAACCCGGGAGGCGGAGCTTGCAGTGAGGCGACATCATGCCACTGCACTCCAGCCTGGGCGACAGAGCCAGACTCCGTCTCAAAAAAAAAAAAAAGGATTAGGTTCATGACATATGACAGAAAACCCAAAATAACAGTTCTTAAAATCATGAGTGTTTATTTCTCTCTCAAATTAAAGAAATCCAGAGGTGGTTAGCCCAGAGATAACATAGAGACTCTATGTGCCTGAGGAACCCTTGCTCCTCCTCTCTCGCTGTTTGCCCATTCTTAGAACACTGTCTTGTAGTCCAAGATGGCTGCTTGAGCTCCTGCCATGATGTCCACATTCCAGACAGCAGGAGGAGGAAGCAAGAAGAAGGAAGAACAAAATGGAGTGCCCCCACAGTCTATCCTTCTTTTCAGGAGCCTTTCCATCCCGTGCCTTCCTCTCATATATCCTTGGCAAGAACTCAGTTCCATAGCCACACCTAGTTGCTGCTTACTTGCTGTCCCAAATAAAAGGAGAAAAGGGGAAGGTTGGTTCTACTGCTGTACCTGCTTCCTGGCCAATCCACAGTCAGTGATGACTTCGTCATCCACTTCTGCTTCCAAGCTGTCCCCACTACTGGAGAAAATAACATAATTGAGCTGACAGGCAGCTCTGCAGACTCCTGGCTTCCAGCCCAACCAAGCCCCCCACACTCCTAGAAAAAGCCATTTTCCTCTCTTTTGCATGCCACATGGCAATTATTCCAAGTATTCAATCACTTTCCTGAATCGCTCTTCCCACCCCTTGCTCTTGGCAGGCAGTCTTGCCTCCATCCTCCCTCTCATCAGCCTTCAGACATCCCTTTCATTCCTCTGAAGCTGCTCCAGCTCCACCCAGGGGGTGACTTCCTCCCTGGCAAGAGTGGGCCTTCTCTTCCCCCTGAACCACACGGTGAGACTTAGCACAGAGCTGAACATACAATCAACAGAAACAAACTGATGAGAGCTGAGGTGTGAATAACTAAACAGCTTAATCTATACACTCTCCCACGATAATCTGCTTTTAACCAGAGCCTTCGGTGCTCCACTCCAAAGGAGGCACCTCGGGGAATCAAAGGGCCCAAGCAGACTAACTTGGGGTTATTTCAGGGACAGTGGTCCCCTGCCCCTAGCAGCCCTCAAACCTTCACAGCAGCAGATGGACCTCCAAATGCAGAACAGTTCCCCCTGAAAAAAGCCCAGAATCATGTGACACCATCACCCCTGCTCCTCTGTGACTTCAGCCAGTCCCCATGCTCAGGCCCTACTAGCACATGAGCACCGGGCATACTGTCCACCTCCAAAAAGAGGAAAAATGACTCAGGAGAGAATGCCAGTATTGTCCCATGTTAAAAAGAAAGTGTCCATATTCTTACAGAAAGCATCTCCTTTGCAACCAGGCTGCTTTGCTAGGAACAGCCTGAGTACGGATGTCTTGGGTTTAGGGACTGACTGAGGTCAGCCACACCATCCTTCAGTAAAGGGAGGAGAAGCAGAAGCCAGAGAAGAGCTGGGATTCTCAGCCCACCAAACCTCGTCTGCACAAAGCCTCCAATTCCTGCCACACTTGGGGAACCTGGAGGACTGGGGTGGGGGACTCTTTTCTAGGGACTCACATTGGCTCTCAGGGCCCTGGCCCCCTCCATCCTCCTCTGCTCCCACTGAGCTAATGAGGGACTGGGTCAGGAAATTGCTCAGGAACTAAAGGGTTCCTACTTAGTGTGAAAAGTCAAACTTAGAGGTTGCTATAAAAAGGAGCAAAAATAACAGATGTGCCTCTTCATCTGTCTTTATGTTCCCTGTTTCATTTATCACACACATCTTGCAATAGCTACTCATTTTCACATTTTCCTCAGTCACTTCCTCCCTCCAACGTGAATTACTTAAAATAACCACCACCACTTGGGGTCAGCCTCACAGCCATGCATAGCAGGCAGCGGCTCCAGGACAAGGACTGAGCCCAGAAGAAGCTTCAGGTGAGGCTTCATCACCGTCCTACTGACTCTCAAGACTCTTAACAGTAGTCAGAGGTGGCGCTGTGTGAGGAGGCCCCAGGACCCTACTGGGATGACACTGGTAACTCCGAGGACAAGCTTGGCTAGGAGAGCAAGAGAGAGCACAGGCCATATGGCATGAAAAGAACATGTGACCAGAGACAGGACCTGGATTTTTGGTTCAGTTTACACTGTCAGCATGCTGTGTGGCCATGAACAAGTTGCTTTCCCTCTCTGGGTCTCAGACTCATCTGTAAAAATAAGGGTATAAGAAGGCCCTTCCAGTGCTGGGTCCATGCCTGGAGCCTCTCCCACATTCGGTCCCACCTCCTAGATCTCCCTCCTTTCTATCTCTCACCATTTAGGCTCGCCAATGCCTTAGTTAGCTGCCTATTTATGAACATGTCTGGTCTAATGTAGTAGACTCTGGACTGTTCTTCCAGCCTCCTGGGTTAACCTCCTGCCATTTGTTATCCCCCTTGCCCCTGGACCACTCCTCAATGCTGATCTCATGTTCCATTTAAAATCTATTTGTTGCTTTCTTTCCATTGCATCCAACTTTTCAGCCACCATCTCAATTTACCTCTCTTATTATAGCTTCTGACTTCATTCACAAATATTTATTGAGCACCTCCTATGTGTCAAGCACTGTTCTAGGAGATCAGGATACATCAACAAGCCTTCAAGACTCAGTTCAGTTGTCACCTCTCCCAGAAAGCCTTCTCTCACTTCACTCCTTATGCCTTCTTGCAGGGCAGGATCACTGCCTCCTTGGTGTGCAATCTGCTACACCTGACGAGATTGTAACACAGCAGAAGCAGGAACCTTTCCCTCCTTCCCTGCTGTCTCATCAATGGACACACCCAGGGAAGGCAGCTTCAGTTTATGTTTGCTGAGTAGAATGATTAATTTTACATGTCAATTTGGCTGGGCCATGGTACCTCAATATTTGGTTATACACTAGTCTAGATCTTTCAGTGAAGATATTTTTTAGATGAGGTTAACATTAATATTTAAATAGGGCAGTAGATTTTGAGTAAAGCACATTACCCTTCAAAATGTGGGTAGGCCTCATCCAATCAGTAGAAGGTCTTAAGACAAAAAAAAAAGACTGAGGTCCCCAAAGGAAGAGGGAATTCTGCTTCCAGGGTGCCTTCAGACTTAAACTGCAACATCAACTCTTCCCTGGAGCTCCAGTCTGCCAGCCATACCCTACAGATTTTGGAGCTGCTAGCCTCCACAATGATATGAGCCAATTCTCTAAAACAAATCAATCTCTCCCTCCCTCTCTCTCTGTCTACACACACACACACACACACACACACACACACACACACACCCCCTATTGGTTCCATGTTTCTGGAGAAACCCAACTAATACACTAAGTAATTCAATCCTTCCCCCCTCTTCACCCTCCCCCCACACTTATCTGATACCTGTGGCTAAAGAAGGTGTTGGAGGAAGAGAAGTGGATAGCTTTTTTCATATGCTTATTATCCATTTTTCTACCTTCCTCTGTGAAGAGCCTTCCTTTGTGAAGAGCCATAATGCTGCTTTTTCTCTTTTATTATTGATTTGTAGGAGATCTCTCTATCTCTGTCTCTATATGTTGTGAACATTTCCCCCAACAATGTGGCTTGTGTTCTCATTTCTTAACATTGTCTTTTACTGAGCAGAAAGTTTTGATTTTGGTGGAGCCAAATTTATCATTTTCTTTTATGATTAGGAATTTTTGTGCCTAAGAAATCTTTTCCTACCCCAAAGTTGAAAAGATATTTTCCTATGTTTTCTTTTTCTTTTTTTTTTTTTTTGAAATGGAGTCTCACTCTGTCACCCAGGCTGGAGTGCAATGGCGTGGTCTCCGCTCATGGCAACCTCCCCCTCCCAGGTTCAAGAGATTCTCCTGCCTCAGCCTCCCAAGTAGCTGGGATTACAGGCACATGCTACCACCCCTGACTAATTTTTGTATTTTTAGTAGGGTTTTGCTATGTTGGCCAGGCTGGTCTCGAACTCCTGACCTCGTGATCGGCCCGCCTTGGCCTCCCAAAGTGCTAGGATTACAGGCGCGAGCCACCATGCCTGGCCTGTTTTCTTCTAAAAGAAGACTTTTAGACTTACCTTTCATGTTTAAATTTGTGATCCATCTCAAATTAATTTTTGTGTATGCTATGAAGTAGAGGTCAAGGTCCTTTTCTGTTTCTTAAGGACATTCAGTTATTCCAGTACCATTTACTGAAAAGATTCCTTTCCCCTACTGAAATGCATTGGTGTTTTTGTTGAAAATCAAGTTACAAAATATGTATGAGTTTACTTCTCAATTTGATATTCTATTCCATTGATCTATATAATTATCCATACACAATAACATATTGTCTTAACGATTATAGCTTTATAGTATATCCTGAAATCATCCAACCTCAATCTTTGAGAATTGTTTTGCTTATTCTAGGTCCTTCTGACATTTCCTACAAATTTTAGAATTAGCATATCAATTTTTACAAAAAGTCTGATGTGATTAAAACTGGGATTCATTTAACAATATTATATCTTAACTACATCAACTCTTCCAGTCTATGAACACAGATCTATGTTTATTCAGGTCTTCTTGAGCTTCTTCCAGCGGTGTTTTATAGTTTCAGCATAGAGGCCTTCCACATCTTTTGTTATATTTCTTCCTAAGTATTTTATGCTTTTTGATGCTCTGTAACTGGTATTTTTAAAATAAACTCTATTTTTAGAATAGTTTTAAAGAAAAATTGTGAGGAACAGAGTTTCCACATACTCCAAAGTCAGTTTCCTCTATTGTCAACAACTTACATTATAATGTATGGTACATTTGTCACAATTAATGAACCAATATTGATACATTATTACTCACCAGACTCCAGAGTTTATTCAGATTTCCTTAGCTTTTACCCAGTCCTTTCTCTGTCCTAGGGTCCCATCCAGGATGTCACATTATTTTTAGTCATCATGTCGTCTTAGGTTCCTCTTGACTGTGACAGTTTCTCAAACTTTTCTTGTTTCTGATGATATTGGCAGGTGAGAGGAGTAAGAGTACTGGTCAGGTATTGTGTAGAATGTCCCTCAATTGGGAACTGTGGGTTTTTCTCATGATAAGAGTGGGGTTATGGGTTTTTGGCAGGAAGACCACAGAAATAAACTGCCATTTTCATCATATCTTATCAATGGTACTGCTATGATTTGAATGTCACCTCCAAAACTCATGTTGAAATTTAATTGCCAATGTAATGATATCAGGCAGTGGCGCCTTCAAGAGGTGATTAGGTTATAACACCTCTGCCCTAATGAATGGATTAATGTCATTATCACAGGAGTAGGTTCCTCAAAAAAAGGATGAGTTTGGCCAGGTTTCCTCTATCTGTCTCTTGTTCTTCCATCATGGGATAATGCAGCACAAGGCTTTTGCCACATGCTAGCACCATACTCTTGGATTTTCCAGTCTCTAGCACTGTGAAGAATAAATTTCTTTTCTTTATAAATTACCCCGTCTGTGGTATTCTGTTATAGCACAAAAAAGACTAAGACAGGGGCCGGGAACCATGGCTCACATCTGTAATCCCAGCATTTGGGAGGCCGAGGTGGGCAGATCACCTGAGGTCAGGAGTTCAAGGCCAGCCTGGCCAACATGGTGAAACCCCGTCTCTATTAAAAATACAAAAAAATTAGCCAAGCGTGGTGGTGGGCACCTGTAATCCCAGCTACTTGGGAGGCTGGGGCAGAAGAATTGCTTGAACCCAGGAGGCAGAGGTTGCAGTGAGCTGAGACCACGCCATTGCACTCCAGCCTGGGCAACAAGAGTGAAACTCCATCTCAAAAAAATAAAAATAAAATAAAATTTTAAAAAGACTAAGACAGGGACATACTATCAACATGACTTATCACTGTTGATTTTGACCTTGATCATCTGGCTGAGGCAGTGTTTGTCATGTTTTCCACTGTAAAGTTACTTTGTTTCCCCTGTCCACACTATACTCATTGGAAAGAAGTCACTGTGCATAGCCACACTTAAGTGGTAGAGAGTTATGCTCCATTTCTTTTAGGGTAGTGTATCTACATAAATTATTTGGAATTCTTCTGCATATAATTTTCTCTGATCATCCACGAATTTATTTTGAATAAATAAACAAATGATTGAATATCATTTGTTTATATCAGTGTGGACACTGGATATTTACTGTAAATCTGGGTTATAGTCTAATACTATTTTGTTGCACAAATTGTCCCAACTTTGGTCTTTAGGGCATTTTTCAGTAGGCTTCTGTGTCCCTCTGACATACCTCCATCGGTGATTTTTCCTTTTGTTTGTTTCTTTATCACTCCCTAACATTCTGACACTACAAGATGCTCAGGCTCATCTATGTTATGCCCCAGTCTTAGAATCAGCCATATCTCCAAGGAGCCTTGGTTCCTTTTGTTTGAGAATGGCTTTAGAAACCAAGATCTGGCAACTAGGTGTGCTCACTGCTACTGAGGAGTTGCTGCATAAAAATGACATTTTTAATATTTATTCATTATTTAATTTTTATTTTTATTTTATAGACAGGGTCTCCCTCTGCCACCCAGGCTGGAGTGCACTGGCACAATAATAGCTCACTGCAACCTCAAACTTCTGGGCTCAAGTGATCCTCAAGCCTCAGCTTCCTGAGTAGCTAGAACGACAGAAGAGTGCCACCACATCTGGCTATTTTTTTTTTTTTTTGTAAAGATGGGTCTTGCTATGTTGCCCAGGCTAGTGTCAAACCACTGGCCTCAAGCAATTCTCCTGTCTCAGACCCCCAAAGTGCTGGCATTATAGACATGAGCCACATCTGGCCTGGCATCTTTTAAATCTCATTTTCCAAATTTTTGTCGCTAGCATATAGAAATAGAAATAATTTTTAAACATTTACCTCTGTGATGGTTAATAATGAGTGTCAACTTGATTGGATTGAAAGATACAAAGTATTGATCCTGGGTGTGTCTGTGAGGGTTTTGCTAAAGGAGATTAACATTAGAGTCAGTGGGCTGGGAAAGGCAGACCCACCCTTAATTGGGTGGCACCATCTAATCAGCTGCCAGCAACTATAAAGCAGGCGGAAAAATGTGAGAAGTTGAGACTGGCCTAGCCCACCAGCCTATATCTTTCTCCTGTGCGGGACGCTTCCTGCCCTCAAACATTGGACTCCAAGTTCTACGGTTTTGAGACTGGGACTGGTTCTCCTTGTTCCTCAAGCTTGCAGACAGCCTGTTGTAGGATCTTGTGATCATGTAAGTTAATACTTAATAAACTCCCCTTTATACACATATAAAGGCTATCCTATTAGTTCTATCATATTAGTTCTGTCCCTCTGGAGAACCCTGACTAATATAGATTTTGAAACCAGGAGTGGTTCTAGAGGAACAAAATATTAAGGATGGAGTTCTTTTGTTGGTTTTGGGGTTTTCTGGAGTTGGCAGCTTAATATGATTCGACTCAAAAATACTAAGGACTCTACTTCTAATAGTATGGAGAACACTGATAGTCCTTAGCATAAACTGTTTAAGAAAGTTATGCAAAATAAATGCATTTGACACTTCTGAGTCACCACTCATGAGAGGCAAGGAGTTTAGTGACTCTATACATAATACCTTTGACCATGTGTGGAGAACCAAGGAACGTAATGAAGCTGGTTGGTTGCTCCTAAGTTCACTGGACAAAGTGATGAAATAAAATGATTAACTCAGGGATTCTGTCTCTTGGCTTCAGAAGCAGATACTGAGCCTCAAATCTGCTAAGACTACCCTGAGTGAGAATCTTATCTCCTGTAGAGAAAGAGCTGAAATTGTGGAAAAACAGACACAAGCTCTTATCATGCTAGTGGCTGACCTGCAATAAAAAGTGCATGAACAGCCTCGCCAGGTGTCTACTGTTTCTACCGGTTTTTGTTTTTGTTTTTGTTTTCAGACAGAGTCTTGCTTTGTTGCCCAGGCTGGAGTTCAGTGGCATGATCTCGGCTCACTGCAATCTCTGTCTCCTGGGTTCAAGTGATTCTCCTACCTCAGCCTCCCAAGTAGCTGGGATTACAGATGTGCACCACCATGCCCAGCTAATTTTTGTATTTTTAGTAGAGATGGGGTTTCACCATGTTGGCCAGGCTGTTCTTGAACTCCTGACCTCATGATCTGCCCACCTTGGCCCCCTAAAGTGTTGGGATTACAAGCGTGAGCCACCACGCCCAGCCATCTACTGTTAAAGTGAGGGCATTGACTGGAAAAGAATGGGACCCTGCAACTTGGAATGGGGACATGTGGGAGGACCCTGATGAAGCTGGGGACACTGAGTTTGTAACCTCTGATGAACCTTTGTTACCAGAAGGAACAGCTTCCCCACCCCCAGTAGTGGCAACATCCCCTCCCAGACCCATGCTGCCATCAGCCTTTCTACCTTTGTCTGAGAAGAAAAACTCTGCACTGCCTGAGGCAACAGTGATGGCCTCCCCTGAGGCAGTTGCTAGGCAAAATAATGTTGACTGTACTCAGGACGCACCTCTCAGGACGCACATCCCCATTCAACTCTCCCATTTGGCCTGTGCAGAAGACAGATGGATCTTGAAGAATGACAGTGGATTATCGTAAGCTTAACCAAGTGGTGACTCCAGTTGCAGCTGCTGTACCAGATGTGGTTTCATTGCTTGAGCAAATTAACACATCTCCTGGTACCTGGTATGCAGCCATTTACCAGGCAAATGCCTTTTTCTCCATTTCGTCCATAAGGCCCACCAGAAACAATTTACCTTCAGCTGGCAAGGCCAGCAATATACCTTTACTGTGCTACCTCAAGGGTATATCAACTCTCCAGGTTTGTGCCATAATCTTATTCGGAGAGACCTTGATCGCTTTTCGCTTCCAGAATATATCACACTGGTCCATCACATTGATGACATTATGCTGATTGGATCCAGTGGGCAAGCAGTAGCAAACACAGTGGACTTATTGGTAACACATTTGTGTGCCAGAGGATGGGATATGAATCTGACTAAAATTCAGGGACCTTCTACCTCAGTAAAATTTCTAGGGGTCCAGTGGTGTGGAGCCTGTCAAGATATTCCTTCTAAGGTGAAGGATAAATTGCTGCATTTGGTCCATCCTACAATCAAGAAAGGCACAACACCTAATGGACCTATTTGGATTTTGGAGGCAACACATTCCTCATATGGGTGTGTTATTCTGGCCCATGTGGGGTCCAGGCAGTTGTGCAAGCTGCTCTGCCACTTAGGCCATATGACCCAGCAGATCCAATGGTGCTTGAGGCGTCAGTGGCAGAGAGGGATGCTGTTTGGAGCCTTTGGAAGGCCCCCATAGGTGAATCACAGCAGAGACTTCTAGGATTTTGGAGCAAGGCCCTGCCATCTTCTCCAGATAACTACTCTCCTTTTGAGAGACAACTCTTGGCCTGTTACTGGGCTTTGGTGGAAACTGAACGTTTGACTACGGGTCATCAAGTCACCATGCGACCTGAACTTCCTATCATGAACTGGGTAATTTCTGGCTCATCTAGCCATAAAGTGGGTTGCGCACAGCAGCATTCCATCATCAAATGGAAGTGGTATATACGTGATCAGGCTCAAGTAGGTCCTGAGGCACAAGTAAGTTACATGAGGAAGTGGCTCAAATACACACGGTCTCCACTCCTGCCACCCTGCCTTCTCTCCCTCAGCCTGCACCGATGGCCTCATGGAGGGTTCCCTATGATCAGTTGACAGGAAGAGAAGGCTAGGGCCTGGTTCACCGATGGTTCTGCATGATATGCAGGCACCACCCAAAAGTGGACAGCTGTAGCACTACAGCCCCTTTCTAGGACATCCCTGAAGGATAGCGGTGAAGGGAAATCTTCCCAGTGGGCAGAACTTTGAGCAGTGCACCTGGTTGTGCATTTCGCATGGAAGGAGAAATGGCCAGATGTGCGATCATATACTCATTCATGGGCTGTAGCCAGTGGTTTGGCTGGATGGTCAGGGACTTAGAAGAAGCATGATTGGAGAATTGGTGACAAAGAAATTTGGGGAAGAGGTATGTGGATGGATCTCCCTGAGTGGTCAAAAACTGAAGATATTTGTATCCCATGTATGTGTGACCTCAGCAGAGGAGGATTTTAATAATCAAGTGGATAGGATGACCTGTTCTGTGGACACCACTCAGCCTCTTTTCCTCAGCCACCCCTGTTATTGCCCAATGGGCCCATGAACAAAGTGGCCATGGTGGCAGGGATGGAGGTTAAGCATGGGCTCAGCAACATGAACTTCCACTCATTAAGGCTGACCTGGCTATGGCCACTGCTGAGTGACCAGTTTGCCAGCAGCAGAGACCAACACTGAGCCCTTGATATGGCAGCACTTCTCAGGGTGATCAGCCAGCTACCTGGTGGCAGGTTGATTATATTGGACCTCGTCCATTATGAAAAGGGCAGAAGTTTGTCCCCACTGGAATAGACACTTATTCTGGATATGGGTTTGCCTACCCTGCATGCAATACTTCTGCCAAGACTACTATCCACGGACTCATGGAATGCCTTATTCGCCGCCATGGTACTCCACACAGCATTGTCTCTGACCAAGGCACTCACTTTACGGCTAAAGAAGTGCGGCAGTGGGCTCATGCTCATGGAATTCACTGGTCTTACCATGATCCCCATCATCCTGAAGCAGCTGGAATGATAGAACAGTGGAATAGTCTTTTGAAGTCACAATTACAATGCCAACTATGTGACAATACTTTTCAGGGCCAGGACAAAGTTCTCCAGAAGGCCGTATATACTCTGAATCAGCATCCAATATATGGTACTGTCTCTCCCATAGCCAGGATTCACAGGTCCAGGAATCAAGGGGTGAAAGCGGAAGTGGCACCACTCATCATCACCCCTAGTGATCCACTAGCAAAATTTTTGCTTCCTGTTCCCGCGACATTACGTTCTTCTGGCCTAGAGGTCTTAGTTCCAGAGGGAGGGATATTGCCACCAGAAGACATGACAACAATCCCATTAAACTGGAGGTTAAGATTGCCACCTGGACACTTTGGGCTCCTCCTACCTTTAAGTCAACAGGCTAAGGAGTTAGTGTTGGCTGGGGTGATTGACCCAGACTATCAAGATGAAAGCAGTCCACTACTCCACAACGGAGGTAAGGAATAGTATGCATGGAATACGGGAGATCCATTAGGATGTCTCTTAGTATTACCATGCCCTGTGATTAAGGTCAATGGGAAACTACAATGGCCCAGACCCTTCAGGAATGAAGGTTTGGGTCACTCCACCAGGAAAAAAACCATGACCTGCTGAGGTGCTGGCTAAAGGCAGAGGGAATACAGAATGGGTAATAGAGAAGGTAGTCAATACCAGCTATGACCACGTGACCAGCTGCAGAACCGGGGACTGTAATTGTCACGAGTATTTTCTCTTTCTTTTGTTAAAAACATGTTTGTGCATGTCTACACTTGTACTAAGAAAATACCTTCATTTCCTTTATCATGTTCATAAGATTTATTGACTTGATATCAGCATTTAAGTATTGTTAACTTTATGTAATAGTATTTGGGTTGAGGATTGGTGCATTTCTGGTTATACGAACAATAGTTGTATCATGTTAGGCATAATTATGACCTTATTACTCTTTATTTGAAGATTATGTATGATCTCAGGAGATGTGTATGGGTTCAAGTTGACAACGAGTGGATTTGTGATGGTTGATATTGTCAACTTGATTGGATTGAAGGATACAAAGTATTCATCCTGGGTGTATCTGTGAGGGTTTTGCCAAAGGAGATTAACATTTGAGTCAGTGGGCTGGGAAGGGCAGACCCACCCTTAATTGGGTGGACACCATCTAATCAGCTGCCGGCAAATATAAAGCAGGCAAAAACACATAAAAAGTTGAGACTGGCCTAGCTTCTCAGCCTATATCTTTCTCCCATGCAGGATGCTTCCTGCCCTCAAACATTGGACTCCCAGTTCTACAGTTTTGAGACTGGGACTGGCTCTCCTTGTTCCTCAAGCTTGCAGACAGCCTATTGTGGGATCTTGTGATCGTGTAAGTTAATGCTTAATAAACTCCATTTTATACATATATATATATCCTATTAGTTCTGTCCCTCTAGAGAACCCTAATACAACCTCGTATCCGATACTGTGAGTCACTTACTAGTTCTAGACATTTTTTATAAATTCCTTTGGGATTTTTGCATACATAATCACTTTGTCTGTGCATACAGTTCTTTTTCCTTTGTAAATCTACTATCTTTTTGTCTTGTCTTCTTATATTTGCTAGGGCCTCCATAACAATATTGAATAGAACTGGAGAAAGTGGCCATTCTTGCTTTGTTATTAACATTTTAAAGGAAAAGCGCATATCTCACCATTAATAATGATACTATCTGTAAATTTTTCATAGTTATGCTTTATCAAGTTGAGGAAAATCTCTTCCATTCCTAGTTTGTCAAGAGCCCTTATCACGAATGGGTGTTGATATTATTTTTATTTTTATTTATTTTTGTTATGATTTTTAACAAGTTTTTCAAATGCATTTTTCTGAATCTATTGAGATGATTGTTTTCTCCTTTATTTTGTTGGTACAAATTTTTTATTTAGACGAGTCACGTTTATTGATATATAATTTACATAGTAAAATTCCCCACATATACAATTTTATGCATTTTCACAAAAGCAGAGTTGTGTAACTGCCATAAAAATTAAATAACTGTTCTATTACCCTGAGAATTCCATGTGACCCTTGGTAGTCAACTCCTTCTGCCACCACCATTCCCTGGAAATCACTGATCTGCTTTCTGTCCCTATAGTTTTTCTGGTATGTCATATAAATGGTATTATATGTAGTCTTTTGAGTCTAGTTTCTTTCATTTAGCAATTCATTTGAAAATTGAAAAATGAATTTCCTTTGAAATTCATCCATGTTATTGTATATTTCCTTTTTATTGCTAAGTATTCTGTTGTACAGATGTACCACAGTTTCTAATCACCTCACAGTTGAAAATATTTTGATTTTCCAATTCAGGGCAATTATGAATTTAAAATGCTATAAATATTCATATACAGGTTTTAGTGGAACTGCTGGGTCATACTGTAAGTGTATGTTTAACTTTATAAAGAAAGTCCCAAAACGTTTTCCAAAGTGGTTGTACCATTTTTTATTCCCCCAACAGTGTATGAGAGTTTTAGCTGCAAATACTAGCATTATATTATTTTCTGGTTATTCTAACAGGCACATATGATATCTTATTGTAGTTTTAAGTTACATTTGCTTAAAGACTAATGGTGTTTAGCACCTTTTTGATTATTTGCCATCCATATTTATTTATTTTTTTCTTTTTTTGAGACAGACTCTCTGTGGCCCAGGCTGGAGTGCACTGGTGCCATCTCGGCTCACTGCAACCTCTGCCTCCCGAGTTCAAGTGATTCTCCTGCCTCAGCCTCCCGAGTAGCTGGGACTACACGTGCCTGCCACCACGCCTGGCTAATTTTTGTATTTTCAGTAGAGACGGGGGTTTCACCATATTGGCCCGGCTGGTCTCGAACTCTTGACCTTGTGATCCACCCACCTCAGCCTCCCAAAGTGCTGGGATTACAGGCATTAGTCACCGTGCCTGGCCCATATCTATTCTTTGGTAAAATTTTTATTCAATTATTTTTCCTATTTTAGAATTGAGTTGTTTACACACATATACATTGTATTTTCCTCTGGATACAGATATGTCTTTTGCAAATATTTTCTTCCAGCCTAGACCTCATCATTTCAGTTTTTAAATAATGTGTTTTTTTTTTTTAAAATAAAGCTTTGTATTAGTCCATCTTCACACTGCTGTAAAGATACTACCAGCGACTGGGTAATTAATAAAGGAAAGCGGTTTAATTGACTCACAGTTCTACATGGCTTGAGGAAACTTTACAGTCATGGTGGAAGTTGAAGGGGAAGCAAGACAGGTCTTACATGGTGGCAAGCAAGAAAGACAGGGTATGAAAGAGGAACTGTCAGACACTTATAAAACCATCACATCCCATGATAACTCACTCACTGTCATGAAAACAGCATGGGGGAAACCGCTCCCAGGATCCAATCACCTCCCACCAGGTCCCTCACTCAACACATGGGGATTAATGGGATTACAGTTCAACATATTTGGGTGGGGACACGAGCCAAACCATATCAAATTTTATTCTGAAGCTTTGTGTATCTCTTTTTTTTTTTGGGGGGGGGGGGGATGGAGTTTTGCTCTTGTCGCCCAGGCTGGAGTGCAATGGCACGATCTCAGCTCACTGCAACCACTGCCCCTGGGGTTCAAGCGATTTTCCTGCCTCAGCCTCCCAAGTAGCTGGGATTACAGGTGCATGCCACCACGCCCAGCTAATTTTTGTATTTTTAGTAGAGACGGGGTTTCACCACGTTGGCCAGCCGGTCTCAAACTCCTGACCTCAGGTAATCCACCTGCCTTGGACTCCCAAAGTGCTGGGATTACAGGCATAAGCTACCGCACCCGGTCTGTGTATCTTTTTAAAGATGGATGTCTATGGGGTTGATATAAGAAACCTTTGCCTAACACAAGAGCATAAAGGTGTTTTCCTCTATATTTTTCAGTTTTAGGAATTATTTTTGGTATATAATCTAGTTTTTCTTAATAATGCCTTCATTTAGAGTCAACTGACTGTTAATTATTGACATATTTTATGCAATTTTTAAGCAAATGACGTTTACAAACTGTTTGCTCGTGTACACTTTTTTTTAAAAAAAAAAAAATAGACTTCAGTTTTTTACACCAGTTTTAGGTTCTTAGCAAATTGAGGGGAAAGTACAGAGAGTTCCCTTATACCACCTACCCCCACACATGCACAACCTCTCCCACTGTCAACATCCCACACCTGAGTGGTAGATTTGTTAATAATCAATGAACTTACATTGACAAAATATTATGACCTAAAGTTCATAGTTTATGCTAGGGTTCACTCTTTGCGTTATACATTTTATAGGTTTTGACAAATTCATAATGAAATGCCTCCACCATTATTTAGAATAGTTTAACTGCTGTAAAGATCCTGTACCCTGCCTGTTCATTCCTCCTTCCCTAACCCCTGGAACCACTGATCTTTTTACTATCTTTATAGTGTTACTTTTTCCTGAGTGTCATATAGTTGAAATAATGCATTATATAGCCTTTTCAGACTGGCTTCCTTAATAACATGCATCTAATGTTCCTTCATGTCTTTTCATCATTGATAGCTCATTTCTTTCTTTCTTTTTTTTTTTGAGCTGGAGTTTCACTCTTATTGCCCAGGCTGGAGTGCAATGGCGTGATCTCTGCTCACTGCAGCCTCCGCCTCCCGGGTTCAAGTGATTCTCCTGCCTCAGCCTCCTGAGTAGCTGCGATTAGAGGCACCCACCACCACGCCCGGCTAGTTTTTTTATTTTTAGTAGAGACGGGATTTCACCATGTTGGTCAGGCTGGTCTCGAACTCCTGACCTTAGGCAATCCACCCACCTCGAACTCCCAAAGTGCTGGGATTACAGGCATGAGCCACTGTGCCTGGCCTGCTCATTTCTTTTTAACAATGAAAAATATTCCACTCTCTGGATATACCACAGTTTATTTTTCCATTCACCTACTGAAAGACATCTTGGTTGCTTTCAAATTTTGGCAATTATGACTGAAACTCCTAAAAATATCCATGTGTGGGTTCGTTTTTTTTGTGTGTGTGTTAAGTTTTCAACTCATTTGGGTAAATACCAAGGAGTATCATTACTGGATCATATGGTAAGAGTACGTTCAGTTTTAAGAGAAACTTCTATACTGTCTTCCAAAGTAGCTGATATGATTTGGATCTGTGTCTCCACTGAAATCTCATGTCTAATTGTAACCCTCGGTGTTAGGGGTGGGGTCTGGTGGGAGGTGATTTAATCATGGGGGTGGATTTTCCCCTCGGTACTGTGTGGTAATATTGAGTCTGTTCTTGTGAGATTTAGTCACTCCTCTCCATCTACTCCTAAGATCTTATATGAAAGAAAAAAATTCACCAAAGATGATTAAAAAAGAATAAGAACCAGAGGCAAGGAGGAAAATAATTTGTATATTGTTTACATGAAGGATTAAATCCAATTAAATTTGTGATTTTATTAAATCTTTTTCAACTCTGAAAAAAGCAGCACAGTAAGGGACATAGCTTGACCAGTTATTAAAACACAGTATAAAGCCTCCATAATTAAAACAGCATGGTACTGACACTTGAATGGACTGATTACTAATAGAACAGAATAGAAAGCACAGAAATAGATATAAATACACACAGGAATGTGGGTTTTAAAAGTGGCTTATAAAAGTAAGAGAGCTGAATTATGAAATGATCCTTTACAGAGAGAAAAATGAGAAAGCCCCTCAATTCTTGGAGGAGGAAGGCTCTGAATGGGATCTTTACTTTCCCTCCTTCTATCCATGGTGTTGGATTTGTCTGAGCTAAAATAAAATGCACTCACTGTAACTTTGTGTTCCTTTCTAAATTCAGGTAATTTGGGGCAGCTGGACAGCAGTAGAGTTTCTGCTTCATTAAGCCTCCATTCACCACCACGCTCTTCAAAGCACCCCCTATTCCCCAGGCTTGGCCCTCCACCTCAGGCTCTGCATCTCTCCTGCTGTGGGCCAGCTGTTCCTGGGCTGTAATGTGAAGGCTCTTCAGAGGTCATAGGCCCTTCCCAACCCTCACCGAGGCCTAAGCCCAGATATATATGAAAGCAGAAAGCTGCTCTACATGTGGCTAGCACTCCACCTGGATTTAAGCCCCAGAATTCGGATTGGTCTGAGGGCAGTGTGGTTATCACAGAATTTAAAAACTCCCCAAGTTGTTCTAATATGTAGCTAAGATTGAGAACAGCCACTTTACATTTTTAGCTTTCTCTCCATACATTTTGGTAGATCATTCTCTGATGATGCATGAATAAGATAATGTTAAGTAAAAGCATTATAAGCTACAATGTTATGCATTAATATCAGAACCTTCAGGATGGGGAGAACAGGGTGAATTTGAGTAGGGATGCTCACATTTTAGCTGCTAATCAGTAGCACATTTGTGCTGGGGAACATGGTGAGGCCTTTTGTTACAAATGTTGATTTCAGATCCATCTATCTCTTTCATGTTTCTTCTAATAGCTCTATTGCTGCCAATTACAGAAAGTGCCGATGGTCTCACTGGTATTCTTAGGTGAGCACGTTTCATAAGGAAGCATCCCTGTTAGCCAGCCCGAGTTGGAGGGTTTCCCCTCCACAACCCTCTCCCTCAAGAAAGCACAAAAAGATACTCTTTTTGAGCAGCCATGCATTCTGTTTCTGTTTCTTAATTTAAAAGCATGCTAACCTGTTCACAATCCCTTGTGGGTCACCTTTTAAAAATATTTTTGTAGCTAACTTTGTAATATTTTTAAGTTTCTACACTTTGCATTTAACTTTTAATTTAAACCTCATTTATTTAAAAATATATGTGTCAAACTTATTTTATTCATCAGTTCACTCAGTGGTTTTTAAGTTACCTTTATCATAATACTAGCCTTTAGTATCCAGTTTCATTTACACATTAAAAAATAATATACACTGAATTTTATAAATTTCTATCTTGCTTAGTATAAAGTTTTATTAAAAAACTATCATGTGCTGGAGAAGTAGGAATTCAGATTTGAGTTTTACAAAATTCATTCTGGTAACAAGAAAAGCTCCTGATTTGTCAGTTTCAGTTATCCTCTAATTTGCCTTCAAATTCTAAATGATTGGAAGGCGAAATGGGGCAAGGGGCCTCAAGAGGGAAAGTTTTGCAGACCTTTTAGGTTCTCCTAGGGTCTGGAAGTCCTTTCTGAGGTCATATATATGTACTTTACTTGTGCAATTTTATATTTTGTTTCTCCCTAACAGGACTATGTACACTTATAAGCAGGGATAGGTACAGTTCTCAGATGCTTCCATAAAAATTCAGCACCATGCTAAGTACAGGGTAGGGTATTAGTAAATAATTCTTGCAGGCTGGGCGCGGTGGCTCACAAGGTCAGGAGTTCGAGACCAGACTGGCCAACGTGGTGAAATCCCATCTCTACAAAAAATACAAAAATTAGCCGGGCCTAGTGGCACGTGCCTGTAGTCCCAGCTACTTGGGAGGCTGAGGCAGGAGAATTGCTTGAACTCAGGAGGTGGAGGTTGCAGTGAGCTGAGATTGAGCTACTGCACTCCAGCCTGGGCAACAAAGCAAGACTCCATCTTGAAGAAAAAAAAAAATTCTTGAACTCAGAGGAGGCTTTACCATTAAGTTGAAGGAGTCCAAGCTCTACAGCCCCTTCAAAGGCCTCAGAAAAACTCTAGTAATGTGTTTACCTGGTCATGTGTATACAAATACAGATAATTGTAGATAATGTAGCATATACAATTATAAACAAATGCACTACTATTTTTTAATAGGAATTGTGAAAAACAATTTATTGGAATGCTGTGTTTTTCAGGCACAACCTGCAGTGGTATTGAGGCAGGACAATGGGGTCTGGAGGCAGAGAACATAAGGCCAATTCATGCTGATTTCCTAGAACTAAATCAAATGGAAACACTTCAGCTATGATAGGAAACATCCTCTCCATTTACATAGGGTGTACACCAAGTGAATGACTTTGTAACTTTACTTCATCATCTTCATTTACATAGTGTGTACACCAAGTAACCAATGGAAACCTCTAGAGGGTATTTAAATCCCAGACAATTCCGTAACGGGCCTCTTGAGACCCTATGCTTGGGCCCGCTCCCACCCTGTGGCGTGTACTTTCATTTTCAATACATCTCTGCTTTTGTTGCTTCATTCTTTCCTTGCTTTCTGCATTTTGTCCAATTCTTTCTTCAAGATGCCAGGAACCTGGACACCCTCCATTGGTAACAGTACCACAAACAGCAGATTTGTGAAACTGCATGCTCTTTAAGTTCTTATCAACTTTTCTAGAACAATGAATTATCTTTTGTCACTATAGAAAATATTTCAAAATATAAAGATGCACTCGAGAAATGCAATAATGTAGAAAAAATGTTTATAGTGATATGTCAAGCAGTTAATTAATAAAATTTTTTTCTAGGCTTTGTGGTATTGCTCAATGTGCCAAAAAGGGTTAACTCAGCAGGCTCAGATTGTTCAAACCCTGCACATGCCAAATAAAGGACTGTCCCTTGATCAGCTCCTGGGAAGAGAACTTCTGGCCCCCTAGAATATCCTGTTTTTGTCTGTCTGAATCCCTGAGCCATGCTGTATCAGTTTGACCTCTGGGGACTAGAGACCAAGTAGCTAAGGTCAGTCATTCAGATGTTGATGCCTGTGACTGACCCCCCCGCTCCCCAATAAAAACCATGGACACCAAGGCTCAACTGAGCTTCCCTGGTTGGCTGCACTCTACCTACAATGACACATTGTTGCTGGGATAATTCAGTGCTGTCTGTGCAACTCCACTGGGAGAGGACAAATGAAAACTTGGACATAATTTCTCCTGGACTTCACCCCATGTGCCGTTTTGTTTGCTGAGTTTCATCCATACCCTTCTGTTGTAGTAAACCATTACCATGAGGAAAACAGCTTTTGTTGCTGACATGGAGTCTCACTCTGTCACCCAGGCTGGAGTGCAGTGGTGCAATCTCAGCTCACTGCAGCCTCCGCCTCCCAGGTTCAAGTGATTCTCCTGCCTCAGCCTCCCAAGTAGCTGGGATTTACAGTCCTGAGCTACCGCACCCAGTTAGTTTTTGTATTTTTAGTAGAGACAGGGTTTCCCCATATTCACCAGTCTGGTCTTGAACTCCTGGCCTCAGGTGATCCACCTGCTTTGCCCTCCCAAAGTGCTGGGATTACAGGCATGAGCCACCGTGCCTGGTCCAAAACATCTTCTCTGAGTCCCTTTATAATTGAGCCTGTGGGTACTCTTTAAGAACTCCCAACAAAGTCAGCTTTTAAAATCTTGAATTGCCATGACCTTTCTCATTCTTAATGAACACTGACTTTCATACCTCTTAGTATAATACTAGTATTCCCAGTACTGCATTTTCCTAAATAAGGACCCTAAATTGTCTAATTTCCACCTCCACAAAACCTGGACCTACCCTTGTGTATATGCTCACATCCTGAGCCTTCACACATGGTGCTATCTTCACTTGGAATGAGTCTGCTGAACTGATCCACCTGAAAATTCTGTTCTTCGTTTGGTTCTTTGCCAGAAGTTTGTCCTCCTTGTCAGAGCAGTTCCTCCATCCCCACCACCCATAATACTTTACAAAGAGCTGCTTTAGCACTTACTGCATTAGAATGTGGTTACCTTACATTACAGATGCATGTGTGTGTGCCTTGCTAGACCAGGAATGGACTGGCTCTGTCATTTTGATTCTCTCAGAAAGGGAGGGAGAGGAGACAGAGGACAGGTAGAGAATCAGAATTTGTGTTCATCACCAGACAGACATGGAGTCCATCACTGACTAGCTGTGAGATGTTGGGCAAGTTTCTCTCAGTGCTTCAGTTTCTTTGCCGTAAAACCACTTGCTGAAATACCACTTGCCTTACAGGTTGTTTTGAGGATTAAGTGAGAAGATGTAGGTGAAAAGACCTAGCCAGCAATCTGGGTAAAGCCTAAGGGCACAGGATCTGGAATGAGGTGCCCTGACTTTGAATTTCATTTTTCTCACCTGCTAGTGTGTGACTTGGGGCAAGTTATTTCACTTCACCTCAATGTGTCTATCATGTTATGGAGACAAGAGCATCTACCTCACAGGACCACTATGATGGTTAAATGAGCTAGCCAGTGCCTGGCACATAAGGAGGAATCAATAAATATTGGCTATTAGACATTCAATGAAGGCTAATTCCTTTGTTTTATGGCATAAATCTGTGCATAGACTTGGGCATTTGTGTTTATTTCCTTTAAATTAATATAATCCTGCCTGTACCTCTATGGCAGGGCAGGCAGAAAATTCAGCCTCAGGCAGACAGAGCTCCCCCACGCCCATGTCTAAGAGGTGCTGCAAGAGGTCCCAGGTATTGGTCATCAGCTCCTACAGCTGCTCTGGAGTCCTCATTCAATATCTACTGTCCTCTCTCCCAGTCTTGGAAGATTGTCTTAGTCTGGGCAGGAAGAACCATCCCCTCCTCCCTCCCAACCCCTGCAGAACCTCCAGCAACATTCCCTAGAAGGGAGGGCAGCTACGAGGCAACTGGGAAGGCCAGGGTGGCTTTCTATCTTAATAAGAGCTCCCCCAAAGCCTGGCAACTGCTCCAACAGCTAGACTTGGGTGTAAGGGGACAACAGAGGGCTTCAATGTATATTTCTCCTACTACTACTATTTTTTTACTCCAGCAGACTTTCCACTGCAACTGGGATTCTCTTGCATAGATGGAAGCCTCTGGAATAAGTAGGCCTATTTACAGGCAGATGAGAGCTTCAGGAAGCTACTATTTCCTACAGTCCTAAACGTTCATTCCGCTACTCAATTATTGTTATTTATCAAAGGCATCCAAACTTACTAGGCATTATGGTTCTTAGCCCTGGCTGCACCTCAGAATCCCACCAGGGAGCTTTAAAAAGTGCCCATGCCTGGGTCCCCATCCTCCAGACATTGACTCAGTTTGAAGTAGGGTCCAGTCACAGATGAATTTTTGCAAGTTCCCCAGGTAACTGATGTGCAGCCAGGGCTGGGAATCACTGGGTTAGGATTTGTGGATATGGATGAAATGGGTGTATTATATATAGAGAGAGACCTTACACTGTCCTTTGGAGCCCACCAGCACCACCTCCCTAGCCTTATATAGTGTAGTTACTGTTCTTCCAAGAGATGGCAGGGCCTGATGGGAAATGTCTTGGGTTGAAAGTCAGTTTGGAGTCTTAATTATTTCATTTTTGGTGAACAGTCTGTGGCCTGATTTCCCTTTAGAAAATAAGAAGTTAGGAGGTGAAAAGACTTCTGCCCTGTATTCTTCAGGGGATTCTGGAATGTAGCTTTTTGGGGGAAAAGTTATATAAAAGACGTTTTAATATCTCTAAAAAAAGTCAGTACCCTAATACAAACAGTATGTTTTAATACCTTTATCTCTCTTGAGAGCTTAAAACACTATCCCCTCTCAGCTCTGAGACCTTCAAAGGAAATAAATTGGTGGTGGTATTGCCAAGTTAGTAAGAGCAATTAAAATGTAACCTGGCACTAGTCACAAAATAAGTAAAATGTAGTAAGTTTATTATACACAAAATACATTCAATTACAAAATATACTAATGAGCAGTTTAAAACCAGGTTGATTTCAAACTAGAAATTCAAACTGAGTGAAATATATGAATGAGCTCATGCTGGCAAATACTTTGATACCTTTGGTCTCATAATTTTATCAGCTTGCATTGCTTCACTGCTTTTTACATTTTTAGTTGCATTCATGGTCCTAATGAGGAGGGAAAATGTTCGTATTTGGGCTTAAGTAGGGGCTAGGAAAATGAGAACCATTTATTCCAACCTAAGATTTAATAATTAGATTAATTTCTATACATTTCCATTAATTAAAAGGTAGTGTAATAGCACTTAGTAAGTGCTCAGTATTGCTCTGATAGCTTTACATGTATTCTAATCCTCAAAACTGATGAACCCAAAAGGAAAGTACTCCGATTAACCTCATTTTACACAACAGGAAACTGGAATACAGAATAATTAAGTAACTTTGCCAAGATCATACAAGCAACAGAAAAGGCGGCAGAATTCAAACTGAGGCAGTCTGGCCACGGAGCCCATGCTCTTAACAATGACTTCACTATCCTGCTAGACCCTGCTCAAAAATCTTAATTTCAATTCCGAGTGAGGTGGAACATCTGATTCAGCTTCCATTCCATTCTCCTTCCAGAAACATCATCCCAAACCACAGAACACTTGTCTTTCTTTGCACTTCTCAGTATCAAAGGAGAATATCGTCCTTCATCTGGTGAGCACATTAGCTGATCCTGTTTACGTTTGCTTCTAAGAGTTGGAGGCGGTCCATGTATTAGACTAATCCAATCAACAAATATTAAGCACCTATAAAAACACTGAGGTAAAGGAGAGAAGAATCCAGTCTTTCCTTGCCCAGAGAAGGTTTACCACCTAGTGAGGGAGACAGATAAGCTGCCTCTGCTGGGCAGTGAGATAATTGCCACAATGGAGGGAAGCACATGCTGCTAAGATAGCTCCTGACAGAGGCAAGGACCCAGAGCTGGGGAGGGGCAGGACTGATGGGAAAGTGTTCCTGGAGAGGTGGCTCTTAACCTTGGCCATGTATTAGAAACATTTGGAGAGACTTTAAAAGATTGCCAACCCCAGACCACAAACCAGTCTAATTACATTAGAACCTCTCATGCCCTAAAACAGTGGTCCCTGAAGAGCAGCATTAGCATCCCCTGGGAACCTGTTAGAAATCCCATGCCAGGTTTACTAAACCAGCCCTCAAGGGGATTTCGATGCAAACTAAAGTCTGAGCAGTGGTTCTGAAGCTTAAACAGGCATCAGGATCCTTTCAGGGTTGCTTAAAATACAGATCGCTGTATATAAAGCATACTGAGACCCAGACTGCTAGGTCACCCCCAGAGGTTCTAGTTCCATAGGTCTGGGGTGGGAACCAAAAATATGCATTTCTGACTGGTTGTCACGGTGCACAATTAATGAGAACCACTGTCCTAGAGGAAAGGATGGCCAAATTGGAATCAGAAAGGTAAGAGCTGGCAAGCTGAAGGATGTGGATAATGGGATGAAAACATATTCAACGACAATCAAGCACCAGCTACATGCCAGGTGCTGCTCTAGATGCTAAGACTCCTGGAAGGAACACAGCAAAGTCCCTCTCTCAGGAGCTTACCTGTCCAGGAACACAGATAATAGACATTGTCTGAAAGTGACAAATTCAATGAAGAGCCTCCTACACTCCTTTTCCCCCCTCACACGTTTCCCCCCAGTGTGAGGGGGGAAAAAGGAGTATAGGAGGCTCTTTGGGTCAGAGTACTCAGGTAAGAGCTCTCTGTGAAGACAACTATGGCAGACTGATGCTTGTCCTACAATATCTTTTTTTCCCATCTTATAAAGCAGGAGAATGTGAGCATGGCACATGGCAATCCAGAAAAAAGACTGCATTTCCCAGCCTCCCTTACAGCTGCTGAGACCACAGGGCTAAGTTCCTGCCAATGAGAGGTAGGCATCAATTTGCAACTTACAGGAACCTTTCTGAGGAGGATTAGCCTTTGTCCCTCCTTTTCCTCCCTTCCTCCATCCTGCTGCTTGGTTTGTGAATGCTGCTACCTTAGACCATAAGGACAGAAAACATGTCCCGGGACTGGCAGAGCAGTAAGCCAAAAGGAACCAGGGTCCCGTAAGACGATGGAGCAGAGCCTTTTTACCAGCCCTGGATAGCAAAGTTCTAAACAAATATATGTCTAGATTATTTAAGCCACTGACAGCTTGGGTTGTCTTGGTATTTGTGACAGAAACTAATACTAGTTCAATGGCTTTTGAGTAGAGCCCTAAAAGAAATGAGGGAGCAAAGCATGTAGATATCTGGAAGAAAAAGCATTCTAAGAGGAAAAAAAAAACAAGGGTAAAAGCTCCTGATGTGGGGTCATGCTCAGAGTATTTGAGGAACAGCAAGGAAGCTAGGGTGCCTGGAATAAAGGGAGAATGTTAAAAAATGAGGACAAGAAGTATTGATGGAGGGTTCAGATGATAATAGGGTTATTTTTAAAGTAAAAACTGGTTCATTCATATAAAATATGTACATAACCATGTATATTTTGAAGAATAAGGAAAACATCTTTGTAATCACCACCAAGGTAAGGAAAATGTTGCCAGGACCTTGAAGTCTTTCTCTGTGGCTCATCCTCTTCCCTGCCCCAGAAACAACCACTATCTCCAATTTTTTTATAATCAGCATGTAGCTTTATTTTATAGATGCAAAACCTACATATATTTCTCTTGATGAAACTGCTGGGTCTACTGGGTGTGCACATGTATAAATTTACTAGATAATGCCAAACTTTTCCAAAATAGCTATGCTTATTCTACCATAGTGAATTAAAGTTCCCTTTGTCCTGCATTCTCAGTGCTTTTAGATTTTAATTAAAAGTGTGTAATGACTGAAATGTACACTTTAAAATGGTTGGTGGTAAATTTTATGTGTCATACAACTCAGACAAAAAAGTGTGGAATGGCATCTGTTTCTGTTTTTCCCTGTACTGAGATTAAATATTTTTTTACATTTACGAAGATTTTCAGATACCTCCTATGTGAATTGCCTGTTCAGTCTTTCACCCATTTAACATTTTGTAGTCTGGCTGGGTGCAGTGGCTCACTCCTGTAATCCCAGCACTTTGGGAGTCCGAGGCGGGCAGATTGCTTGAGCTCAGGAGTTTGAGGCTAGCCTGGGCAACATGGTGAAACCCTGTCTCTACCAAAAATACAAAAACTTAGCCGGGTGTGGTGGTGCGTGTCTGTGGTCTCTGCTACTTGGGGAGCTGAGGTGGGAGGCTGCAGTGAGCCGAGATTGCGACACTGCACTCCAGCCTGGGTGACAATGAGACTCCATCTCAAAAAAATATATATTAAAAAATTTTTATAGTCTGTCTCTTAATTCACAGGAAGATTTTGTATTTTCTGAATTCTAGTCCTTTGTATGATGAATGTTGCCAAGTATCTCCTCACAGCATATAGTCAGTCTTTTCGCTCTTTCTGGTAACTTCGGAGGAAACTTTTTTGACAGGGTCTCACTGTCAACCAGGCTGGAGTGCAGTGGCCTGATCACAGCTTACTGCAGCCTCGACTTCCCCGGCCCAAGTGATCCTCCCACCTCAGCCTCCCAAGTAGCTGGGACGACAGGCATGTGCCACCATGCCTAGCTAATTTTTAAATTTTTTGCAGAGACAGAGTCCCTATGTTACCCAGGCTAGTCTCGAACTCCTAGGTTCAAGCGATCCTCTTGCCTTGGCCTCTCAAAATGCTGGATTACAGATGTGAACTATCTTACTCAAAGCAGGAGGCAGTCTACAGAGTAAAATCATAAAATAAATGCAGAAAAAGCATTTGATACAATTTAGCATCCATTTACCTAGGAATAGGAGCGAATTTTCTTACCTGATGAGGGTTATCTCTTAACTACATTAATCCATTAACAAAACATTGCATTCACTTTTATTTTTAATTATTTATTTAATTTTGGAGACAGGCCATGACATCCAGCCTGCATTCAGTTTTTCTGAGGTAAAACCATCATTAAATTCCTGGGATAAATCCAACAAATCAGTATTTTGTTATCCTTTTTAAAACTTCATATTCAGTTTGCAAGTATTTCAAATTTTTATAACTGTAATTATCAGTGATACTAGCTTACATTTTTTCTTTTTCATACTATCCTTGTTGAGTTTGGTGTCTCAAACTCCTGAGTTCAAGCCATCCTTACCCTCACAAAGTGTTGGGATTACAGGCATGCGCCACCAAGCCCGGCCACGTATAACTTTAGGATGGTTTTACCTAGTAATAATTCTGTGGCTGTTTTGTTTGATACTAATACAACTACATCAGAATTCTCTAGGTTACAATTTGCTCAGTGTAGCTTTTGCTATCTTTTAAATTTCAACATTTATTATTCTTATGTTTTATGTCTTTTATAAATAGTATATTATTTAATATTTGATCATCTTTGTCTCATAACTGGAGCATTTAGTCTATTTTCACTTAGTGTAAAAGTGGTCAACATGCAAGGACAGATGAAAACTAGAAGAGTCAAAGGCAAAAGCTAGAAATCAAAACACCATCATACAAACGAAGAATCCCATCAATGAGCTCATCAACAGACTGGACCCAGCTGAGGAAAGAGCTGATGGACTTGAACAAATGTCAGTAAAAACTGTCAAAACTGAAATGCGAAGAGGAAAAATGAAAAAATGCACAACAAAATATTCAAGAGCTATGGAACAGTTACAAAAAGTGTAATACACAAATGGGAATACTAGAGGGAGAAGAAAGGGAACAGAAGAAATATGTGAAATAATAACAGAGAATTTCCCAACATTAGTGATAGACACACCACAGATCCGAGAAATTCTGAGAACACCAAAAAGGGTAAATACCAAAAAAGTCTACACTTAGGCATATGATATTCAAACTGCAAAAAATCAGACAAAGAGAAAATCTTCAAAGAATCCAGAAGAACAAAACACTCTACCTATACAGGGGCATAAATAAAAATTACTTTGTACTTCTCTTCAGAAACCACGTAAGCAATAAAAAAGGACTAATATACTTAAACATCATACCGGAAATCTTAGCTAATGCAGTAAGATAAGACAAGGTATGCAGACTGGGAAGAAAGAAATGAAACTTTCTTCACAGATGGCATGATTATTACGATTATAAAGAAAATCAAAAAGAATTGATGGGGAAACTTCTGAAACTAATAAATGATTACAGCAAAGTTGGAGAATACAAAGCTGATATATAGAAGTCCATTGCTTTCTTATATATAAGAAATGAACAGTTGGAATTTGAAATAAAAACACAGTATCATTTACATTGGCATCATTTACATTAGTATTTCATTACCAAATGCAATACTTAGGTATAAACCTAACACAATATATCTACATGAGGAAAGATCTACATGAGGAAAATTATAAGACCCTGATGAAAGAAATCAAAGGACTAAATAACTAGAAGAGATATTCCAATTCCATGTCTATGAATAAGAAGACAATATCATCAAGATGTCAGTTTTTCCCAACTTGATCTATAGAATCAACACAGTTCCAGTCAAAATCTCAGCAAGCTATTTTGTGGATTCCTACAAATACAACAATGAAGAAGAACAATGTCTGAGGACTGACTCTACGTGACTTCATGACTAACCATAAAGCTATAGTAATCAAAACAGTGTAGTATTGGCAAAAGGTGAGACAAACAGATCAATGGAACAGAAAAGAGAGCTTAGAAATAGACTCTCATAAATACAGTCAACTAGTTTTTTTTAAATTTTTAAAATTGTTTTATTTTTTGAGATGGAGTCTCGCTCTGTTGCCCAGACTGGAGTGCAGGGGCATGATCTCGAGTCACTGCAACCTCCACCTCCCAGGTTCAAGTGATTCTCCTGTATCTGCCTCCTGAGTAGCTGGGACTACAGGCACGCACACCCCCACACCTGGCTAATTTTTGTATTTTTAGTAGAGACAGGGTTTCACCATGTTGGCCAGGCTGGTCTCGAACTACTCATGTCAAGTTATCAGCCCGCCTCAGCCTCCTAAAGTGCTGGGATTACAGGCACGAGCCACTGCATCTGGCCCTGATTTTTGACTAAGGAACAAAGGCAATGGAAAAAAGATATCTTTTCACCAAATGGTGCTGGAACTGGTAAGCCACATGTAAAAAATAAGTCTACAAACAGACTTCATCCTCTATACAAAAATTAACTCAAATTGGATCAAAGTCCTAAATGTAAGAGTTAAAATCTATAAAACTCTTGGAAGAAAAAATGAGGGTAAGTCTTCATGACCTCGAATTTGGTTGGCAGTGGATTTTTAGATAGAAAACCAAAAGCATGAACAACAAAGAAAAAGACAGATTGGAGACTTCATCAAAATTTATGTGTGCTTCAAAGGATAGTATCAAGAAAGTGAAAAGGCAATCCACAAAATGGGAGAAAATGTTTGCAACTTTGTATTTCTTAATGAGGGCCTTTATCTACAATATATGAAATACTCTTAAAACTAAATAATAAAGTCAGATAGCCCAATTAAAACATATGCAAAGGATCTGAATACATATTTCTCCAAAGAAATATACAAATCACCAGGCTGGGCACAGTGGCTCACACCTGTAATCCCAGCACTTTTGGAGGCTGAGATGGGCGGACCACTTGAGCCCAGGAGTTTGAGACCATCCTGGGCAACTATCTGTACCAAAAAATTAAAAAAAAAAATTAGCTGGGCATGGTGGAAAAAAAAAAGCCAGGTGTGGTGGTGTGCACCTGTAGTTCCATCTACTCAGGAGGCTGAGGTGGGAGGATCACTTGAACTCAGGAGGTGGAGGTTACAGTGATTGAGATCATGCAACTGCACCCCAGCCTGGGTGAAAGAGTGAGACGCTGTCTCTAAAAAAAGAAAGAAAAAAAATACAAATGACCAATAAACACATGAAAAAAAATGTTCAACATCATTTGATAAATGATCATTAGAGAAATACAAATCAAAACCATAATCAGATAATATTTCCAACCCACTAGGCTGGCTGTAATAAAAAATAGTAGTAACAAATGGTGAGAATTGAAGAAACTGGAACCATCGCATATTGCAGGGGGTAATTTACAACGGTAAACAGCCACTTTGGAAAAGCCTGGCAGTTCCTCAAAATGTTAAACATGGAATTATATATGACCCATCAATTCTACTCCTACGTATATAACCTAGAGAAATGAAAACATATGGATACAAACACGTGTACATCAATGTTCACAGCAGCATCACTTATAATAGCCAAACTGTGGAAACAATCCAAAAGTCTACCAGCTAGTGAATGAATAAACAAAGCATGGTATATCCATACAATGTTGTTGTTATTCGGCCATAAAATGGAATAAAATACTGATACATCTACAGCATAGATGAACTTTGAAAACATTAGGCTAACTGAATAAAGCCAGTCACAAGACCACATACATGATTCCATATGAAGTGTTCAGAACAAGCAAATACCTAGAAACAGAAAGTAGATTAGTGGTTGCCTAGTGTTGGGAAGTGTAGTGCAATGAATGGGGAGTGATTGCTAATGGGTATGTAGTTTCTTTTTAGGGTAAGAATAATGCACTAAAACTGATCGTGGTGATGATTACACAATGCTGTGAAAAATACTAAAAAAAGCAATAAACCATACACTTTAAATGGGTGAACTGTATATGTGTTATGGAGTTGAAATGTGTCTCACCAATGGGGCAATATATATATATATATACACACACACACACACACACATATATATATACATATATACACACATATATACATATATATACACATATATATATACATATATATATATATATGTGTGTATGTTGGAATCCTGACCCTTCATTCCTCAGAATGTGACTTTACTTGGCAATAAGGTCTTTACAGGGGTAATCTAATTAAATGAGGTCATTAAGGTGGATCCTAATCCAATATGACTCTTGTCCTAACAAACAGGGGAAATCTGGACACAGAGACAAACATGCACAGAAGGAAGACTATATAAAGAGACACAAGGAGAAGACTGCCACCTACAAGCCAATGAGAAAAACCTGCAACACATTCTTCCCTAAGAGGCCTCAGAAGGAAACAACCCTGCTGACACCTTCGTTTCAGACTTGTAGCCTGCAGATCCTGAGACAATACATTTCTGTTAAGACACCCTATTTGTGCAGCTTTGTAAAGGCAGCCCCAGCATATATGTAAAGCTATATATGTAAAGCTTTACATGTGTGTATATATATATATACACATACACAGCAACCTGCATACTGTGTATATATACACATATATACATGTATACATATGTACATATAGCTATACACATATGTACTTTACATATATATGTATAAACACACAAAGGAACGTGAATATATACATATACACACACAAACTTATAAGAAAGTAACTTCAAATATAATGGCATAGTTAAGTTGTAAGTAAAAACTGTTCTAGACACTCGATTAGCAAAACAAAAAATCTTGGCCCTCACGGAACTTACATTCTAGTGGAATATTAATAGTTGAGCATATCAAGGAGTGTAGGTCAAGTGGCTGGGGGAAATGCCACTGACTGGCAAGATTACACCTACATTTCCAGGGCAGAGAGAAGAAAATGAGTTCCCAAAGACAGAAAAAGACATGTTGGCACAATAGCCAAGAAATGGAAGAGACTGTGTCAACTGCAGATGTTGAAACTAGTAAAAATCAAGTCCAAGAGACTTGGCAATTAGGAGTACATTTGACTTCAACAAAAATAATTCCAGGAGTGTGATGGCAGCTGAGATTCTAGCATGTAAACTACTTGCCAGCGACTTTAGGAGATTACCTGAGCCACTCTGTTGCGCCAATGTGACAAAACCCACCCTGAATAAATCCAACCTTTGACTGCTTCCACAACTATGGCTTCGACAATGGGCATTACTGAAGAAAGCACTGCCATTTAGCTATCACTGTAAGTCTACGGTGTCCAACTCACCGCTAGTCCATTCTCTAATTCTCCAGGATTGCTATTTCAAACTAGCTGTTATACTCATACATCATCCTTACCTCCTCCTTGCTTCTGGAACCAATAACATCAATCATATGGTTCTCAAAGACATGAAAGCCAAACCACTAAGTAACTCTTTTAACTCTCTGCTGTTCAAATGACACACATGCCTATGTCCACAACCATCCCTTCATCTGCCTTTGATCTGGATCCCAACTTCCTCCTCCTGTTCAGGAACCTTGGTGTACCAATGATCTTAGTCAACCCCTCCTGAACCTCCCGCATTTTTACCTCTACTGATTCCATCTCACTATCCTATTAGCAGTTAAACATGAAATTCAAGTTTCTTCCACTAAAAAAAAAACACAACAACATCAACAAAACACGCCAGGCACAGTGGCTCACACCTGTAATCCTAGCACTTTGGGAGGCCAAGGCAGGCGGATCACCTGAAGTCAGGAGTTCAAGACCAGCCTGGCCAACATGGTGAAACTCCTTCTCTACTAAAAACACAGAATTTAGCTGGGTGTGGTGATGCGTGCCTGTAATCCCAGCTACTTGGAAGGCTGAGGCAGAAGAATTGCTTGAACCCAGGAGGTGGAGGTTGCAGAGAGCCGAGATCAGACCACTGCATTCCAGTCTGGGCAACAGAGAGGCTCCGCATTAAAAAAAAAAAAAAAAATCCTTCAACCACATATAATTCTATTGCTGTAGCTCTGCCCTTCGTTAACAGTTTTTAAACAGTTGCCCATACGTGCTACTGCATTTCTTTACTTTGGGGTCCTCTCCCACCACAAACTAGGTAGACCCTGATCACTCCACTGAAATTGTTCTTGATGAAATTACGATACGGCCTGGTTAAGAAAGCCAAAGGGGGCCGGGCGCGGTGGCTCACGCCTGTAATCCCAGCACTTTGGGAGGCCGAGGCGGGCGGATCACGAGGTCAGGAGATCGAGACCATCCCGGCTAAAAAACGGTGAAACCCCGTCTCTACTAAAAATACAAAAAATTAGCCGGGCGTAGTGGCGGGCGCCTGTAGTCCCAGCTACTTGGGAGGCTGAGGCAGGAGAATGGCGTGAACCCGGGAGGCGGAGCTTGCAGTGAGCCGAGATCCCGCCACTGCACTCCAGCCTGGGCGACAGAGCGAGACTCCGTCTCAAAAAAAAAAAAAAAAAAAAAAAAAAAAAAAAAAAAAAAAAAAAAAAAAAAAAAGAAAGCCAAAGGAAGACAAAAATTATAATTCCTCATTTATAAGATTCATATTCCTCCCTCTCCTACATTTTAATAGGATACATATTGAAGTATTTTCATTGACCAATGAAAGCAATGGGTCATAGTTTAATTAGCAGGTTTAATTTTTCTTTAATGTCTTACAATCAGGTACTTAGATTCAATAAAATATGGTGGTATTTTAAATGAAAGTTTTTTAAAAAATGGATACTTACTTTTTTAGGTTGTATCAGCAGCTTTTAACTCCACTAACCACTTGCTTCTTGAAATACTCTATTTTTTGGCCTCTGTAATACCACGTTATTTTCCTTCAGTCTCAGCTGCTGCTTCTTGATTTCCTTGTGTTCCTTTTCCAGTCTTCTTTTCTCACTCATCAACTCCTCTGGATGAGTTCATCCACTTTCATAGTTTCAGTGCTACTACCCATCAATTGGTAGGATATGTCTATAGCTTGTCAAATAGCAGGTGGGCATGTCTTTCAGACATCAGGTCAACTGATTTTTGTTCCAGTTCCAAAGTATTGAGTCTAATAATGATTTGGGTCAGGTGGCTAGCCATCACAGTGAGGATAAATTATGTTTACAATTATATTGTAGCACTCTGTGTAGTGTACCTGACCCAGATAAGGTGGTCCTCAGTACATAACCTAGAGTAGATCATATGAAGAATTTCTCCAGCCTTTTATACACAGTAGGGTGGGTCTACAAGGAGTTGCTTACACTTCCAGGTTTAATACACCTACTCCCATATTATCCCCACTGTGCACTGCTCTACCCACCCCTCATTAATGGCCCTTGCCCCTGTAAGTTTTGGAGTTCAGAAGGTGAGTATGCTGCCTTTCAACACCTCAGCATCCATCTCCCGTACCACCTACCCTAAACATGCACCTCCTTCTGTTTTCCTCTCTTGGTGAATGCTTACTGCTGAGGTATTATATATTCCAAAGGTATTGAATTTCCAGTCAGCATAAGTCAAATGCAAATGGTTATCCACCATTTCTTCATCCACCAATATTTACTGGGCACCTTCTATGTAGCCCATATCATGTTAGGCTCTGGGATGCAAGTGAAAAAAGTTATCACCTCTGCCCTCATGGAGCTTACAATCTAGTAGGGGAAACACACAATATGCAGGGATTATTTTATGTATTAAGAGTATATAAACCAGGGTACTGGGATAATAGTTAGGGAACACTTGCTTTTTAGATAGAATGATCAAGAAAGGCCTCTGAGAAAGTAGTTAAAACTGGATTTGAAACCTGACTCCTCAATTACAAGCTGCATGACCCTGGGCAAGTAAGTCGCTTATCCTGTCAGAATCTGTTTCCACATTTGTAATATGGAGATAATCATGCCAAACTCAACAAATTCTCATTACTACTAATGATCATGAAAACTCTTCAATGTCTCATCACTGTTTTACAAGGCCCTTCACGATCTATCTATGCATATTTCTCAATATTCCTTAGCAAACTTCCAGCAATTCTAAACATTTCTGGCCCTTTTTGGACAAGCTTTTCATCAATCCTCACATTTCTCCACATTACTTCTATTAAATCATTGAGGTGCCTCATTTACATGCTCTTGTAGCACCCTATACTTTGTCTTTTACCATTAACATTGTAATCTCCCTATTTCACACCTCTGTTGACGCTATTGGAGCACAACTTTGGTGGGGGCAGGATCCTGCCTTGTGTTCCAAGTGCCTGATACAATGCCTGGCACCTAATATAATCTCAAATACTGGATGACTGAGACCATTTGTAAGCCAAGAAAAGCAGCAGTAGAGAGGTGAGAGACATGGAGATAAGAGAGGGGAAGTCTGACAGAGGAAGGTCCTGAAGATGACAGGAGGAGACCAGAGTCAGTTGGCCTTAAAGGCCTACCTCATTCTCTGAAACTGGAAACAAAAAAGGATGGAGGTGGTCATAGGTGGGGAAGAAATCATGCTTTCGGACTGTCCCTTCTGTTTGAATTAAGCAGCAAAGTCATCTTCTGAGAAGGAAGTGGCCTGAAAAGAGGGCAATAACATTTGTTATAACTGATGAGAATGGGCAAAGGAACTATGCTACGTCATGTCGGAGGATGGATAGGTTACTGAGGATTTCTTCAAGGCTGCAATAATGAAAGAACAGTCTGGACAAGTAGCAAAGAGGAAAACAGAAAGCGTGGTTCAGTAGACGAAAATGCTGGAGGTAAAGTAACCAATACCTCACAGACCAACTTGGATAAATCATCTATAGAATGTTCAAGATATTAATAATAATGACCAGAATCAAGGAAGGCAAGGAACACTGTGAGTCAAAGCTTCCAGCAAATCAAAGGGAATGATCAGGCAGTTATAAGACTAGAGGTAGCTGATAGTATAACCTCTTGGCATGAGCTTCAGAGGCAGAGATTTTTTAGAGACGTGTAACGATGCAGTAGGGGGGAAGGACAGCAACCACTGTATCTTGAGATATGTAGAATGTGAACACAGCCCACGCTGGTGTGAGCTGTAGGGTATGGCAGGGCCTCAGGTGGCAGCCAAATTTGTAATGGGCAAGGCAGTGAAGAGAAAAATCAAAAGAAAAGGCTAAGATGTAGCCAAGTATGGCCTAGGAAGGGATCAGTGACTGGGGCGTGACTAGAACATAATACAGAATGGAGATAAGTGAAGGCAAAAATGGATGACAAGGGAGGTTTGTACTTTTATTTAAAAGACTGCAGAAAAACCAGGAATGAGCCTCATGGATGCTTCATTTCTGAAATCCCATGCTTAACATTCATCACTGTCTCCCATACATGATTCGTCTTCACTCTAAACTGCCTCCTGTCTCTGTAGATAGTGCCATTAACATCCAAGTTACCCAGGCTTGAAAAATGGATGAAAAATGCACTCAACCCTTACTCCTATATTCAGTCACTGAATCTTGAGTCTTCCTTTGAAATGGCTTCAGCATCCACTCCTTCCTTATTACTCTGGCCATCATCTGAAACCAGTTCTCATAATTTTAAGTCTAGATTCCCATATCAGTCTCCTAGATAGCACAGCTAATTAACGTCACTTCAGTTTACGCAGAGAGCTTTTGGGGTAAGTCTAGGTCAGACTCCCAAGTCCACTACTCATTCACTGTGACCTTGGGAAACTTACCTAAACCTGTTTCATTTGTAAAATGGGGAATAACACCACTTTCCTCTGAGAAGCCATTGCAAGAATGAGACATTCTTGGAAAATTCTTTGCACAATGCCTGTTACTTTTTTTTTTTTTTTTTTTTTTTTTTTTTGGTCTCACTCTGTCACCCAGGCTGGAGTACAGGGTCATGATCCTGAGTCACTGCAACCTCCGCCTCTCAGGTTCAAGCAATTCTCATCCCTCAGCCTCCCAAGTAGCTGGGATTACAGACATGAGCCATCATGCCCTAATTTTTTGTATTTTTAGTAGAGATGGGGTTTTACCAAGTTGGCCAGGCTGGTCTCAAACTCCTGGCCTCAAGTGATTTGCCTGCCTTGGCTTCCCAAAGTGCTGGGATTACAGGCATGAGCCACCATGCCCAGCTTAAGAATTCTTGATTTTTGGAACCTTGATTATAAGCTGCCTGATGTCTGGAACCAAAACTTCTGTAACACTCTATTCCACGTGTACTTACAAAACACTCTAAACATTTATTAAACAGTTTGATGAAGGCCAAAATAAGAGGCATATGCTATTCTACAACACGGTAACACTCTTCGTCACTTAAAATAATTAAGCTTTGAGAACACAAAATAAAGCTTTTTAAAAAAGCCATTCAGAAATAGGAAGCAGTTTGGGAAATGATTGTGCTACGCCAATCAAGAAAATGTTGTACCTCAAACATCTGAAGGTAGCAATCTGTTTTTTTCTTTCCCTGCAGCTACCCTTATTGGAAACATAAGGGAATATAAAGTGAAAACAGGCAATGTTTGCCTGTTTTTATAGCTTTTAGCCTTACCACTTTTCAGTTTGGGGATGGAATGCCTTTGGCTCAGTAGATTCTACTGGCTTTGGGGAGCTCAGAAAGGCCATAATGGGGCCTACAGGAAGAGGAAAAAGAGAGCTGACCTCTTAAGGGCAGGCCTTAGGTACAAGAGGCTTTTTTTAAAAAGTGACAAAACTTTTGAACTAAAGATGGAAAACGTAGTCTGACAAAGAATATTTGTGCAACTTTACAGTGCCAGTAAAATCATGGGAAAAGCTTGGATAGCCATACGTAGGTGTTTCTGAAACATGTCAGATTTTATATATATATATATATATATATATATATTTTTTTTTTTTTTTTTTTTTTTTTTTAGAGAGTCTTGCTTTGTTACCCAGGCTGGAGTGCAGTGGCACAATCTCGGATCACTGCAAATCCTCCGCCTCCTGGGTTCAAGCGATTCTCCTGCCTCGGTCTCCCAAGTAGCTGGGACTACAGGCGCCTGCCATCACACCCACCTAATTTATGTTTTTGCTAGAGATGGGGTTTCACCATGTTCCATGTTAGCCAGGCTGGTCTCCAACTCCTGACTTCAGATTATCTGCCCGCCTTGGCCTCCCAAAGTGCTGGGATTACAGGCGTGAGCCTCCATACCCGGCCCATGTCAGATATATTTAAAACTAAGAAAGCTTGGGAAAATCTCTGCCAATGATCTCCATATCAGTTAACCCCGTTCCATAGAGTCAGAAAGGCAGAGGGTCTTAGTGCAGATGCCTGCATAAAGATAAAACGTTGCATGTTCTTGGAAAATATGGCTAGACCACCCTTCCCATACCATCTAGCTGCAGTATAAATTAACATACCCATGTGGAAAAGTGGTATGAATCAAGAACTACAAAAGTGTTCATATACCCTTGACTAGAAATTCCACCTCCAGTATTTTATCCTAAGAAAATAATTTATACACAAAGACATTCATTGTGGCATTATGAGATATAATCTAAACTGTTCAAAATAAGTAAAGGTTATATGAAACATGGCACATCCATAACAATGGAGTACCATAAAATTAATAATAGTTGACACAGTTTTAATGACATGGAATAATGCCTGTAGGTTGCGGGGAAAAACCCCAAGATATAAATTACACTGAGAATGATGAAACTAAGTAAAAATATGCAGAAGTAGCAAAGACAATGGCAAGGAAGATGCAAAAATATCAAGTGATTTTTTCTGGTGACAGAATCATAGGCAATTAATTGTTATACTTTTCTGTATTGTCTAAATTTTCCACAATAAGCATGTACTACTGACATAAACAGAAAAAACAAACATTATTCAACCAGGCAAGCATTAAAGAATGGACATTGGGTACAGCTTTATTTATTTCTTTTAGGAATTGCAGGTTCCTAACAAAGTAGGGGTGAGGGGGGTGTTACAAACCAGTCACTAGGCAGGAACATTAGACTCCAAAAGCAGAGAAATGCTTAATTTTCTTCTACCTGTTTCACCACATTCATGTAGAACTGTAGTAAAAAAGATGGTGAATCAGGCTGAATCAATCTAAATAACAACTTAAGGCTCCCAAATCACATGAACCTAGGACCACTAAATCCAATGTCAGACGTGTTTAAATGGTGCACTGCTCTACATTTTTCTATTATGCAAAGAGCTAGAAAATAATGGTAGTGTCATTATGACATTCCATGAAAATGAAGAAAATCTTTCAGGAAAAATTAAGAAAATAAAAATGTTTACTAAAGAAAGAATGGTCCGGCTAAGTGCTTTTTTTTTTTTTTTTTTTTTTAAACCAACTGAAGGCCAGAGAAATGAAAGGCATACCCGTGAATTAAATTAATGCTTTAAAAAAAATTGACTTTACTTAAAATACAAACAAACGTCAACTAATGAATACTTTATTGGCAGAAAAAAAAGACAACTTGGCTGGAAATGCTGAGTGTCTTGGACTGGTCTGAAGGAAGAACATCTGAAAGGTCTGAATGTCAAAGTCAGAACAGTCTCTGGTCAATCCTACTTTGCTTAAAATCCAACATTTTACCTTTCTTCAAATTCCTCAAGACTAAGGAAAACTTGGTTTTATACCAAGAATTATGAATCAACCTACACTTGCTATCCCTTACATCACATTTTCATTCTAGCTTTTCTGAAACACATTACCAGATAAATGCCATATAACCTAAATTCACCTCAATGCTTTCATTTTGCCTTTACAATTACCTTAGGACAGATGCCAAGTTTTTATAACTTCAGGCCAGAAAATCCTCAAGTGGCTCACCTAATTGTCAGAAAGTGAGTGAGTGACAACAGACCTCAGGCACGAAACTATTTTCAGCACCAATTACACTGTGGGGGGTTACCAGAACAAGAAAAGGCCTTCATAGTTCTAAGTGAAGAAAGATAAAAACATTTTATTTTGGCCAGGCGCGGTGGCTCACGCCTGTAAATCCCAGCACTTTGGGAGGCCAAGGCAGGCGGATCACCTGAGGTCGGGAGTTCGAGACCAGCCTGACCAAAATGGAGAAACCCCGTATCTACTAAAAATACAAAATTAGCTGGGCGTGGTGATACATGCCTGTAATCCCAGCTACTCGGGAGGCTGAGGCAGGAGAATCGCTTGAACCCTGTAGGTGGAGGTTGCGGTGAGCCAAGATCGCACCATTGCACTCCATCCCGGGCAACAAGAGCAAGACTCAGCCTCAAAAAAAAAAAAAAAAAAATTGATTTTAGGAGGCTGACAATTACAGTTCATTTCCTAAGATATTCCAGACAATCACTGGTTGGCTGACAGAATCTAGGTGACAGCTAAGATCACCCCTCTGAAACTCCCTTATATTTGGTTAAGCAGAAATCTGGGCTAGCAAAATAAACTACTAGAAAGTCAGGGTCTGGATAAGAAACAGTGACCACATTAAAGGCTGACGGATTAATAATCATGATGTTGCCATAAGGCCAAAGTCATAAAGTACTAATGCTCAAGACAGATAAACAACGTAAGCCCCAATTTCAAGATGATAAACTTCAAAGTGTATTTTTTAAAATGCAAGTTGCCTGTATGAAATAAATTAAAAATTTATATGTAATTTCAGTGTAAAACACCAAAACCGAACATTAAAACTGTTCACAGAAAATAGAAAAAAAAACAAAAAAACAAATCACAATTATAAAAGCACAGAGATATCAGTTATAAGAACCAAGTAAATAAACTAATTTCTATTAATATTTTCATTTACTTTATAAAACTTTGTTGATTAAATTGGGGGAGTCTCTGACAATCTAAAGGGTAACAAAATAACAAATATACATCATTTCTTTATAAGTCATACCACACAAACCAAGTTAAGTTTTTTCTATCTGATTACAGAGTCAATAAATATTGCATCTGTATTTAGAGCAGCAACATAAAACTTTATTAGAAAGAAATACTATATCTGGACCAAAAAACTGCAACATGGTTTGGAAATCTAATGACTAAGAAGGTAAAACTGGCAACTATGTGCAACTACTGCTCGTAGATTTGGGTTTGTTTCCCCCCCAACATCTTTAAAATAAGCAGCCCCCACAAAGGGATAATCCATTGAATAAGGAGACAATGTAGCCAAAGAAGGGATTTGTGGAAAACCATATGAATTTAAATCAACATAAAAAGAACACACAAAGGCCATGGAAACTTGAGAAGGTGAAAGAAAAAAAAAAAAAACCCCAAGCAAGGACAAGTCAGCTCCTTGGAGCTGCACCAACTCTTAAGTAGGATGTCCCTATTCTAACGGAAATTGATGAGTCCACACCTGGGCACTTCAGTTTGAGAAATCAATTGGTTGGACTGGCCATTAAAAAAAGGACTTTGTTTTTAAGGTAGATAAAGCTTAGAGAGAGAAAGCTAAACAGAAAAGTACCAAATCCTTGTGAACTCAAAAATGATTTAGGAAGTCAAATGAAGCAAACTAAAAAACTGGATGAAAATGTTTCTCTAAGAGTAAAACCCAGTTTTCTCTGTGATTTAAAATCAAACAAACACACTATAGAAGAGAAATTTTCAAAGTGCACCCAATAAAACCTCAGAGGTTCCCTGGAGTGTTTGGGGTAGCATGGATTGAGACAGGAAGTGGGTTCAGGCCCATCTCCCCCAACCCTTCTTCACTTTAATTCAAACATTTCTAATTCTCTTTTGTCGTTTGTAGTTTCAGGTAAGATATCATTTTAAAAAAATGAAAAAAAAAAAAAATCTAATGCTGTCCCTTTCCCTAAGTTTGAAAATCACTGCTGAGACTGAAATTACATTGGTGAGAAATATGATCATCATAAATCTAAAACACATTTTCTATGTAGTGCTACCAAAATACAAAGTTTCATCAAATATTTCACTACTATTCTGTAAAATAAATGAGAAAATTAAGTTGTTGGGAAGAAATTAAATTTTGTTATTACCACCTCCCAAAATCTGCTCTTCTGCTGGCTCCAAGATATCAATATTTGATAGTGTGAACAAATTTCTAACAAACATTCCAGTCACACCGTACCCCAAAGACATTTCATTCAATGGCTGCATAGTTTCTTTTTTGAGAAGGCAAGCCTCAAATTTATAGAAAACTCTAGAATGAAAAATGTACAATTACTAAAAACATAATAACACACTTTATGTCAGGGCAGAATCTGCATAGTGCTTTTAAACATAATCACCAATGAAGAGTAGCCAAATCCCAGAACTTCACACAGCACTCATTAGCAAACAACGTCAAAGTGTAAATGATAAGCAGGAAAAAAACCAAGTAACACGAATGCCATTTTTCTTTGATGCAATCACGAAGAAAAGTGGAAATGCAGGACGAAAAGTGGAATCCAAGCTTTGGCCACGTACTGAAACTTCATTACTTCAATGAAACAGAGCAAATCTCCATGGAAAGGACTCATTCAGCAAACATTAAGTTCTTTCCATATATTTTTTTTCCTTCACGTAAGGTTAAACAGAAGTTGCTGTCATTCTAGAATCAGTGATTACAATTTTTTTTTTAATTAGAAAAAAGGTTACTTGAATATTTACATAATTTTATTGCTCTTTATTTTAACAAAAACTTTTTTCACTGATTTGTAGACTCCATCCATTAACGTATGAAAGTGAAATCCATCTCTCAGGAAGATACAGTTATGGTTGAATGTATCTGATGCTGAGAGTACAGCATAATTAAGAAAAATCCTTGCATGTCATTTGGTTCTTGTTGCAGTCTTCTGTGTTCACCCCTCAGAAAGCAAAAGAATCCATCTGACTTTCAATAAATACCAAATTATTAAAAAAAAAAAAAAAAGAACGTTTCCACAGACTAGAGATCCAAGAAAAAGCAGTTCTGATGAATGATTCCCAGAATCAAGTGAGTCCTCCTTTAGTCCAATGAGATGATGTCAGGAATGTTACTTCCACTGCTGGTTATGACCCCTGTCTCACTCCTGCTGCTGGATGAACTAACATGAGTACTGCTTTCATGGGAGCTGGTGGTGGTGACAGACGTACTGCTTGCTGTTAAGGGTGAGGTGAGACTATCCAAAAACATAGGAGGACAGTACTGCTTGAAACAAACAATGATGCCAATGAGGAAGAGGCTACTTGATTTTAAATAAAGAGACTAGAAATTATTAGATATGCACAAGCAATAGTCACATATTTAAATCCCAGTGGGATTTAAAAATTGCTCAAAACTTCACATCTTTGGGTGGAAGATAGCATGAATTTAGCTATTTTACATTATTTAGAGAATGCAGCATATATTCTTGATTCTCTCTAAACTTGTGGAACTTGTTTGCTGACCACATACAAAGGTAAAAGTACAATGTCAACAATAACTGAAGTCATTTAATACTAAATATTGGCCCTAATCTCAAAAAGAATTTGCTCCCTAACTGTATTTAGTTGGGTGTCAATTTTGAAAGAATTGTTGATCTTACACCAGCATTTTTGCTTAATAACATTTTTAAAAGTATTTGTTAGCCTTTCCCGGTATGGATTGAGTATCAAACAGATCCTTTATGAATGTTAAGGCTGACCAGCTGAATGATGGCATTGGACTCCTTTGTACATAAACGTAAAATACTTGTGTCATCAGAATGACAACATTCATTCTAAAACACAGACTACACGGTAGCTAGCTATCACAGGATCCTCAGGACAGAAAATTATCTCAGGTAATCACCAAGTTTTGCAATAAATGTTAAAGAAGATCTAACCTAATCTTCTCGTGATGCCTGCTTAACACCCCTTTCCTAGTGCTCATATTTCACAAGTCCCCTTACAATCCTGGTTACTGATCCCATTACTGATCCCAAACAAGTACAAACCTGAATGTACTACTCTAATATTAACAGAGGAGTGAAGAGAGACAAGCCAAAAGCATTATATCAGTATAGAATATTTTTATGTGAGAAACGACTGCACTGACTTTAGTAAAACAAGAGGTCTAGTGATATCCTGCAAGAGATGGTTTAAGTTTGTCATTAGTTCAACTGTATGAAAGATCAGTAAGGATATCTGATTCATATTCCCCATTCTAAAGATTATGCAGCTTATCATTAGAGACACTGGATTATGGAACAGGAATTTAAGTCAAGTTGTTTAGACTACATGATTTCCAAGGCCGGTGAATAAAACAGGAACAACAGTCCCAGGTTTAAGTTGCCAGCCAGAGGGACAGCAACAAGTAAAATTCAGACTGCTCTTCAAAAGAACAAGTTATTTAATGCTTTGGATAGATAACTGTTTTGGTTCATCAATAAAATGAATGCCACATACAGAGTCAAGGGACATTAGTTACAGGGAGAACAGTTCTTAAAGAGCTTCCAAGGAGCTCTAAAGATGGTTGAATTGTCCAGTATTAAAACTCTTTTCTAAAATCAAATCAATTTCTAACTTTCCACTAAAACTGGGGGGTAAATCTAGAACAAAGCCCAGAAACTTACATTTTATTCCTGCTGCCTCTCAGGTAGTTTTTGATTGCCTTATAGGAAAAAGATACTCATTCATGAAAGTTGTGCTAGATGCTACAGTGCTGCCATCAACAGGCTCTGTGCGTTGAATTCTTAGTAGTATTCAGATTGCAGCCACTTAAGTTCTAACCCTGCATCCCTAATTGTAGCTACAATGACAAGAATTAAGGGATAATATGGAGGTCAAGTAGTAAAACCTAAGGATTCTATGGCAAACTGAAGGCCCCACATCACCCTTCTACTACTGACTCACCAAATAACTTAGACCACTACTAAATATACAAAACAGAGCTATGAAATAAAAACCTCTAGGTTCCAAGATAATTTTTTTTAAAAGAACTGGTCACATAAAAATTAGTAATCCTCACATCTGAAGAATCCATTTCCTAGAAAAATACATAGACACTTTCACTAGGTACCTTCGTTATATATACTGCTGTAATGAGGTCAACTCCGAATGATAAGAAATTCCTCAGTCTGCACATTACCTTGGGCCCAAATTTCTGCTGCTGTTCATGTAATCAGATACAGAGTACTGAAACAGGAGGCTGATACAGGACTTGTGCTTAGCTGACTGAGCAGCCCATGAAGCAGTGACCCGTGGTTCTTCCTCTATCCCTCCCTATACTCAACTCCTCTCAAAGTCTTTTGTTCTATGTCATTTTCTCCCTTCACTTTTCTCATGCCTTCTCCTCCTCTGCTCTGCCTCTGCTATAAGCCTGTCTGTGCAATCCAGGCTCACTGCAAGGTCTTCATGTTGGGACACCGAGCTACTAGGGTTTCTCATCTTTGACAGAGAAAACGGGGATGATTGACATATAGCAACTTTAAACTGGGGCCTCCCCAAAGTCCAAATCTGAATGTCTTTAAAAACAATGAAGAATCAAGTTAATGAGTCAAGTCTGTCTAATCAGGTTTAGCTATTGATTTTCTATATACAGAATGTTTTAGCTAAAAAATAAAACTGTATTTGTAAAATTTTAACTTCTAGCCACCCAGCACTGCTTCTATTCATTCTAATCATTCAAATGCTTGTAGGAGATGCCAACTGATTAAGCTAAATAAAACAGAATTTAAAATTTAGATATTAAAGACAAAAATCATAAACTGAAAACAACTTTATTCCTTCAAATAAAATTGTGAAATATTTGCACAGTACTTCCTTTCCATCAATGTAAGTAATTCAGAGATGACTGTCCTGATTTTATGCAACTGGTCATTTTTAGTTAGTATGACATAACCAACAATCAAATACAAATTAGTTGCTTAAATTCAGGATACATACCTGGGGATCAACTGGAATAAGGGAAAGAAAATCCAAACCTAAAACAAAAATGCTTTGTTAATAGTTGTCTCATATTTTGGGAGACCAGAATTATTTCCCTAAATCATCTTTATCACAAATCACAAAACATTTGTGGTAAGTGCTTACCACTCTGTCACAGAGAAGTTCTATACCATGATCAGTGATATTTGAAGTGTTTAAAACCCAAAGATGAATATATTCTCTGATAAAACAACTGGAAAAACTAGCTCCCAGAGACTCAAATGCAGAAGTCCAAAACTTTCCAGTGAAGGACTAGTCAAAACAAATATTTCCCCCTTTGCCGCTTAACAGAATGAGAAGCAATAAAAATGATGAGCTAATGATCTGGATTTGAACCATCTAAAAAAAAAAACATACTTAAGCTCTTAAGATATTTCACATTTATTTTTCAGAAATACAGAGGTTCATCTAAGTATCGCTTCTTAAACAGATGTCTATTTCAATGACAGCTCTCTGTCCCCGCTGTCCCCACATCAAGAGCAGTACATAGTCCAACGCTCTGCACAAAGCACACACTCGGGAATTGCTGCGCTAACAGGGTTATCAAGGGTTACTGGGTTCTGAGCTAATGTAATTTTCTGAACCAGAGAACTGTAATTGTCCAATTCGATTTTAGAAAGAGGAATGTGTAAAAGGTTGTCCAGTAATATACTTTTGACATATTCAAGTAATAACAATAAATAAAATTTTTAGGTCTGAAAAGTCTAGTAATAAACTTCAACATCAGTTCACCTAGACCTCCCTGTGTGACTAAACTCTCTTTAATTATTTCAAAACATTAAAAAAGAAACCATAGGTCATTAAGACAGGCCAATTTCTATTCAATTCCGTGAATTTTTATGCTGGCATTCAGAGACACCCCGAATATAACCACCACACAGAGAAAGTCTGACATTATGCTTTTATGCAAAATAGAGAATATCAGTGGGTACATTTAAAATATCTACTAACCAGTATGAATTTATAACTCAAAAAATTTAAGTATATTTATTCTCTTATAATCTCCAAATAAGGGTATTACAAAAATGCTTATCAAGTGATACAAGCTATAGCACCAATCATTTGAAAGAAATCATTCCAACGATTTCTAAAGCCTTTTTGAAAATTGTTGCTACAGATTTTTTTTTTTTCCTTTTTTTGGGAGACACTGAGTCTGCTCTGTTGCCCAGGCTGGAGTGCAGAGGCACAATCATAGGTAACTGTAGCCTTTACCTTCTGGCCTCAGCTTCGCAAGAAGCAGGAGCTACAGGTGTGTGTCACTATGCCCAGCTAATTATTATTATTATTTTTTTTTTGTAGAGAGAGGGTCTCGCTATGTTGCCTAGGTTGGTTTTGAACTCCAGAGCTCAAGTGATCCTCCCGCCTCAGCCTCCCAAAGTGCTGGGATTACAGACATAAGCCACCGCACCCAGCTTGCTGTAATTTTTCATTTCATATGTCTGTCACTAGCTATATGACACAGTGGTTTGAGCCAATACTAAACCAAAGAGAATTACAACAAACTTTTCCAATGACTTCTCTATTAAAATGATAATAGGTGAGATATCTCAATAAGCAGATTTTGTCTTCATATTAATAATATTCAATAAATCCTCTCCCTTCTTATGCCAAACAATTCAAAATTTGTCTAGCCCTTGTAATACCTTCAGAGTTTTGCATTTTCAATATTTCTATTATTAAGTAAAAAAAGTTTATTGGAACATTTTGTTCTGCTTCAAATGGTATAACCGTTTTCTTTTTACAGTAACTTCTTATCTTTTCAGTTTTTCAGTTTTCTTCATTTTTACAATAGCTTCTACCTTTTTATAGTTTTTCAGTTTCATATGTTCAATCATCTTTAATATTTGCTGTATCTCTCAGTTCATGTTAGTAACTGAAACCTTTTTATAACGCTAAGTATTGACAATGGTGTTGGAATATTGTGTACTGAAGCCAAGCCACTCAAAAATGCTCATTTTCTAAATGTTCAACTATTTCAATTTCAGAATTTCAATTAAAATACGCAAGCTTGATATAAAACAGTTTGAAAATTATATCAAGCCTATTTATTTTAATTGAAATTAAAAATTGAAGCTCTATCACCAGAGAATACCCACTGAGGATCCTATTTTTGTTATTTCAATTCCAGTTCTTCAGATGTACTGTAATTCTCTTTGATGATTTCATGTGTGTGGTAAATATAAAGTTTATTTAGAAAACAATTAAGAGATTTACTTATCTGTATATTGATACCTCATCCACGGAAAATTGAATGTGGTGACTTATACAACACCATAATAAAATACCTAGAAATTTTTCTAAAATATTGGTTGGAATTCTAGATTGTTTACCAAGCATTACAAGGGTGCTGTCTATATAAAACCTGTTTAATGTAAATATTTCTCTCACTGAAACCATTTTTTTCTCAAGTACTAACAGTGAAGTTTGATATGGTATTTTAGATGTTATTCTTTCTAACAAAAAACGAAACCATCAAAGTCTTCTTGCATTTTACATTTTAAGCAGAATATTAAAACTCTTATATAAAATCAAGTTTCATCAGTAGTGATTAAAATTTTACTGCCTTGTTTCGTAAGTTTAGCAAAATGCTGTTTCTTATTTCACCATAAGTTTCAACTGCAGCGTGTCATACTGATATATTTTTATGCCCTCCGAAGTATTTCATGGTTGAAAATGCTCAATTACTTTTAACTAAAAAGCAGGTAGTGTTAACATTATTTTATTAACACTGATAAAATTTTAATTTAAAAATTTTAAGTGCTTCACTGTGAAATTGACTCATTAGATTTTTTCTCATTGATGACAACACATTTTCCTTATTTGAGTCATAAACTTTTAACAAAACATAACTGCTACATGATTAAATATGTAAATGTTTAGCACTTTCAAATTTTAATGATACAACTTTTGAGCACCATTCGCACCTGACAATATGGCACTAGCAATAATAAGGCAGTCATATTTTTCCTTGAAATAAGCTGTTTTCCACTCCATAAATACAAATTATTTGTTTTATTTTGTATTCACTGTTGCACAGTATCAGAAGATGTTCCAAGCTTCAGTTCATTATTAATATCATTTCTTCTTTGTTCTCCTGCAGATTCAGAAGATTCATGTTTATGATGTTTAAAAGGAATGTTAAGAAATGTATTAAAACTTTGTTATCTCTCCATTCTTGGTGTTCTATTTAATATTTTATTATAAATTATTAAGTTTATCAATACCAAAACTCTTCACAGTATGACTAACTACATAAAAATTATGCATAAAAATAAAACCAAATTACTAATCACAAAAGAGCACATTAACAATAAAATCAAAGTAAAACTAAACTATTTAGATATAGTAACTGCTACATAATTCATACATGATGATAAACTAGCAATTCTTCTAAAGCAAAATAGATCCTATTCTATTCAGTTATCAACTGGTAAGAAAGCTTTTCAATAATAACAACCAGTATCACCATAACTGTTAATACTGGCTAAATATCAGCCTTGGATATTAGTCTTGTTTGCTCAATATCAGCTTGAAACACATTTTTACCAAATAGCCAGTTCAGACATATTTTACTGCATTTTTCTCAAGTTTGCACATTTCTAAAAAGAAATAAAGTCTCACTTTATGCCCAAATTCTGAAATAATGTAAATTTCCCCCAATTAAAAATTAATCCAGGTTCAGAGAACTGAAAAACTAACAGGGCAAGTGATTGGTAAATTGTGTCTATGCTACTGCTAAATGGTAGGATCACTTTAATGAACAGAAATGCTCATTACCTTTTTTCAGGATTAATTTTTAATTCAAGGTCTTTAGGAAACAAATCCTTTCAGAATGCTTGCTTATAACACATACTGAGATGACATGCAGACACTCTTCCAACAACCCATGTTACAGCCATAAAAGGCAGTTGGGAATTAAGAATCTCTGAATTTCCATCTTTGTCACCGACATGAATCCTCACCTGTACCTTGGCATTAGACTTTGTATATACTTTACAAATACTTTACAATTTGTGCTAGCTGGGTCTACAAAGAACTTCTTAAAATACCAACTCCCAAATTACATGTGGAGTAACTATATCTAAGAAGCAAAGAATAACTTTAAAAGCCATTTTTTTCTATGGATACTATAAAATGTCTATTCTTTTCCACTAAATTTTATTCACATAATCTAAACAAATTTCAAGTGGCAAAATTATACCGAGCCAATTATCAATTGTTTCAGTAACATAAACTTTCACCAACAGGATAAGCATTGTGCTTAAAATAAAGACCTCACTAAGGGGAGAAAAAAAATAAATCATAGGTCAAAATTAACTTCATAAACCTAGAGAAGAAAACTAGTAACAGGAGGAGAGAATTGTATTCCACTAAAAGGGCCTTCGGAGAGAAGGGAAGTCATGAATGTACTGGTTCTAACTTGCTCAAATATAATTGACAGAAATGTCTGCAAAAGCAATAGCTATGGAGAGGGAAGAAGAGTAAAGGAGGGAAGTTTAAATTTTGTAATATGGCCTTGGTTGCAGAAGTCCTGATACTAAGGTAATTCTAGCAACCTTAATATTTTACAGTAGATTCCCCCTTATCCAAGATTTTGCGTTCTGTGATTGCAGTTACCTGTGGTCAACTGCAGTCAGAAAATATCACATGGAAAATTCCAGAAATAATTCATAAGTTTTAAATTACACACTATTCTGAATAGTCTGATGAAATCTCATGCTGTCCTGGCTCCATCATGCTCCATCCCACCCAGGACATGAACCATTCTTTTGTCCAGTGGCTCCCAGCTTTGTCACTCAGTAGCCATTTAAGTTAACAGATTAACTATCTCAGTACACAGTGCTTCTGTTCAAGTAACCGTTATTTTAACTTAATAATGGCACCAAAGTGATGCCAGCATATTGTTATAATTGTTCTATTTTATTATTAGTTATTGCTGTTCATCTCTTACTATGCCTAATTTAAAAATTCAACTTTATCATGAGTATATCTGTATAGAAAAGAACAGTATATAGGGTTCTGTAATATCTGTGGTTTCAGACATTTACTGGGGGTCCTGGAACTTATCCCCCGTGGATAAGGGGAAAGTACTGTACATATAAAAGATATCCCAAGTATTAAGCCCCACTCTAGGGAAACAGATGGTAGACTCTATCTTTGTAAGGAGAATAAAATCCACAGCTTGTAGGAAAAATCAGCCCCAAACAACATCAATATATTCTGAAGTTCTGATGAGCTACCAAGAAGAGTATGAGAAAATATTCTCCCTTCACCTGTGAGGTTCTATAATAAAGAAACCAAGAAGAAGTCTCTAAGTACAAATTCTTCAAAAGGAAGAATAAAATCTCTAACATTTCCTATTCTACTATATTTCTTATCACCAGGAATCTATAGATTGCTCTGTAGTTAAAATAACAACTGGATGTGATGTATAAAAACAGATAAGACCTTTACCCGAAGCTTTCAAATTTCCTTAGCACCTCTACTGAAAATTTCAAAACTATACTGGCTTCACAGATTAAGATTAAAAAAAATAAACTTTCATTAAAAAACAAAAGAAACAAAAACACTCCACATACCTGGCAAATCTGATGACATGCTTGATATTGGCGTATGGTGGAATGGTACTGAGTAGTCTGTTAATGAAGGCGGAATAGCAGCAGGATCAACCGAAGTCACACTGGGCACCCTTACAGAAGATGGCTGATACATGAGAACCCTGTTTTAAATAGCACGGGAAATTACAAACAATCTGGCTGTTAGTTCACAGGAGAGAAGAGCTGCACCACTGGGCATTCTCAGTCGTTCGTTCACCAGTTTCAGCACAACTATATGGCAGCTACTCACTACACAGCACTCCACTCTACTCTCCTCTCCCATAATAGTCTTCATTTTAACATGAACATATCTTGGCTCTCAACAGCAGCTGCGACATAAGAGCAAGTTGACATTCAAACACAATGTACAGTGCTGGAGTGAGATATAACACTTCCATCCACAAATAGAAATAGACATCACTTTTATTAATATGTATGTAATATGTATATGGGTATCAGTAATTTTATCTATAAAGAAATTTAAAACTAACATAGAAGATCCCTAAGGTTTGATTTAAATCAGGGAACCTTGAGAAGTGAAGCTACTCACTGTAGCACAATCCAAATTTCTTCAAGTCTAACTCGAATTGTATTAATTATTTGCAATCTTTCCTGGGAATCATCTGAGCAAAATTACCCAATCTTAAAGCCGACCAACTTGATGGCAATAGGCCACAATCAGAAACGAGGATGAGTGTTCAGGATTTAAAATATAATATCCAGAAATAAAAATGCTGGCTACCATGATAGCACCTACCAGGTAGGTGAAATCCTAAGAGAGTTTATGATTTTAAAATTAGCTGTTCATGCTACCAAAAATACAAATTAAACATATGTAATAAATACTTCACAATTGGTATTATATAAAACTGTATATACACTATAGAATTACTTTATAATTTCAAGAAGCAGTATAATTAAACATACTTTTGAAAAAGTTCAAGCTTAAACAGAGATTTTTTTTGCATTCTTCCTATTTAACCTGCATTTTCTCTTAGCCCAGGGTAAACAACTACAACTTCACAAGAAAGACATCCTTGAATGTATGTAGGAAACTGAGCACTGTTACTGGTCTTATGGTTGATGGTGGGAACCATGGTCACAAAGCTAGACTGGGATAACCTCTGGGCATCCTTTCCCTTTCCTGTTATTGCTGATTATTAAATATCAGTAATGAGAAATGATGACAAATTGCATGACATTCTTTGTACTCTGGAAAACTATTTCATAACCTCAATTTAAATGTCAAACCACTTAAATATGGATATCAATACAAATGTGGAAAACAGTCATCTTGAGAGTACATACATTGTTGAGTTGGCAACTATGTTAGTCTCAGAAAAGTGAATAAATAACACAGGTCAGAGTTCAGAAATCTTTGATCAAAAACTGATCCATTTAGGAAGCTTATGACATATAATATGCTTGAGGCAATAACATAAGCCTGGTATTTGAAAATACATTTTCCCGAGGTAGATAAAGACAGAAGGAAGTTATCTTCCAAAAATCAACCACATGTCTGTAGGTTAGAATCTGGAGATTTCTTGGCCTCCAGTGCTACTCGAAGACCTAAAACCACAAGCAGTATGTGAGCAATGTTAGAAAAGGCAGACTCTGGAGGAAAAAGAGAAGTTGGGAGGAGATAAAATAAGTTATATTGTATCTAAAGCTCATCTTTTCTGGAGGTTTGAAAACAGTGGTCCTCCACAGGGATCAAACGAACAGGACATCATCAAAAGTTTTTCAAATAACATGAGACCACCTCTCACACACAAGAGTTTATATGAGAAACTGGAGGAAGGACACAGTGGGTAAGGAGGAGAGAGAGACTGGGGTATACGTGAGTGCTGGGGAGGGGACTAAAGAAGTGGTCTGATTATTCTGGCTGTCTCAAAGTATTAATATCTTATTGTTTTAAAAATGTTAACAGGCAGGCTTTTGAAGACCAAATATATATATAAAGTTTCATTTAATTTAAAAAGTTTCTACTTAAGAGTACATTTAGAGCCAGGCAAGGTGGTTCACACCTGTAATCTCAGGTCTTTGGGAGGCCAAGGCAGGAGGATTGCTTGAGCTGGAAGTTTGAGACCAGACTACGGAACATAGGGAGACCTTGTATCTACAAAAAAAAAAAAAAAGCCACATATGCTGAAGTATGCCTAAGGTCCTAGCTACTTGGGAGGCTGAGGCTGAGACTGCTTGAGTCCAGGAGGTAGAGGCTGCAGTGAGCCATGAATGCTCCACTGCACTCTAGCCTAGACAACAAAGCAAGACCTCGTCTCAAAAAAAAGTACATTTAACCTATCGTGTTTTTTTTTTCTCTGCCACTGAAAGAAACTAAAAGACTTTCTGGTACAAGAAAAAGCTAATGAATGTCTTTTTCCCACTCCCCCTTCTCTTCCTTTGCTATTTCACACTGGAGATTTTCTTTTGTTTTGATCCTGATTGCCCTTTCAACTTGAAATAGACTTACACGTAACAACAATAACAGAGCTCCCTTTCCTTCCCTGACCCTTTGACTTACATCTATAAAAGGAGTCAAGTGAATGTACCTACACACCTGTCTGTCACTACAGTAACACCTAATAACTGTACGTGTCCTGTCACTTAGTAACATGAAACTTTAAATGAGTAAATAGCTACTCCTTACTTAGGCAACACCAAAAGGTTGACTGTCAAAACATGTGAAATGTGAAAATCCAATGGCGGTACAAATTAGTAAATCAACATCTAAAACCTCAGCAAACATATGAAAAGCTAAACTACTTAGTGTTGGTTAATTCCCATTACCTGAATGTTGCAACCATTAATACAAATTCAACTTTACATAGAATGGCTTAAAGTAGTCATTAGTTAGGATTATCAAATTACATACTGGGAGCAGGCTTTTGTTATCAAAATCTTCACAAAGACCACATTCAGAAACAAAATGATTCTAAAGCCTATGCAAAAAATAGATATGAGTAACAGATTCCATGAAAAAATGTAAATGGCTATGGATGGTGAAATGATGGATGTAAAAATGTGATGCTATATGTTAATAAAAAGATTTAAAGCTTTTAAAACTTGTTACTGCCTCTTCATAGGATTGGTAAACACACACAGATACGTGTATACATTATGCAAGTGACCATTTATATTTTAAACGTTTGTAACTTTATCCATAATATCACAGCACAAAAGTGAATTGCTAGAATGCTGCTATATAGCAAATATTAGTATTCCGGATTATATGCTGGATCAGAGAATTGCATGAAACTCACATTTGCTCAGACTTGGATGTCTGAAAATAGGTTGACCATTTCTATTTATAACCCTGAAGTTCACTGTATGCTCCCACTTTATGATCATAAAAGTATAAAAAAGATGCAATTTTGCTACCAATTCTTAATGATTATCAATCTGGAGACATATAGATTTATCCTTATTATGTTTCCTGTCTTTAGAATACCTTCTTATTAAGGCAAAGCAACCACTCATTTTTCAGAAGGGGCACAATATGTAAAATTATCTTTTAATATGGAAAAACATCAGAGGTTTTCTAAATGTCTTAAGATTAACATACAAGTTTCTTCTGACAGGTATTATAAGACTGCATTTAAAGACTCCGGTTCGTAAGCAAAGAAAGGGAATAGGACTGCCATCAAAATGGCAATGATTCTCTCTAGGTGAGATATTTTTTGCTTTCTTCTTGGTGCTTTGTAAAATTGTTTATAAGAATAATTTTTACTAAAATAATAATACCTCTTAAAAGATAGTTGCTCACAGGCCAGGCGTGGTGGCTTATGCATTTTGTAATCCTAGCACTTTGGCAGGCCAAGACAGGTGGATGGCTTGAGCTCAGGAGTTCGAGACCAGCCTGTGCAACATGGTAAAACCCCATGTTTACAAAAAAAAAAAAAACACAAAAAAATTAGCTGGGGGTGGTAGTTCCAGCTACTTGGAGGGCTGAGGCAGGAGGATCGCTTCAACCCAGGAGGTCAAGACTGCAGTGAGCCGCGATCACACCACGGCATTCTAGCCTGGGTCACAAACTGAGACCCTGTCTCAAAAAATTAAAAAAAAAAAAAAATAGTTGCTCACATAATTTCGGGGCTGTAAATTAGAGTAAGTTTTCCTGATTTCTCATTCTCTGTTCTTTCTCATTTGCTTACTATCTTTGATGGCCAAGAAATCCTATGATAAACTTACACAGCACAGGAAAACCATAAAAACTCTAGATGCTGAACTACAAGAAAGGATATGAAAAGGACAACCAAGAACAAAGTCACAAAAGTCTAAGAGTAGGAGGGGATCACAGAGATGATATAACTATAGCATGAGCCTCCACTATGACACTGTGACAGGTGGCAGCCACTCTAACACAGAAAATATGATTTTGGGACAAAAGATTAAATTTCCTAGTATTCAGAAAGCTCCAATAGAAAGTTTATCCATGTATCTTTAGTCCACTGGACCTAAATCTGGTAATAAAGAACAAACTTAATCCAGCTAGTCATTGTCTCCCTTTTAAGAACTACAAGGTGGGTATCAAATAATCTCTTCTCCTGGTTTAACAGCTTCAGTCCTTAAGATCCACTCATCCATCTTGCTCCAGATTCCACTATTCACCTTCCCGTTCCCCTGCTCTGGCCATACTCATTTGTTAATACCATTCTTGATGATCAGCACTGACTGAAATGCTCTGAGAGTCATATAGCCTAAAATGGAACAAAACTGGCATGGTATGGATCCTGGACACTATGCTTATTTTATTAATGCTAAGAACAAACTGATTTCAGTGGTGAACTCTTCAAACCATTAACTGAAACCTGACATTTGAAAGAGTTTCTATCAGAAATGGCAATTAATTTACTGAAGGCCTTTCCAACATCCATGAAGATGACTACAAAGTTGTCCTTATGACGAGATCCATCTTATCAATGTATTTCCTAATATTAAAGCACTCCTGGGATAAACTCTAGTTGGTCACAGATGTCATTTTAATATATAATTAAATGATTTCCTAAGACTGAATTCAGAATTTTCATTTATCTTTCTATGTGAGTCTGTTTCTTAAGAGTTCTTCCGTGTATTAATGTGTATGTATGTCTAGGTTGGGTGTTAAGGGCTACATCAGCTTCATGGAACGAACTAGGTAGCTGCGCTTTATACAGACTTTTAAAATAAACTTTCATGTGTTGCTGGTTTAGTCACAAATTTCTATCTTATACTTACCAATGTTAGTTTTTGTTTTCTTTTCAGCCTAAATGAGGAACCTTAACATTTATCTCTATAGTAGCTGATCACAGATGTAAACTATCCTTATTCCTCTGCATACTGAGGTCATTTCAGATTTTGTCGCCCACTGTGTATGTGCCATCCCTCCTGTTTCATGGACTTATCAAACACAGATAAAAATGTAGTAAAGGACAGAGGGTAGACCCTTGTGGCATGCCACCAGAGACATGCTCCAAGATCACAACAACTCATGAGTCAGCATCACTAGGCATGACCTCTCAACCTGGCATGAATTCAGCCAACTGCAGTACTTGCAACTCATGTTTTTCCACTATATTCTAAAGCGTATCATTACAGAGTAAAATCCAGAAACATCACATCTAAGCATTCATTCCCCTTCAAAATACATTTTGAACGTAACCATTTCAAAATTATAACTTCATTTTCTGTTTATCATTTAAATTACAGATGTACCAACCAATTTGTCTCAAAGGAGCAATAAATGATTGGCACACCAGGAAAAAATCCACTTGAAATACTTCCTCATTTTGTTCCACACACACAAAAACCCCACCTCATTCTAATTAAATGGGTAGAAGTAAATATATGCCTTTAATATATGTGTAAATTATATTTGGAAATGTAAGTATTTTAACAGCAAAGAAGGCAGCTGAAAAGGTTTAATTCTTAAAATTATAAAAATAAACAATGTTGCAAAACAAGACATTTTATATAAAATGTCTAAACAGGCATTATAGACACAAAAAAACGATTGCCTAGATTTGGGGTGTAAATAGGAATAAACTACAAAAGAACATGAAGAAAGTTTTTTGGGTGTTGAAAATATTCTACTACTGAATCATGGTGATGATTGCACAGCTCTATGTATTTACTAAAATCACTGAATTGTGCCATTATATACTTAAGATGGGTACATTTTATGCTATGTAAATTATAACTCAGTAAAGCCATTAGAAAACCAAGTGGACCAAGAGGCCAAAAAGATGACACTAGCAAACCCAAGTTTGAAAGAATGTGTTCGTAGACAGCCAGGAGAACTCTCCTGTTATCTCCTTTTATGGTTCAAAACCTCTCTGAAAAAGCAACTATTGTTAAATACCCAAACCTGATTTTTAATGCAGGTCAGTAATGCCTTCTGCCAGATAACTTACAGAGAATCCACGCTAAAATTCAGGTAGAATGCCATCCTACCCACCTATATTTTGCCCTGGAGAGGGTGAAAAGGGAAAGGAATCAATTTTTATTGGGAAATTACCACATGCCTGACACCGAGGCTTTCTTTCATCTCATTAAAACCTGAAAATGATCCTGTAATATAGGCGTTATTTAGCTCCATTTAACAGAACACAAAAAAGAGGCTCAATCAAATTAAGTATTTCATCTAAGATCACAGAACAAGTAAGCGATGGTGTGCCAAAATTGGAATCCATACTTGTCAGATTCCCAGTTCCACACTCCATTACACCAGACTTTCTCATCTGGTCTGAGATGCCAAATTTCCTTACAAACAGGTTCAAGAAAATAACAAAAAGTCTCAGGTAGGAAATAAATACCTCACACGCTCACTTTCCAAAGATGTAAATATTTTCTCCATCAAAATTTGCTTCCTATAAACAATGTGCTTACTCGAAAATATTTCAACTCAACAAAGGCAAATTAAAATAGCCTTCTACAGTTATGCCATTTCCCAAAGAGACATTTATAAATCTATCCAAGAGCAATTAGTTGCAAGGGTAATGAACAATAGTGAACTATAAATTAACAAACCCTTTGGTTGGGCTGCTTTGTGTTTCTGACATAAAGATGCATTTCCTTTTGGCAGGAGGGTCTTCCTCTTCGTCAGAAGAGCTTTCTATTGTAAGATCAATAACATCTACTTTCTTCTTGCTTGCCTCACTGGCTACAGTCACTGAACAAGGCTTACTGAGGACGCTTGAACCTGCATGTAAAGAAACAAAAGGAAAAAAAAATTAAAGGTATAACACAAATAAACTCTAGTGGTAGAGTCTAGTATATTCAGTATAGTATGTTCCTGACAACATATAGCCAGTGAAGCCACATACTCCAACCCATGGACAAATACCAACTCCCTAACTCCAGACCTCTGTCTGTAAAATGGTTGTTCACCTAGGGAGACAGGTGAGCACTATTCCTTGACAGATGGTTAGAAGTCTCATTCAGACAGAATGTTCTTAGTTATGCCTCCAATACCACTGAAGGATTTGTGCAGCTCCTACTGCTCATCCTGTCTCTGCAGGTCAGCAGTCGTTTTACAGAAAGACACGCAGAGTTAGGGAACTGGTCTCAGGTCATGGGACAAGAATGGGTGAGTTCAACAGCTATGTATTCTCGCACACATGTGGCACAGTTAGCTCAGAACCAGATATTTCCATTCTAGCAATTATGCTTATATCAAAGAAAGTACAGACTTTTCACCATAAGCCAGAACTTGATAAAAACTTTCATCTTGATAAGTTGAAAAAAACCCAAACCTCTCAATTAAGTTACTAAGACATTTAAACTTTTCTTATGAATTATCTGCTAATCACGTAGGTTCTTTCTACCCACAAAGACAGTCTCACATACCATATTTGTTAACTCACATTTTCACAGAAAAGTATGTTATTATCTGTAATGTATTTAGTTAAAAATGAATGACAGTTGATAATGGAAAAGCAACAGAAACTTATCAACTAAATCACTCCCCATTTTTCTGAAAGATGAGAGAAACCTTGGTCACTGCACTCAGGTTTAGTGTCAATCGCAGAGGAATAATTAATAATGGCATAAATCCTTTATTTTTTCCCCTTTCTTCTTACTCCATTCATTACATTGTTTGTTAGAACTTCAAATGTAATCAGAACAAAACTGAAATGCAGTGAGTAGACTGTTAGATAAAAAGAAACTCTAAGTTCACGTGTGGGTTTCAATGAGACTGTTAGATAAAAAGAAACTCTAAGTTCACCTGTGCGTTTCAATTACTCCAAATGCCCTCAGTTTCCCTACTTAGTGTGGATGGATGCAGGCAGTTGATGGATGAGTATACATTCTAGGTAATCAAGGCAATGTTAAAATTCTTCTCCACAAAGAAATGGAAGGTAACAATTTGTTTACTTTCTGAGCAACTAACCTGTGACCATCCCCAAACCACCAAGGCCATTAACCAATGATGCAGCCTCTCTAACCTCACCTCCACCTAGGGTTCCACCTACAGATACTCTAAGAACAATTCTGAAAAACTGTCCATATAAATTCATTTGTGACTTTTTGTTTTGTAACAAACATCATATTTTAAAATGATTTTAGATGAATGTTTCCTTTATTCTACACAGGAAAAATATACTATGAAATAGCTGATAAGATGGTATAAACTTTAGCACATTCCTTCAGGAAAGAATAAAAATCATTTGGGGGAAAACTATATATCATCAAAAGACTGAGTCAACAAGCTGAATTCCAAACGTATAGTTCTAGGGGCCAAGATTAATGATAATGTTGCACGAGTCTCACTGCTTTACTCTCTGCTGCTATTCTACACATACTTTCTATTTTTGTACACGGTTGGCTGGATACTTTCATAGCTTCTTTCTTCGGTCTCATTGGACACCAAGAACCATCTTCTTGGAATTTGATCTCATCTACATCAGAACAGTCATTGAGAATTTCCATAAAAAGCCTAAAAAACAATTAAGAAGTACATACATGTGATCAACAGCTTTGCCTAAAGGTGAAATAAGAAAGTAATACACATTACCTTGAAAACATAAGTAATGTTAGCTGACCCCCTTTTCTTTTGGTATTGCAATACTTTATACTTTACAACAATTATTACACTCCCTTTGTCCTATGTTTTAAATCTGTAACAGGCAACATAATAGTTAAGTAACTTACTGAGCATCACCTGTGTAACTCAATGAGTATAAATGGCTAGAGAGAAGTAGATACCTGGAGCCTCCTAGCTGAGGCTGGCAGTAAGAACAACCTCTAACACAGCACAAAAAACAAACATCAGCAGATAAAGGTTACTATATAGTAAAATAATTTATAAACTTTAACTTCGAGAAAAAAGGATAATGGGGTAGGGGAAGGAGGGAAGAAAAGGGAAATAAAAGAAGTCTCAATAAATTTAAAATAAGTGTATTTGAATTAAGTTCAAATTAAGTCCGTACCAGAAAAACCTGAAAACTTGGAAACTAAACAAAAGAAACATGAGTCAAAGATAAAAATAAGATTTTAAACTGAATGAAAATAAAAATGTAATAAAATTTGTGGACTGTATTATTTAAACACTGAAGTAGTATTTAAAGGAAAATTTATAGCATTAATCTTCCCTAATTAGAAATAAAGTCTCAAATCAGTAACTTTATGAAACTAGAAAAAAAAGCAAATTATAGTAAAAGCAAGAAAAGAGAAATAACAAAGAACAAAACAAACAAATAGAAAAAAAGAAAAACAGAAAAATCAGTTTCTAGTCAAACTTATTTACACTCACTCCAAAAGAAACAGATAATCTAAGAAGCCCTATGTCTATTAAATAAGTTGGATCTGTAGTTAAAAACTTTGCCACAAAGAAAATCCTAGGCCCAATGTCTTCTCTAGGGAATTCTACCAAATATTTGAGGAGAAATAATACCACTACTTCCAACTCATTGTACAAGGTCAGCATTACTCTGATAATAAAACCAGGCAGGCATTGCAACAAAACTAAATACCCAACATTCCCCCATGAACTCTGCAAAACAAATCCAACAACAAATATACACAGGATAACAAATCATGACCAAATGGGGTTCATTCCCACAATACAAGATTAGTTTAATATCCAAAAGTCAATCAACATAATTCACCGTATTACCAGACTAGTCAATGCAAGGCGGTGGGAAAACAAAAGGCATCCACGTTAGAAAGAAGAAGTAAAACTGTCTCTATTTAAAAAACATTACTGACTATATAGAAAATCCTATGTAATCTATAATAAAGCTACTAGAACTACTAAGGGATGGGAATAACATATGTTGATATGACAGCAATATACAAAGGTCAACTATATTTCTATATATTAGCCATAATCACAAAAATTTTTTAAATACCACAGAGATATGAAATATTTAGGAATAAACTTGACAAGAGATGTACAAGACACATTGAAAACTACAAAACACTGTTGAGACAAATAAACAGAAAGATACATCCTGTTCATAAATCAGAAGACTCAATACTCTTATGTCACCACAGACTTATCTACAGAGTCAATGAAAAACAAATCAAAATCCCAGCAGGTTTTTTCCCCTAATTGACAAGCTGATTCCAAAATCTGTATGAAAATGCAAAGAATCTACAATAGCCAAGATAATTTTGAAAAAGAAGAACAAAGTTGGAAGAGTCACACTACCTGACTTCCAGCAAATGCAGTATTGACATAACTACAGACAAATAAATCAATAGAACAGTTCAGAGATCACACATATAGTCAATTAATTTTTGTAAAAGGTGCAAAAGCAATTCAATGAGGAAAAACAAATCTTAACAAATGATGGTGCAGCAATCACATGGCCATATACCAAACAAAAACAAAACCCTTGTTCTTTATCTTACACCATACATAAAAATTAACTTGATAGAAATAATAAACCTAAGTGTAAAAGTAAATTATAAAACTTCTACAGGAAGCTCAGAAAAAATATTTGTGACCTTGAGTTAGGGAAAATGTCTTAAAATAATACCAAAAGCACAATCTTTCATAAAAGAAAAACTTGGTAAACCAGCCTTCATTCAAAGTAGACACTTCTGCTTTTTGACATACACTGTTAAAAGACTGAAAAGATAAAATGATAGAAAACATTTAAAAATCATATACCTGGTAAGACGTTTGTATCCAGAATACATAAGAACCACCAACATTCAATGACATGAAAACAAAACCCAACTAAAAAGTGGGCAAAAGGCCAGGCACGGTGGCTCATGCCTGTAATCCCAGCACTTTGGGATGCTGAGGCGGGTGGATCACGAGGTCGGGAGTTCGAGACCAGCCTGACCAACATGGTGAAACCCTGTCTCTACTAAAAATACAAAAATTAGCCAGGCGTGGTGGCGCACACCTGTAGTCCCAGCTACTTGGGAGGCTGAGGCAGGAGAATTGCTTGAACCCAGGAGGTGGAAGGTTGCGCTGAGCTGAGATCATGCCACTGCACTCCAGCCTGGGCGACAGAGCGAAACTCCATCTCAAAACAAACAAACAAACAAACAAACAAAAAAAAGTGGGCAAAAGTTTGGTCACTTCACCAAAGAAACGTACAGATGGAGAATAAATACGCAAAAAGATGCTCAAAACAATTAGTAATAAGGAAAATGCAAATAAACCCACAATGGAGTACCACTATATACCACTAGTATGATCTAAAATTAAAAAGATTAACTGGCCGGATGTGGTGACTCATGCCTGTAATCCCAGCACTTTGGGAGGCTGAGGTGGGTGGATCACCTGAGGTCAGGAGTTGGAGACCAGCCTGGCCACTATGGCGAAACCCCATCTCTACTAAAGACACAAAAAATTAGCCAAGCGTGGTGGTGGGTGCCTGTAATCCCAGCTACTGGGGAGGCTGAGGCAGGAGAATCACTTGAACCTGGGGGGTGGGGGCTGCAGTGAGCCAAGATGGTGCCATTGCACTCCAGCCTGGGCAACAGAGCAAGCCTCTGTCTCCAAAAAAAAAAAAAAAAAGAGAAGCCATACCAAATGTTAATGAGAATGAGGAGCAATCAAAACTCTCCATATACTGCTGGTGGAAATATAAAATAGTACAACCGCTTTGGAAAACAGTTTGACAGTTTCTTGCAGTTAAGCACACACCTGGCATGTGACCAGGCATTCTACTCCTAAGTATTTACCCAAGATAAATGAAAACAGTCCACACAAAGACTTGGGCATGAATGTTCACAGTAGCTGTATTTCCAACAGCCCCAAAACAGAAAAAACCCATCAACGCATGAAATGACAAACTGTGGGTTAGAATGCAACTCAGCAATAAAAATGAACTATTGGTATATGCAACATAAATGTATCTCAAACAAGTATGTTGAGTAAAAGAAGTTAGACAAAGGAAGCACATAGTTTATGATTCCATTCATATAAAAGTCTAGAAAATCCAAACTAATCTATAGAAACAGAAAGCATATCAGTGTTTGCTTGAGGACTGAGAGGGAGAGATTGAAAACATACATGAGAAAACTTTAGGTGTGATGGGTGTGTTCATTATCTTGACTGGGATAATGATTTCATAGGTATATAATAAGTCAAAATTTATCAAATTGTACATTTTACATGAGTAGTTCTTATGCCAAAAATGCCTACTTCATAAGAGGTTTATTTTTCTCAATTATACTGAAAATTCAGCATAATGTAAATCAAAACCCAAAAAGGTTCTGTGTAATTTGAGAATGCTTTTATTCAAGTGAACATGGCAGAATGTATTATGACACTAGTCAAAAAAATTCTGAAAAGAAATGGCCTAAGAAATACTACCACATAATAGAAATCTAATAATTAAAATAGTTTCGTATTGGCCCAGTAATACTTTGATCAATGGAACAAATAGCAGTTCAGAAGTTAACACTAGTATTTACAAGAAATGTATTAGATAATGCAAGTAGTATCTCAGATCTGTGGGAGAGATTATTCAAGTAAATGTGGTTGAGAATAATCTGGGTGCTAGGGTGACATGATCCCTACCTTAATGGGATCACCTATTCCCTACTGTAAAGTTCCTTCCTCATCCCCAATTTTCCTCCCACAGTGTCATTCCTTACCTTCACAGCACTTTACACTTAATATACTTTTTTTTTTTTACCATCTCCCATACTAGAAGTGCCCTGCTCACCATTTTTAGACCTAGTATCTGACACATGATAGGTATTTAGTAAGTACTGTGTTGAATGAATTCATGAAGCAATGTATGACGGAACAACTGCACAACTGGAAAAAGGAATCACAAATGTGCCTGATGAAAACAAGCAAGTGCTCATATAAAATCTCTACAACTTTCTAAACACTTTCAAGGAAGACATTCAAAAAGGAAAAGACAAGACTTGATAAAAAAAAATGTAAACCTTCTGAATGGAGAACAAAGGTCACAATAAATACAAATAAAAGGGAAACTGGGAAAATACATTTGGCACATGTGGACAGAGAAATTAATATCCTCAATCTATAATGACTATGTATAGGCCAGTAAGAAAAAGATGAGCAAGCCCATAGCAAAATCTTTTTTAAAAAAGGAATATTAAGAGGCAATTTGTAAAAGATATTATAATGACCAATATATGGAATTAAAGAAATATCTGATAACTCCTATAATACAAAAATTAAAAATCAAAATAGCTATCTTTTCAATTAGGAAATTAGTAGACATTTTTATTTGTTGTTCCATTTTGTTTTGTTTACTTTTGAAACAGAGTCTTTCTCCATCACCCAGGTTGGAGTGCAATGGCATGACCATTGCTCACTGCGGCCTCAAACTCCTGGTCTCAGACAATCATCCTGCCTTGGCCTTCCAAAGTGCTGGGATGACAGGTGTGAGCCACCACACCCAAGAGTAGACATTTTTAAAGTAAGTTTTAATACGTAAGGCTGCTAAGAGGGCTGAGAAGTGGACGATGTTATGCCTGTTGGCATGAGAGTGAAATGATTTACTAGAAGGGAAAAATAGCTTACTCCTCCTGGGAGGCATCTTAATAATAAATAGTAAAAGTCTTACATTCCCTTTGAGTATTTCTATTTCTAAGAACTTGAAGAAAACTCCACAGACATACACAAAATGCCACCTTCAAAAATGCTAACATCACAGGGCAATTTTAAATTGAAAAAGTAGAAACAAATATGGAATATCAAGAATTTAGTAAACACATCACAAAATATTAATGTGCAAAGGGGCATGACATATGTAACTCTCAAATGGTTCAAAAGAATTCTAAAAATGGTAATAATCATCTCTCTCTACATTCACAAATGCACACACCAAAAATGTGTATATGCACACATATTAAGGGAGAAAGTGATAAAACAACTGTGATAGAATGTTAACAACTGAAGCATCTGGGTCATAGTTACATGGGAGGTTCTTTGTGCTAGTGTTCCAACTCCTCTGTAGGTTTAAAATTTTTTCAAAATAAGCTAAAAATAAAAATTCAGCAAAGGAAAGTTCAGAAAGGAACATTAAAGTCCCATTCACTCTTCATTCCCCATTCCTCTCCACAGATAATACTCTTGTAAAACTTTTGTTGTTTATTTTAGAGATGCAACTCACTATGTTGCCCAAGCTCACCTTGAATTCCTGGGCTCAAGTGATCCTCCCACCTCACGTTCCTGTGTAGCTAGGACTACAGGCATGTACCACAGTGCCTGGCTTAAAACATTTTCAAGTTGTACAAGTATCTTTAAAACTCTAGGATACTTTTCACTATATATTGAGTAAAAATCATATGTATATATTAATATAAATCATTACATAAAGTATCATTTCAGTCTTTTTTAATGTCAATAACAAAGTCATCACCATAGGATGGTACTGCTAATTTTATTTTCATCTTTTCAGTAACTGTATTTTCCAAATCTTACATGGTACATGGATGACGTGCAATTTTTAAAAAAGTATTATTTGAAACAAGATACTAAAAATTAGTTCATGTCATTTTCCAAATTCTGACATGCAATATAATATGAGAGATGATGCTTAAAGTTTGGACTCCAGAGTCAGAAATACCTGGGCATGAATTCCAGTTTTGAACTTAAGAGCTATGTCTGTATCTACCCTATCACTTCCTCTGGTTTTTGCATAGACCCTAATTGCTACTTCAAGAAATTCTAGGTAAGCAAAATGACATCACAAAGCAAACTTTTCCCTCTTTCCTGTGGGCTTTATAAAATATAATCTTGGAAAGCAAAAACATTGCCCTCAACGCAAATCATATTATAGAGATAAAAATGCCACTAACCACAGTTTAAAAAATAAGATTGAGTATAATTAGGTATAAGACGGAAAACATACAAACATCTGGATTTATGCTAGAGTAGAATTTATTTAGAATTTAGTTCAGTAAGTTGTAGTGAACAAAGGCATTGCCAACAGCTGTTGTATTAGTCCATATCAGCTGTTAAAAGGGATATACTTACCCATCTAATATTAGACTTTCATAGGCAGCTTTTTTGTCACACACAGGACAAATCCAGGTGGGCTTTTTCTCATTCATTTGTAGATAGAGGGCAGCATCAAAACACTGCAGATGTGTACAAGTCACTGCACGGCATGGGATTGTCAGCCTCATTTTTCCTAACTACAGGACAGGAAACACAAGGAAAACTATTTCAGAAAGGAGAATGAGCTCAGAGGGAACATGGTCAGTTGTAAAAGTCGGAAGATGTCATACAAGAAGATGATAAAAATGAAATAGAAATCCAAATCAGAATGTATTCCCAAGAAGATTACAATATATTTTTATTCATTGACTGCCCTATGATTTTTGAAAAACCATTTCACTTTTTCAAAACGGGTTAACATGTAAATCCAGATTCATATACATTGAAAGTATGACTCCTTCTTACCTGGTCCCCAGTTTCCCTATTTAGAGAACCACTGTTATCCATCTCTTGCATGTCCTTTCACAGATGTTCTAAGCATAAACCAAGTGTGTATTTAAAGAAATATTTTCCCAGGAATGATAGTATACAATACACACTGTTTTCCAACTCACTTCTGTCATATAACTTGGTGACTACTGCACACAAATCGGTATATAAAAAGCTACCATTATATGAAGGTATCATAATTTATTTAATCAGTACACTAATGACTGACATTTAAATTGTTCCCAATCTTTTATCACTACAAACAATGCTGTAATGAATATTTCTAAGATTTTTATATTTATAATATTTATAATTCCTAGAAGTATAACTTTTGGATGGAAAGAAAAGTACATTTGTAATTTTTGTCACATTAACACACTATCTTCCACAAAAAGTACCTATTGGGTTATGCATACATGTGTATTAACATGCTTTGTTCCACTCAACCTTTTCAATATAATGTTATTAAATTCTTCGGTCTCTGCCAATCTGGAAGGTGACAAATATCCCATTACAGTTGTGAACTACATTCCTCTTATTTTAAGTGGTAGTTGAGCCTCTTCTTTTACTTCTAAGAGTCACTTGTGTTTCTAAGAACTTTCTACCTATAACCTTTTCTCATTTCCCATTTGGTTATTAATCTTTTGTTATCTATTTATAGGCACTCTTTATATAAGAAATCACGTGTGTAACATGAACTGCAAATATATTTTTCATTTATGTTATTTATAGGCACTCTTTATATAAGAAATCGTGTGTAATATGAACTGCAAATATATTTTTCATTTATGAAAATTTGTTTTTATATAATCAACTGTGTCAATTTTTCAACATACTTTTGATTAACTTTAGTGCTGTTAAATTCTTATTCCAACTAGTAGTGGTCCACTGGCACCAAGACGTACACAACACTCAGATTTGATCAGACCAGGTTTTCCTACATAATCCTTCAAACCTCCCCATATATTTCCTTTACAGAAAATATCACTGTTTATAACCAGTCCTGCTATTTTGATTGAAAATTTGTTTCTCCCACTAGATCTTATGCTCCAAAAAGACGGTCTAGATCTCTGCTCACCACTGAATCCTACTGTCCTAGCACAATACTAGCTGACAGTATGTGCTCAGTATTTGTTGACCAGATAGGAGAATGAATGGACATGGACTGGAAATGGGGAAAAGAACAAACAGGAAACGAAGAAGACGGACCTATTTTTATGCTATAAAGTTTGAAAGAATTCATGGCAAAATTAAAACATTCTTAGCTCTGCCTGGGAGGCAGGCTTTTTAGGATGTTCTTTTTCTTTTGGTTCATCTGTAATTTCTAATTCCTCTAAAATGAACACCTGGTAATGTGGTAATTTAAAAAGAAAATAATTTAGCTGAATCATCAACACAGAAGTAACGTTTATATAGTTCTACCTACGTGCAAGGTACAGTGTTGACTACTACTTCACATTACTCTCAAAAACACTTTCACAATTACATAACAATTATACTAAAAGGATGGTATTATTACCATCCCCATGTTATAAATAAGGAAACTAAGGCACAAAGAAGCTAAGTAACCTAACGTTACAAAGTTAGAAAATGGCAGAGCAGGTCTGACCTGGGAAGCTCCAGCCCTGCAGAGTCCACTCTCTCACTGCTATACTGCCTCTATCTAAGTGTCTAACCAGAGTTCTAAAAGGGAGCCTCGAAATTACTGTGATTCGATCAAGGTATGTGGCACGATATAACTCATCACTTAGAACAGAAAAAGGTCAGAATAAAACCTGGGGCAGCTTCTCTTCTTATGATACATCTTTCTATATTTTTCCTGCCTTTAAAAACAAATTATTTCTTAAACAGAATCTTACAGTATGCCCAAGGCTTTTATATAAATCTCATAAAATCTTCATAACTCTATGACTCCAGAAAAGCTGGTATCTACATTTCTATTTCTGAAATGAAGATGCTGAGGCTACAAGAGGTTAAAACCACACACTCACTGAGACACAGCTGATGGAGCTATATCACAAATCCAAATGGTCCTCACATCCCAGAGACATGCCAGTTTTATAACATTACAAATGGTGTTAGTTTTTTAATTTAATTACCCACCTTTTCCTCCTTTGCTAAGTTTTTGTTCTATTAAAAATGAACGTTGACTAAATACCTATTCAGCACCCAATGAGATAACCGGTTTTTTATATCCTTTCAATTATAAAATGAATAATTTTAATAGATTTTCATATTATCCTTTTTAAAAATCACATGTTATTCTTTTTAAGTAGTACCAACATAAATATTGGCTGGTTATTTAGAAATTTTCCACCAATGTAAGTGAGTTGGCTTTTTTACACAATCACTGTGTGGAAACAACTCAATCACTAAACTTATTATTAAATTACACTATACCTATTCAACAAAATGCCCACAATGATTAAAATAAGACCAATCTACACATACTAATATACTTAAGATACACTGTTAATTAAAAAACAGCAAGCCATAGGACAGTATATATACTTTCCAATAAACATACATATAATTATATAGAGAATTAAATCTGGAAAAATCTATCATGCTACTAGTAATGTTACTTCTGAATAACAGACCTTGTGAATTTAAAATGATCATTTTTACTTTTTGGTTCTATTTGAATAATCTATAAGTACCTATTTGTCAATTTTTATAATTTTTTCTTTAAAATAACGTTCTAACTCAGCCTACCACGGTTTTTACAGTTATCAGTTCTCATTTGGTTTCAAAACCCCTTTAAACTCTTAAAGATTAAGACCTAGGCCAGGCACGGTGGCTCCCAGCACTTTGGGAGGCCGAGGAGGGTGGATCACCTGAGGTCAGGAGTTCGACACCAGCCCAGCCAACATGGTGAAACCCAATCTCTACTAAAAATACAAAAATTAGCTGGGTGTGGTGGTGGGCACCTGTAATCCCAGCTACTCGGGAGACTGAGGCAGGAGAATCACTTGAACCTGGGAGGCAGAGGTTGCAGTAAGCCGAGATCATACCACTGCACTCCAGCCTGGGCGACAAGAGCAAAACTCTGTCAAAAAAAAAAAAAAAAAGGCCGGGCACAGTGGCTCACACGTGTAATCCCAGCATTTTGGGAAGCCGAGGCGGGGGAATCACGAGGTCAAAAGCTCGAGACCAGCCTGACCAACATGGTGAAACCCCGTCTCTACTAAGAATATAAAAATTAGCCGAGCATGATGGCAGGTGCCTGTAATCCCAACTACTTGGGAGGCTGAGGCAGGAGAATTGCTTAAACCAAGGAGGCGGAAGTTGCAGTGAGCTGAGATCGTGCCACTGCACTTCAGCCTGGATGACAGAGCAAGACTCTATCTCAAAAAGAAAGAAAAAGAAAAAAAAAATTAAGACCTCAAAGACATTTTATGTATGTGGGCTATAGTTATCAATATTTGTATATTAGAAATTAAAACATATTTTTAAAAGACAAGAGTACACAAGCACACATTCCATTAGCCATCAGAGCAATGACATCATCATCATCTATTGGGTAACCCACGTTAAACATCACTTTATGCTCCTAAGAGAAAAAGAACACAAAATGCCAAAATTGTGTGTCCATATTATTATAAAAAGTTTTAACTTTGTAGTTCTTTTCAAAGAGTGTCAGGGACCTTCAGGTATCCATGGGCCACATTTTGCAAACTGCTGTTTAGGGATTGTTTTTGTCGTTTTCTTCTATGCTGTTTCCATCTCTCCTGTCACAGCCTTAAAATTTCCACAGCATACAGAAACGAGAATATCCAGGACTATAAAAGTTGCTGACCCTAAATTTAATTCTACTCTAGTGGTCTTATAAGAACTAATGAGCATTTCCTAAGAAGGAATTTGTTACCAGCTAGCAAAATTTTATCAATTGCCTAGTGACTATGGCATGTTATTAAAAAGGACCTGAATGTGCCACCAAAATAAATTCTAATTCTAATTTAATCAGATGATGATGCTTTTTTGAAATTTATTATTTTTATGAATGGTTATCTAAGTAATGCAACACTTTTTTCCTATAAAATGTTAAGCTGGCATTATCCAAATTCTATTCACTGTAGACTAATTACTACCAATCTAAATTAAGAGAGTTTTTAAGTTGAAAAGGCCCAAAATGGTGGTTTCCAACTCTTTTCAGCAGGACTTTTTTTTTTTTTTTAAACATACTAGAATCTCAAGAGATAAAATCAAACCTAGCTTTCTTTCTTTCTTTTTCTCTCCCCCAGCTACCCAGTCCACCTCTGCAGGACAGACTGAAAATCACTAGCTGAAATCACCAAAGTGAAACTCCTATGTAAAATTCAGATATGGTGTTCAGAAATATAATTATGCACACTCAATTAGATCCTCTTCAGTAACTACTGTGACATTACCTTCCTTTAGTCCCAAGGACAGAGGTTTTAGAATTTGCTCCCACTTTTCAGACTCACGTCCACTGCAAATCACTTTACGAAAATACTGTGAAATGTAATAAACATTTATTCTATCACCCTACACTATCATTTTCTCTTGTTTTTGCCAAATAACCCAGGGTTCACTTCTTATTTAAGTGCCTGGGATTTATTTTTTTCCTTCTCCGTTTCCCATTACTGCACCAGATCCCATGTTATTTCCATTGTTAGCTGGCTGGACTCCATTCTGCTTTCTCCAACTGATAATAGGACTTACTCTTTCTCAAACACTGCTTTCATCATCTAACTTCTGTCATCCATCCACCAAATCTAATCAAAACACCTGTGTCTGGTATTCTAATTAATATATACCACATATTACAGTTTAGCTACCCAACTTTATGTTAACACTACTACTATAGCCCAAAGAGTAGCATTCATTCTTTTCTTAGAAAGTGCTCTGAAAAGATTGATGAACCCCCAGGAAAAGCTCAAAAGACAGTCTCACGAATAGACCTGTTGTCACTTCTGAGCAGAGAGAAAAAAACATTTCAGAAACTTAAAACAAGATTTCAAAAACCTATTTGATCTGTTACTTCATTTCTTCAAGTAACTGAAAAGTTAATTTTCTTAAAAATTGGTAATGTTTGGAAGGAACTGCTCCCTATTCTTACATAGAAGGAATCCTAACCTCTCTGATACACTACTTTCACTATTATTGAAAGTTTGGCTAGGTGAGATGGCTCATGCCTGTAATCCCATTATTTTGGGAGGCCAAGATGGGCAGATCACTTGAGGTCAGAAGTTTGAGATCAGCCTGGGCAACATGGCGAAAGATCTCTACAAAAGACACCAAAATTAGCCAGGTGTGGTGGCGTGTGGCGGTAGTCCCTGCTACTCAGGAGGCTGAGATGGGAAGATCACTTGAACCCAGGAGGTTGAAGCTGCAGTGAGCTGTGTTCATGCTACTGCATTCCAGCATGGGCAACAGAGAGAGACCCTGTCTCAAAAAAAATTTAAAATAAATTAAAAAAAAAAAAAAGGATATGTTATGAATGCAAAAAAAAAAAAAAAAATTTAAAAAGCCTGAGAATCTGTTAGTATGTTTGGCCATTGTATTTTGTTTTGGTTGCTCTCATGTAGAATGGCAAACTGTATGAAGAAAAAAAATTTAAAAGATTCTAAGAAAATGGCACTGCACAACTGTAAAACTCCTTAGGTAAGTTGTGTAGACTTTCTTCCTGATACAATAGTTTGACATCTAAAACATAATGGTGACACGAGTTTCCTCCCCATATGGTGACTGTATGTGGAATAGAGCTGGCAATTAATGTTTGCTGAATATACTAGGGATACATAATAAAAAATCGTCAATATCCAACTGTTTTTTAACCAACAAAAAGGCAATTTCACTTGTTTCAATCTACTATCAATTTTGATTTTAACATGAGAGCGAAGAAAAGTATAATAACCTGAAGATACTGAAAAGAACTCATGCCTGAAGGTTTGCATAGAGCCTGCACTCAGAGGAAGTCGTGTGTCCTTCCGCATGCCTCCTAGAACCTCTGCCAACACCCTCAGGGCTTTCAGGTCTTACCCTACTGGAACTGCACACCTCTTCCCTGCGTTTGCTAAGAGCAGGTTCCCAGTATCCAAGCAATCCTCATATCAAAAAATTATATTTCAATAAAGGCAAATTCATGTTTTTAAGTTAATGAAGATTAAAAGAGTGACACTTCAAAAAAAGATCTGCAAATACCACTTTCCAGAATAAAAGAGATGTACTTGTAATCAGGACATGTATATTTCAGCCCAATCTGGCAGCATGGTATATTGGAAAAAGAACAGGAATATCAGAACACTACAATCTTTATCCTTGTTCTACCAATAACTGTGTAATTTGGGTTAGCCAACCTCATTCAGTCTCAGTTTCTTCATCTACAAAATGAAGACAACTCCTCCACACAGGTTTGCTAAGACAGTTAAATAAAAGAACATACAGTAGAGACTCAACAAATCATTCTCTTTTCTGACACAATTTCTCCCCATTTAAAAAACTGCACATTTCTCAAAATGGTGGGTAGTCATCAAATACCCACAAAACTACATTATAAATTCCTGATTCCATGACTTTTTCTCATTAAGTTCTTCTTAACCGGAAAGGGTTCCCCTCCAATTCATTCACTGCTCCTGACCCTCCCATCTCCTCTTGGTAGTAAAACAGCCTAACTGTAAGTGAAGTCTGCACCATTTTTATGGGAGTTGGTTTTATTTTTCAAACTCAATTATTAACATTCTAAGCAAGCCTCAATATTTTCTCCCACAATTAGCTCAGTGGCAAGTACACAGGAGGATGTGAGAGTTGCTGACTGATTTCTCCCTCATACTTTCTATGTAAGGAGATATAAAAGAAAAATTATTGTGCAATTTAAAAGAACATTACAAAGACATCCTACACATCCTAACTCACTAAACTAAGACCATCAATTAGCATTTATCAGGCCCTAGTCACTTTATTGCTATTTTTCAGTATCATTTATATTCTGATAAAAGGAGTCAGCTCTTAATATATTTTTATTACTAGCTGTATATTATCTACAACATTAATTACAACAGATTATTCTGAGCCTAAAGCTATCTTCCCTCTTCTTTGTATTCTTTGCATGCCCAAATAATACAAAGAATTGTGACTTAATCATGAAGATTCCTTAATGGGAAAAGACAAAAGTTCAGCATTCTTCATAATATATCATTCATTCCCACACTTACTTTTATAGGAAAGTTAATCATTTATAAAAAGTCAAATTCCCCAAAATGTTTTGTTGCTTTACTTACAGGGCACATCAAGGATACCCGAAGGCTAGTTGTAGCAATTTCACTATCAGGATCTGCAGTAAGTTTTTCTTTAACTTTAAAAAGAAGAGAAAAAAAAAAATTTAAAAAAATTAAGGGTGACAAAGAAATGGAATTATAGAAATATATAGCATCTTAAAACAAAATGTTACATATTAATGTATTGACAACACGATCACACTCCCAATATAAGTTAAAGAATTATGAACATGCAAATTTCTTTGTTTAAATTCTTAAAATTTCTTTTTAAAAGTAAAACTGCTGGCAAGCAAGACTTTCAAAATAGAAAGCTATGTAAGACTTAAGAACAAAACAACAATTAGGAGAGGAAGCTGGAATGCAGCAGTACCCTGAGCGTCAAAGCTTTTCCAACACACATTCATCACAGTTTTTATTATGCACTATTGTTTGTTTCCAACAATTATTAAATTTGTAAACAGAAAAGATAAAAATATTTATACTTCCTTTGATAATTAAAAACTACTATGTGGTAATGTGTCTACAATTTTACTCACCAGTAATGTATATAAATTAGTATATACACAAGCTAACAAATATATACTAATATATTGATGTGAGCAATATTTAAAGCATTAAAGTATCTCATATGCTCAATCTTTTTTTTTTTTTTTAAATGCTTGGTCTTATTAAACATTACTTACTTAGTGCTCTGGAATGATCAGGGTTTCTAATACCTTTCATTTTTAATCTCTGTAATAACATGGCTGATGTAAGCTGCCGTACAAGATATACAGACATAGAGTAATTCTACAAACAAACAAAAAAAACCTGCATTAAAGATGAGAGATAATATTCTCTTTGTTTACATGAAATACTTATTTAAGAAACTCTGGTTTCTAAAAATAACATTCAAAATAACTTCCATGGAATGGTCAATCACTGCGAAGGGGACAAAATTCACCAAGCTACTTCACTGAAAATAAAAGCTCAATCATTTTAAAGGTATTTCTTGATCATTTATCACTTTAAAACATTCGCTGGTATGGGAATATAGGTTAGATCAATGGTTTCCAAACTATGGTTCTTATTTAGCAAAACTGGTACCTTAGGGGCCACCCTGAAAATGTACCCTCCTATGACTAACCAGAATCTTGCTAACCAAAATCATTCTGCTTTTATCGACTTTATGTAATGAGGTTCTCATATTTTCACTTAAAAGAGGAATTCCACTGCAGAAACAAATTCCAAAGGCCAGTGGTCTGAATTAACACTGCAAATCCAGAGTTCCAAAGTTCTAATTCTGGCAGAAGAAACCACCTGCTACTACATGGCCTTTGAGTAAATCACGCAAATGAACCAGGTATCAGCTTTCTTCTGAGGAAAGCTTTGATAAATTAACTCCTGTACCCCAAATGGGTATTTTATTGACAAGCAGCAGCTACTATAGTATGTAAGACACATGAAGAATGATAAAAATTAAAAAGTCAAGCCAGAAAACAACAGCGTCCAATCCCATACCTGTTAGATCTGGCACAAAGGAACCTTCATTAGCTATTTATAGAGCTATGAACAGACAAAATATAATTTCACATAAATGTTAAAAAAAAAAAACCTATCTTCCCATTTTATTAAATATATTCATTCAATTGATTCTACAATAAACATCATACTTTTAATAGCTGCCAAACCAAGTATTTTAAATATTTTTTAATGTTCTTTTAGATATCTAAATACCCAACTTATGGTGTAAATTCTAGGTCAATTAATCATTTTAATTATAAGGAAGAGTATTATCCCCATTACATGGCAAAAGTTTTCAATGTCTACAATCATTTATTCCAATGTCTGTAAAGTTACTCCCAGCTCTGCAATTACCTTGGTGGTAAAACAAAAAATTCCTGCTATAAATAATGCCTCAATTTCTCCATCCATAAAACAGGAATATTATTCTGTTTAGGAACATGTAATAAGAACACTGAAACTGATGCTTCATGTAATATTAACACTGAAGCTGATGGTCAGAAATTAACTGAAATCTCCTTTCCATTCATTATTTCAGTTATATAAACAAGTAATTCTAAAATGTAAATTCCTTGTTGTATTAACTGGTATCTCAAAATTGACATAATTTATTATAAGACCAAAAATCAACAGAAAGTCAAGTTCATCAACTTGAAGGTATAGAGAAAATATTATAATTCTAAGTAAATATTTTTATACAAATGCTTACAGGTTATCTGAAATATCAGTTGTTTATAGAAAGGCTAGAACAGATTATTTCTAATCACAACATGTGTACATTTAACCATTTCTCCCCCAAACGGATAAAACTTTCTTTGTTCCTCTTCATAAATATTTATCATCCAAAGCTTCTAGTTTATTAAAATACTAAACACAAACATACATACAATTGTGGTTAAACCATTACCTTAAGAAATATAAATATGCATATTTCCTTTCCAGGAAAATAAAGAGATGATATTCAGGAAAGCTCAGAGTTAAAGTTTTTAACTTTAAGAATCTCCACACTGCCACCTCTAAACTGAAAATTACTGCTTTTTAGAGATTACAATCCAAAAACAGAAAGAGCTGAAGCCAACAGCTTAAGAAAAAACACAGAAAGTCAACCCTCAGTGGGGTCACTGTCCTGCTACCCAAAACGGAGAGCTTTTACCTTCCCAATTTCTGATGCCCAAGAAATGGAAATTTGGTTTGGCACAGCTGAAGATAACCTAACTAAAGATGTAATATTCAAGGGGCGTCCAGGGCGCTTCTGTTCAATCCCATTTTTAGGCGGTGGTGCATAGCCCTATAACCGTAAGAAAGAAAAATTATTTCAAATCATCTGCAGGAAGATTAAACATTTTCTCCAAGATAGATACAGGATCCTGCCCAATTTCAGTTACACTATTTTTATTTTAGCCTAAAAATCATATAGCCCTTATGATCATTATCAACCCAAAATAGGAAAATAACCTTTGAAAAAAGGTTACAAAATATTTCACAAGTCCAGAAAGGTAGGAAAAAAATCCATGTTCCAACATTAAAATTAAAGATGCTGACATCTTGCCACATTGGCTATGAATGGTTTTCCTTTTTCATAGGACACCAAGCTTTACAGATAAAGTCACAACTTTTTATAACGATTCATCCTTAGCAGTCCCCATTCAAAATACATGCACATATTGGAGGTGGGAAAGAAAAAAACCAAACTGGGAAGTGAGGGGAAAGAAAGAACAAACTAATGAATTTCATTTTTAAAATCTGGTGAGTGATAAAAATATTTTCCACTGCCTTTTCTCTGGGTGGAACAGAAATGGTAATCTTTTAAACCAGGTTAAGTTAACAAATAAGGATAATCAACATTTCAGTTGTCATTAAATGAGCCTGATGGCTATCAAAATACTGCTATTTATGCTTTAATCTACTTTTATGTAGTCATCAACCGTATTTTTTTTTTTTTTTTTGAGACGGAGTCTGGCTCTGTCGCCCAGGCTGGAGTACAGTGGCGCGAACTTGGCTCACTGCAAGCTCCGCCTCTCGGGTTCACGCCAGTCTCCTGTCTCAGCCTCCTGAGTAACTGGGACTACAGGCGCCTGCCACAACATCCGGCTAATTTTTTTGTATTTTTAGTAGAGACAGGGTTTCACCATGTTAGCCAGGATGGTCTTGATCTCCTGACCTCGTGATCAGCCTGCCTCGGCCTTCCAAAGTGCTGGGATTACAGGCGTGAGCCACAGTGCCCGGCCAACTGTTCGTTTTAAATAGCAAGTATACTCATTTCTGATTCGCAGTATATCCAATTCCCAATTACCGCAAGACTTCACTCTGATTTTTCAGAGCCAAAATAATATATTTTTTAGAAAATTAAAATGTCTTAGCTGCAAAAAATCTACATATTGAAAAGTAGATACCATATTTCACTGATGCTAGGATGTCAGTGATGTAATTTAATTATGTACTATTGAGAAAGAGAAAATACTATGTATATATGGCAAAGAAATGGAAGCAAAATGAATTAACATATTCCCTTTTGTACAGAAGAAACTTCTGAATCACTTTTCACTCAGTCATTAATGCATACATTTTTCCACATGACACTCTCCTATGTGCAAGCAGGAATTTTAGAGAGAAAAGTATCTTTTAAAACTGTATTTCATTCCACTAATGTCTCAGATTTCTCTGCAAGTCACTGACACCATTAACTGGATGTGTTAATGGGGATACAATCTGGATCTTATGAGAATCCATCAATGAAAAGTTTTCAGACAACAGCCAGGATTCATGCTTCTTTCTCAAAATGTCCTTAAATTATTTATTAACTGAAAAGCCAGGGAGTACAGCTAACCAGTCACGCCATGCCAATAACATCAAAGTTGCACAGGTGCAGGCAATGATAATACGTCACAGCTGACACCTGGTCACCAGCAATTTTAAGACACTTCTGGATTTCGGCAATGCTAAAATATGCACCTTAGGACCAATGAAAACTAGTACTGGTAGTATCACAAGCAAAGAGGAACACACCCTGTCTACCACAACTTGGGAACACCCTTCACTGTCTCATAAGAGGCAAGACAGTAATTATTAAATGGTAGTCCACATGATAATGTGTAATCTATAACTTGCAACAAAATTCTGAAAATCATTAAAAACGTTTGAGCAGGGGAATAAAAGACAAAGAGAAGAACTTCAATAACTTGCATTATAATATGGAAATGAAAGAGAGAGACAGTGTGTGTGTGTGTGTGTGTGTGAGAGAGAGAGAGTAGGAAGGTTATGCCCATCTTAAGTTGCTCAAGTGAAAAAAAAAAAAAGTTGCTCAGAAAAAAAAAAACAACTCCTAAGAAAAGTCCTCTCATAAAGACTCAAGGAGCTGATTCAATGAGCATCAAGCACAAGGAGTATCAACACCAGTATCTAGGTAATTTTGAACAAAACTTTTGTTTTGCCTGTTTTGGGCCTGGAAGATAATTCTGTCTGCTGGTATGTCCACTGGTAGGTTAACCAAATAAAAATAATGTTACAGGGTCTGTCAGAAGGATAGAAATAACTCATGAACTAAAATGTGCACTCTGGAAATTAGAATTTAAGACATAACACTGTCTGACACAGTAGAAAAGGGCAACAGAAGCAGGGAGAGTAACACTCATGTAAGAATGAAGTGTCAGCAAACTCAGAATCATTTTAGTCTCACTCAGCATAAAGTGTTTTCAATCTATTCTGTATCCCATTTGAGTAGTGTGACTTTACTGGTAATTCTGAGTTATCTGATAACTTGTATTCTACCTGTAACCATCAGCACCACCCCTACCCAACCATCAATTTCCTGGTTATTGATAATATATTAATAGTTGGAATTTTATAAAATATAAAGTTTAGCCTTCACACATATTTCTAACAATTTTCCATATTTAAAGCAAAAATAAAGTCAAGTTCATGTGACAGGGAACCAGTGGGGCAAATATGCGAGCTTTCTAAGCAAAGGCCACTGGACAGCACCAGCGGAACACTTTGTGGTAGTACTGTGACACACTCAAAGAATTTTTTATGTTTCATGCTCTGATGACACCCTACCCTACTTGCAACTGTGACAAAAGTTGTCCACAATTATTGTACTTTAACATTTTCCTCCAAATTTTCTAATTACCACTACTACTTGAATACTTCTAACAAAGATTTACTTTTTAACTTTAAATTACGGAAATTTCAAACATACACAAGAAAGGAACAAATAGCAGGGACCCACCAACCAGGTTCAATAATTATCAACATGTTGCCATTCTTGTTTCAAATGCTTTTGGCCCCAAAGCCAGTCTGCCCTAAAACACACACACCACAAAAATACACATTTCTTTTTGTCCTTATTTAAACTCAAATTCTAGACATGCCATTTAACCCAGATATTTAACATGCATCTCTAATAAGACTTTAAAAACCCACAGCATTACAACCCCACAAAAATAATCACAATTTTAAAAAATCACCTAACACCTTGTCTTTCGATTCAGATCTCCCAGGTGCCTCAAAATTTCTTTTCCTGTTATCCTTTTATTGTTGAAAATTTTAAACATATACAAAAATAGAGAAAAAAGTATAATATGTATATATCTACCAGTTCAGTAATGTACTTACCCATGAACAATCTTTACCTACTCTACCCAACTCCCACTCTAGATTATTTTAAAGCAAATCTCAGATACATTTTCTATTTTCTCCAGATGTAGTTTAGTATAGATGTCCTTTTACAGCTTGAATCAGAATTCAAAACTAGAGCCCCACACCGCACTTAGTTAGGTCTCTGAAGTCTCCTTTATTCTATAAACATAACCCCTGCCATCTCCAAACACACACACTTTTTCCCCAATGCTGTTGTTCTACTGGAGAAACCAGGACTTTTGACCTGAAGAATGACTTCGCATTCTAGATTAGGTATATTGCTTCCTCGAAGTATAAGGTTTGTTGCTCTACCTCCCATATATTTTTAAAGCCAGTCATTAGTTGTATAAGCTTGATTAAACTTGGGGTAAAAATTTTAGAAACAAAAAACTTCACAGAAAATGTTGCATACTTCATATGGTGCTACATCATAAGGCACAGAAGGTGGTTTGCCCTGTTTTCAGTGGTGTCAAGATTGATCAGGAGTTCAGGGGATGTCAGCCTGATTCCTCTACCATGAAGTTCCCCGTCAAGCTTCGGCATCCATTGATGATAGCTACCTAGACCCATTATATGATTATGAATTGTGGAATAATGATTTTCTAATTCTATTACCCTTTTGATTGTATTAGCCGAAATGTTTCCATAAAGAGCTTGACCACATCAACAGCTGGTCACCTTGAAATAAATGATTCTCTTCCTTCATCAATCTTCGGAGCAGCAGTGAGTTAGTGCAACCTCCAGTGGCTTTAGTATAATTATTATAAGCACACTTACATATTTGATAGTTTTGAGTCTACTATAATCATTATTCTTTCAGATGTCAAAATTATCCCTTCTCAGGTAAGGAGGTGCCTCTTCAAATTGGGGTGAGTGTGCACACAATTATGTGTTTTAAAAGAAGAAATGTTGAGTTTATGTCAGTCCTGATTTACTATGAGACAGGCCATCAGGGTAACTAACACACAACATCAGGGAACATAAATCCATGAACTCAGAAATACAATTTATAAGGAGAAGGGGGCCAGTACTGCTAAGTCTTCTGGCTGCACCAAAGGAACTACTTGGAGATTGCTGCCAGCTGAATTACAGCACATATCCTCTCTACTCTTTGGGATCTTTAAAAGAAATATTCTTGTCAACCCTTCTTCCTTTCTTCAACCTTAGAGCTACACAAGATTTATAGATATTTCTCACAAATTGTTTAGAAGAAAAATAATCCAGCTTCTTAAAATAACTCCCTAAACAAAGAGGGCCTTTTTCTTTCTTCTGCCCATTAAAAACATGGAATGTTCTCATCTGGCTGTCAGTCTGTACACTGGCAGCCCTTGGAGTCAAAGATGGGAGATGGTCTCTGCAGCAGGTTCTTGTCTGTCCACACTGCATGTCACCATCCCACAAGCCCTACTATGAGCTGCTGTCTTCCTTGCACCAAGGGAACCTGGAAAATGAATGCATGAAGGTGTTTTGTAAAACTCAGCATCTTGATGTAGGTTAAAAAGCACATATGCTGCTTGCATCACTATTTGATCCTTAACAGTCTAGGGACACGTTGCCATTTTCAAAGTAATACCATTTCCCATTCCTATGTTTACTTTGTACATGAAGTATAGTGGTCAACTGCCATGGGTCCATAAAGACTGGGTATTACAGTAAGATCATACACATAAGGACTTCTTCCAGGACACAGACAAATGCCACCATATTCAGAGCTCTAATGGGCAATTCATGACTGTGTCAAGCTTTTCCCTCCAGGATTCATGGTTCAATACACCAGGATCACGGGCAAGGACCACCTATCAAATTTCTTTTGTGGCTTGTTGATGCTTCTTAAAACTGGAACAAAGTCCCTGAGGCTCTCCATGGTGGCAAGAGCTCACTATAACTCCTATAGGGCCACAGCAGCTTTCTTCTTCTGAGGCTGCAGCATACTCACGTAATTCTTAAAAACTGCAGAATCTTGTTTTATATTTAAAAAGACTCCACATTTCATTATCCCAATCAATAGCAACTGTGGATCAAGTGGTGGTTTAAGATGTTTTCCATCAGATGCGCATGTGAATTTCTGTCAGCTGTTCTATAGGACTTTACGGAGCTAGGGTAAAAAGACTCTTTGGGAAAGGCAGGCATTTGATTTTCTTTGGGATGGCCCTATAAGGGTCAGGCAAATCCTCCCCATTGCCTTCTATTTTTGAAAATATGTCTTTGCCTTTCTCTCAATGCTCTATTTCTTCTCCTCCTTCACAACTGCCCATGGAGCTGCTGCAGGCCCCTGGCTCCAGGGATGCCAGACTCATCAGACAAAGGCTGCTTTATGTAGTAGTCAATATGTTCACAAATAGTCTAATACAAGTAATCAGGGGTTAGTGGGTGCTTTGGGACAGAAATCAGCAGTAACTAAGTAACAATGCCCCAGAGGAAGTACTCAACTGCCTAAATTCTTCTCCCTCAAAAGAACTGGAAGAGTAACAAACTCCAAGCCATCCTCAGTGGTACTGTAGACCTCCTACAGGAAGGTATCATCCCAAAATGTGACACTGACTGGTCCATTTGGAAATTCTGGTAACGTCTATGTTTACACATCTGTAGCCACCATATTTTCCATAGCAATGCCACAGAGTTTAGGCACAACCTCACACATTTCAGATGCAGCTCCCATCACTGGCACAGTCACACGATGATACAGGATAAGCCTTCAAGGTGAGTCCACAGACACCAAGAAGCCCTCCATAGTCTTATCTTTCATCACAGATAATGGGAGGGGCAAATAGCAATGAGAGTCAAAGGTCAAAGAAATCTTAGCAGCCAGACGCAGTGGCTCACACCTGTAATCCCAACACCTTGGGAGGCCAACATAGGTGGATCACTTGAGCCCAGGAGTTCAAGACCAGCCTGGGCAACACGGCGAAGCCCTGTCTCTACAAAAAATACAAAAATGAGCCAGCCATAGCGGTGCATGCCTGTAGTCCCAGCTACTAAGGAGAGTGAGATGGGAGAATCGCTTGAGCCTCTAGGAGGCTAAGACTGCAGAGTGAGCCGAGACTACACTAATGCACTCCAGCCTGGGCAACAGACCTGAGAGCCTTTTTTTTTTTTTAAATAAAAAAAAAAAGGAAAAAATGAAATCTTAGCACATCTAGGGCAAAGAAAAATGGTTATGAAAAGGCCATGGGACAGGTGCACAGGGTTGTGTATTAATCTGTTTTGCCAGGCTTTCTTTGTCACACATGCAGTTACCCATTGGTATCTTTCAGCTCCAAGTAGGGCTGCTTCTTCCCTTGGTTCAGATCTTTGTGCAAACTAGCCAAATAAAAGATAGGCCAGGCGTGGTGGCTCACGCCTGTAATCCCAGCACTTTGGGAGGCCAAGGCAGGTGGATCACGAGGTCAGGAGTTCGAGACCAGCCTGCCCACATGGTGAAACCCTGTCCCTACTAAAATTACAAAAACCAGCCAGGTGTGGTGGCAGGCACCTGTAATCCCAGCTACTCAGAAGGCTGAGGCTGGAGAACTGCCTGAACCCAGGAGGCAGAGGTTGCAGTGAGCCGAGATCACACCACTGCACTCCAGCCTGGGTGACACAGCAAGACTCTATCTTGGGTGGGGATGGGAGGGGAGTGGGAAAAAAAGGATAGCTCCTGAGAATCTTGTTGCTAGTAGCCGGAAACCTGACAAACTAAATGTCCCACCCGGGGAAACATGTATGGGCCATGTAAGCAATCCCCCCTGACCATACCTACTCAGCCTCTGCAATTCCCCTTCACTCCCAGGACTGTCTCAATGGATTTCAGTCTCAGATGCATCTTTCAAAAAGAGTCACGTCAGTGATGCAGTGTTGCTCAAGCCCTTTAAAGGTTCACAAAACAAGTATTTCTCAGGTCTCTAAGTCCACAGGCTGTGTATGCGACAAATGAGACTCCTGACAACCAAGAGAAGTCAGATCCCTCTGTCCACAAGACCAGGGTCAGTCTCAGTCATGGAATTTCTTCACTTTGGGGCCCAATTCTTAGCACTTGGCTCTGGAGAGCCCAGAGTCCTAGATCATATTGTCTGACTTGCTTGGCTACTCGTGAGTACTGCTCATATATTAGTCCAGAGCCCAGTCTCGTGTTCAGCAGGGATATTACACAGCTTCCCCATTTCCTCAATAGTTGCGAAGAGTGTCAGCTCTGGTGAAATGACAACTGGGCCTAGTCAGGGAGTCACTGCTCTCTTAGTGATTCAGTTACAGTAAATACACCTCCAACTTTGTAGTGCTTGACAAACGTGCCATGTTGTACTATTTTTTTGATTATGGCTTTGCTGGCCTTCTTACAGAATGGTACCAATTTAGTAATGTATCCAAAATGGAAACCAATACATAGTCCAGTTCTACATTTATTATTTTATTTTATTAAGACTTGACTATCAGGATTTGAAGAGTCAAAAGCCATCTATTAGGCCAGAGACAGGCTGCATGCATTTACATTGTATACATCCTAGGTGCTGAAGCCCATATACTCTCTCACTGCTTAAATGTGTTGTCAACCAACTATTATTGCACCCACCCACCACAAGTGAATGCATCATCAAGGCCCAAGCTGGGAATTTTTGATCTCTGTAGTTAGCCACTCTCAGCAGCCTCTGCTTTTCCCCATGCCATCCACAGGCCAGGCCCAGCTAATGCAGACATCCCACACATGCTGTCCTATACATGAAAGTGCCCAAGTCCTCCCCTTCAACTATGCTGTTTGATATGATCCCAAGAGTGTTTCACAGCATCCTTGATTTCTTAAGTAAGATGCTCCAGGCTCTAGCCAGGTACAGTGGTGCACAACTGTATTCCCCACTACTCAGGAGGCTGAGGTAGGAGGATTGCTTGAGCCTATAAATTCAAATCAAGCCTGGGGAACACAGTAGGACCTTGTCTCTTTAAAAAAAAAAAAAAAAAAAAAAAAAAAATTCCAGGCTTATGTTTTCCATCTCCTTCAGACCTGAAATAAGCCATTTATTATTTATCCAAGAAGCCATGGGTTACCCTAGTGGAAAATAGTATTTAATCTGGATGCTAAAACTGTTCACTGGTATTCAGCTGTCACTGTTGCACTGTTTCTAGGCCTTGTCAGTGTTTATATTAAACTTATATGCAAATCTGGTGAATAAAAAGCAACTTACAGGCAAAGGAAATAGCTTCCCATTTACTTTTATACATAGACTATTTGGATAGTTATCTTCTTGAGGGCAACTTGTCTCTGCCAGGCAAAGTCTGCATTAATAAAAGAAAAAAGTATTCTTAAATAGTGTGCTCAAACATTCTTATATGTTTTAAAATTCAGAACTACATGCACATAGTAAGCAAGTATAAAACTAAGGTAACAGAAAATTTCAAACTCACCTCAACTGAACTTGGACTGTATAATCTCTCCTACCACCTGGCAAAAAATCCCTGTTGGAAAGAGAAAGAAAATGGGTTAAAAAAGTACAATGAGAATTCTCAGAACAGTCTCCCCAGGAGGAAAAAAAGGAAAAGCATTATTTGTATTTTTCTTATTCCCTGAAAGGTGATCAATATACTACCAATAATATAAGCCTTAATGAAATCACTGTAATGATGATAAACCTGACTTGCTTAACTTCTAGCCACGTCTTTATGGCAATTTTAAGGTACCTTCAATGCACAGGAACTTTGATGATGCAAAATTTATTTCAATAGACATCAAACTTGGTAACATGCAAGGAAGCAGCCTAAGTTCGGAAAGAGTTTTAATCAGCAAATCTATTTGCTTAGAGCATTCTAATCACTTGAAGACTTTTTTCTTTTTCTTTTGTTTTTTTTTTTTTTTTTTTTTTTTTTGAGACAGAGTCTTGCCCTGTCGCCCAGGCTGGAGTGCAGTGGCGCGATCTTGGCTCACTGCAAGCTCCGCCTCCCGGGTTCACGCCATTCTCCTGCCTCAGCCTCCCGAGTAGCTGGGACTACAGGCGCCCGCCACCACGCCCGGCTAATTTTATTTTTATCAGAGATAGGGTTTCACCGTGTTAGCCAGGATGGTCTTGATCTCCTGACCTCGTGATCCGTCCGCCTTGGCCTCCCAAAGTGTCTCATTACAGGCATGAGACACTGCACCTGGCCAAAGACTTTTCTTTTACTATAAAGACCTATTCACTGGATATTCTTATTGATCTCAAGTACAGCCTAAGCATTAGTTTTTATAGCTACTAGGGGGATTCTAATATAGACCCAGGATAAAGAATTAGTGCCTAGAGTCTCAGCATCTCCATACCATGCAACTTCATAATTATGTATCCAATTAAAGATACAGAACCTCTTATAATTTCTAGATGAGAATCTAATGGTCCCATGTAAAATATATTTCATACTGAACCCTCCAAACTCTTGCCACGCAACATGGAGTCTACGGGGAAGCAGCACTTATTCCTTAGGAGCTTGTTGGAAATGCAGACTCTCAGGCCCCATCCTAGACCTATAGAATTAGAATCTGCATGTTAACAAGATCCTCAGGTGACATGTATACACATTACAGTTTTAAAAAGTATTGCCCTTAGCCATTGTCATAAATCTTGGACTCTGTCAGAGAGAAGATCACTAGAGTGTAGTCCTTTCTTGAGAAGACTGGAGTACACTGAGCCCCCATGGTGCTCTAACTGGGCCAGTCTACTCACCGTTCCCAATCCTCGAGCTCCACTGGAAGGCAGTAAAGCACAGCAGTGACAACCACCTTAAGTTCTACAGTCCCAAGCTGCACAACATTGTGCAAATCACTTAACCATTCTGTGCCTCAGTTTCTACATCTGTTAAAGATGGAAAATTACTGCACCAACCTCATCAAGTTGCTGTGACAATTAAACATGTTAACAACACATGTCAAGTGCCTAAATATAAGATGTGCTCAACACATGGGAGCAGCTGGCTGCTGTGACTGTTTCCACTGCTCCCACTGTTCTCCTTACCAAGAGCAGCCTTCTCAAATGGCTATTCAAAACATCCCCATATCCTTGACAATACTGACCTCTTCTGAGCAACCCATATCACTCCACTCATTCATATCAAGACACATTTCATATTCTGGGTGCTGGAGCTTCAAAGACAAATACAACACAGTATTTGCTTCAAAGGATTTATATGCTAAGTAGGTAACAGAAATACAACACCTAAAATAAAATATGGTAAGTGGTACAGTACATTATAAAAAGTAAGTGCTACAGAAAAAGGGAAAATTTTTGTCTTGAAAGTTCAAGGTCATTATCACAATTAGTCCAATCTAACTAGAAAACAGGGTTTTTACAGCAGTGGTTCTGCCTACTTCTGCTTAGTGGCTCCACTAGGAACATGAGTAACTGTGGGTATCTAGTGCAGTAATTCCCAGAAAAAAAGAAAGGACAGAGATACAGATCAGAAACTTGTTAGATGGGAAACACGATGTGAAGAAAGAGAAAAGACAAGACATGAGCCTAGAAAGATGGATGGGGGCATAAAGGGTTTTGAACAGCTCACTAAGGAGTTACACTTTATTCTGGCAAGGGAAATTAACAAAAACTGGGAAATACAATGTGCTAAATATCTTCACAAACATTATGAGTAATGACCAAGGCATCTTCTGACATTCATTTCTGCCAATCACTGTTCTAGGAAGTTTTACATACTGGTCCATCAGATACAAAAGAAGCATTTACCATATGCTAGGTACTGTAATGGGTTGTGAGGTGATAAAAATGAGTAGAAGAATGCTGCTTTCATTAAGAAGGTTGCAAATGCAAGCAGTGAAATAAATGCAATGATGCCTTAACAGAAAATAAGTACATGGCACAGTGAGAGACAAATGACACATTAAAGCAAATCTGGAAAGGCATCACAGGGGACGTATGAATTGAACTGGCCCTTGAAACATGACTCAAGAAGTTTGCCAGGCAGAGTACAGAGAAAAAAGGCGGCAAAGGTGCAAAGATGTGAACACCATAGTTAACCTAGGAAACACAAATGGGAAAGCCTAGTCAGAGTACAGGTTGTTAGAAAAGAGTAACAGGAGATAAGATTAAAAAAAAAAAAAAGCAGAGCAAGATGTTGAAAACAACTGCCAGGCAATGGAGTGTGGACTTTATGAGGTACCATTAGAGTGTGTTTAAAGCATCAAAGAGAAAAAACTGAATGGGCTTTAGAAAGATCATATGTAGGAGCTTTCTAATGGAAAGATCTCATAATTAGGAGACCATTACAATTGAAGAGGCAAAAAACAAGGGCTTGAAGCTGGGCGCAGTGGCTCACGCCTGTAATCCCAACATTTAGGAAGGCTGAGGTAGGTGGAGTTCAGGACCAGGCTGGGCAACACAGCAAGACCCCATCTATGCAAAAAATAGAAAAATCAGCCAGGCATGGTGGCACATGCCTATAGTCCCAGCTAGTCAGAAGGCTAAGGTGGGAGGATCAATTGAGCCCGGACATTAAAGGCTGCAGTGAGCCTTGATTGCGGCACTGTACTTTCAGCCTGGGTGACAGAGCAAGACCCTGGCTCAAAAAATAATAGTAATTTCAAATGAGGGCCTGAAAGCTATTAAACATAAATACCACTGAGTGATATTCACACATAAAAAATGGTAAGACTTGATGAATGACTAGATGTGAGAAGGCAGGATAAGGGAAGGGGAGTTTCTAGGAGGGTATCCAGGTTTTGGAATGCTGCAACTGAAGAGATGGCCATGCTACTCACCAGGACAAGAAGAGGCAGAGCAAGTTATAGCATCAATCTCCCAAACCACCCAGTGAGGTGGTGATCATTATTCCAATTTTGCATGCTGAGAAAGTGAGGTTTAGTCACCTGTCTAGGGGCATACGGACCTAAGTGGTTGGTTCAGAATTCACTTTATACTTAGTATTACTCTAAAGACCATACTAGCTCCCTCAAAGGTAGAGTTGCCTTGCTGAGTTTTAAATATTCAGAATGACATAAAAGAATCAATGAAGGGCCAGACGCGGTAGCTCACGCCCATAATCCCAGCACTTTGGGAGGCCGAAGCGGGTGGATCATGAGGTCAGGAGATCGAGACCATCCTGGCTAACATGGTGAAACCCTGTATCTACTAAAAATACAAAAAATTAGCCAGGCGTGGTGGTGGGTGCCTGTAGTCCCAGCTACTCAGGAGGCTGCGGCAGGAGAATGGCGTGAACTCGGGAGTCAGAGCTTGCAGTGAGCCAAGATCACGCCACTGCACTCCAGCCTGGGTGACAGAGCGAGACTCCGTCTCAAAAAAAAAAAAAAAAAAAAAAAAAGAATCAATGAAGTGCAGCAAACAGACAGGATGTGGTAAATGAAGAGTGGCCTATCACAAAGAGGCCTCTGTCAAGGCAGATTCCAATGCCATTAAGGAAACGAGTAATGCAGAAGGAAATATACTAAGCAAAAATCTCCTTGAGGCCAGTCTGTTTTTCAACTTCGCATCTTTGGTGCCTGGAATATTGTCTGGTCCATAGTAGACAGTTAATAAATGTGTGCTAAATGAATGAATAAAAGAACAAAAGATAAGCAGGTTTGATGGAAGGCAAGCTCAATTTTAGATGTGTTGTGCTTGATGCCCTTGTAGGTCAAAGGAGAGGCACTGAAAAAGGTGTCTAGAGGGAGGTGTTGGTAATTTTGCAGCCACCCATATAAAAATAACAAAGCACATTAATGAATATTATCATAGAGTAGCAAGAAGAGAATCCCAGATTGATCCCTTAAAATGGGTACAAGAAGTCAGTGTGAGGAACTGAGAGCATGGTTAAAAATATACTAGTACCAAATGGAAGGAGCAGCGCTAAAGCCAAAAAGAGAACTGAATCCAATGTTCAATCTTCACAAGATGTAACAGAAAGAACAAAAAAACCTGGACAAGAATGTATTCAAGCGTCTAGTCTAGATCTTACTACCACTACAGGCAAAGGGGAGGGAGCTAGAAACACAGCTGTGGTTCTCAAGTTGGCTGCATACCAGAAACCTGGGAAACTTTAAAAACCACTCATGTTTGGGTTCAATCCTGAGATTCTAATTTAACTGATGTGGGATAAAACCTGAGTATGAGAATTTCCTAAATCTCCCCAGCTGATGCTAATATGCAGCAAAGTTTGAGAAACATGGGGAGAGAAGTAGTTAAATGACACAAGAAGCAATCATCCGAATCCAGAATGTACAATATGCTAGATCAAATAGATCACTTTTTTTGGAAAGTAGTGTTACAAAATAAAGCCTAATGAGAGAAACCAGGGCTCCCTGGAGAACTGATCAATTCCACAGTTGCAGCAGAGAAAATACAAGATAAGCCTTCAGCATTTTTGTTGCAAGAAATTAAAGAGCGCTCAAAGTGGGTTTCAGGGAGAGAGGTATATCAAAAGGGCATAGGAGCCAACCTGAAAGAACTTCTAATAGCCAAAGATAGAACAATTTGAGCATATCAATTACTGTAACACTGGAATATAACTCATAGAGCACCCATGAGTCCACACTGTTATAAACGAATAAACGGGCTGGGAATGCTGGCTCACATCTGTAAAGCCATACCTGTAAACCCAATAGTTTGGGGGACAAAGGAGGGAAGATCACTTGAGCACAGGTGTCTGAGACTAGCCGAGGCAATACTGTGAGACCCCATCTCTATAAAAAACATAAAAATTAGCCAGGTGTGGTGTTGTACACCTGTAGTCCTAGCTTCTTGTGGGGCTGAGATGGGAGGATCATTTGACCCCAGGTGGTCAAGGCTGCAACAAGCCATGATCACCACCACTGCACTCCAGCCTGGGCAACAGAGCAAGACCTTCTCTCAAAAATAAAATAAAATAAAAGGCCGGGTGTGGTGGCTCACACCTGTAATCCCAACACTTTGGGAGGCCGAGGCAGGCGGATCACCTGAGGTCAAGAGTTCAAGACCAGCCTGACCAACATGGTGAAACCCTTTCTCTACTAAAAATACAAAAATTAGCCAGGCATGGTGAAGAATCGCTTGAACCTGGGAGGCAGAGGTTACAGTGAGCCGAGATTGTGCCACTGCACTCCAACCTGGGCGACGGAGTGAGACTTTGTCTCAAAAAATAAACAAACAAAATGAATGAATGAAAGAAAGAAAAGAAAAGGAGACAGCTCCTCCTTGTAAAAATAAAATAATCTCAATGTAAAAAAGATTAAGGACAACAGAACACAAGAATGTTTTTGCTAAAGTAACCACTAAAGCCAAGATTCACGAGTGAACACTGAATTAATCTGCAAAAGTTTGAGGAAAAACAGAATACTAGGTGCCTAGTTGCAAAGTTATCTTTGCAAAATATTTATCAACAAAGGAACAAACAGTAACTTTACAGTGCAGATACCTGGCAGCTAGTATCAGCCAAGTGATCAAGGTTAACATCACCAAAAATAAGATATCAATATTATGTTGCCTGATATGGTACCCTGAGAAGGGCACATAACTTGAGGTATTCTTGCCAAAAATGCACAACCTCCATCTAATCATGGTAAAACATCAGCCGTACCCCCAAATCAGAAAGAGTCTACAAAACACCTGATCAGTACTCTTCAAAGTGTCACGCTGTGAAAGACAAAAAACAAACAAACAAAAACTAAGAAACTGTAACAGATTGAAGCAGAGTAGGATGACTCAACAATTAAATGTGATTTGGGATTGTATCTAGGAACAGAAGACGTTTATTGACCAAAAAACTGGTGAAATCTGAATAAAGTCTGTAGTTAATAGTACTGTACCAATGTTGATTTCATGGTTTTGATCATTGTACTATGGTGATATAAGATTTAATATTAAAGGAAACAGGGATAAAGAATATATGTATTATTTCTATAATTTTTATCTAAATAAAAATTACTACAAAATATAAAGTTTTTATGCCGGGCATGGTGGCTCACGCCTGTAATCCCAGCACTTTGGGAGGCCGAACAGGTGGATCACTTGAGGCCAGGAGTTCAAGACAACCCTGGCCAACGTGGTGAAACCCCGTCTCTACTAAAAACACAAAAATTAGCCAGGTATGGCGGCACCTGCCTGTAGTCACAGCTACTCAAGAGGCTGAGGCAGGAGAATCGCCTGAAACCGGGAGGTGGAGGTTGCAGTGAGCCAAGATCATGCTACTGCACTCACTCCAGCCTGGATGACAGAGCGAGACTCTGTCTCAAAAAAAAAATTATGTAATTAAGTACAGAATTTCCCAAACTTACTTAACTGCAACAATCTTATTTTTGAAAAACTCTTACTATCATCTCAAAGAGTGTTCTAATTAATATCTGAAAAGGAAGTAAACACCTCTAATTTACTCAATTCCTTGCTCTGCTTTTAACATTACAGCCCCCCAAAAATCATTAACCTCCCAGAAGCCTTAGTTTTATCATGCTGAATCTTTTAAGAATGCAACTTTAAAGAGTCATATAAATAATGTTTTGTTAACACTAAAGGTGTGTGTATACATATATACATACATATATATACACATATATACACATATATATACACACATATATATACACACACACATATATATACACATATATGTATATATTCTTTTGAGATAGAGTTTCACTCTTGTTGCCCAGGCTGGAGTGCAGTGGTGCGATCTCGGCTCACTGCAACCTCTGCCTCCTGGGTTAATGTGATTCTCCTGCCTCAGCTTTCCGAGTAGCAGGGATTACAGGCGCCCGCCACCATGCTCGGCTAATTTGTTGTATTTTTAGTAGAGATGGGTTTCGCCATGTTGGCCAGGCTGGTCTCGAACTCCTGAACTCAAGTAATCCACCCACCAGAGCCTCCCAAAGTGCTGGGATTACAAGCATGAGCCACCACGCCCAGCCTTTTTAAAAATATTTTTAATTGGAAAATTAAATGCTACAGATTTCCTTTTCTTTCTTCTTACATCTCTTAGTTCATCTGCTCTTTACAAATGGGTCTACCAATACTTTTCATAATTGTTTTCATATATCTGGTAATTTTTTGGTCAGGATGACTATACAGCTCACTTTACCCATAACTACCTCAGTTTATGTTCTTATCTCAGAATAATTATTAGTAATGTTTACTTTCACTCTCAAAAATGCCCCAGTTTGGAATGATAAAGCTTATGGTCACCCTGTCTTTGGGCTACTATAAATTCTTTTTATATTGCTTTACCCAATATATATATTTTTTCAGATGGGGTCTCGCTTTGTTGCCCAGTCTCGAGTGCTGCAGCATGATCACAACAGCTCACTGCAGCCTCGACCTCCCAGGCTCAAGTGATTCTCCCACCTCAGCCTCCTGAGTAGGTGACACTAATTTCTGTATTTCTTGTAGAGACAGGGTTTCACCATGTTGCCCAGGCTGGTCTGAACTCCTGGGCTCAAGTGATACTGCCACCTCCCAAAGTGCTAGGATTACAGGCATGAGCCACCATGCCCAACCTGGGAATAAATTTTTCATTTAAAAAATTATTGCCAAATATAACAAAAAGTAATCTAAAAGACATTGAGGTTTTATTCAAAGGTTAAAAATTTTATTCTAACACACAGTATTTACTAAATATTTGGCTGACTTTAGTCAAAGTATACTACCCTTTCATGAGAGAAACAGGTCAACTGTTATGGACTGAATTGTGTATCCCCAAAATTTATACGTTGAAGTCCTAACCCCCAATGTGACTGTATTTGGAGACAAGGCCTTTAAGGAGGAAATTAAGGTTAAATAAAGCCACAGGGTAGGTCCCCAATCCAATATGACAGTGTCTTTACCAGAAAAGAAAGACACCACGGATGCACTAGCACAGAGAAAAGGCCATCTGAGACGTGCAAGCCAAGGAGAAAGGCTTCAGGAGAAATCAAACCTGCCAAAACCTTGATCTTGGACAGAAGCCTCCAGCATTTTGAAAAACAAAAGTCTGTTGTTTACACTGTCCAGTCTGTGAAATTTTGTTATGGCAGCCCTACAGGTGAATAAACCAATATTCATGAGAAATATATTCCAAATATTCCTCTTACCTGGATATGCATATCTCTCTAACTTGTTGAGGTGTCAAAGCAAAAATAAAAAACTTCTCTTGAAATCGCTGAATACTGCTTTGAACTGGGAAGAAAAAAAAAAAGAAAGATAATATTTCAATAACAAATCCAACACTACAACCACCTGCAATAACCAGGCATTTTTTATAAAGTACCTGCCAAATTCTGAAACGTTATGGTTAAAATACTCCAAAATCAGGAAGTACTAAACTGCATTCATCTTGGAATCATGAGTAAAGTCACTACAAAGGGGTTTCTTTAACGTTAAGTACGTAACCATTCTTTATTCTAAAATACTAATGCAGGCTGGGTGCAGTGGCTCACACCTGTAATCCCAACACTTTGGGAAGCCAAGGTGGGTGGATCACCTGAGGTCGCAAGTTCGAGACCAGCCTGACCAACATGGAGAAACCCCATCTCTACTAAAAATATAAAATTAGCTGGGCATGGTGGTGCATGCCTGTAATGCCAGCTACATGGGAGGCGGAGGCAGGAGAATCACTTGAACCCAGAAGGTGGAGGTTGCAGTGAGCCAAGATTGCACCATTGCACTCCAGCCTGGGCAACAAGAGTGAACTCCATCTCAAAAAAAAAAAAAAATACTAATGCACAGTAAAAATATAACAAAACGCTTCAATATTACATTTCATTCTTAACTATAATATTATCTAATGAAAGGAAGTCAAAATGCTCCCCAGGAGAACTGTATTCAAGAATTAAATGTTTTTTGTTTATTTTTCTTTGTTGTATTTTGCTTTTGGTGCTCTGTATTTAATTACACAAAACACTCATATAAGAAAATTTTGAATGTCAAAACTTTTAAGTTTTGAAGATACCTAATTTGCATATGAAAGTCTTCCCAGTTAAAAAATATTGCTTAATGAAGTCACCCTTATGTATATTATTACCTGAAATGTATTTATGACTTCACAAAAACCTGCAATAGGTTAATAATGAATTATTCAATAATGTTCTAGTGTCCATTAAAACAAACAAAAAAGTTAATATATATAGAGGCCTCAAGTCTTTTGCTTCCTAACAATTGCAACATCACCCAAGTAAAGGCAAAATGAGGCCGGGCACAGTGGCTCACACGTGTAATCCCAGCACTCTGGGAGGCCGAGGCAGGTGGATTACTTGAGGTCAAGTGTTCAAGACCAGCCTGGCCAACATGGTGAAACCCCATCTCTACTAAAAACACAAAAATTAGCCAGTCATGGTGGCACGTGCCTGTAATCCCAGCTACTCCAGAGGCTGAGGCAGAAGAATCGCTTGAACCTGGGAGGTGGAGGTTGCAGTGCGCTGAGATCACACCAGTGCACTACAGCGATAGTCTTCAAAAAAAAAAAAAAAAAAGGCAAATGGTCCTTGTATATAACACTGTCCAGTTTTCCTGCTACATGAAGATAAAAAAGATGCCAGTTGGATATCCAATGTCAGAGCGGTTCAACCACAAGTCACATCAAGTCAGAAAAATATTAATTCCCTAGCTAAAATATTCTTTTCTATAAGCACAGTTTATTATAGCAATTATTCTCCTAGAAATGTCACAAAATGGTTCATATTTTTTCAGAACGCTTTAAAAAGGAGGGAAGAGGGAGATGCCGTTTAAGATGAAGGCCAAAAAGTAAAATAAAACTTTGGATTATAAACATAATTATGGAGCATCAAACACAGAAACATAAGTAAGCCTCTCCATTTCTCCAGTTCCTATTCACTCCTCAACCCTTTTTTTCTTGTTCGGACTCCACTTTTCACTATCTGTGGCTAAGGTCACCAATGACCTCTTAACTGCCAAATGTAATAACGTGTATTTTGAGATTACAAGTAAACATGCTGCATTTTAATCTTAATTAATTAATGACATGAGCATCCAGTCTCTTCAGCCAGAAACCTCAAAAGGTCTAAAGTAAGTACAAATGGAGAACTAAAAGAAGAGAGTGCAAAATGAGACATTAAAAAAGAAAACTACTTGCAGAAATAATGAATCAATAATTCTACCTTTGATGGAGGGGAAAAAAGGATTTACAAATCAAACTCCATGTAAAATAATACAAAGAAAACTACCTAGTCACATCATAGTCATACTATTGATTATGTTTGATTAATCTTGAAAGCAACGAGAGAAAAAAGAAACAAGGGAACAATGCAAATCAAGGCCAACTTCTCATCCGAAGCAATATAGGCCAGAAGGTATCTTTAAAGTGGTGAAAGAACAAACTCAACTGAAAATTCAATACCCTTCAAAAGCAGAGTGGAAGAATAACTTTTCAGATAAACAGAAGATATAAGAATTTGCTGACAGCAGACATGCATTACAAGAAATGTAAAACAAAATCACCAGGATTATTTTAAAACATAAATTCAAAACTGGATCTCTGGGAATGAAAATCATACAGTAAATAAGCATAAATGTAAAACAGTATGCTGTATTTTCTTCTTGTAATTTCCTTCAAAAGACTGTTGACAGCTAAAGTGATGGCATTGAAAGGCAGGATTTCTAACACAGGGAGGAAATATGAGAACAGCAAAAAGAATGGAGGGGGTAGATAAAGGAAATTATCTCCCCAACAGTTGTGTTTCCTGCTTTTTTCTGATAAACCTGAAATCTCCCTAAAGACCCTGATAAACCTAAATCTCCCTAAAGACCAATCCACTCTTAGCGTGCCACAAGCAGCAGGTATCTACACCTGTAAAGTTGGGCACAAGACCCTCTGTGAATTCACGAATATAAATGCCAGTATTTGAGGCTCTGTCTGAATGACTGGAGACAACCTACCCTGAAAAGTTTCCAAAACCCATGAACCTTAACATTTGAAAAGAGAATGGTTCCATAGTCATGTTGTACATGTATGTTCAACATGTACTTTTATATCAAATTGTACTTACATGTTGCACATACGCAATATATATGTACAATTTATAGAACTGGCAGCTTAATGTTAGTAGTCTGTGTCATAACAGACATATTCTCGGTGTGCCTTTTATTTTTCTGACATATCTTTGACTTTACCTATATTTGCTGTCAAATTTTCAATCCAGATTATAATCTCAAATAACCACCCAGTATCTATAGAAAAATGGATCTGTGTCATTGCTATATACTATAACCAGACTCCAGGAACTTACAGCAACAAAAAATTGTGCATATGCTAATAAAAATCTAATTTGTATTAACATTGACAGTTCTTAGATAAGTCAATTTTATGACAGAACAGCAGCCAAAAGCATACCAAACTTTCCATAAAGTGAATTTGTTAGCTAAATGGTTATTTTAACATAACCATGAGAAAGAATGCAGGATGCAAAGTATGCAGGTTTTGCAGTTTATTTTCTCCCCATTGTCTACAATTTGGGAATCAGAAAACCAATTCTGCAGAGATTCCATGAATGCCTTTAAGTTAAGAGCAAATGAAATGAAAAAAGATCATGGCTCAAGGGCATGAATTAAATATGGCTTTATTCAAACCTTTCCTTTTTCAACAACCCTTCATAATGTAGATTCTATTTTCCAAATATAACCACATTATCTCCCATCATGTCCTCCTTTTTATGTAAACTTGACATTCTTCCAACTGAGTAGTGGGGTCTTTATCAACCTCCCTTTGAATCTGAATGGCCTTTTGTAATAGCATCAACCAACAGTGTACAGTTTAAGTGATGCTATACAGCTCCAAGGCTGAACCATAAAAATACCACACACATCTTCCTTGCTCTGTGGGGACACTCATTCTTGGAACCTAGCTCTCATGCTATAAAGAAGCCCAAATTAGACCACATGAAGAAGCCACATATGGGTATTCCAGCCAACAGCCAAGCTAAGTCCAAGTCATCAGGTGGCATAGCTGCCAAACATATCAGGGAAGATGCCTCCAAGTGATCTGAGCTTCTGGCCAAGTGCACCTCAAGCATATGTCTTCTCAGCTAAGACCCCAGAGATCTTGGGATAAGAAACAAGCCACCCACACACTGCCCTTCCAAATTCCTGACCTAAGGAATCCATGAGCATGTCAGACACAGTAAGTTCCTCTTCAAAGGTTTAATTTCTGACTTCCCTGTTCTTTGCTCTTAAGCTCAACTTCCTTGTCCCTTCTCCTAAGCTATCTGCTCTGTAAACAACTACTTCTGCCAGTCCCAATCTGTAACTCACATCTCTTCCTTATTTGGAAAGAGTCCTCTTTACTCCTGGCTACCCATTCTGTAAGCTCCCCCTCTTGCTGAGACAGCTCTCCCTGCCGAAACTACCCTTCCCGCCTTTGCCGCACCCTGACATGCCCAAACATGCCTTGTACTGTAACAGACAGCCTCTCCCTTTCCGCCTAATTAGCCATATTCAATTTTAAATGGTAGCCAATCAGGTCAGTGTAGATTGTGCCGTCTGACTCCAGCCAATGGGGAAAGGACACAGAACCAGAGATTAACCGTGTTAGGGATAAAAACCCCTTCCCCTCCTTTGTTTGGTGTGCTCTCGCAGCGGCCAGAAGTGTGACCAGCACCCTTCTGCAGAAGTAAATTTGCTTTGCTGAGAAATCCTTCATTTGGCATTTGGGTGCTTGTTTTCCTTGTGACTCCAAGCTCTTGTTTCTAACAACTTGGGGGCTCATCCGCGATTGCCTTTCTCATCCAGGAAGAGGTCCCTGATCATCTCTCATGAGGAGATGCGTCCCCCTGCCTCACTGTGGTGGCCTCAGGGATGAGGGATCAAGACCTCCCCCAGCATGATGAATAAACCTGGACTCTCAGCAACGCAGGTGAAAAGGATCCTCACACACCATGGCAACCAGGTAACTCTGTACACAAACCAAGGTAAGAAAAGTCGTGGGGGTGACAAAGTATTTCCTTGGTGGTTGGGACAACTTGGAGCTTGAATGTGTGTGAATGAGATGTACAATTAAGCACAAAGCAAGCGTGGAGTCTGGATCTGCAGTTCTGTGGTCACCTCATATGGCTTATGGCAGATTCCTGTTGTGGGGCTTATACCGACACACCGATGCTAAGAGGGACTTAAATTCCCGTGAGGGAAGCAGCCAGAGAAGGACAAAGCAAAAGGAGAGTAAAAAAGACCTCCAGTAGAGGGGGGTTAAGCCTCTAGAGAAGGGAAGGCAAGAAATATCTAATACGAGGAGGGACTGAGCCTCAGCAAACCTCTAGAGAAGGGAAGGCAAGAAATCTCTAATATGAGGAGGGACTGAGCCTCAGCAAACCTCTAGAGAAGAGAAAGCAAGAAATCTCTAATACAAGGGATTGAGCCTCAGCAAGCCTCTAGAGAAGGGAAGGCAAGAAATCTCTAATATAAGGAGGGACTGAGCCTCAGCAAACCTCTAGAGAAGAGAAGGCAAGAAATCTCTAACATGTGGCATTGAGCCTCACATCAAACCTCCAGGATGGGAAACACCCCACGTAAGACAGGAAATGAAAGATATAAAGCTAGTGATGATAACAACATTCCCTCTGGTAGTCCCTTAGGTCTCATGTTAACATACTGGAGGGACAGTGAAAGGACTAAACATAATAAAAAACAACAAATGACAAAATATTGTTGTTTCATTTGGACCACAGAGCTCATCCTCACACCCTCAGTTTTCTGGCCAAAGTTTCAGTCAAATGAGGATTGAATTTGTCAACTTCTAATAGAGTATGTCAATGACAAGAGTCCCATCTCCCAGGAGGAAATAGATTATGCCCTGTATTGGCAGCAGGGACCCATCCTTCTTTACCCCCTAAAAGCTATAGGAAGTAAGCCAGAAATCAGTTCCTCTGAGGAAAGTAAGACCTCTACCCCAAAACAATCCACCAATGTATGAGACCCACCAGACCACCCACCTCCGCCAAATCCCCCACCCCAAGCAGGTGCACAGGACCCCCTTCACTCAATTCCTCCTCCATATAACCCTGAGTCAATGCCTGCCCCAATGCCCCGTGCCCTCCCTAACCACACGTCTGAGTCTATGCCTCCTCCAGGAAGGCTCTAGTGTGAGACAGAACAGTGTAAAAAGGATATTCAGAACTCCTTTTCCCCTCCACCTCTAAGGAATCAGCCCCAACTCTTTTCCCCTTGAGGGAAGTGCCCCTTGGAGGAGAAGGAATCGGCTTTGTAAATGCTCCCCCTTCACTAGCTCAGAAGTTCGAAATTTAAAAAAGGAACTCAAGACCGGGTGCAGTGGCTCAAGCCTGTAATCCCAGCACTCTGGGAGGCCGAGGCAGGTGGATCACAACGTCAGGAGATTGAGACCATCCTGGCTAACATGGTGAAACCCCGTCTCTACTAAAAATACAAAAAAATTAGCCAGACGTGGTGACGGGCGCCTGTAGTCCCAGCTACTTGGGAGGCTGAGGCAGAAGAATGGCGTGAACCCAGGAGGTGGAGCTTGCCGTGAGCCATGATCGTGCCACTGCACTCCAGCCTGGGCAACAGAGCAAGACTCCGTCTCAAAAAAAAAAAAAAAAAAAAAAAAAAAAAGGAACTCGAGTCATTATTAGATGACCCATGTGGGGTAGCAGATCAAATTGATCAATTCTTAGGGCCACAGCTGTATACTTGGGCAGAGTTAATGACCATCCTGGGCATCCTCTTTTCAGGGGAAGAAAGAAGCATGATCCAAAGGGTTGCTATGGTAGTCTGGGAACGTGAACATCCTCCTGGCCAAAACATTCCTGCAGCCGACCAAAAATTTCCAGCCCAAGACCCTCGATGGGTCAATAACAATGCAGCTCACCAAGAGAATATGAAAGATCTCAGGGAAATGGTAATAAAAGGAATTCAGGAATCAGTACCTCAGACCCAAGATATTTCCTGAGCATTCCATATACAACAAAGAAAGGATGAAGGACCTATGGAATTCCTAGAGAGGCTGAAAGAGCAAATGAGACAATATGCAGGCCTAGACTTAGAAGACCCTCTTGGGCAGGGAATACTCAAGTTACATTTTGTTATGAACAGTTGGCCAGATATTGCTAAGAAATTACAAAAGATAGAGAATTGGAAAGACTGGACTATTGAAGAGCTTTTAAGAGAAGCTCAAAAAGTATATGTGAGAAGAGATGAAGAAAAGCAGAAACAAAAGGGAAAAATTACGTTACCCACCTTCCAACAGGGGTTCCAAAAGACAAGGCCCACTGATACTACTCTCCATTACCTACAGACCCCACACCCCTAAACAAGGGCTACAGGGGGCCAAAGCTTACAAAGGATTTAAGTCCTCACATGCTAAACCATATAAAGGACATAGAGAGACAAGACCAGGTAACCTCAGAACAGGGAGGGAGGGAGGACAAAATACATGCTTCAAATGTGGAGGAGCAGTCATTTTAAGAGAGAATGTCCTGAATGGGAGAAGGAGAAAGAAGTCATTCCATTTAAGGGAGTCAGGGGCTCTATTCTTTTTATCTTGAATTCTACCAAGAGCCCTTGATAAACTTAGAGGTGGGACCCAAACATGAAGTTATAACCCTTTTAACAGATTCAAGAGCAGCTCGTTCCTGTTTGTTTCCCTTTACCTAATGTCCCTTGCTCCTCAGAAGAACTTTTTGTCTTGGGGGTGAAAGGAGAAAGGTTTAAAGCAAGAATCTTAGAAGACACAGAGGTCAAATATAAAAATTGATCAGCCCACTTTCAATTTCTGTTAATCCCTGAGGCAGGAACTAACCTATTAGGAAGACATTTAATGCTAAAACTAGGTATAGGCCTACATGTCAGTCCAAACGGATTTCTCACCTCATTAAATCTACTTACCACTGCAAATGAAAAATATATTCATCCTGATGTATGGGCGAGAGAAGGAAATCGAGGAAGACTTCAAGTTGCTCCAATACATATGAAGTTAAAACCCCCAGGGGAAATAGTAAGAAGAAAGCAATATCCCATTCCCCTAGAGGGCAGGATAGGCCTAAAACCTGTAGTCGAAGGTCTCATTCAAGATAAGCGCCTTGAACACTGTATGTCCCCTTATAATACTCCAATATAGCCTGTAAAGAAATTAGACGGGTCATGCTGACTAGTGCAAGGCCCCAGAGCTATTAACTAAACAGTCCAGACTACCCACCCTGTTGTTCCCAACCCTTACACTATCCTCAGCAAAATACCATATGACCATCAATGGTTTACAGTGATAGACTTAAAAGACACCTTCTAGGCATGCCCCTTGGCTGAGGACAGCAGGGACATATTTGTTTTTGAATGGGAAGATCCTCATTCTGAGCGAAAGCAACAATACCAATAGATAGTCTTGCCCCAAGAGTTTAGAGATTCACCTAACCTCTTTGGTCAAATCCTAGAACAGATTCTAGAACAAATTTGTACCCCCAAAACACATATGCTTGCTCCAATACGTGGATGACCTGCTTATATCTGGTGAAGCTATAGAACAGGTGGCTGTCTTCTCCACACACCTTCTTAACCATTTACAAGAGAAGGGGTTACGAGTTTCAAAAGGAAAGCTCCGATCTGTGGAACCCAAGGTTAAGTATTTAGGACACTTAATAAGTAAAGGCAAGCCAAGGATAAGGCCCGAACGGGTCAAAGGAATCGTGTCCTTACCTTTGCCTAAAACCAAGAAAGAACTCAGAAAACTTTTGGGATTAGTTGGGTATTGCTGACTATGGATTGATTAATATGCCCTAGAGATGAAACCCTTATACCTGAAGCTCACCCAGGAAAAGCCTGACTTTCTCCTATGGACTTCTGATGAAATCCACCAGGTTGAGGAGCTAAAACACCTACTCATCACTGCCCCTGTCTTAGCCCTTCCTTCCCTAGAAAAACCATTTCACCTTTTCATTAACGCAAACAAGGGGGTAGCTTTAGGGGTGCTTACTCAAGAACATGGGGGCCACTGACAACCTGTGGCCTTTGTATCAAAAGTTTTTGACCCAGTAACCTGTGGGTGGCCCAAATGTGTTCAATTTATCACGGCTACCGCCTTGTTAACTAACAAAAGCAGGAAGCTAACCTTTGGGGGAAACTTGGTGGTGACCACACCCCATCAGGTTAGAACAATCTTAAAAGGCAGGAAGATGGCTCACCGACTCAAGGATTTTAAAGTATGATGCTATCTTACTAGAAAGAGGTAACTTAACATTAACCACTGATAATTCACTTAACCCAGCAGGTTTCCTGACAGGGAACCCAAATCTAAAAGGCCCTGGGCGTAAATGTTTAGATTTAATTGATTATCACACAAAGGTCAAGGCTGATTTAAGAGAGACCCTTTTCAAAACAGGACATCTATTCATAGATGGCCCCTCTAGGGTAATTGGGGGAAAAAGGAGTAATGGGTATTCGGTGGTTGATGGAGAAGCTCTTGCAGAAGTAGAGTCAGGAAGATTGCCCAATAATTGGTTGGCCCAAACATGTTAATGCATGTTTAACATGCATTAAATCAGGCTTTAAAACATTTACAAAACCAAGAAGGGAATATTTATACTGATTCTAAATATGTCTTTGGGGTAGCCCATACCTTTGGAAAAATTTGGACTGAACAAGGTCTCATTAATAGCAAAGGCCAAGACCTTGTCCACAAAGAATTAATCACCCAGGTATTAGATAACCTTCAGTTGCTAGAAGAAATAGCTATTGTTCATGTCCCAGGACACCAGAAAAATCCTTCTTTTGAAAGCCGAGGGAATAACCTTCAGACCAAATAGCCAAACAAGCTGCCGTTTCCTCTGAAACGCCCGTTTTTCACCTCCCTCCTTGCCTTTCTCCCCCTACCGCCATTCCCATCTTCTCCCCCGCTGAAAAGGAGAAGTTAATAAAAATAGGAGCCAAGGAAAACTCAGAAGGGAAATGGGTGTTACCAGATCAAAGAGAAATGCTATCCAAATGTCTCATGAGGGAGGTTTTATCTCAGTTGCATCAAGAAACCCACTGGGGACCTCAAGCTCTGTGTGATGCAGTTCTTGGAGTCTCCAGATGTAGAGGAATTTATACTCTAGCAAAACAAGTTACAGATAATTGTTTAATATGCAAAAAAACTAATAAGCGAATCCTAAGAAAACCACCCATCGGAGGAAGAACCCTGGAATAGGGCCATTCCAAAGCATCCAAATAGATTACACTGAAATGCCCCCAATAGGTCGCCTAAAGTATCTACAAGTAATACTGGATCACCTTCCTCACTGGGTAGAAGTTATTCCCTTTTCAAGTGCAGCCACCAGTAATGTAGTTAAGGCATTAATCAAAAATATCATACCTAGGTTTGGATCACTAGAAAATATTGATTCAGATAATAGAACCCACTTCGCTGCACGTCATTAAAAAGCTAGCCCAGCTATTAGAAATAAGATGGGAATACCATACCCCCTGGCACTCACCTTCATCAGGAAGAGTAGAAAGAATGAACTAAACCCTAAAAAGCCACCACACCAAATTAACTTTAGAGACTCGACTACCATGGACCAAATGCCTTCCCATTGCCTTACTGAGGGTCTGAACTACCCCTCGGAAAGATATTGGCTTATCTCCTTATGAAATGCTATACGGGTTGCCTTATTTACACTCCACTGCTGACATTCCTACGTTTGAAACTAAAGATCAATTTCTCAGGAGTTACATACTTAGTCTGTCTTCCACTTTCTCTTCCCTCAGAACTAAAGGCCTTTTAGCAGAGACACCACCCTTGGAGTTCCCAGCATGTCAGCATCAGCCTAGGGATCACGTTCTCATCAAAAGCTGGAAAGAAGGAAAACGCGAACCAGCTTGGGAAGGACCCTATCTAGTGCTTCTAACTACAGAAACCACTATCTGCACGGCCAAAAGGGGATGGACAGACCACACGCGAGTGAAAGGAGTGGCTTCCACAGCCAGAGAAAAATGAGCCGTCACCCCAGGGCCCACCCCCACCAAATTACCTCTAAAAAGGGCTTAATATTATTTTCCCTTTTCTTTCCAACAGAAGGTCACCTTGTCATCTATGTGACTCAAACTAACCATCCCTTAACCCTTCAGTTTGACGCTTGTTCAGTCATCTCATATGGAGATGAACGAACTCAAAGGCAGCTATCAAATGTAGATAAGTATCTATGTCCGTACTGTAGTGAGTCAACAAAGTATAAGCATGGAGCCTTAAAAAGTCCCTGTGGTGACTGGACAGATGTTTGGTGGACCACCCAATATGGAGGATGGACAGCCAGGCCCCCTTCTTCAAACAAGTTGCAAGGACTGAAACAGAAACTCCAACTTACGTGGTCCCACCCCATCAAATTGTAAGTCACTGCAATGTAACCCCTTATCCCCTTGTTGCTAATTATAGATAATCCCCAAACAATGGCCCAAGAACCCTCCATATTCGAATGGTATGGGTTAGGAGCAGATGTTATAGGACGGGACCCCATAAGAATCTTCTCTCTGAGTCGGTTGAAAACAATAAAGAAATCCAGACCCAGAGTCCGGGGAATATATGGGATCCAACACTTTCCCCAAACATATCATGCCCAGCATTCTCCTCCCATCTCCAGAACCACCCAACTAAGGTAACGGCTGTGGAGGTGAAAGAATTAAGGCAGACTATAGCTCTAGAGACAGGATACAAAGATGCAAATGCCTGGCTGAAACGGATTAAATATTCCATCCGCACTCTAAACAAAAGAGATTGTTATGCTTGTGCGCACCGCAGGCCAGAGGCCCAGACTGTCCCCTTTCCACTCAGATGGTCCTCCAGCCGACCAGGCATGAACTGTATGGTAGCTCTCTTCCAACGCCCCACAGCCTAGGGTAATGAATTATGCCAAGCTCTCTCTTGGCTATTCCCTGAAGTTCGGCACCCTATGGGTCAGGCCCTGAGGGCCACGTCAATTTTACCTCATGTCTCTCACAACAAGGGGACAACTTAGCATTTCTTGGAGACCTAAAGGGATGCAGTGAGTTTAAGCCATTCCGAGAGCTGACCTATCAGTCTGCCCTGATCCATCCGCAAGTGGATGTATGGTGGTATTGTGGCGGACCATCACTGGACACTCTGCCAAGTAACTAGAGCAGCACTTGTGCTCTGATCCAATTGGCCATCCCTTTCACCCTAGAATTTCATCAACCAAAAAGGATAAAGACAAAGGATTGTATAACAAGAGATAGCCCTCATGGGTCCTTTGACCCTCACGTTTATATAGATGCCACTGGAGTCCCGAGAGGAGTGCCAGATGAATTTAAGGTGCAAAATCAGATAGTGCAGGGTTTGAGTCCATACTATTCTGGTGGTTAACTGTAAATAAAAATGTAGATTGGATAAATTACATCTATTACAACCAGCAACGATTTGTTAACTATATTAGAGATGCTAGTAAAGGAACAGCTAAACAATTAGGACCTACCAGCCAAATGGCTTCAGAAAATAGAATAGCATTAGACATGATACTAGCAGAGAAAGGTGGAGTTTGTGTCATCATTGGAACTCAATGTTGTACTTTTATACCTAATAATACTGCTCCCGATGGAACCATAACAACAAAAGCATTACAAGGTCTTACTGCTTTATCCAATGAACTAGCTAAAAATTCAGGAATAAATGATCCCTTTACTAATTTTTTTTTTTTTTTTTGAGATGGAGTCTTGCTCTGTCACCCAGGCTGGAGTGCAGTGGCGCTATCTCAACTCACTGCAAGCTCTGCCTCCCGGGTTCACACCATTCTCCCGCCTCAGCCTCCCGAGTAGCTGGGACTACAGGTGACTGCCACCAAGCCCAGCTAAATTTTTTTTTGTATTTTTAGTAGAGATGGGGTTTCACCGTGTTAGCCAGGATGGTCTCGATCTCCTGACCTCATGATCCACCTGCCTCAGCCTCCCAAAGTACTGGGATTACAGGCGTGAGCCACAGTGCCCGGCCTCCTTCACTAATTTAATGGAAAAATGGTTTGGCAAATGGAAAGGACTTATGTCCTCAATCCTTACTTCTCTTGCCTTTGTAACAGGTGTGCTTATTCTTGTAGGATGTTATATCATACCCTGTGCCAGAAGCCTAGCACAAAGGCTTATTGAAACAGCTCTTATTAAAACCTTTTTCAATCTCCCCACCACCTTATTCAGATAAGCTCCTACTTTTAGAAAACCAGGCAGAATAACAGAGTCAAGAAATGTTAAAAACGTTTGAAGAGGAAGAATTATAAAAATCAAAAGAAGGGAACTGTCAGATATGGCTAAGTTCCTCTTCAAAGGTTTAATTTGTAACTTCCTTGTTCTTTGTTCTCGAGATCAACTTCCTTGTCTCTTCTTCTAAGCTACCTGCTCTGTAAACAACTTCTCCTGCGAGTCCCAATCTGTAAGTCACATCTCTTCCTTATTTGGAAAGCGTCCTCTTCACTCCTGACCACCCATTCTGTAAACTGCCCCTCCCGCCGAAACAGCTCTTCCCATCAAAACTACCCTTCCTGCCTTTGCCGCGCCCTGACATGCCCAAACACGTCTTGTACCGTAACAAACAGCCTCCCCCTTCCTACCTAATTATTCATATTCAATTTTAAACAGTAGCCAGTTGGGTCAGTGTAGATTGTGCAGTCTGACTCCAGCCAATGGGGACACGACACAGAACCAGGGAATAACCGCGTTAGGGATAAAAACCCCTTCCCTACTTTGTTTGGTGTGCTCTCGCAGTGGCCAAAAGTGCAAGCAGCACCCTTTTGCAGAAGTAAATTTGCCTTGCTGAGAAATCCTTCGTTTGAGTACTCATTTTCCTTATGACTCCGAGCTCTTGTTTCTAACAAGCATAATAAAATACCTGCTTTACACCACTATGTTTTGGAAGACTATATTATACAGCAACAGTAAATGAAATAATGCCACAATTTCATGAATTTTGGCATAATCTTATCAATTCCAAGTATTCAGATTCATTTATAATTACTAAATGAGTAGGCTACTGGTATAATAGTTATGACAGCTCTAAATCTATGGATCCCTTTTTCCTCTTTATAAATTTTTAAACTTAACTAGACCAGAATATAACAGTCCTATATCCTAGCCTTAGCCCTACTGGTTACTATCCAAGTTATTTAGGAAATTTACAAGTCTCTCTACACCTCATTTCAAATGGAAGTAACACTTTTCTCACCTGCCTTTTTAAGATGGTTTTGTGGACTAAATGCAGGAACATGTGAAAGCATTCTGAAAACAGTAAGATACTATACATGTAATATATTTTCACTTGTGGAAGTCCTCATCAAAAGTCTATGCTTTTTAAGATACCAAAATTTCAGGAAAAAACAAGCAGTTCAACAGATATATTTTGTCACCTACTTTGTAACATTGACTTTATCTTGATAAGACATTTAGGTCAAAAATTAATATTTTAATGTGCCTAAATGTTAAATATACTTAATATAAAACCTGCCAAGTCATCCCCCACCATCACCCCCTGCAAGCACTATATTGACACCTTTTAATAAACTGGTTTATATTTCAGTAAAAATGCTTCCTAGGCTAGGTGCAGTGGGTCACTCCTGTAATCCCAGCACTTTGGGAGGCCAAGGTGGGCGGATCACCTGAGGTCAGGAGTTCGAGACCAGCCTGGCCAACATGGCGAAACCCCGTCTCTAATAAAAATACAAAATTAGCCAGATATGGTGGCCCATGCCTGTAAGCCCAGCTACTCAGGAGACTGCGGTAGCAGAATCACTAGAACCCGGGAGGCAGAGTTTGCAGTGAGCGGAGATCACACCACTGCACTCCAGCCTGGGCAACCAGAGCAAGACTCCGTCTATAAAAAACAAAAACAAAAACAAGAATGCTTCCTAGCGGTTACTGCCAAGGTTAACAGGGGCTCATACTATGGCTAACATAGGGAAAAGATAAACCAAGAGGTTTTTTAGGGAGTTTTGTGGATTAAAATGGCTCAGTCTAGCCAATCTAACAGTAAAATAATTCATAAAGTAACAATGAATGAATCAGTTTAATTACTCTGCATTTTCTAAGATCCTGAGCTATCCGGTTCTCATCACCTACCAGCTACTGTATCATCACCAACTAAAGAATGTCTTCTCCCACTGCAATGCTGCACTAAAATAAAAGGGAGTAGGGTAGGAGCAGGACTTCTAAAACTCAACAGCTAAAAACAACTCAATTCAAAAATGGACAAAGGACTTGGATAGACATTTCTCCAAGTACATACAAATGGCAAATATGCACATGAAAACATGCTCAACATCACTAATCATTAAAGAAATGCAAATCAAAACTATAATGCAATGCCACCTCACACCCATCAGGATGGTCACTATAAAAAAAAATAGTAATAATAGTAAGTGCAGATGAGGACAGGGAGAAACTGGAACCCCTGTGCACTGCTGGTGGGGAATGTAAAATGGTGCAGCTGCTGTGGAAAACAGTTTAGTGGTTCCTCAAATAATTAAAAATAGAATTACCATACGATCCCGCAATTTCACTTCTGGGTGTATACTCATAAGAATTAAAAAACAGAATCTTGAAGAGATGTTTGTATACTCACAGTCATAGCAGCATCATTCACAATAGCTAAAATGTGGAAGCAATCCAAGTGTCCATTGGAGAATAAATGAATAAAACACCATGTATACATACAATAGAATATTACTATGCCTTAAAAAGGAAAAAAAATCTGACATGTTATAACATGGACAAACCTTGAGGACATTACGTTTAGTGAAATAAGCCAATCACAAGAAGACAGATAATATGACACGTAAGTCAAATAATAAGACATATAAGTATGATTCTACTTATATGAGAAATCTAGAGTAGTCAGAATCTTAGAAAGCAAGATGGTGGTTGCCAGGAGCTGGGGGAAGAGGGAATAGTGAATTACTGTTAAATGCATATAGAGTTTCAGTTTTGCAAGATGAAAAGGGTTCTCTGGAGATAGATGGCAGCGATGGTTCCAACAATATTAATATACTTCATGCCACTGGATTTTAAAATGGTCAGACAGTATGTATTTTACCACAGTAAAAAAAAAAAAAAAAAAAATTGGGGATGGGGACAGTGGTTCATGCCTATAATCCCAGCACTTTGGAAGGCCGAGACGGGAGGATCCCTTGAGCCCAGGAGTTCCTGACCAGCCTAGGGAAGATGGCAAGACCTGGTCTCTACAAAAAAAATGTAAAAATTAGCTGGGCATGGTGGTGCACACCTGTGGTCCCAGCTACTTAGGAGGATCACTTAAGCACAGAAGGTTAGGCTGCAGTGAGCTGTGATCTCACAACTATACCCTGCCTGGGTGAGAGACAGAGAGACCCTGTCTCAAAAAAAACAAAACAAAACAAAACAACTGGGCAGGGCAAGGTACAGTGACACACACTTACAGTGACACATACCTATAGTCCCAGCTACTCAGGAGGCTGAGGCAGGAGGTTCACTTGAGGCCAAGAGTTCAAGGATGCAGTGCACAATGATCATGCCTGTGAATAACCACTGCACTCCAGCCTGGGCAACACAGTGAGACCCCCGTCTACTAAAAAAGTAAAAAATAATTTTTAAAAATTGGGACAAAAAATTTAAATTTCTTCAAAAATAAATAGGGGCTGACCCTCAAACATGTAGAAATAAAAATACACACACAAAAAGAACATTCTCATACAGTTGTAACAGAAGAAATACATAAAGTCAATACAGGCTCTCTTCTATATTAGCAAACTAGCTCATTTTTGATAACCTGTGTCTTGACATGTTGGAACTAACAGGCACACACAATGCTTTCAAGAAACACTTTACAACTGCATCTATATAGCAATATCCAATTGTTTACAAATACAGTTTTCACTGAACACTGCTTTAAATTATAATCCCATTATATACAGCAAAGTTTTTCTAATTTAATCAGATTTAAATAGAACATAGCAAAACTGAGTTATTTGTAGGTGATTTATCTATACAGAAATTATCATTTTATTAATAATCACCAGTGATGCTTCCTCTCCATTTTCACTACCACCACCCTACTGAAAGCCTATTATAACCTTCTTCAAATGAAACAGCAGCCCCAACTCCTGCCAGTCTCCCACCAGTGTGGAGTTAGTCCACCTTATTACTTTCAACCCCCTTCCTCTGCTCAAAATGCTCACCAACGTCCTATCTCTGAACGACCCCAGGCTCTTTCCTAGCAAACCTACATTTCTTCAAGCCCCCTCCAGGGCTTACTCAGTTCAAAGGGCTTACTCTACCTGTGGGTGTGTACCATTTTATTTTCTATTTTATTCTGATTAAATAAATCTGATTAAATTAGAAAAACTTTGGTGTATGTAATGGGATTATAATTTAAAGCAGTGATAAGTGAAAACTGTATTTGTAAAAAACTGAATATTGCTATATAGATGCAATTGTATTTTATTCTATTTATTTCTAAAATAAACCATTTTATTTTCTATTTCTGTGACCACTCACAGTTCTCCCCTTTCTTGGCATTTCTTCTCCTACAAACTCTGCCAATCCAAAGTAGGCGCATTCATCCTTCAAAGCTCCCTCAAGTCTCACTACAAGAAGCCTTGACTGAATTCTCCATTCATTAGGCCAATGCAGTAACTGACCTTTAGATGTACAACTGACAGTGCTTCATCATGCAAACACCTATCTACTTGCTACTTATTTCGAATGTGAACATTACCTCCCTAACTGTGTAACAAACACCTTAAAGCCCATCTCATACTTCTGGCTTCTCCACAATTAAGAATACACAGACACCGGGCACGGTGGCTCACGCCTGTAATCCCAGCACTTTGGGAGGCCAAGGCAGGCAGATCACGAGGTCAAGAGTTCCAGACCAGCCTGGCCGACATGGTGAAACCCTGTCTCTACTAAGAATACAAAAATTAGCTGGGCATGGTGACACATGCCTGTAATCCCAGCTACTCGGGAGGCTGAGGCAGGAGAATCACTTGAACCCAGGAGGCAGAGGTTGCAGTGAGCCAAGATCCCGCCACTGCATTCCAGCCTGGGTGACAGAACAAGACTTTGTCTCGGTGGCGGTGGGGGAAGACTACATAGCCATATCCAAATTAAGTCCTTATTATATACTTATTAACTGAGTTAATAAAAATAATATATACAGTAAATTAGAATATTATATTTTAATGGCTTTAACATTAATGTGCATATCATTTGAATACTGTTTAATCATATCCAAAAGCTTAATGAGTGTGTCCTAATGTTCAAGAATTTAAGGATAAAAAGAGATTGATTCTTATTAATTTTTCACCTTTCAGATTAGCAAAAATTAAAAGACCAACAATACAATGCTGATGAGTGTATAGGGAAAACAGTACCTCCACACACACAAATGGACTACAAATTGGTGCAATGCTGTGGAAGCTACTGTCGAATTTCCCTCTAAAGGTGAATATCAAAATATAAAATATTCATATTTTGACCCAACAACTTCACATCCGGGCATTTATCCTTCATATATATGTGTACAAGTATTCAGAAATATATGCAAAAGTTGTTCATAGCTGCAATGTCTGTAAAACTGCAAGAATAGTGCCTGATACATGCTATACACAAAAATACTTCTGAATGAATAAACAGTGAAAGCCCATTGAAGATGTACATCAAAAAAGTACTGGGTAAGTTACGGTACATCTATAAGATAATAGAACTACTGCAATAAATCTGCTGTAATAAATTTCCAGGAAATACTGTTAAGAAAGATTGTCACGGTGCAAAACTCTAGGGAACACTATTCACAGATATTACAAACAGAATAGTGCCCCCACTCCCTCAACCAGACACTCTGCAGTTGGAAAAGGTTTTAAGAGACCAGCCTGGACAACATGGTGAAACCCTGTCTCTACTAAAAATACAAAAATTAGCCAGGCCTGGTGGCGGGTGCCTAGAATCCCAGCTATTGGGGAGGCTGCGGCAGGAAAAAAAAAATCGCTTGAACCCGGGAAGCAGAGGTTGCAGTGAGCCAAGATCACACCACTGCACTGCAGCCTGGGCGACAGAGGGAGACTCCGTCTCAAAAGAAAAAAAAAAAAACAAAAAGAGAGAAGAGAAAAAGCATTAACATAACACAAGCGGAGAAAAAATAAACTTGATATGACTCTAGCTGAGCAATGAATGAGATTACGAAGGACTGTCCCTTTCTTATGATTTTTGATTCCAAATATTAACTACTTTTGTAATCTGAAAAGAACAATGAAGAAATTAAGGAATCAAAGGTTCATAAAACTTTGAAGGTATTTCACATAACACCAGCCAGCCAGACATATCAACATTTATGATGCATATAAACAGCGAACAAAGAGTCACAGAAGAATACATATAAGAATATAATTATATAGTGCCAAGCGCAGTGGCTCATGCCTGTAATCCCAGCACTTTGGGGGGCCGGGGCAGAAGGATAGCTTGACCTCAGGAGTTCAAGACCAGCCTGGACAACATAGAGAGACCTCCTCTCCACAAATAAAAAAAATCAAAGCCTGGCAGAATGGCTCATGCATTTTAATCCCAGCACTTTGGGAAGCTGAGGCAGGCAGCTCTCTTGACCCCAGGAGTTCAAGACCAGCCTGGGCAACATAGCAAAATCTCATATCTACAAAAAAATACAAAAAAATTAGCCAAGCATGGTGGTGCATGCCTGTAGTCACAGCTACTCAGGAAGCCTAGGTAGGAGGATTGCTTCAGCCCAGGAGGTTGAGGCTGAAGTGAGCCAAGATTGTACACTCTAACCTGGGCAATTAAGTGACCCTCTCTCAATAAATAATAAATAAATTAAAATCAGTCAGGTGTGGTGGTATACACCTGTGGGTCCCAGCAACTTGGAAGGCCTGAGGTGGGAGGATCACTTGAACCTGAGAGGTAGAGGGTGCAGTGATGCCACTGTACTCCAGCCTGAATGAAAGAGCAAGACCTTATAAAAAGAACAAAAACAAAAGGAATACCTTATATAAATTTCAGAAGCAAGCTAACTAAACTTTTTTTTACAAATACACATATATGATGAAATAAGCAAACAAGAGAAACACAAATCCAGGATAGTGATTTAACTCAGAAAAGAGAGGGCTTTAAAGATATGGTAATGTTCCTTTTTCAGAAAGTAGCAGCTTCACAGGTGTTCATTCCCTTGAATCTTTATAACTTAACATGTTTTATATACATATTCCTTTATACAGATAGAATACAGACAAATTTTTAAAACAGAAAATTCCCAAAGGATCTCATGTTTTATTTATTTATTTTTTATTTTTTTTTGAGACAGAGTCTCACTCTGTCACCCAGGCCAGAGTGCAGTGGCTCGATCTAGGCTCACTGCAAGCTCCGCCTCCCAGATTCACGCCATTCTCCTGCCTCAGCCTCCCGAGTAGCTGGGACTACAGGTGCCCGCCACCACGCCGGCTAATTTTTTGTGTTTTTAGTAGAGTCGGGGTTTCACCATGTTAGCCAGGATAGTCTCCATCTCCTGACCTCGTGATCCGCCCACCTCGGCCTCCCAAAAGTGTTGGGATTACAGATGTGAGCCACCGCACCTGGCCTCATGTTTTTTAAAAATTATCTTGCCAGGTGCCGTGGCTCACGCCTGTAATCCCAGCACTTTGTGAGGCCAAGGCAGGCAGATCACTTGAGGTCAGGAGTTTGAGACCAGCCTGACCAACATGAAGAAACCCTGTCTCTACTAAAAATATAATAAATTAGCCGGGCGTGGTGGCACATGCCTGTAATCCCAGCTACTCGGGAGGCTGAGGCAGGAGAATCGCTTGAACCCAGGAGGCAGAGGTTGCGGTGAGCTGAGACCGTGCCATTGCACTCTAGCCTGGGCTACAAGAGCAAATCTGTCTCAAAAAAAAAAAAACTTAAAAAATTGAAGAGGAAATCAAGACTGCCTGTGAGAGCACATCAGGATGGTTATTTAAGGAAAGAAAATGGAGATTTTTGCTAGTTTGTTTTTAGATTAGGGGATTATCCATTTTGTTAACAGTAGAACCTTAGCTACAGAGCACTTTATTTAGTATTATTGTATACACTCATGTTTTCAAGATACCACAATTTTTCACTTCAAGTGATAAAAAAAATTTTATATCAACCCTTTTGAATAGAAATAACCCCAAGCTGCAAAACAATATACTAATGTATCTTCTTAAATAGAATATACTCATTATGGGCCACAGGCAGTGGGTCATGCCAGTAATCCCAGCAGTCTGGGAGGCTGAAGTGGGCAGACCACGAGGTCAGGAGTTCGAGACGAACCTGGCCAACATAGTGAAACCCCGTCTCTATTAAAAATACAAAAAAAATTAGCTGGGCGTGGTGGCGGGTGCCTGTAATCCCAGTTACTTGGGAGGCTGAGGCAAGGAGAATTGCTTGAACTTGGGAGGCGGAGGTTGCAGCTAGCCAAGATCATGTGACTGCACTCCAGCCCTGGTGACAGTGCAAGACTCCATCTCAAAAAAAAAAAAAGAAAAAAAAGAGCATATACTCATTATGGTTTTTTGACATACAGCTACTGGTTTCAAAATCCCAAGAGGTTCTGGAATGACATTTTTGACCTCATGTCTGTTTTTCGCGCCACTGCACTCCAGCCTGGGTGACAGAGCGAGACTCCGTCTCAAAAAAAAAAAACAGTGATAGGTAGGATTCCTGAAAAACATTGTTTTTAGTTCAAGGGTAGAAAGTGTATAAGCCATGAGGATACGTGTATTTCTGGCATTCTAACTGAAGCTACGACCAAAATGCAGGGAGTTTAGTTACTCTTCTAAACAAAATATCTCTGGCATTATTTTATCTAAGCCAAATGAGATAGTTTTGAACACCAAATATGAAAAGTTTTATTTTAGTAAATTTATAAAGAGCATACTATTTAACTTTACTGAGGTTAATAAAAGAGAAACTCTGTGATGAACAGAGCAAAGTAAGAAAATTTCTAGTTCTATTTGTGAAAAAAGCAGGAAGGTAAGGAAAGAGAAAAGGACAAGGCCTCTCCCATGTCTCCCTCTTGGAGTACCACTGAGCAAAAGCCTACTACAGCATCTTCACTTAGTCCCCCCCAGTCTTCTGTCCATGTCTCTAAAACACATTCCACTGTAACCACTACCCTACAGACCCTCTTATCCTCTCTGTCCTGTGCTTAGCCACATTCCTGAGGGGCCTCATGAAGCAGGGCTACCCAAGCCATATCACTAGTCTGAATCTTTCTCAGAATAATAGAAAGTAATAAATTTGCTAGTCCTTCAACATAGATAAGGAAAAAAAATTTTTTTAAGTAATAAATTTATAATAACTGCTGGGACAGAATATATAAATGAACCACGACATTGTGCATGATACTGTCCAAATGCCATGATAAAGGAGGAATTAGAAAACAAATTAGGGAAATACGTTAACCAGATAAATCAACTCTTTAAAAACAAGGCTAAAGATGAAAGTAAAATCATAAAAGACAGACAACCGGGTAATAAGCATTTAAAATACTTGCTCTTGTTGGCCAGGTGCAGTGGATCACACCTGTAATCCCAGCACTTTGGGAGGCCAAGGCGGGTGGATCACCTCAGGTCAGAAGTTCAAGACCAGCCTGGCCAACGTAACGAAACCCCATCTCTACTAAAAATACAAAATTAGCCCGGTGTGGTGGCACATGCCTGTAGCCTCAGCTACTCGGGAGGCTGAGAGAGGAGAACTGCTTGAACCCGGGGAAGTGGAGGCCGCAGTGAGCCGAGACAGCGCCACCGCCCTCCATCCTGGGCGACAGAACAAGACTCTGTCCCCCCCCTCCAAAAAAAAACAAATAAAATCGAATAAAATAAAATACTTGCTCCTGTTACTAATTTTAAAAATAAAAATTTAAGCAAGATACAAGTTTTCATCTAAAAATCACAGAGATCTGTTTTCAATAGCACCCAGTAAAGGCAAAAAGTAATGAGATATGACAAGCATTCTCTCACTTTGCTTGTGGAATTTAAACTGGCACTAAAATAATTTGGCAATATGTTATCAAGAGTCTAAAACGTTCTTTTTACTTGATCCAATAATTCTACTCATAGGACTTTGTACAAACAAATAATAAAACATGAACAAACACTCAATCCTTATTTCAAAGTGAACGTAATAAAGAGATAAAATGCAATACTCCACTTGCTTGGATCACCAGTTTTGCTAAAACATAAATAAAGCAAAAAGCAAAAAATTGAAAAAAAAAAAAAAATAGCCACATTGCCTGCCACTAGTCAGGCCATACTAACCCCACTAACTAGCTCTACCCCTCAAAACCTTCCGATTTAACCAAGACAGGCTGCAGTACAATCCTGTAAGACAGGTAAAAAAGCACACTGATATGTTTAAGTGTTTTCACATGACTGAAAATAAAAAGGGTTTTCCCAAGAAAGAAAAGAAAGCAATCTTCCACATCAACTATGAAATGTTACTTCCCAATTTATTTCATAAAGAAATTCAAATATATTTGTAAATAACTTCATTAGGCAGTAAGAATTATAACACAGCAATGCAAAAATTTGTTAGTCACATTGTAAGCAATTGATGGGCATTAAATAAAAGCTAAAAAACTGCATGTCAAACTCCCTGTGCCACTTTAGAAATAAAATTAAATATAAAAGGTTTATTTCTTAGAAAATCAGTTTAAAAGCTACATTAAATGGAAAGTAAGTCCCTTTATAAAAATATGAAAAGTATCAAAATACAAAATCAGGATCAATAAATAAGATTTGTATCTATTCCCATTCACACGGAAGCAATCTGATTTCTACACCATAAGAATGCTTGAGTAAGTTCTAGCCAGAGCAACTAAGCAAGAAAAAGAAATAAAAGGCATACAAACAGAAAAGAAAGAAGTAAAATTATTCCTGTTCACAGATGGTAGGCTCTTATATACAGTAAACCTTAAAGATTTCACACAAAAAACCTGTTAGAATAAATGAATTCAGTAAAGTAGCAGAATACAAAGTCAACACGCAAAAATCAATTGCATTTTTATAAACTAATAATAAATATGATGAAAAGGAAATTATGTAGTTTTTACAATAGTATCAAAAAGAAAAAATATTTCAAAATTAACCACGAAAATGAAAACCTGTACAATAACAACTATAAAACATTGCTGAAAGATATTAAAGAACACATAAATAAATAGAAACACAGCTCATGTTCATGTACTGGAAGACTTAATTTTTTTTTTCCCCATCAGCCTATGTGGGAAAAGAAAGACTTAATATTGCTAAGATATCAATACTACCCAAACAAATTTACAGATTCACTACAATTCCTCTCAAAATCCCAATTTTTTTTTTTTATCAGAAATAGAAAAACTCATTCTAAAATTCACGTGGAATCTCAAGGGCCCCAAATAGCCAAAACAATCTTACAAAATAATTAAAGCTGGAGAATTCACTCTTCCTGATTCCAAGACATATTACATAGCTACGGTAATCAAAACTGTGATACTGGCATAAAGACAGACATCTAGACCAATGGAATAAATCAACAGTCACAACCTTTTTGGCCAGGACCAGTTTCATGGCAGACAATTTTCCCACAGGCCAGGGGAATGGTTTCTGGATGAAACTGTTCCACCTCAGATCATCAGGCATTAGATTCTCGTAAGGAGCATGCAATCTAGATCCCTTACATGCACAGTTCACAGTAGGGTTCCTGCACCTATGAGAATCTAATGCCACTGCTGATCTGACAGGAGGTGGAGCTCAGGCTGTAATGCTCGAATTCCTGCTGCTCACCTCCTGCTGCTCACCTCCCGCTGTGCGACCTGGTTTCTAACAGGCTGTGGACTGGTGCTAGTCCACGGCCTGAGGGTTGGAGACCTTGGAACAGAGAACCTGGAAATAAAACCTCACATACATGGTCAAATACTTTTTGACAAGGGTGCTAAGATCATTCAGTGAGGGAAAGGACAGGCTTTTCAACAAATGGTGGGGAAAAACTGGATATCCACAAACAAAAGAACAAAGCTGGACACTCACCTAATACCATATACGAAAATTAACTCAAAAGAGATCAGGCTTAAATGTAAGACCTAAAACTATAAAATTCTTAAAGGAAAACACAGGGCAAAACCTTCACAGCATGAAGTTTAGCAATGATTTCTTGGATATGACACCAAAGGCATAGGCAACAACAACAAAAAATAAACAAATTGGAATTTCATGAAAAAATGTTAAGTTGTACATCAAAAGACACTATCAACAGAGTAAAAAAGGCAAACCACAGAGTGGGAGAAAATATTTGCACATTCATATATCTGATAAGGGATTATATCCAGAATATACAGAGAACTCCTAAAACTCAACAACAATAAAACAAACCAATTCAAAAATGGGCAAGAGACTTGGCTATACATTTCTTGAAAGATACATAAATGGCCAAAAAGCACATGAAAATGCACAATATCACCATCATTACAGACATGCAAATCAAAGCTACAATAAGATACCACCTGACACCCATTATAATGGCCACTATAAAAAAAAAAGGAAAATAAAAGTGTTGTTAAGGATGTGGAGAAACTGGAACCCTTGTGCACTGTTGAAGGGAATGTAAAATGCAGCTGCCACGGAAAACAGTATGGTGATGCCTCAAAATACTAAAAACAGAATGACTATGTGATCCAGCAATTCCACTTGTGGGTATACAGCCAGAAGAATTGAAAAGCAGGGTCTCAAAGAGATACGTGTATACCCGTGTCCACAGAATTATTCGCAATAGCTAAAATGTGGGAGCAACCCAAGTGTCCAATGGATAAGCAAAATGTGGTATCCTATAACACAGAAATATAGAAGTAAAACCAGAAGAAACAGCTAAAATAATTAAGGTTGTTGCCTCTTGAAAGTGAGATTGAGGGATGAGTAGTGGAGTGAGCAAAAGATTACTATTTTTCTTTAAAAATGTATACTATTGTATTATTTAGCCTTTAAAAGGAAAGAAATTCTAACATAAACTACAGCATGCTAGAACCTTGAGGACATTACATTTAGTGAAATAAGCCAGTCACAAGACAAATACTGTATGATTCCAACGACATGAGGTACTTGGAATAGTCAAAATCATAGACAGTGGAAGTAGAATGGTAACTGCCAGGGGCTAGTGGGAGAGGAGGAGAGGAAGGCTATTGTTTAATGGGTACAGAGTTTCAGCTTCAGAAGATGAAAAGAGTTCTGGAGATGGATGGCAGTGATGGCTGCACAACATTACCAACATACTTAACACCACTCAACTGTACACTTTAAAATGATCAAGATGATACATTTTATATTATGTGTATTTTACAATAAAAGAATTGGAGAAGAAGAAAGATCAAATGATATGAAATAAAGCTTCTATTAGATTTCAGTCATGGTTGCCGAATTTTTATCCGTATATTCAAACATTCGGCATTGATGCCTCAATTTCACTATATTAACAGCACATCATTAATCAATAGTTGAAGGTCTCTCATTTCATTTACTATCTTGTTCAGAAGAAACTGAATTCTCAAACACTTACCTAAACTCGTGGGCTTGATGAGAACATCAAGGACATCATAAAAGGGCAGATTTTTTAACTGCACATCAGGATGGACAGGAGGAATTGGGGGAGATGGCTGCTGCATCTCAAATGTGGGCTTAGTATCTTGAAGCAGCACAGAACCAACAGGAGAGGATGGTGAGTGAGGTGTAACTGAAGTGGAAGGCAACGAGTGGATTCCAGCCACGGCCAAGTCAGGTTCTACAGGTGATGAGCCACCATCCAAACTGAAAACCGATGATTTGATTGTGGATAAATCAGAAAGTCCTTCAAGAGTTCGTGGATATCGGCGTCTATACAATTCTCGGATTTTAATCTGAACCGCAGGGCTGCAGCCGCTCTTCAATAAATGCAGCGCCCTCATCAGGAGGTCATGCTTGCGTCCACTTTTATTCCGTCCAGCAAAGCCTAGTAATACTTGTAGTTCAGAAACCCTAAAACTAGAAACCATATTCTAAAAGGAAAGAAAAAAAAACATAAGCCAAGTCACCCTCAAGCATACAAAAATCCTATCTAAAATATAATGTAAAATGTGATTTTTCCAGCATTCTATCAATTGGCATGTGCTAGTAACAGCATTTCACATACCACTTAGAATCATTACCATTCATAAGACAATCCCGTAAAAATTACATTCAAGTTACGGTGTTAATTATATTTTGTTGTACAAGATCTTAATTTTGGTAATCTATAGTCTATTGGTTTCTACTAACCACTTCATTATCTGATTATGCTCTAATGCAAACAGTTATTTGCTTTATGACTATAAAATCTATCACCAATGAATATACTCCTTTTCAAAACCAACCCCTCCCAATATACAATGTAATGTTTGTTACAGAATTATCGCCAATTAACCAAACAAAAAATCAGATTTTCACAATGTTAGATGTGTAACTTTTGATGCTGAGTAGTAAATCCATAAAAATCAAGTCAGAACTGTGATCCAAAATGCAATGAATTTTTTACCCCAATTCAAACATTAACAAACAAACAACATAATAAAGATATTTTAAAATATTAAAGCTAAAAAATCACATACATCTTATTTAGCAGTCAAACTTCTAAAACAACTGAAATTCCCAGCTGGGTATCCAAATGAGAAAAAGACCTTTGAAGAGCAAGGAAATGAGCAGTCATCAATCTTAAAGGGCAACATTTCCTCCACACTACTCTACTGGCTTGTGCTTGGGCGTAAAACAAAGGTTATAAGCAGTTGCAGCTTCACATCACACCTTCTATTTTTTCAGCAAAACTTAATGAATATTTTTAACCCCTTGCAGCCTCAGGAATCCACCTACTTAGTGATTTCCAGTCAATTCTGAACTCAGAGGCAAATCACACTTGGGTCAGATACCACACATGCATCATCTAGCAAGAAAGAGGAAGAACACCTGGAGCTGACCAAAGCCCTGTCAGAAACCTACCCAGGAGAACTACCTGTGGTTTGGTGTCCCATCCCATCCTCATCACTCCCCCAACCCAGCCCGTGCTACACACTCCACAGTCACTTGGGATTCCTTTTCAACCTGCTTGTCTCATCAGTATAGTGGAAATGTGGGGCAGTTGCTCTGTACTTTTTAAGTCTCAGGGACGGCCCAGAAGCAACTGTTTAAAACCCTATATGGTTTTTAAATACTTGTTGGTATAAATACTTGCTAGTTTACTAAAATGCAAACAGATTTAAATATGCCAAAGTAATCCATATACACTGTCATAACTGTACTTTGTGTACTATATATGTCTCTATATTTCATAATGTACAAGTGAGAGAATATTAAATTGTAATCCTGGCAAGCCATTTTATACTCTAATTCAGTGCTGTCCAACACAAATTAATAGAAGACACACATTAAACCTCCTAGTAGTCACATTAAAAAAACTAATTTAGGCCAGGAACAGTGGCTCACACCTATAATCCCAGTGCTTTTGGAGGCCAACACAAGAGGATCACTTGAGCCCAGGAGTTCGAGACCACACTGGACAACATACTAACACCCCGTCTCCACAAAAATTTAAAAATTAGCCAGCCATGGTGGTGTGTGTGCCTGTGGTCCAAGCCACTCAGGAGACTGAGGCGAGAGGATCACTTGAGCCCAGGAATTTGAGGCTACAGTGAACTGTGATCACACCACCATATTCCAGCCTAGGCAATATTAAGACTGTCTCAAAAATAATAATAATAATAATGATAATTTACATTAACATAGTTATTTAACCCAATATATCAAAACTATCTTTTCATCTCAACATGCAATCAATTTTTGTAATTTAAAAATAATCATTTTTTAAAGTGTCAGTGGGATTTTTTTTATACTAAGTCTTCAATATCTGGTGTATATTTTACACTTACAATACATCTAAATTTGGACTAACCACATTTCAAGTGCTTAAGAGCCACATGTGGCCACTAGCTACCACACTGTGGTAGCTCTAAATCATACTCTAATAGAACACATACCACAATGTGTGTTACCTCTACAGTGCAGACAACAAAGAAGGAAAACAAGAAAACTTTTGGCCTATCTCATAACAAACCAGTCACAGCTTACTCAACATCTCATGCATTAAACAGAAGACAACAGCTTCTTGGGAAGGGTTTACCCAAGCAAGTAATACGATGCATCTTTCCCTCAATCTTAGTAAATACTTCAATTGATTGTGGAACACTAATACTAAAAAAGGCAATCACACAGATAAAACATAACTGATTTTTTCTAACTCAGAATTCACTACTTTGCTTCACTCCTTATACTTATTGTCAGATATTCTTCATTTTAAGGGAAGCTATTTTACAGAAATGACAAAACAAAGCACAAAGTCATCCTACCTAAGCTTGACTCTCAGAGGAATTTCTAGGAGGTCTCATATCTCATATTTCCAGTGATAACATTATTTGGCAAAGGATGTTAATGCAACTGGCTCTATGGGCTGTTGTAAATAGACAAACAAAAAGTAAGAAAGAGATAAGAGCTTAGACTATGAATGCGGAATCACAGAATTCTGAACAGCAGATGGGACAGTCTTTGCATTACAAAATGCTGCAAAGATAAAGTATTGCTGGACACATAGCCAAAGGTAATTAAGTCAACAGGGCCCTGTGAAAAACTTCAAGCCAGCAATCAGCAGTTGTGGTTCAAGCCCAAGCACCAAGACTTTGGACCCTGGGAAAGTCATTTCATCCCTCTGGTCATCAATTTCTATTTTAAAATAACAAACACCCCCCAAAAAAATCCCTCTCCTTGGCCAGGCACAGTGGCTCACGCTTATAATCTCAGCACTCTGGGAGGCAAGGCGGGTGGATCATTTGAGGTCAGGAGTTCAAGACCAGCCTGACCAACATGGTGAAACCCCGTCTCTACTAAAATTACAAAAATTAGCCAGGCTTGGTGGTACACACCTGTAGTCCCTGCTACTCGGGAGGCTGAGGCAGGAGAATTTCTTCAACCCAGGAGGTGGAAGTTGCAGTGAGCCAAGACTGAGCCACTGCACTCCAACCTGGGCGACAGAGTGAGACCCCATCTCAAAAAGCAAAAATCAAAAATCCCTTTCCTTTATTTAGCACTTACTGATAAAATAATCTCAAAGCAGCTTACTAAGTAAAATTCTACAAATATGTTGTTTGGCAAATCTTACCAGATCCCACTTCCTCTAGGAGTAATACCTATTTTTTCTTAACTTAGTCTTTCACCAAGTTTCAGGCCCTTCCCCCACAGTGAGTGGGTGTGGTGAGTAGAGAGGGTCACCAGAGCCCACATGGGGGTTAAGGTTAGCCTGCTATGAACACTACCAAGAATGGATTTCAGTTGTTTTTCTCCACCAACCTCTGATGTTGGTATCTTTAGTCTAATTTTTTCCAAGCGGTTTTTCCACTCCACTGCGCTAACTCTCAAAGGCTCCCAAGTCAGCCCACTTCAGTTAAAACTGTTATTCCTACAGACGAATTTCCCTACAGAGAAATGTGTTGGCATAATTAATTGTGTAAAAAGATACGTAATCTAAATTCTAAACAAAAACTAACATAAATTAAGACCAGAGTTTTAAGTCAACCTTGTTCCTTTATCAAATGAAAATAAACACAAAATTATTAAAAATTTTAAAGCTGGGATATTATATAATTGAAACACTACATACAAAGATGAAGGCAAGCTGAAGGTGCTACCTCATTAGGTAGAAAATACCTCATTAGGCTGGGCGCGGTGGCTCATACCTGTAATCCCAGCACTTTGGGAGGCTGAGGTGGGTGGATCACTTGAGGTCAGGAGTTTGAGACCAGCCTGACCAACACGGTGAAACCCCGTCTCTACTAAAAATACAAAAAAATTAGCCAGGCATGGTGGCAGGTGCCTGTAATCCCAGCTACTCAGGAGGATGAGGCAGGAGAATCGCTTGAAACCGGGAGGCGGAGGATGCAGTGAGTCGAGACCATACCATTGCACTCCAGCCTAGGCAACGAGAGGGAAACTCCATCTCGGAAAAAAAAAAAAAAAATACCTCATCAAACAGGTATACATGACAGTTACATGTAATCACCAGTGAATAAAAATATTTCCCTGAGATTGCTCTTCAATTCTAAAACATGAGACAGAAGCTGCAATAACGGCCTAGAATTTGGGGAAGTGCTAATAAGGTTAGAAATCATGGTAAAGGTCAATAAGAACTCTGTAGATTCCCCATCTGCTATGATGTATATAATACAGGAGAAGACGAGAAGCTGCTGAGGGCAACTGACAAACTGCATTATTAATATTGCCTACTCCAGCTACAATATTAAAATAATCTACCTCAGGACGGACACGGTGGCTCACACCTGTAACCCCAGCACTTCGGGAGGCCAAAGCGGGCGGATCATCTGAGGTCAGGAGTTGAAGAACAGCCAGGCCAAAAAGGCAAAACCCTGTCTCTACTAAAAATACAAAAATTAGCCGGGTGTGGTGTCTCGCACCTGTAATTCCAGCTACTAGGGAGGCTGAGGCAGGAGAAATGCTTGAACCCGGGAAGTGGTGGTTGCGGTGAGCGGAGATCACACTACTGCACTCCAGCCTGGGTGACAGAGTGAGACTCCATCTCAAAAAAGAATAATAATCATCTACATCTTCATTTATAAGTAGGAATAAAGAAAAACTGCCAGATTAACATAATCCCTCAAAAAAGAGTGACCAAGCTAATGCCATACATAAGAGGAACTATGTGGCAAGCCAGAAAGATACTGCTTACTCTTTTCAAAGGTCATTGGAGGCCCCAGTTCCTGGTCCTGTATTCCTGGTGAAATCATGTAATCCCTATAATTAAATCCACTTTTATTTGAGAGACTAATGGGTTTCTCCCTTACAAGATAATGATTACAATAACTCCTAGGTTAAAGAAATCAAATTGAAAATCAACTATTAAGAGAAACAATAAAAAAAATGCTACATTCCAAATTCAGGGAAAACATCTCCCTAAATGCTTCTATTATTATACAACAGAGATTTAAAATAAAGTAGTCAATTAAGGAAGCAAAAAAGTAATAATAAAATAAACCAAAAGGGCTGGGGAAGCATTACAGGATAAAAAGAAAAAAGCAAAAAAAAAAAAAAAAAAAATTAATTAGAAAGCAAAATGCAGTGAAGTCAGATCCACAAAAGGGAAAGTAAACAAACGTATGGTCTTATAAATGAAAAAAAAAAAACTAAACAAATTTCTTTAAACAAAGAAAATAGTGCATGCAACTATATATTCTAATAACTTAAATACAGATAAAAGTGGTTTCCTAGAAAAATACAAATTACTCCATCTGATTCAAGAAGAGGTATATTGTCTTGCCCTCCCTCCACATCCAAAAACATCTACCCAAACAAGACAGCTTCATGAATAAATTCCACCAAGCTTTCAAGGAAAGGATGGAATTCTGTTCCTTAAACTGTTCAAGAGAATAAAAGCCAGGGAGTAAAATACATACGTGTTAGAAGACAAATATAGAAAAATGCTGAACACAAAACATGAAATTCAAAAAACATGCAAATTATTGGTTTTCAAACTTCAGCAGGGAGAAGTCCACCCTATCCAACCAAACTTTTAGGCAAAAGCCTATGAAATGGCGGGCCTAGTATACCATACATTCTTTCTCATTTATCAACATGGACCATAAGAAGTCTTTGTGTAACACAATTTACAAACCAATATTAACACATCAATGTTTCCTGTGAGTGTAGACATAAAAGTCCTCAATGCACCCAATACAGTGTAATCTACCAATATAAGAATGGTTTAACATAAATTAAGTAAATTGCTTGGTTAAGATTATTTCTATCCTTACAGTCATAAGATTGAGTATTTATGTATAAAATTATACAATATATGGAGTTTCCTTTCAAATAATTTGGGGGAAGTAGGTGGGGACATATATGACAAAAGACTGGAGTTGATTAACTTCTGAAGCTGTGTACTGGGGACACGAAGAATTTTCTATCATTGTAAATTTAAGAGTGTTTCAATAACTCAAAAGTTTGCTTGAACAGGGGAAACTGGGTGTGGGCATGTGGGGACTCTACCACCTTCCCAAGTTTTCTGTAAATCTAAAGGTATTCTAGATTTCATTAAACAAAAACTGTTAGTCTGTTTGAAGGTGAGGTAAAAAAGCGGTTATGGCATAAATACTATTTCCCATAAAAGGAACCCAGACTCCTTGGGGAAATAAATGGCTGACTGCAGGTCTGGGGCAGGAAATGCACAAGATAAGCCTATAACATTTTATCGCACCAGAAAACAGAGAAGCTATCAAAGATCACGGGGCCTTGTCAGAAGGGCAAAGAAAACATCCAGAATGGGCTCCTAGTAGCCTAAGATGAGAAAATTTGAGCATCAAAAAGAATAATAACTGCATTGGATTCAAACCGATTAAATATAGTAATGTTTCATTTTATTCATAATAATACTTTAAAAATCACTGATCTCCTTTAAAGGATGTTAAGGGAAAAATTCATCATTATTCTGACAACTGATAGAGAAAATGCAAACAGATTTTTGGTTTGAGTAGAAAAGCCATATGATTAATGGCTAAATGCTAGAAGGGCATTTGATAAAATTCTATTCATTCCTGATGAAATCTCTCAATAAACAAGAAAAGAAAGAAATTCTGTTAACATGATAACTGGTATCTGTCAGAAAGCAATAGCTAATATACTAAAAATGAAACACTAAATCACAAAGCTAAGACTTCTAAAATGTATACTATGTTCTGTCATTTGACAGTATTCTAAAAATTCTAGATAATACAAGGCAATATAATTTTTGGGTTTTTTTTTTTTGAGACAGGATCTCGTTTTATTGCCCAAGCTGGAGTGTGGCAACACGATCTTGGCTCTCTGCAGCCTCAACCTCCCAGGCTCAAGTGATCCTCCCACCTCGGCCTCCAGAGTAGCTGGGAGGCCAGCCCAGTTAATTTTTACTTTTCATACAGACAGAGTCTCCCTGTGTTGTCCGGGTTGGTCTTAAACTTCTGGGTCCAAGTGATCCTTCCACCTTGACCTCCCAAAGTGCTGGAATTACAGGTGTGAGCTACTACACCAAGGCAATATAATTTTTTTTTTTTGAGAGAGAGAATCTCACTCTGTCACCCAGGCTGGAGTGCAGTGGCACCATCTTGGCTCACTGCAACCTCTGCCTCTGGGATTCTTTGCCTCAGCCTCCCAAATACTTGGGATTACTGGCACACACCACCACACCTGGCTAAATTTTGTATTTTAGTAGAGACAGGGTTGCCATGTTGGCCAGGTTGGTCTTGAACTCCGGCCTCAAGTGATCCACCCACCTCGGTTTCCCAAAGTGCTGGGATTACAGGCATGAGCCACCATGCCCAGCAAGGCAATATAAATTTTTTAAAAGTAACATTTACTATTTACAAATGACAAGACTCTCTCTATTAGAAATATAAGACAATCCACTGAAAAATTTAAACCAATAATATTAAGGCAAAACATTGAATTTTCCGTATATCAAATACATTTTCAAATGGCTGAAAAAGAGTATTAAAAAAACCGAAGTAACACAAAAACATAAAATGCAAAAGAATAAATTTTAAAATTTTGCAAGAGGTACATTAAAAAACTATAGAATAAAAGAAGCTTTGAGGCCGGGTGCAGTGGCTCACGCCTCTAATCTCAACACTTTGGGGGGCTGAGGCAGGTGGATCACCTGAGGTCAGAAGTTAGAGACCAGCATGGACGACACGGTGAAATCCCGTCTCTACTAAAAATACAAATATTAGCCGGGCGTGATGGGAGGGTGCCTGTAATCCCAGCTACTTGGGAGGCTGAGGCAGGAAAATTGCTTGAATCTGGGAGGCGGAGGTTGCAGTTAGCCGAGATTGCACCACTGCTCTCCAGCCTGGGTGACAGAGTGAGACTCCATCTCAAAAAAAAAAAAAAGCTTTGAATAAATTAAACAGACTGTATCATGCATGTTACTAGATAAAAATACTCAACACTGAAAAGGTATCAATTGTTTCCAAGTTATAAATATAAAAAAATTCCAACGACTGGTTAATGAGTTGGAGAGCTTAACAGACCAAAACCTTAATAAAGAATTAAATAAAACATATAATATGGCAGGTCATGATGAATAAAATGAACAAAAACAAAGGAGGAAGGGACACAAAAAGTGAAGAAGTAGAGGATTTGCCATTTTAAAGGGGAAAGGCCTCACTGAAATAGTAACTGAATAAGTAACTGAAGCAGGAGGAAAGCACTCTATGGATACCTGAGGAAAAGCATTCCAAGGCATTCCATAGCAAATGCAAAAGTCCTGAAGACAAAGGCAGGCCTAACACACTCAATGAAAGTGAAAGGCAAAAAGCTCACCACTGCCGAACCAGAGTAATCTAGAGGAATGAGTTATTTGTTGCTATTTGAGACAGGGTCTTGGCTCAGCTGCCCAGAGTGCAGTGGTGCAAACACTGCTCACTGCAGCCTCAACCTCCTGAGCTCAAGTGATCTTCCTGCCTCAGCCTCCAGCATAACTGGGACTACAAGCACACACCACCATGCCTGCTAATCTTTTTAATTTTAGTAAAGATGAGATTTCATTATGTTTTGCAGGCTGGTCTCAAACTCCTGGGCTCAAGTGATGCTCCTGCCTTGGCCTCTAAAAGTGCATAAGCCACCATGCTGGGCCCAGAATGAGTATTAAAATCACAGAATGATGTTCGTTTTTCACAGAAAACAAATGTGGGGAGGGAGGTAGTCAACTAAACAAACCTTTACTATATGAAGTAACTATCAAATTTGTGAGGTTAAGAAAACACAGATCTCATCCTGACAGCATCAGGAAAAATATAAAAATAAGACAGAATGAAAATGCTGAGCAATGAAGGCATATAAATTGGTAGTAGGGTGCAAGGGTGCATTTTGGGAGGCCAAGTGGGCAGATCACTTGAAGCCAGAAGTTTGAGATCAGTCTGGTCAACATGGTCCAACATCGTCTCTACTAAAAATACAAAAATTGGCTGGGCATGGTGGCTCACGCCTGAAATCCCAGCACTTTGGGAGGCCGAGGCGGGCAAATCACTTGAGGTTAGGAGTTCATGACCAGCCTGGCCAACATGGTAAAACACAGTCTCTACAGAAAATAAAAAATTAGCTGGGTGTGGTGTGGGAGCCTGTTATCCCAGCTACTCGGGAGGCTGAGACAGGAGAATCGCTTAAACCCAGGAGGCAGAGGTTGCAGTAAGCAGAGATCACGCCACTGCACTCCAGCCTAGGTGACAGAGTGAGACTCCATCTTTAAAAAAAAAAAAAGATAATATAGGCAAGGAACAGTGGCTCCAACCTTTTAATCCCAGCTATTTGGGAGGCTGAGGCAGGAAGATCACTTGGGCCAGGAGTTCAAGACCAGCCTGGGAAACAAAGTGAGACCCAGGTTCTACCAAAAAAAAAAAATTGTTTTTAATTACCACGGCTTGGTGGTGCTCAACTGTAGTCTTGATTACTTAGGAGGCTGAGGCAGGAGGATACCCTGGGCCCAGGAGTTTGAGGCTGCAGTGAGCTATAATCATGCCAATATTCCCAGCCTGGGTGACAGAGTAAGACCTCATCTGAAAAAAATACAAAATAGAGGCTGGGCACAGTGGCTCACACCTGTAATCTCAGCATTTTGGGAGACCGAGGCGGGTGAATCACGAGGTCAGGCGTTCAAGACCAGCCTGGCCAAGATGGTGAAACCCCATCTCTCCTAAAAATACAAAAATTAGCTGGGCCCGGTGGCAGGCGCCTATAATCCCAGCTGCTCAGGAGGCTGAGGCAGAAGAATCACCTGAACCCTAGAGGCGGAGGTTGCGGTGAGCCGACGTCGTGCCATTGTACTCCAGCCTGGGTGATAAGAACGAAACTCTGTCTCAAATAATATTAAAAAATAAAAATAAGGAAGAACTAACAACAATTCAATATAATTTCTTCCAGAAAACAGAAGATGAGAGAATATTTCCAAATTCATTTTATGAAACTAATATTACCATGATACCAAAACAAAACAAAGACAACACAAAAAATTAAACTACAGGCTGGGTGCGGTGGCTCACACCTGTAATCTCAGCACTTTGGGAGGCCAAGGCGGGCGGATCACCTGCGGTCAGGAGTTCGAGGCCAGCCTGACCAACATGGAGAACCCCATCTCTAAGAAAAATACAAAATTAGCCATGGCACATGCCTGTACTCCCAGCTACTCAGGAGGCTGAGGCAGGAGAATCGCTTGAACCTGGGAGGCGGACGTTGTGGTGAGCCAGGATCATGCCATTGCACTCCAGCCTGGGCAACAAGAGCAAAACTGTCTCCAAAAAAAAATTAAACTACAAACCAATATTCGTCATGAATATAGACGTTAAAACCCTTAACAAAATATTAGTCAATAAAATTCAGCAATATATAAAAAGAATTAAACACCATGGTCATTATGCACCATGACCAAGTGGAGTTTATTCCAGTATGCAAGACTGGTTCATTATATGCCACTGCTGCTCAGCATTTTCACTGTGTCTTATCTCTGTATTTGTTTTGAGATCTATAGAATACATCATATTAACAGTTACAAAAAACCAAATCATATGATCAAATCAATCAATGCGAAAAACGCATTTCACAAATTCAACACCTGTTCATGATTTAAAAACCCTCAAAAACAAGAATAGAGGAGAGCTTCCTCAATTTGATAAACAGGTCTACCAAAAAAATAAAATTAAGCCAATATTATACTCAGGGCGGAAAGATTGCTTTCCCTCTAATATTGGGACTGAGGCAAAGATGCCTACTATCACCCCTCATTCAACACAGTACTAAAAGTTCTAGCTAGCAGAATAAGACAAGAAATGGAAATAAAAGCAGTAAGAGTTGAAAGGAAAAAATAAAACTATATTTGTAGATGGAATGATTGTTCACATAGAAAATCTCAACAAATCTACAAAACAACTCCTAGAACTTGTGAGTTCAGCAAGGTCCCAGGATATAAAATCAACACACAAAAACCAACCACATCTTTATACACTAAAAATGAACATGTGAAAACAAGTTAAAAACATCACCATTTATAACACTCCAAAGAAAATTAAAATACATATGTAAAAATGTAACAAACACGTACAGGACTTATATGCTGAAAGCTACAAAACACTGAAAAAAAAAAAAAAAATCTAAGAAAATCTAAAGGCCGGGCACGATGGCTCACGCCTGTAATCTCAGCACTTTGGGAGGCTGAGGTGGGCAGATCACCTGAGGCCGGGAGTTCGAAACCAGTCTCACCAAAATGGAGAAACCCCGTCTCTACTAAAGATGCAAAAAAAATTAGCCATGCATGGTGGCACATGCCTGTAATCCCAGCTACTCGGGAGGTTGAGGTAGGAGAATTGCTTGAACCCGGGAGGCACAGGTTGCAGCGAGCCGAGATCGTGCCATTGCACTCCAGCCTGGGCAACAAAAGTAAAACTCTGTCTCAAAAAAAAAAGAGAAAAGAAAACCTAAACAAATAAATTCTTCACGGATTGGAAAACTCAACATAGTAAAGATGTCAACTTTCCCCAAACCGATATATAGGTTTAACATAATTCCTATCCAAATTCCAACAAGATTTTTGTAGATATAGATGAGATTATTCTAAAATGTATATGAAAAGGCAAAAGAAATATTAATAGAACAGCCAAAACAATTTTTAAAAAGAACAGAGGGAGAGGAATCAATCTATCCCATTTTACAACTTAGCTAGGACTGACAGACTGCATGGTATTAGTGGAAGGGTAGACACATAGATCAAGCAAAGAGAATACAGAACCCAGAAACAGACATATACATACATACCCAAATAATTTTTGATAAAGGTGTAAAATTAACTCAGTGGAAGAAAGACAGCCTTTCAATATATGGTGCTGGATCAACTGGACACCCATAGACAGAAAAATGAACTTCCACTTAAGTCTCATACCTTATACAAAAATAACTCCAAATGGATCACAGAGTCAAATGTAAAAATAAAACTGTAAAACTTTTTTTTAATAAGCAGGAAAATATTTGGGATCTAAGACTAGGCAGAGTTCTTAGATTTGACACTAAAAGCAAGATCCATAAAAGGAAATATGACACACTGGACTTCACACAAACTAAAACCTGTGCTACGCAAAAGACCCCTTTAAAAGGAAAAAAAGACAATCAACAGACTCAAAGAAAATATTAACATTTGCAAACACATATCTGACAAAGGACTACTATCTAGGATATACTTAGAACTCTCAAAACTCAACAGGAAAAGAAAAAGAATTCAATTAGAAAAAGGACAAAAGACACAAAGAGACATGTCATGGATTGGGATATACAGATGGCAAATAAGCACATAAAAATATGTTCAGCATCATTAGCCATTGGGGAAATGCAAATAAAAACCTCACTGAGATATCACTAGATACCTACCAGAATGGCTAAAATGAAAAACACTGATAACACCAAATGCTGGCGAGGATGCTGAGAAACTGGATCACTCCATACATTGCTGGTAGGGATGTAAAATGGTACAGCCACTCTGGAAAACAGTTTAGCAAGTTCTTTAAAAACTATACATACAATGACCACACAACCCAGCAACTACACTCCTGGGCATTTATCTCCGAGAAAGATGTGTGCGTAAGTTTACCAAAAAAACCTATGCACAAATCTTTATAGCATTTTTATTCATAATTATCAAAAAACTGTAAACAACCCAGATGTCCCTCAACAGGTGAATGGTTAAACAAACTATAGTGAATTCATATCGTGGAAAACTATTCAGCAATAAAAAGGGATGAGCTGTTTATATACAACAACTTGGATGAATTTCCAGAATTATGCTGAATGAAAAAGCCAGACCCAAAAGGTTATCCACTGTGTGATTCTATTTATGTAATATTTTTGAAAAGACAAAAATCATAGAAATGAAAAAGATGAGCGGGCCCCAGAGAGTGAGGGAACTGGATGAGACAGGAACAAGTGTGACTATAAAATAACAATACTTTGGAGAGAGGGATCCTTGTGGTGATAAAATGGTCTATATCTTGATTGTGTTCATGTCAATATCCTGGTTGTGATACTGTACTATGGTCTTTAAGATGTTAACTCTGAAAAAAAACTAGAGAGAGTATACAGAATGTCTCTGTATTATTTCCTAGAAATGCAAGTGAACTGACAATTATCTTCATTAAAAGTTTAATTAAAACTACAAGGAGTAAGACTATCAGACTAGATTTTTAATTTTCTTAAAATTCAATGGTATTATATTTGAAAGAGATAAAACTGAAATAAAAGGACACAAAAATGTAACGGTGAGGAGAAATTTTTTAAATTAGGCAAAACTGACAAAAAAAGAAAAATAACCTAGAAGGCCGGGTGCGGTGGCTCAGGCCTGTAATCCCAGCACTTTGAGAGGCCCAGGTGGGCAGATCACCTGAGATCAGGAGTTCAAGACCAGCCTGGCCAACATGGTGAAACACCATCTCTACTAAAAATACAAAAATTAGCCAGGCATGGTGGCAGGCACCTGTAGTCCCAGCTACTCAGGAGGCTGAAACAGGAGAATCACTTGAACCCACGAGGTGGAGGTTGCAGTGAGCCGAGATCGCGCCACTGCCCTCCAGCCTGGGTGACACAGCAAGACTCCATCCGTCTCAAAAAAAAAAAAAAAACAGAGATGGGGGTCTCACTATGGTACCCAGGCTGGTCTCAAACTCTTGGGCTCAAGTGATCCTCCCACCTCAGCCTCCCAAGGTGCTAAGATTACAGGATTACAGTTCTTTCATGTGCTAGTAATAATGTTAAAATATGGTTTAAAAATCGATAGAACTACAAAGAAAAATGAAAAACGAAACAAAATTCTAGTAAAAGATTAACTCTGCTCTCTTAATAAAAAATAAAGATATGAGATTTGAACAACATAATTAACAAGGCTACATAATGAACATATATAAAACTGCACCAAAAACCAGGCAATACATAGTCTCTTCATGTACAAATAAAAATTATTAAAATGGACCACATTTTTAATAGTCTAAACATATTTCAAAGAGTTGGCATTATACACACCAATTGGCATCACACTCAAACAGGCTGCCTAACCAAAATGCAATTACAAATCAACAGCCAAATCAACTAGAGGAACTCTGTTTGGAAATTAAATTTTTAAATAGCTCATAAGTTAAAGAATTCACAACGGAAAATAGAAAAATACAAGTAAAAATAACGGAAATATCACACACATCAAAACAAGGAGGCAATACGCAGACATTTTATGATCTTAAATAACTATGTTAAAATGCTGAAAATTAATGACAGGCACCCAGCTTAAGAAATTAGAAAAAAAGAACAGAACTACAAAGGAAATGTAAGAAAAGAAAAGAAGAGCAAAAATTAATGAAACAGGAAGGATACACTAAAGAGCATAAACAATATCAAAAACTTGATTCTCTGAAAAATCTTTAAAAATTGGCAAACTTTTAGCCAAAAATTATCAAGAAAAAAAGAAGGCATTTTAAAAAAAGACAAGGGGATATTAACTACAAGTAACTGCAAAGAAGAGATTAACAACTAAATGCTACAAATTCAAGAATGTGGATGAAATGAACAACTTTCTATAAAAGTATGAACTACTAAAACAGGTTTGAAACTTGAAAATATGAACAGTCCTACAACCAAAGCAATTGAAGCATTCCTCAAAGAAAACAATAGTAATAATTTTATAAGCAAGTTCTACTAAATATTTAAGAAACAGACCTTTCTAATGTTACATAAACTCTTCCAGAAGAGAAAAGGTATATTTTTTAACTATAGGCTAGTTTTACTCATTATGAGAGACAAAAATCCTAAATTAAATATCTCCAAACTGAGTCCAGTGAAAAAAAGGAACAGATAGATCAGGGTTGAATTTATACTTGCAACACAAAGTTTGTTTAAATATTGGGAAAAAAATTAATATAACTCAGCATGTTAACAGATTACAAAAGAGAAATAATTTTCTCAAAAGATGCAGAAAAAGCTTCTGATAAAATTCATTCATGATTTTTTAAATTAGCAAACTAAGAAAGGGAACATCCTTAACCTGAAAAGATTATCTATAATAAACCTACAGCAAGCATCATACTTAACTGTGAAACTTTGAAAGCATTCCCTTTAAAATCAGGAACAAGATCAGGATGCCCCCATCACAGCTTCTATTCAACATTGTACTGGAGATCCTAGCCAGCACATTAAGACAAGAAAAAGAAAGAAAAAAAAAAAGCATAAGAATTGGAAAGGAGGAAACAAAGAGGTCATTATTCACAGATAGGACTGTCTGCATAGAAAAATCCAAAAGAAATCTAAAGATAATTAATCACAATTAGGAGTATAGCAAGGTTATTATACAAAGTCAAACTGTACTTCTGTGCACCAGCAAAGTATAATTATAAAAAGTTAATATTTATGATTTGCTATAAAAATAATTTGTTAGAAATAAATCTAACAAAATATTTGCAATACTTTAACTGAAAATAACAAAACTTTATTGAAAGATGTTGTAAAAAACCTAAAAGAAATGGAGATTACAATGATTGTGGTTAAGAAAACTTAGCAGCAAAATGTAATTCTCTCCAAGCTAATTTACAGATTCAGTGCATTTCCCATCAAAATACCAACAAGATGTATGTGTGTGTGTGGGGGGGGGGGGAGGTGTATAACATGAAAATATGATTCTAAAATTACATGGAGAAGCAAACAATCAAGAAGTTCCTTGAACAATTACAAGCCAGGAGGACTTGTGCTACTTCTGTCTCCCTCAATGACTGACTAGACTGTTTCATACCAACCCTCCCTGTGAGAACTTAACAACTGAATATAATATTAAAAAACAAAAATCTGTGTGAATGCAGGAGGCACTACAAAGGCAGTAAGGACCTGAGACACCAAGACTCTGAAAAGAAGGAGAGCCTGCAAAGCTGAGTCTCTTGATGCCTTCCCCGGAGATATCTGCCAATGGAAAAGGGCAATGGAGAGGTTAAAAGTCCAGCAGAACTCTGAATAGACTCAGGGGAAACAAGAGAAGGTATGTGCAAAACATAACCAGCAAGAGATGGTTTCCAAGATGTATAATGAACTCCTACGAATCAGTATGGAAAAGACAGATGTCCCAATATAAAAATGAGTAAAAGACTTGGCAAGCCACTTTACAAAAGAAACCCAAATGGCCAATAAGCACATTCAAAGGAGCTTGACATCATTACTTATTAGGGAGATGCAAATTAAAACCACTACACATTCACCAGAGTGTCTAAAATTAAAAGGGTAGACAAGGATATGGAGCAACTGGAACTCTACTATATCACTAGCAAAAGGGAATGAACCAACTACAACTACAGACAACAATAAGGATGAATCTGGCAAACGAAACAGAAAAAAAGGCAGAAACAACAGAATACATATACAGAAACAGAATACAGTTGACCTTTGAATAACAATAACATATAGTTGAATATTGAATAACAATAACATATCCAATAACAAAAACCTGTGTTAGTCAAAGGTCAACTGTATCTTGTCAACTGGTTTGAACTGTGCAGGTCCACTTATACGCATATTTTTTTTTCAACCAAATGCAGATCAAAAATATGGTATTTGCAGGACGTGAAACCCACATATACAGAGGGCCAACTTTTCCTATACATGGGTTCTGCAGGGCCAACTTCAGGACTTGAGTACACATGATTTTCCTGTTGGGAGGGTGGATCCTAGAACCAATCCCCCAGGTACACCAAGGGGCAACTGTATATATACTACACAGGTTCCATTTATATAAAGTTCAAAAACAGGCAATACTAATCTGTTAAAGTTAGGATAGTAGGTCGCTTTTGGAAGAATGAGGTGAGGTTAGCCACTGGGGAGGGGAATATTTAGAGTGCTGGTAATGTTCTCTTTCTTGACCTGCACGATTATTATTTTGAGAAAATTCATCCAGCTATAATTTCATTATCTGTGTACTTCCTATGTGTATGCTATATATCAAAAGAAGTTTGGTTTTTTATTATAAAAAATATTATCTTACACAGAGATGGGGTCTCACCATGTTGCCCAGGCTGGTCTTGAACTCCTGGCTCAAGTGATGCTCCCACCATGGCCTCCCAAAGTGATGGGATTACAGCCTTGAGCCACCTCACCAGGCAAGAAGTTTGTTTATGCTAGCAGCAGCATCATCTTGTTTTAGTTACTGTAACTTTTTAACAATTTCTGTAAAAACAGACTAACGGCCCAGAGTCCAGAACCAAAGCACAGATGAGTGATGGCATCCAAACCAGTGAAGAAAAAAATTTGCATGAAAGGTGATGGAACAATTTATTATTCTTTGAGGAAAAACCATGCATCTTGGTCACCACTTCACACTGTATACAAAATCAACTCCAGGTGGATTAAAACCTTAAATGAGAAAAGGTAAAAAAAAAACAAAAACAAAAAACAAAAAAACTACGTCTTATACTTTTACAATAATGGAAAATATCTTCGAGAACTCTGTTGAAAAATTTCTTCAACAAGATTCAAAAGCACTATCCATAAAGAAAAGCCTGATAAATGCAATCACATAAAAATTAAGAACTTCTACTCATCAAAAAACGCATAAGGCTGGATGCAGTTGCTCATGCCTATAATCCCAGCACTTTGGGAGACCAAGGTGGGCAGATCACCTGAGGTCAGGAGTTCGAGACCAGCTTGACCAACATGGTGAAACCCCGTCTCTATTAAAAATACAAATATTAGCCAGGCATGGTGGCGGGTACCTGTAATCCCAGCTACTCAGAAGTCTGAGACAGGAGAATCTCTTGAACCTTGGGGGTGGAGGGTGCAGTAAACTGAGATCACGCCACTGCACTCCAGCCAGGGCTACAGAGTGAGACTCCATCTCAAAAAATAAAAATAAAAATGATTTAAAAGTGAGCCCAATTGAAAGGAGAAATTTGCACCACATGCATCCAACTGTGAAACTATTAAAAATCAGTATGAAATAATTTTTTTAAAAAACTAGTACAAACATGGGCAAAAGACATGAATAGGAATGTGAGAAAAGGGAAGAATGGCTAATCAGTATAGTAAAAGATGCTCAAACTCATTAGCAAAGCAAATGAAAACTAAAAGGTGGTATTTTATACTCGTGGGTAAAAACTTTTTTTTTTGAAACAGGGTCTCACTCTGTTGCCCAAGCTGGCGTGCAATGGCATGATCACAGCTCACTTCCTAGCTTCAGGTGATCCTCCCATCTCAGCCTGCCAAGTAGCTGGGACTACAGGTGTGGGCCACTATGCCCAGCTAATTTTGTTTTGTTTTGGTAGAGATGGGGTTTCACCATTTTACCCAGGCTGGTCTCAAACTCCTGGTCTCAAGCCATCCACCCACCATGGCCTCCCAAAGTGCTAGGATTACAGGCGTGAGCTACCATGCCCAACCGATAAAACCTTTTGAAGTGTGACAAAAGTAGATGTTAGCAAGAAAGCTGAGTAATGAAAACTTCTGCATTGCTGGAGAGAACGAAGACTGACACCACCTTTTTTGGAAGATAATCTGACATTATCCAATATTGGTGAATATGCACACATTCTTCTTAAATACCAGCAATTCTATTCCTAGAATCTCTACAGTGAAACATACAAATATTCACACTAAGTGAGATCAACAAAGATTACAATATCAGTGCAGGTCAGGGTTTTTCTGCAAGACAAGTTTGGTGAAACTTTACAGTTTTTTTCTCTTCATTTTCAAACATTTGGATTTAAGAAATATGGATGGCCAGACACAGTAGCTCACACCTGTGATCCCAGCACTTTGGGAGGCCAAGGCGGGTGGATCACCTGAAGTCAGGAGTTCAAGACCAGCCTGGCCAACATGGTGAAAACTAATAATACAAAAAAATTAGCCGGGCATGGTGCACACCTGTAATCCCGGCTACTCGGGAGGCTGAGGCAGTAAAATTGCTTGAACCTGGGAGGAGGAGGTTGCGGTGAGTCAAGATCGCGCCACTGCACTCCAGCCTGGGCAAGAAGAGCAAAACTCCGTCTCAAAAAATAAATAAATAAATAAATAAATTTTACATATGTATATATGTTAAAAGTATAAAGACAGACCAGGAATGATGAATCCAAAATTCAGTACAATGGCTACTGTCATTGGTGAAGGTGGACATGGTTGCAGTGGATGTGATCAGGAAAGTGCATCCTGCTAAAGTTACACTAATGAATTAGTAAACTGGTTGGTAATTATATGTATGTTTGTTTACATACGCCTTACCTGTTATAATCTTTTGTACTTATCAAATAACTTAAATATTTAAAATACAAAAATTAGTATGGAATACCTAAATACAAACCCACTGTTAGAGTCACCAATTCAGGGAAGTGTCTCAAGAACTCTAGAGAAATTAGCATCAGAGAAATTCAAGGTATTTCCCCATAAATCAAGGACAGGTTGCTATTTAAAAAGAAAGAAAAATGAAAGATGATAGAAGAACTCTTATAAATTAAAGATAACTACTGAAATAAATTTTATAGAAAAGTTCAAAGACAAAATCAAAGAAACCTTTCAGAATGTAAACAAATCCCGTAGATCGTAGACTACAATTGTAGATTACAATCTTCTACAGGAGAATAACCATCAGATCTGCAATGGACCTCTGATTAGCACACCAAGTATTTTAGATTCCCACAGCAAAGTTTTCAAAATTCTGAGGAATTTATAATTCCACATGTAAACTTTCAATCAGGAACAAAGACAAGCCATTTTCAACATTCGAGAACTCAGAAAGTTTATCACCAGCATATCCTTCCAGAAACAACTATTGAAGGCTGTATTCCTGTAAAATAAAAAAGGTATCTAAAAGAGAAAAACATGGGATCCAAATAACAATAGATCTAACCCAGGAGAACAATGTGAAGTAATCCCAGGATGACAGCTGGGTAACAGGTCTACTAAGCTTCCCAAATTAGAAAAGGCAGGCCAAGACTCCGGAAAGTCTACCAAGACAAGCTGAATGGCTACAACATGAGAACCCATTATAATATTAAATTTTAAAAATAACTTCAATGAGCTTTCCTCATTCAACCAGGACTTTGTTATATTTCTTTTTTTTTTTTTTTTCCTGAGACGAAGCCTTGCTTTGTCACCCAGCCTGGAGTGCAATGACATGATCTTGGCTCACTGCAACCTCCACCTCCCGGGTTCAAGCAATTCTCCTGCCTCAGCCTCCCGAGTAGCTGGGATTACAGGTGCCCACCACCACGTCGGGCTAATTTTTGCATTTTTAGTAGAGACGGGGTTTCACCATGTTAGCCAGGCTGGTCTCTAACTCCTGACCTGAGGCGATCCGCCTGCCTGGGCCTCTCAAAGTGCTGGGCTTACAGACGTGAGCCACTGTGCCCGGCTGACTTTGTTATATTTCCTTTTTAAGGATCACAGGTTTAACAGAAGTGAAGTTTCTCTATGGCTCCACAGTACTTGGTTCTATAGTAACTAATACTCATGTCAACATACATATTTAAAAGAGTGGCTATTAGTACTCAATTTCTAGATTTTCCTGCAGAAGCACAGAAAACTTTAGAAGAGTTATAAAACATTATATAAATGCAATAAATCTTGCCAATGTAACAGTACTAACCAAAAACAAAGGCTGGGGCCGGGCTCAGCGGCTCATGCCTGTAATCCCACCACTTTGGGAGGCCAAGGGAGGGGGAGTGGATCACCGGAGGTCAGGAGTTCAAGACCAGCCTGACCAACATGGTGAAACCCTGTCTCTATTACAAATACAAAAATTAGCCAGGCATGGTTGCAGGTGCCTGTAATCCCAGCTAATCGCGAGGCTGAGGCAGGAGAATCGCTTGAACCCAGGAGGCGGAGGTTGCAGTGAGCCAAGATGGCGCCATTGCTCTCCAGCCTGGGCAACAAGAGCAAAATCCTGTCTCAAAAAAAAAAGGAAAAAAGAAAACAAAGGCTAGGAAGGGAGGAGGGAAAAACAAAGGCAAGGTTTGGCTTTTAAATCCCAAAAGGAAAGGGATCGGTGTTATATCTTTTTCTGAAAGACCAGGAAGTGAGGAAATATAGTTGTCTCTCAGTATCCGTAGGGGGCTGGTACCAGGGTCCCCTGCAGATACCAAAATCCAAGAATGCTCAAGTCTCTTACATGAAATGGCATAGTATTTGCATATAAGCTATACACATCCTCCTACGTACTTTACATCATTTCTAGTTTACAATACCTAATATATGGCAAATGCTATGAAATGGTTGTTATACTATACTGTTTAGGAAATACTGACAAGGAAAAAAGTCTGTACATGTTCAGTACAGATGTAACCAACCTTTTTTCCTGAATATTTTTGATCCAAGGTTGGTTGAAACCAAAGATAAGTCATTCACAGACATGAAGGGCCAAATATACTGTCTAAAAGTGATAGGTCAATAAACAGAAATTTATAATAAAAAGTTAAAAATAACAGCAAAATTAGGAACCAAAATGTAACTGATAGAAATCAAAGTCTAGGACAGGTGGAAAATGACCTAAATTTCTTATCTAGCAAAAAGTTAAGAAATATTTTTTTTGAGTTGAAAAAATATAGAGAGAAAGGCATGGTATATTTTTAGACTTTTGGAACAACAATAAAACCCTAAAAACAAACAAACAAAAATGGTTAAAAGCATAATGGGAGTGGGATTTAATGGAAAAGGGAAGACTTTCACTATTTTGAATTTTTTCAGTACTGTCTGCACAAATATTGCTTTCATTTAAAAAATATGAGAAATGGAAATGAGAGAATAAAAAATGTGACATCAGGTGATCCACCCGCCCCAGGCTCCCAAAATGCTGAGATTACAGCCTTGAGCCACTGCGCCCAGCCTATTTCACTTTAAGTTAAATATATTTTGTTTCGAACGTGCTTTCATAGACATGAGCTCAGGTGAAGCCTTGGAAATTTTAGTTGCATCCCATAATAGCTTTGAATCATATGGAAGATTCTGTTATATCTATCATAGCTATTAGTCTGTATCCCTGCCCAATAAATGGGGAGAGGAGCGTGATGAGGACCTCTAACCTCAAATCCCCCATTAACTTCCCATTCTCCTGCTGCATCCTAACAGCACTTGAAGTTATCAGGATGGTGACTCCTGGTAGGTGTAAGGAAACCAAACACTTAAGCCTTCTAGACAGAAGACCTTCTGTTACAGAATTACTTAGGCTTCTTAGCATGAAAGACCCAAATCTGATCTTCGAATTATGACACAACAAATTTACCCAGTTTGGTAAATGTTCTGGTTTACCCAGTATCTATTGATAAAGTTATCATCGCTGGCTCTCTCAGGCCAAATGCACAACCAGATTCTCACAGGCACATTCTCTCTCATTCTGAGACACACACAGAATAAATTCTCAATGCATGAAAAGAAGGGGATGAAGAATACAGAAGGGAGATCCTTAAAAAAAAAAAAAAAGTCACTACAATAGATCCCCCTCCTCCCCATTGAGTGATGAGAAGTAGGGAAAGTAGATTAACCAGGTTAAAGTGTAGCAGGGACCTTTTTGTGAATGACTGCCACCAGCAGACCACAATATTGGAAATATGCAACTGGAAGGGTAAAGAAAAAGCTGCTCTGGTTAAAGAAGAGGTAAGTGATTCCAGAAACTCAACTCCTGCTCTCCTCCATCCCTGTGCTTAGCTCTTCTACAGACTAGTTTGAGACAGGGTCTCCCTCTGTCGCTCAGGCTGGAGTGCAGTGTCAAGATCAGAGCTAGCTGTAACCCAGAAATCCTGGCTTCAAGCGATCCTCTTGCCTCTCAAAGCGCTGGAATTACAGGTGTGAGCTACCAAGCCCTGCCCTCCAGACCATTTTTGGAGGAGGAAGCAAGGCAGCAGTGACAGAAGTTCAGGCCATCAAATCTTATGATCTTGTCCCACATTAATTCACAACTAGTTAATTCAAAATCTGTTCATTCACAAACTAATCACTCCTTCAGCTCCTAACAACACAGATGCCATAAATAAGCAACTGGTAAATTGAGTAATTTCTTCTCTGGCACCTTGAAAGCTTCTAATATATAACACATTATTGTAACCATCTTTGAGCACACAGGCCACATTTTCCCTTTTCAGAGAACTTCCCCACTTCCTTTCCTTCAATCCATCAGGATAATCTGCTGATCAGGTTTGTGTGCTTTGACTCTAAGCCCCCGGCTATGGATGATTAGAACAGAAGTAGAGACCTAAACTCAGCCAATCAGATTCTCTCTCCCAGAAGAACTGGAAGAGAGGTGGGCTGGTATTCTGGTCACCCGGACTGAAAGGCAACAAGGTATAGAGCTGCCATATTCTGCTATGACCAGCCAAGATCTCTGGTACTGGCTCACGCAGCAGTCTCCAAAACTGAAATAGTCAGGCGACCCCCTTAACAGTTGCCTAATCGAATAACCAACCCTCCCCCCCCCAACTCCACCCCCGACACACAAGTCTGAAAAGCAAAGGCACCAGGGTCACCAAACCACACTGAGGATTACCTTTCCCAAAATTCCCTATCTCCAGTATAGATGCAGCACTAGCCAGGATATGAACTGCTCTGGTTATACTTGTCCAAAATGAGTAGCCTTGAAGGGTAATGGAAATCCTCTCTGTGGCATATCAGCAGCCAAATATGTGGCATCCAGATCGGCTGACCAATTTCTCTACTGCCAAGAAGTTAGCCAACAAACTAATGCCCAAAATTTTTCCTGGTCCTATAATTTACTTGAGCATCACTCTGACCACCACAATATATTCTGATCCAAGGACCATCATTTTGAGAATCCAAGATTATTTCTTCCCCTTTTCTTTCTTTCTATTCCGTTTTTTAGTCTGTTTTTCTTCCTTTATTATAATGTCACACAAGAAGGATGTTACCAATCATTTAATTTAGGAGCAATCGCAGGATGATGGCTAGAAGCTCCACCTAGACCCCAAGGTACCAGAACAAAGTAGTGTAGCCCGGGCTCTGAAAAGCCCAGACTCTAAAAGCTACATGTCTAAGATTAAAAATCTTAGCTTTTCAAATCTCAAGCTGTGTGATTTAGGTCAGGTTAACCTCTCTGTGCTTCAATTTCTTGAAAAAATTGTGAGAATTAAATAAGTATAGAAAAAATGCTTAGACCAGAACCAGGCATGGAATAACCACTATATTAAAATGGGTATATACCATCATCATCATTACTGTCTGTAATGGGATGTAAGGGCGGGGTACAGTTCATCTTCAAGTGTAGGGTAACATGGGTCTGCACAGAGCAGTTAAGGCAAAGAAAAGCAGATGATGCTTACTGCATGTGCCCAGCCTGCACCCCTCACTCCTCTGAAAATTCTCCCCAGTTAGTCTCTGTTGGGCACGTCATATGAATTGTGGGAGAGGGGCCATCTTCTAAAAATGCAAGAAGTAAAGACAGCTGATTTACAGGAAAAGAGGATGAAGCTGATCCACAAACCAAAACAGAGAGGAAGGCAGAAAGGAAGAGAAAAAAAAGCTTCTTTGGTTTCTATCACTTTCCAGTTGCTGGTTGCACTCCAATCTGAGCACTGACTGCTTTTACTCTGCTCTATAAGAGCGAGTAAATTCTTCGCTTTACATTAAGCTTTGGCCAACAACATTCACAAGAGTCTAATAAAAATCCTGGAAAGTTTTCATTAACAAAAAAAAAAAAAAGAACTTAGAAAACTTGTATACATCTGTTACTACACAAAAATTAAAAATGGCAGGTAAAAATAAATATAACTTCAGAGTTCAGTCTTCTCAACCCATCCTAAATCTAACGCATGAATTTACAGAGGTGAGGTTCAGGGTTCGTTGTTTGAAAAGCTCCACAGGTGTTAAAAGCTCTACAGCTGGGGCTCTGAGCCACTAAAACCCTTAAACTTATCAAGTATGAACACCCTTTACCTACACTTATGGTTCTCTGCATAAACTAGTATGGGGCATAACATGTATTAATATGTGTTTACTGGGAACTTAATAATTATTTTTGAAACAGCAGGAGGGAATATGGCAGGCACTGTGCAAACTCCAACAATCTCCGTTTAGAGCAGAGGATACGTTCTTTTGCTCACGTCCACTAAGCAGGTAACCAGCCAACATCCTTCCCCCATCCCATCTCTTGCGGAAAACAATAAATATACAAAACTGAACCTTTTACCGGATTCCTCTTCCTTATTTGAAAAAGAAATCCTAATATCATAAGTGTTACACAAACGAGTTGCAGTAAATGTAATTTCAAGTTTACACTCATCTCTACCTTGATACATTTAAAAAAAAAAAAAATCAGGGTTTCTGTCCGTAAACATCTCATTTATGTCGCCAGTAATTCAGCGATACACACAAATCCATCTCATTCGTCACACTTAGTTAGGACTTTAAAGGTTATCAGTCTGGGGGGAAAAAGTCTCTTCTGTTCTACCCCCATCACAGCCCTATTCCAGACCTCTGCTATACAAGGGTATCAACAATAAAGTTATGATCTTGTTTTAAGACTGAGAAGAAAAAAATATTTTTCCTCAAGAGTAAAAGGGGTGCACAAACCTCACAACATAGACTTTGCAGATTTCTTACTAAAACACTAAGAAAATATCGAGGTTTAAGGCCGATTATTGAAGGCAGGGATCCCCAAACATTAGGTTCCTCGAAGATGTTAGGAGGCAAGGGTGGGAGAAGGGGCCTTTTCTCGTGACAGACCTGACTAAACGGTAGCATCAGCCATAAGAAGAGGAGAGATTCCTAAACGCAACTTCAGCTTTCAGAAAACAGTCCTCCACCAAGTGAGTAGCATGCAGACTTGTGAATAGCCACAGACACGTACACCCCGGTGAAGGTGCAAGATCAAACGTTGCTTCCCACATCGGCCCTCACTGCGAACCGGGATGTCGGGTCCCCATGTGCCCCTCCTGGAGGGCGCCCCGACCCCCCGCGCCAGGTGTGCGGACCACTGGCAGCACTCAGGAGCCGGCTCGCCGCGGCCCAGGCCCGCCGCCCCCGCGCCGCCCGCGTGCCCTCCGCCGGCCCGCTCCCCTCCCCCGCGCCCTCGGCGCCCGTTCGTCCGCGGGCCGGGGCTCAGGGCTCCGCCAACCGGCCCCAGAGGCACGAGCAGGCGGCGGCCGGCGACGTTGCGGTTTCCCCACCTCCTCTCCCATCCCCTCCCCCGCGGCCTCCGCTCTCCACTCCCGCTTACCCTCAACTCTTCGAAATCCGCCATTTTATACCACCCGCGGGCGCCGCCGCCGCTGCCGCCGCACCCACTCCCGCTGCCGCCAACGACGCTGCCGCCACCACGGCCGCCGCCGCCTCCAGCACCATCCTGCACTGGGCGCCGCTTAAGACGCCGCGGCCGCCGCCGCTACAGCCGGGCCCGTCACGTGAACGGCGCGGGAGCTCCGCCTCCGACGCGCCGAAGCCCCGCCCCTAGCGGTGCCCCCTGCCCACCCGCGCGACCGCCTTCCGCCCGCGCCTTCAGTCCGCGCGGCGACAGCGCCCGCCCGCGCCTGCCCCGGCGTGCTGCCCCGCGGCTTGGCCCCGCTCGGCCCCAGGTCGTGCCTTCCCTCCCCGGCGGAGGCCCCTGCGGACTGCCTAGAGCTGGGTCGCAACTGAGGCGTTATCCGCGGGCCTGGCCTCGGGAAGTGGCGGGGAGGAAGAAGAGGCGGCCGGGACGCGTGACAGGAGCATTCGGGAAGATTCTTACGGTGCCCTTCACGCGGTGCCTATGGACGGAGAAAGCCGCCGCAAATAAAACCATCCCCCAGAGTAGTTGTGGCGGAATAATCTAAATATGGGTGTTGGGTAAGCTATTGTTCCCATCTAATGGTGAGGTTGTGTGACACCTCTTTGAATTGCTAATGTCCTGCAAGTACCAACCTTGCCGAGTTTTTCTGACCTTGAAGGGCACCTGAAGGTCACGGACTGCAGAGTTGGGAGAGTTAGGCGGTGGGGTTGGGGGCGGGGAGAAGTGAAATAAGAGCGCTCAGAAGGGCCATGCTAAAAAGTCGGGGAAATCTGATAGCTAGGAAGGAGTCAAACGCCAAGGCAGAGTAAGTAGATAGAAGGAAGCTTGATGGCCCCCCCGTAATGTGCTGATATAGGATGAAGGAAGATGCTGAGTCAAGATGGCCAGAAAAATCGCTGGACGGTGTCCAGGGTTCAATTTCCTTGAAGAATTGGGTGGAACCCACACACGAGAGGTCTTTAAAACAATGTAACTTTTAAGGCCCTGTTTAATCAGCCTCCTACCTACCGCCTCTTCCCACTACCCCTCGTTTCATCCGCACTGCACTTCCAGGTCTTCCTTCCACTCCCCTGCCCCCGCACCCCGCAAGTTTTGTTTTTTTGAGACGGAGTTTTGCTCTTGTTGCCCAGGCTGGAGTGCAATGGCACGATCTCGGCTCACCGCAATGTCTGCCTCCCGGGTTCAAGCGATTCTCCTACCTCCGCCTCCCGAGTAGCTGCGATTGTATTTTTGGTAGAAACGAGGTTTCTCCAAGTTGGTCAGGCTGGTCTCCAACTCCGGACCTCAGGTGATCCGCCCGCCTCGGCCTCCCAAAGTACTGAGATTACAGGCGTGAGCCACTGCACCCGGCCTCCCCTCAAGTTTTAAGGCTTCTAAATGTTGATCCTTGAACCAAGAATAATTTCCCACTCTCTTCTTTGTTCCTAACTCCTGTTCATCCTTCAGGTTTCACTTTAAGTGTCACTTCCTCAGGAAGACCATCCCTCACCCACATCCCACATTTTAATTCAAATTCCCCTGTTATGACCTCTCCTAGGACCCTGAACTTTTTCTTCCTGAGATGTCTCCATGGTAATTATGTAGGTATTTGTGTAATTGTTTATTTGATATATATGTGTGTGCGTGTATATATATATATGTGTGTGTGTGTGTGTGTGTGTGTTGTGTATATATACACAACACACACACATATTGTTTTGGCCAGGTGCAGTGGCTCATGCCTGTAATCCCAGCACTTTAGGAAGCCGAGGCAGGTGGATCACTTGAGGTCGGGAGTTGCAGACCAGCCAGGCCAACATGGTGAAACCCTGTCTCTACTAAAAATACAAAAATTAGGCCAGGAGCTGTGGCCCACGCTCTAAATTCCAGCACTTTGGGAGGCAGAGGCGGGCGGATCACCTGAGGTTGGGAGTTGGAGGCCAGCCTGACCAACATGGAGAAACCCCGTCTCCACCAAAAATGCAAAATTAGCCAGGCGTGGTGGCGCATTCCTGTAATCCCAGCTACTCCGGAGACTAAGGCAGGAGAATCGCTTGAACCCTGGAGGCGGAGGTTCCAGGGAGCGGAGATAGCGCCATTGCACTCCAGCCTGGGCAACAAAAGCGAAACTCCATCTCAAAAAAAAAAAAATTAGCCGGGTGTGGTGGCACATGCCTGTAATCCCAGCTACTCGTGAGGCTGAGACAGGAAAATTGCTTGAACCCAGGAGGTGGAGGTTGCAGTGAGCTGCGATCGCACCATTGCACTCCAGCCTGGGCAACAGAGTGAGACTTTGTCTCAAAAAATAAAAATTATTATTTTAAAATTTTATGTTAAAAAATTGTAAACCCACTAGACTATAATGGCTGATAAATGCCTAACAAATAGTTGGCCTTGTATTTGTTTAATGAATAAAGGAATGAATGAACAATGTCCAGGTTCTAAATCTGTCTCTCCACCATTAACTTTGTGATCTTCGCTTGGCTTATTCTTACTCTTGATTTATTCTCCGTAGACCTTGATTTACACCTCAGTAGAATTTAACATTGTTTAGTAGGCTTTAAGTGAATGCCACTGTGGGAGGAGTTTTCGGGGAATAGACGAATAGAGTACAATACAGCCCTGCCACAGAGGAGCTTACACCCATAAAGAGGACCAACATAAACACAAAACAGTAAGAAAAGAAAAGCAAAGCCCCACTGAAACTTACGTGCAGTGTTCTTTGTAGTTGCTTCCCAGCATTCATTCTGCCCCTTCCTCAATGTGTAGCAGCTCCTGGATGGGTTGGGTAGGTTTGACTGCAAAGAGTTCTAGGTGCTGCCCTAGACTGGCCTGAGTCATTAAGGACTGTTATGTCATTCTGGCCACAGTATTAGATCACAACTGGGCATATAAATCTGATTAGTACTGAGCATTTATAGGCTTTGCCAAGTAGATCAAGTGTGGACCCGTGCCCTAAGGTAGGCTAATCAGAGGGAAGCCTAGGACATTTATTCAGTGATTAGAGATAAGACTTTCTGGCATGTGGAACACTCGCCATTTTGCTACAGTGAAGAGCCAACCTGAGAACCAACCCTTCTTGTGAGCAGAAAAATCACACACACACAAAATCTCAGCATTGACTTTGATACTCACTCTGCCTCTGTACTGGCCAGTTTTCTTGAGCCAATGCCTTTCTTGTAAGGTTTTAGATTGTTTGAGTTGAGATTTCTATTAGTTGCAATAGAAAGAATTCTGAAATAGGGTGCTACTTTGTCTCACCAGACCAGATTATTAATTTGGCATTTTTTCTAATCTATACTCCCCAATAATCATTCAATATATGTTCAAAGGAATGGCTGAGTGGTAAAGGGTAGAAAGGGCATGTTTCTCTTCACTGTTGTGATCATTTCTGCTCTGGTCTAGATTTATATATCCTCATTAAAAAGAAATCCCTGCACTTACTTGAATCCAACTTCCTTATAACATAGTAATGTGGTATACCCTTAAAGGGGAGTGGAGAAGGAGGGAGGTGCAGTAATCTTATCACTCACAAAAGGCCACATATCAAAGTACCAGTGCCAGCCACATGCTGAACTCTTCTACCAGAGGAATTCTATTAAATATATCCTTTTTCTTTATTACATTTCCAATGGTAAAATGTTTTAGTGCTCTTTATGGATTGAATCTCCAGGCAATTACCTGACTAGGCTACCGTCTTAAAATGGCTCCAAATTAGAAGATTCATTATAAGTACTGTGATTAAAGTGTCCTAAGTTTTTTTGTTTGTTTGTTTTTTGTTTCTGTTTTTGCTTTTTGGGACGGAGTCTCGCTCTGTTGCCCAGTCTGGAGTGCAGTGGCACGATCTCGGCTCACTGCAACCTCTGCCCCCCCGAATTTAAGCAATTCTCTGCCTCAGCCTCCCAAGTAGCTGGGATTACAGGCACCCGCCACCATGCCCAGCTAATTTTTGTACTTTTAGTAGAGATGGGGTTTCACCGTCTTGGTCAGGCTAGTCTTGAACTCCTGACCTCGTGATCCACCTGCCTTGGCCTCCCAAAGTGCTGGGATTACAGGCATGAGCTACTGCGCCTGGCATAAAGTGTCATAAGATTTTAATACACGAAGTCAAAAATCTCAGGAGTAGCTTTTCCATTTACTAGCTGTGTAACTTTAGCAAAGTCTCAACTTAATTTTTCTAATCTGGAAAAGAAAAATGACTACACCTATCTCAGGATGAGATACCTGATCTGATAGATCAGGTGTATGAGTGTACTCTGTAAATTTATAAAGTGAAAGATGGTAAATTTTTTGTATCTAAACAGCTAAGCTGATTTTGAATCTAAACAGCTGATAAACACATAACAAAAAAAAAAAAGCACTTCATTAAGAAACATAATTAAGAACCATATGATATATCCTAGTAATTTTAGCAAAGAGCATTCCAACCTGGTTGGACCAACCATGTAACCTTGAGTTTAGTTCCAAGCACCTGTCTTCTTAATCCTTTCACATCTGTCTCTGAACCCATTAGACTTTACTGATTTTAATATCTCTCTTTTCCTTCCCACTGATTACTTCCTCTCTCCCTATAACAGTGCTCAGGCCTCCCAGATGTTTTCCAAGCCACTTTACTTCTTTTGCTAAGCATATATCTATTTATATCACATTTCCTAACTCCTACACACTTTGCCAATACTGTCTTAGTCTTAGACTTTACCAAAACTAGTATCAAGGAAACTGAACAAGGAATTAAAAAAAAATTTTTCCTCACTTTTTTTTTTTTTTTTTGAGACAGGGTCTCACTCTGTCGCCCAGGCTAGAGTGCAGTGGCATGATCACAGCTCACTGCAACCTTCACCTCCCAGCTCAAGCAGTCTTCGTACCTCAGCCTCCCAAGTAGCTGGGACCACGGGCACACCACCACTCTCAGCTAATTTTTGTATCTTTTGTAGAGACAGGGTTTCACCATGTTGCCCAGGCTGTTTCAAACTCCTGGATTTAAATGATCCTCCCACCTTGGCCTCCCAAAGTGCTAGGATTACTGATGTGAGCCGCTGCTCCCGGCCTCAACTTTTTATTCTGAAAACCTTAATCACAAATTTGTTTCTTCTCCACTTTCACTGCATCACTTGACTAGCCTTTTAAAAAAAAAAACCAAATAATTAAAAAATAAAAAGTTGAGGCTGGGCGCGGTGGCTCACACCTATATTCCCAGCACTTCGGGAGGCTGAGGTGGGTGGATCGCCTGAGGTCGGGAGTTCGAGACTAGCCTGACCAACGTGGTGAAACCTCATGTCTATCCGCTAAAGAAATAAAATGAGCCAAGTGTGGTGGTGCATGCCTGTAATCCTAGCAACTTGGGAGGCTGAAGCAGGAGAATCGCTTGAACCCAGGAGGCAGAGGTTGCAGTGAGTGGAGATCATGCCATTGCATTCCAACCTGGGCAACAAAAGTGAAACTCCATCTCAAAAATAAATAAATAATAAAAAGTTGAAACATAAACTTCGAAAGCATAGCAGTATGGTTATCTGTATAAGATTTATAATTTAATATATAATATCATATTAATATAATATATATTTAATATATAATATTATATATGATATTGTATATATAATATAGTTAAATCCTTAGATCTGAAGTAAACACTTCAGTCCATATAGAAAAATTCTTATCAACATACAGAACTTTTTTTTTTTAGACCTTTAGTAAGATCTCAACTTATTTTTTTTTTAATTTTATTATTATTATACTTTAAGTTTTAGGGTACATGTGCACAACGTGCAGGTTTGTTACATATGTATACATGTGCCATGTTGGTGTGCTGCACCCATTAACTCGTCATTTAGCATTAGGTATATCTCCTAATGCTATCCCTCCCCCCTCCCCCCACCCCACAACAGTCCCCGTCCCCGGTGTGTGATGTTCCCCTTCCTGTGTCCATGTGTTCTCATTGTTCAATTCCCACCTGTGAGTGAGAACATGTGGTGTTTGGTTTTTTGTCCTTGCGATAGTTTGCTGAGAATGATGGTTTCCAGTTTCATCCATGTCCCTACAAAGGACATGAACTCATCATTTTTTATGGCTGCATAGTATTCCATGGTGTATATGTGCCACATTTTCTTAATCCAGTCTGTCATTGTTGGACATTTAGGTTGGTTCCAAGTCTTTGCTATTGTGAATAGTGCCTCTGTAAACATACATACATGTGCATGTGTCTTTATAGCAGCATGATTTATAATCCTTTGGGTATATACCCAGTAATGGGACGGCTGGGTCAAATGGTATTTCTAGTTCTAGATCCCTGAGGAATCGCCACACTGACTTCCACAATGGTTGAACTAGTTTACAGTCCCACCAACATTGTCAAAGTGTTCCAGCTGCTCCACATCCTCTCCAGCACCTATTGTCTCCTGACTTTTTAATGATCGACATTCTAACTGGTGGGAGATGGTATCTCATTGTGGTTTTGATTTGTATTTCTCTGATGGCCAGTGATGATGAGCATTTTTTCATGTGTCTTTTGGCTGCATAAATGTCTTCTTTTGAGACGTGTCTGTTCATATCCTTTGCCCACTTTTTGATAGGGTTGTTTGTTTTTTTCTTGTAAATTTGTTTGAGTTCATTGTAGATTCTGGATATTAGCCCTTTGTTGGATGAGTAGGTTGCAAAAATTTTCTCCCATTCTGTAGGTTGCCTGTTCACTCTGATGCTAGTTTCTTTCACTGTGCAGAAGCTCTTTAGTTTAATTAGATTCCATTTGTCAATTTTGGCTTTTGTTGCCATTGCTTTTGGTGTTTTAGACATGAAGTCCTTGCCCATGCCTATGTCCTGAATGGTATTGCCTAGGTTTTCTTCTAGGGTTTTTATGGTTTTAGGTCTAACATTTAAGTCTTTAATCCATCTTGAATTTATTTTTGTATAAGGTGTAAGGGAGGGATCCAGTTTCAGCTTTCTGCATATGGCTAGCCAGTTTTCCCAGCACCATTTATTAAATAGGGAATCCTTTCCCCATTGCTTGTTTTTGTCAGGTTTGTCAAAGATCAGATAGTTGTAGATATGCAGCATTATTTCTGAGGGCTCTGTTCTGTTACATTGGTCTATATCTCTGTTTTGGTACCAGTACCACACTGTTTTAGTTACTGTGGCCTTGTAGTATAGTTTGAAGTCAGGTAATGTGATGACTCCAGCTTTGTTCTTTTGGCTTAGGATTGATTTGACAATGCAGGCTCTTTTTTGGTTCCATATGAACTTTAAAGTAGTTTTTTTCTAATTCTGTGAAGAAAGTCATTGATAGCTTGATGGGGAAGGCATTGAATCTATAAATTACTTTGGGCAGTATGGCCATTTTCATGATATTGATTCTTCCTACCCATGAGCATGGAATGTTCTTCCATTTGTTTGTATCCTCTTGTATTTCGTTGAGCAGTGGTTTGTAGTTCTCCTTGAAGAGGTGCTTCACATCCCTTGTAAGTTGGATTCAATACCTTGTAAGGTATTTTATTCTCTTTGAAGCAATTGTGAATGGGAGTTCACTCACGATTTGGCTGTCTGTGTGTTATTGGTGTATAAGAATGCTTGCGATTTTTGTACATTGATTTTGTATCCTGAGACTTTGCTGAAGTTGCTTATCAGCTTGAGGAGATTTTGGGCTGAGATGATGGGGTTTTCTAAATATACAATCATGTCATCTGCAAACAGGGACAATTTGACTTCCTCTTTTCCCAATTGAATACCCTTTTTTTCCTTCTCCTGCCTGATTGCCCTGGCCAGAACTTCCAACAGTACGTTGAATGGGAGTGGTGAGAGAGGGCATCCCTGTCTTGTGCCAGTTTTCAAAGGGAATGCTCCAGTTTTTGCCCATTCAGTATGATATTGGCTGTGGGTTTCTCATAGATAGCTCTTATTATTTTGAGATACGTCCCATCAGTACCTAATTTATTGAGAGTTTTTAGCATGAAGTGTTGTTGAATTTTGTCAAAGGCCTTTTCTGCATCTATTGAGATAATCATGTGGTTTTTGTCTTTGGTTCTGTTTATATGTTGGATTACATTCATTGATTTGCATATGTTGAACCAGCCTTGCATCCCAGGGATGAAGCCCACTTGATCATGGTGGATAAGCTTTTTGATATGCTGCTGGATTCGGTTTGCCAGTATTTTATTGAGGATTTTTGCATCAGTGTTCATCAAGGATATTGGTCTAAAATTCTCTTTTTTTGGTTGTGTCTCTGCCAGGCTTTGGTGTCAGGATGATGCTGGCCTCATAAAATGAGTTATGGAGGATTCCCTCTTTTTCTATTGATTGGAATAGTTTCAGAAGGCATGGTACCAGCTCCTCTTTGTACCTCTGGTAGAATTCGGCTGTGAATCCATGTGGTCCTGGACTTTTTTTTGGTTGTTAAGCTATTGATAATTGCCTCAATTTCAGAGCCTGTTATTGGTCTATTCAGAGATTCAACTTCTTCCTGGTTTAGTCTTGGGAGGATGTATGTGTCGAGGAATTTATCCATTTCTTCTAGATTTTCTAGTTTATTTGCGTAGAGGTGTTTATAGTATTCTCTGATGGTAGTTTGTATTTCTGTGGGATCGGTGGTGATATCCCCTTTATCATTTTTTATTGCGTCTATTTGATTCTTCTCTCTTTTCTTCTTTATTAGTCTTCCTAGCGGTCTATCAATTTTGTTGATCTTTTCAAAAAACCAGCTCCTGGATTCATTAATTTTTTGAAGGGTTTTTTGTGTCTCTATTTCCTACAGTTCTGCTCTGATCTTAGTTATTTCTTGCCTTCTGCTAGCTTTTGAATGTGTTTGCTCTTGCTTTTCTAGTTCTTTTAATTGTGATGTTAGGGTGTCAATTTTAGATCTTTCCTGCTTTCTCTTGTGGGCATTTAGTACTATAAATTTCCCTCTACACACTGCTTTGAATGTGTCCCAGAGATTCTGGTATGTTGTGTGTTTTTTCTCGTTGGTTTCAAAGAACATCTTTATTTCTGCCTTCATTTTGTTATTTACCCAGTAGTCATTCAGGAGCAGGTTGTTCAGTTTCCTTGTAGTTGAGTGGTTTTGAGTGAGTTTCTTAATCCTGAGTTCTAGTTTGATTGCACTGTGGTCTGAGAGACAGTTTGTTATAATTGCTGTTCTTTTACATTTGCTGAGAAGTGCTTTACTTCCAACTATGTGGTCAATTTTGGAGTAGGTGTGGTGTGGTGCTGAAAAGAATGTATATTCTGTTGATTTGAGGTGGAGAGTTCTGTAGATGTCTATTAGGTCCGCTTGGTGCAGAGCTGAGTTCAATTCCTGGGTATCCTTGCTAACTTTCTGTCTCATTGATCTGTCTAATGTTGACAGTGGGGTGTGAAAGTCTCCCATTATTATTGTGTGGGAGTCTAAGTCTCTTTGTAGGTCACAAAGGACTTGCTTTATGAATCTGGGTGCTCCTGTATTGGGTGCATATATATTTAGGATAGTTAGCTCTTCTTGTTGAATTGATCCCTTTACCATTATGTAATGGCCTTCTTTGTCTCTTTTGATCTTTGTTGGTTTAAAGTTTGTTTTATCAGAGACTAGGATTGCAACCCCTGTCTTTTTCTGTTTTCCATTTGCTTGGTAGATCTTCCTCCATCCCTTATTTTGAGCCTATGTGTGTCTCTGCATGTGAGATGGGTTTCCTGAATACAGCACGCTGATGGGTCTTGACTTTTTATCCAATTTTCCAGTCTGTGTCTTTTAATTGGAGCATTTAGCCCATTTACATTTAAAGTTAATATTGTTATGTGTGAATTTGATCCTGTCATTATGATGTTAGCTGGTTATTTTGCTTGTTAGTTGGTGCAGTTTCTTCTTAGCCTTGATGGTGTTTACAATTTGGCATGTTTTTGCAGTGGCTGGTACTGGTTGTTCCTTTCCATGTTTAGTGCTTCCTTCAGGAGCTCTTTTAGGGCAGGCCTCGTGGTGACAAAATCTCTCAGCATCTGCTTGTCTGTAAAGTATTTTATTTCTCCTTCACTTATGATGCTTAGTTTGGCTGGATATGAGATTCTGGGTCGAAAATTCTTTTCTTTAAGAATGTTGAATATTGGTCCCCACTCTCTTCTGGCTTGTAGAGTTTCTGCTGAGACATCAGCAGTTAGTCTGATGGGCTTCCCTTTGTGGGTAACCCGACCTTTCTCTCTGTCTGCCCTTAACATTTTTTCCTTCATTTCAACTTTGGTGAATCTGACAATTATGTGTCTTGGAATTGCTCTTCTCGAGGAGTATTTTTGTGGCATTCACTGTATTTCCTGAATCTGAATGTTGGCCTGCCTTGCTAGATTGGGGAAGTTCTCCTGGATAATATCCTGCAGAGTGTTTTCCAACTTGGTTCCATTCTCCCCGTCATTTTCAGGTACACCAATCAGACGTAGATTTGGTCTTTTCACATAGTCCTATATTTCTTGGAGGCTTTGTTCGTTTCTTTTTATTCTTTTTTCTCTACACTTCTCTTCTCGCTTCATTTCATTCATTTCGTGTTCCATCACTGATACCCTTTCTTCCAGTTGATTGCATCGGCTACTGAGCCTTCTGCATTCGTCACGTAGCTCTTGTGCCTTGGTTTTCAGCTCCATCAGGTCCTTTAAGGACTTCTCTGCATTGGTTATTCTAGTTATCCATTCGTCTAATTTTTTTTCAAAGCTTTTAACTTCTTTGCCATTGGTTCGAATTTCCTCCTGTAGCTCGGAGTAGTTTGATCGTCTGAAGCCTTCTTCTCTCAACTCGTCAAAGTCATTCTCCATCCAGCTTTGTTCCGTTGCTGGTGAGGAGCTGCGTTCCTTTGGAGGAGGAGAGGCACTGTGATTTTTAGAGTTTCCGGTTTTTCTACCCTGTTTTTTTCCCATCTTTGTGGTTTTATCTACCTTTGGTCTTTGATGATGGTGACGTACAGATGGGTTTTTGGTGTGGATGTCCTTTCTGTTTGTTAGTTTTCCTTCTACCAGACAGGACCCTCAGCTGCAGGTGTGTTGGAATTTGCTAGAGGTCCACTCCAGACCCTGTTTGCCTGGGTATCAGCAGCGGTGGCTGCAGAACAGCGGATATTGTGAACTGCAGATGCTGCTGCCTGATCGTTCCTCTGGAAGTTTTGTTTCAGAAGAGTACCTGGCCGTGTGAGGTGTCAGTCTGCCCCTACTGGGGGGTGCCTGCCAGTTAGGCTACTCGGGGGTCAGGGACCCACTTGAGGAGGCAGTGTGCCTGATTTCAGATCTGAAGCTGCATGCTGGGAGAACCACTACTCTCTTCAAAGCTCAGTTGGAAATGCAGAAATCACCTGTCTTCTGCATCACTCACGCTGGGAGATGTGGACCGGAGCTGTTCCTATTTGGCCATCTTGGCTCCTCCCCCCTGATACGGAACATTTTCATCAACCCCAGGAAGATCCCTATTCCCCCTTCCCAGTCAAACCTCCCACCAGAAACAACTTTTGATCTGATTTCTTTCTCTTTTTTTTGAGACAGAGTCTCACTCTGTTGCCCAGCCTGGAGTGCAATGGCACGATCTTGGCTCGCTGCAACCTCCACCTCCAGAGTTCAAGCAATTTTCCTGCCTCAGCCTCCTGAGTAGCTGTTATTACAGGCATGCGCCACCACGCCCTGCTAATTTTTTTTGTACTTTTAGTAGAGACGGGTTTTCACCATTTGGGCAGGCTGGTCTCGAACTCCTGACCTTGTGATTCACCCACCTCGGCCTCCCAAAGTGCCGGGATTACAGGCGTGAGCCACTGTGCCCGGCTTTGCTCTGATTTCTAATACTAAAGTTTAGTTTTTTATATTTTAACATTTAATATAAGTGGAATCATACAGCGTATACTCTTCTGCTTGGCTTTTTAAATTCAGCATAAATTATTTGAGGTTGACATGTTGCATATTTCAATTCTTTTTTTGTTTTTTTATTTTTTGAGACAGAGTCTCACTCTGTTGCCCAGGCTGGAGTGCAATGGCATGATCGCAGCTCACTGCAACCTCCACCTTCTGGGTTCAAGCAATTCTCCTGCCTCAGCCTCCCAAGTAGCTGGGCCTACAGGTGTGTGCCACCATGCCCAGCAAATTGTTGTATTTTTAGTAGAGACGGAGTTTCACCATGTTGGCCAGGCTGATCTCAAACTCCTGGCCTCAGGTGATCCACCTGCCTCAGCCTCCCGAAGTGCTGGGATTGCAGGCATGGGCTATCACGCTTGGCCACAATTCATTTCTTTTTATTGCTGAGTAGTATTCTATTGTATGAATAGACCCCAACTTATCCTTTCTCTTGCTGATGGACATTTAAGTTGTTTCCAGGTTTTGATTATTGTAAATAAATGCTATCAACTTTCTTATACGGGGCATTTTATAGATATCTTATTTTATTTCTCTAAAATAAATATTTAAGAATGGAATTGCTGGAACATAGAGAAGAAGTATGTTTAAATTTTTTATTTATTTATTTTTTTGAGACAGAGTTTCACTCTTGTCACCCGGGCTAGAGTACAGTGATGTGATCTCAGCTTACTGCAACCTCTGCCTCCCAGGTTTGAGTGATTCTCCTGTCTCAGTCTCCCGAGTAGGTGGGATTACAGGCGCATGCCACCACGCCGGGCTAATTTTTGTACTTTTAGTGGAGACAGTGTTTCACCATGTTGGCCAGGCTGGTCTCGAACACTTGACATCAGGTGATCCGCCCTCGTCGACCCCCAAAGTGCTGGGATTACAGGCATGAGTCACTGCACCTGGTCCTTAACTTTTTACTAAACTGTCAAATATTTATACAACTTTTCAGACTCTCACCAGCATTGTATGTGGTTAATAACTTTTCAATGATCAAATATTTTTGCTCAACATTTTCCTTAACCTTGAAATTATTTGATAATATTGAATATCAGCCCTTCTTTGAAATGCTTGTTCTTGACTTCATGATAGAACTCTGTTGTCTTCTTTCTATTTTGCCAAGTTATCTCTATATGCCTCTTTTTACATATCACTAATATATTCAGTTTCAAATATCTTCTATTCTCATAATTTGTCACTACTATTAAAATTTATAGACTATGAGTTAAATGACCTAGATTCCAGAACAGAACCTTCTTCAAGATATCTTTTTGACATAGATTCATAACATACACTAGTAGGATGAAGATAAATCTGCTTTTAGAGGGAATTTATGTCCAGTGAATGAAGTTAGAAAAAAGAAAAGCAGGCCGGGTGCGACGGCTCACACCTATAATCCCAGCACTATGGGAGGCCGAGGCAGGTGGATCACCTGAGGTCAGGAGTTCGAGACCAGCCTGGCCAACATGGTGAAACCCTGTCTCTACTGAAAATACAAAAATTAGTGGGTGTTGTGGCAGGCACCTGTAATTCCAGCTAGTTGGGAGGCTGAGGCAGGAGGATTGCTTGAACCTGGGAGGTGTAGGTTGCAGTGAGCAACCATTGCACCTCAGCTTGGGTGACAGAGTGAGACTCCATGTTAAAAAAAATAAATAGGCCAGGCGCAGTGGTTCACACCTGTAATCCCAGCACTTTGGGAGGCCAAGGCAGGCAGGTCATGAGGTCAGGAGTTTGAGACCAGCCTGGCCAACATGGTGAAACCTGGTCTCTCCTAAAAATACAAACAAATTAGCCAGGCATGGTGGCACACGCCTGTAGTCCTAGCTACTCGGGAGGCTGAAGAAGAATTGCTTGAACCCAGGATGCGGAGGTTTCAGTGAGCTGAGATCATGCCACTGCACTCCAGCCTTGGCAATAGAGTGAGACTCCGTCTCAGGAAATAATAATAATAATAATAATAATAATAATAATAATAAATAAATAAATTAGCCAGGCGTGGTGACATGTGCCTGTAGTACTAGCTACTTGGGAGGCTGAGGCAGAAGAATCGTTTGAACCCAGGAAGCGGAGGTTGCAGTGAGCTGAGATCGCTCCACTGCACTCCAGCCTGGGCAACAGAGTGAGATTCCGTCTCAAAATAAAAAAAGAAATAAATCAAAATAAAATAAAAAATTTAAAATTAAATAGAATTCAAAATTTAAAAAGGCAGGGTGTGGTGGCTCACACCTGTAATCCTAGCACTTTGGGAGGCAGAGGTGGGTGGATCACCTGAGGTCAGGAGTTCGAGACCAGCCTGGCCAACATGGTGAAACCCCGTTTCTACTAAAAATACAAAAAATTAGCTGGGCGTGGTCGCACACACCTGTGGTCAAAGCTACTCAGGAGACTGAGGCAGGAGAATCACTTGAATTCAGGAGGCGGAGGTTGCAGTGAGTCAAAATCATACCATTGCACTCCGGCCTGGACAACAGAGCAAGACTGTCAGAAAGAAAGAAAGAGAGGGAAAGAGAGAAAGAAAGAAAGAGGAAGGAAGGAAGAGAGAGAGAAAGAGAGAAAAAAGAGAGAGAGAGGGAGAGGGGGAGGGAGGAAATAAAGGTAGAATAAAAGAAATAAAGACAGCAGTAGAAAATAATTAAATGGAAAAAACAATAAAATAGAGACCAATACAGTTAAAGTGTTGCTCTTTGAAAGCAATTATAAATAGACAAATCTCTAGCAAGAATTTTCTTTTTTTTTCTTGTTTTCTTTTCTTTTCTTTTTTTTTTTGAGACGGGGTCTCGTTCTGTTGCCAGGCTGGAGTGCACTGGCGATCTTGGCTCACTGTAACCTCCGACTCCTGGGTTCAAGTGATTCTCCCACCTCAGCCTCCCAAGTAGCTGGGATTACAGGTGCGTGCTACCATGCCCGGCTAATTTTTTTGTATTTTTAGTAGAGACAGGGTTTCACTGTGTTAGCCAGGATGGTCTCGATCTCCTGACCTCGTGATCCGCCCGCCTTGGCCTCCCAAAGTGCTGGGATTACAGGCGTGAGCCACCACGCCCGTCCCACTAGCAAGAATTTTCAAGAAAAGCATTAGAAGACAATAACAAAATTTACATTTAGGAGCCAACCATAATTATAGATTCTGCAGAAATTTTAAAATAAAAGAATAAATAGTTTCCTTCCAATAAATATGAGAACACAGAAGAAATGTACACAAACTACTAAAAGAAATTAAAAAATGAAAGGGCTGGGCACGGTGGCTCACACCTGTAATTCCAGCACTTTAGGAGACCAAGGCGAGTGGATTACCTGAGGTCAGGAGTTTGAGACCAGCCTGGCCAATGTGGTGAAACACTGTGTGTAATAAAAATACAAAAACTAGTTGGCATGGTGCTGTGCGCCTGTATGCACCGCCACTCAGGAGGCTGAGGCATGAGAATCACTTGAACCCAGGAGGCGGAGGTTGCAGTAAGCCGAGATCGTGCCACTGCACTCTAGCTTGGGCAACAGAGCAAGACTCTGTCTCAAAAAAAAAAAAAAAAAAAAAAAAGCATTCTTCACTCATTTCGCAAGGCTATTATAACTTTGATGCCAAAACCAGGCAAAGGTAGTTTTTTTGTTTGCTTGTTTGTTTTGAGACAGAGTCTTGCTCTGTTGCCCAGACTGGAGTGCAATGGTGCGATCTCAGCTCACTGCAACCTCTGCCTTCTGGGTTCAAGCGATTCTCCTGCCTCAACCTCCTTAGTAACTGGGATTACAGGCGCGCTACCATGCCCCACTAATTTTTGTATTTTTAATAGAGACAGGGTTTCACTATGTTGGCCAGGCTGGTCTCAAACTCCTGACCTCAGGTGATCCGCCCTCCTCGGCCTCCAAAAGTGCTGGGATTACAGGCGTTAGCCACTGCACCCAGCCAAGGTAGTTTTTTAAATCTCACTTATAAACTGCAAATTTACCTCAGGAATTCAAGGACGATCTCATGTTAACATATATATTTTATAACTTGGTAATTTGATCCAACTCACCATCTGAGGACAACAAAAAAGCTGGATTAAAAAAAATAGAAGCAAATATCTAATATAAGGAATTATCTGGCCAAAATCTAGATGACGATATTCAAGGAAATTAAGCCAAGCATTTTTTCTGAAGGAATTTACCAATGCAAAGGCAAAATTGACAAACTGAGTTGTGATTTTTGCAAGATTATGGGGCAAGAGAAAAAGAAATCTAAATCTAGTGCCCACAGGAGATGAAGAGGTTAATAAACATGCTCCATATTTAATATGAGGCCCCATAGGGTAAAAATAAACCAGAGGTAGGTCAGCACTTCCACAAATTGCAGTCTGGTTTTATACTAATCAGGAAATCTGAAACCCAGAATGTTGAATAAACTGGTCCTAGACTGGCAATTCATAGGCACCAGGCATAAACAAACAAAAATTATCTCCACAATAAGGTATCATCAGCCTAAATGTCAAAATATCTTTTTTTAAAATTTTATTATTATTATACTTTAAGTTTTAGGGTACATGTGCACAATGTGCAGGTTTGTTACATATGTATACATGTGCCATGTTGGTGTGCTGCACCCATTAACTCGTCATTTAGCATTAGGTATATCCCCTAATGGCTATCCCTCCCCCCTCCCCCCACCCCATAACAGTCCCCGTCCCCAGTGTGTGATGTTCCCCTTCCTGTGTCCATGTGTTCTCATTGTTCAATTCCCACCTATGAGTGAGAACATGTGGTGTTTGGTTTTTTGTCCTTGCGATAGTTTGCTGAGAATGATGGTTTCCAGTTTCATCCATGTCCCTACAAAGGACATGAACTCATCATTTTTTATGGCTGCATAGTATTCCATGGTGTATATGTGCCACATTTTCTTAATCCAGTCTGTCATTGTTGGACATTTAGGTTGGTTCCAAGTCTTTGCTATTGTGAATAGTGCCGCTATAAACACACGTGTGCGTGTGTCTTTATAGCAGCATGATTTATAGTCCTTTGGGTATATACCCAGTAATGGGATGGCTGGGTCAAATGGTATTTCTAGTTCTAGATCTCTGAGGAATCGCCACACTGACTTCCACAATGGTTGAACTAGTTTACAGTCCCACCAACAGTGTCAAAGTGTTCCTATTGCTCCACATCCTCTCCAGCACCTGTTGTCTCCTGACTTTTTAATGATCGCCATTCTAACTGGTGCGAGATGGTATCTCATTGTGGTTTTGATTTGCATTTCTCTGATGGTCAGTGATGATGAGCATTTTTTCACGTGTCTTTTGGCTGCATAAATGTCTTCTTTTGAGAAGTGTCTGTTCATATCTTTCGCCCACTTTTTGATGGGGTTGTTTGCTTTTTTCTTGTAAATTTGTTTGAGTTCATTGTAGATTCTGGATATTAGCCCTTTGTCAGATGAGTAGGTTGCAAAAATTTTCTCCCATTCTGTAGGTTGCCTGTTCACTCTGATGCTAGTTTCTTTTGCTGTGCAGAAGCTCTTTAGTTTAATTAGATTCCATTTGTCAGTTTTGGCTTTTGTTGCCATTGCTTTTGGTGTTTTAGACATGAAGTCCTTGCCCATGCCTATGTCCTGAATGGTATTGCCTAGGTTTTCTTCTAGGGTTTTTATGGTTTTGGGTCTAACATGTAAGTCTTTAATCCATCTTGAATTAATTTTTGTATAAGGTGTAAGGAAGGGATCCAGTTTCAGCTTTCTACATATGTCTAGCCAGTTTTCCCAGCACCATTTATTAAATAGGGAATCCTTTCCCCATTGCTTGTTTTTGTCAGGTTTGTCAAGATCAGATAGTTGTAGATATGTGGCTAAATGTCAAAATATCTTATAAATAATTTGCTCAAAAAATGACCAGTATTTAGTCAAAAATTAGCAGACCATACATGGAAACAAACATTTTGAGTCAGAACTAACAGAAATGTCAAACAAAAGGAAACCTACCAGAGCAACCAGAAAAAGACTGCAATAAGAGCATGCTTACACATGTGCATGCTTGAAAAAAATAACCTAATAGAAACTCTAGAATTAATAGGTTTAAGAACCCAGTGTATAGATTTAATAGCATATTGCACACAGTTTAAGATAATTACTAACCAGAACACATGCTAGAAGACTACTTAGGGCCGCAACACCCACTGACTCCCTGAGTCAGCTAGGAGGAGAAACCAAGGCACAGGAAGCCCAACAGGAAGTAAACTCTGCAGCCTTGTTTTCCTGAGGAAGCTGCTGACAAAGTGGCCCAGCCAGCACAGTTATTTTAAGGAGGTGCCGCCACCTCTTTGGGGCAGCAAAAATATCTCTTCTGGAGCCTTCGAAGGCTAAATGGACTATATTGTCCAGGCTGGACTCGAACTCCTGAGCTCAAGCAAGACTTCCACCTCAGCCTCCAGAGTAGCTCGTACTACAGGCATGTGCCACTGCAACAGGATAGTTTTATGTATTTAAATAAGTTTACATTGAAAAAGAAAAAAAAAGAGCCCGGGCATGGTGGCTCACACCTGTAATCCCAGCACTTTGGGAGGGTGAGGTAGGCGGATCGCAAAGTCAGGTGTTCGAGGCCAGCCTGATCAACATGGTGAAACCCCATCTCTACTAAAAATACAAAAATTAGCCAGGCATGGTGGTGTGTGCCTGTAGTCCCAGCTACTCAGGAGGCTGAGGCAGGAGAATCACTTGAACCTGGGAGGCAGAGGTTGCAGTGAGCTGAGATTGCACCACTGCCCTCCAGCCTGGGCAACAGAGCAAGACTCCATCTCAAAATTTAAAAAAAAAGACCCTCTGGACCAGTAGGAACTATAAATGAACTATAAATATCTGTTGAGGATGCCATAGTTGAGACTTCCTTGAGTGACTTAAATTTACCAGTAAAATAAACAATTTCAAGTTTGTATGCACCTAATAATATGGCCTCAGTGTATGATACAGAACCACAATGAGAAACAGACAAAATCCACTTTTCTATGGTGGAACATTTTACCATACCTATCTCAGTAACTGAGCCCCAAAATCAAACAAAACATCATTAAAGATATAGATTTTTGAAATGACATGATTAACAAACATAACCCAATTTATATATTAATGTTCACAAATGCATTATTTCAAGTGCACGTGGATTATTTGTAAAAGTTTAACATACTCTGACAATAGAGCAAGTGCCCATAAATTTTAAAGAACTGAAATCATACAGAGTACAGTCTGTGCACAATTAAGCTAGAAGTCAATAATGAATAATAACCAGAAAATCTTAATTTTTATATTTAAAAATTAAGAAATACTTTTCTACATAACCTGGGGGTGCTGGGCATGGTGGTATGCACCTGTATTCTCAGCTATTCAAGAGGCTCAGGTGGGGGGATCGATTGAGCCCATAAGTTTGAGACCAGCTTGGGCAACATAGCGAGATTCCATCTCAAATGAATAATCTAGGGGTCAAAAGAGAAATCACCATGAAAATTTTAAAACTATTTACCTGAATGATGATGAAAATACTACATATCCAAATTTATGGGCCAGACACGGTGACTTATGCCTGTAATCCCAGCACTTTGGGAGGCTGAGGCAGGTGGATCACTTGAGATGAGGAGTTCGAGACCAGCCTGGCCAACATGGCGAAACCCCATCTCTACTAAAAATATTTAAAAAATTAGCCAAGTGTGGTGGCGGGTGCCTGTAATCCCAGCTACTCCGGAGGCTTAGGCAGGAGATTCGCTTGAACCCGGGAGGCGGAGGTTGCAGTGAGACAAGATCATGCCATTGCACTCCAGCCTGGGCAACAGAGCAAAACTTCTTCTCAAAAAGAAAAACAAAAAAATTACTAGGTATGCCAGAAAACAAGATTAAGTGACTATAAACCAATGTGGGAGGTTTGTGAGGAACTGCTAAAAATCTGTTTTTCACTCACCTCTCTATCAGGAAGGCTGTCATGAGGCAGTTTTTCATCACTTTCCAGGTTCTGATGAGGTGTTAGAAACCACTATAAGAGTATGAACTCTTGATATGGTCTGATGAGAATGTACTTTACCTCTGTGATCTTCCTAAATCGCATAACCCCAGTTTTTCATGAGAAAAACATAGACAAATTTCAATTGAGAGGCATTCTACAAAATACCTGTCCAGTACTCCTAAAAATATAAAGGTCATCAAAAACAAAGTCAGAGAAACTGTCACAGCCTAGAGGAGACTAAGGAGACATAATAGCTAAATGTTTTTTGTTTTTTAAAATTTTTATTATTATTATTTTCTATTTATTTTTATTTTTTAATAGCTAAATGTTATATGGTATCCTGGCTGGGATCCTGAAACAGAAAAGAACACTAGGTACAAACTAAAGAAATCTGAATAAAGTATGGGCTTTAGTTAATAATAATGTATCAATGTTTGTGTGATCTTTTTCACCAAGCTGCATATATACATGCTTCTAAATTCCCTCCAGCTTACCAATGTAACACACAAATTTTATCATTTCTGAGTTCTATGACCTGAAAAAGTTTAGGAAGCACTGACCTAGAGAAACTCTCATACATGTACATGTGCACTAGGAGACATGTACAAGGATATTTATTGCATCACTGTTTGTAATCGTGAAAAAATGAAAACTGAACCTGTCCATCAACATGATAGTAGATACTGTGATATATTCCTGCAAAAGAATACTATGTGGGCCAGGCTCGGTGACTTGCACCTGTAATCCTAGCACTCTGAGAAGCCGAGGCAGGAGGATCACTTGAGCCCAGGAGTTAGAAACCAGCTGGGGCAACATAGGGAGATCTCCCTTCATACAAAAATTAGCTGTGCATGGTGGTGCACACCTGTAGTCCCAGCTAATTGGGAGGCTGAGGTGGGAGGATCACTTGAGCCTGGAAAGTTGAGGCTGCAGTGAGCCATGTTTGTGCCACTGCACTCCTGGGTGACAAAGCAAGACTCTGTCTCAAAAAATTAAAAAAAAATGCTTTGTGTAGAATAAGAAAAAAATGAATAAACTAGAGCTACATATAAAAACATGGGCAAATCTCAAAAACAATGTTAAATGAAAAGGTCAAGTTGGAAAAAGTTATCTACTCTTTATATATGTTTTTCAAAAAACATAAATGCTATATATTCATGGATATATACATATGTGATAAAAATTCAAAACCTTACATGTGAATGGTGACTATCAAAACCAGGACAGCTGGTACCTCTGGGGGATGGGAATAGGATCTGTAAAGGCTATTTTGGGTATTCCACTATACTTAACACAGTTTTCTTTCTTTAAAAAAGAAAGGATCTGAAGCAAATATGGCAAAATGTTAGGATTTGATAGATCTGGAAGGTGAATATATCAATGTATTATTCTCTACACTTGTATGCTTAAGATATTTTATAACAAAATAAACACAAAATATATCCTAACTCTGATCGTTCTTCAATACTTCCACTGCTACTGCCACCATTTGACCTGGATAACTTTCAGTAGCCATCTATCTTATCTCCTTGCTTTCTCTCTCATTCCATATAACATCCATGATAATATTTTATAAATATAAATTAGATCTCACCACCCTCCTATTCAAAATCTTTCAATGGGTTTACATTACTCTAAAAATAAGAATCAAATGCCTTATCACATTCCGCAGTCCCTTGTTTCAACTCCCTTTATCCCTGGTTCACTTAGTGTCACTATCCTTCCTCCAGTATCATTATCTATCCTCTCAAACTGCTTGATTTTCTTTATGGAATATATCACTACCTCAAATTATATTAATACATGTATTATGGGTATGATCAATTCCTGCACCCCCAGTCCTTTGCTAGCATATAAGTTCAGTGAAGGCAGGGACTTTATTCTCTATTCTATCCCCATTGATTGACTCACGTCAAGTATGAAATAAGTATTTTCAGAATAAATGACGAAATGAGGCTAGGCATGGTGGTTCATGCCTATAATCCCAGCACTTTGGGAGGCCGAGGCGGGCAGATCACAAGGTCAGGAGATCAAAACCATCCTGGCCAACATGGTGAAACCCCGTCTCTACTAAAAAGACAAAAATTAGCTGAGTGTGGTGGCACGCACCTGCAGTGCCTTGGGAGTCTGAGGCAGGAGAATTGTTGAACCCGGGAGGCGGAGGTTGCAGTGAACCGAGATTGTGCCACTGCACTCCAGCCTGAGCGGCAGAATGAGACTGCATCTCACAATTAAAAAAAAAAAAAAGAAAAGAAAAGAATGATTTATTTTCATTCAAAAAGAGAAGGGATGTCATCTCAGTGGTAAAATATGGCAGAATCAAATGTATGGAGGCTGAAACTTACAGGGTATTCTATCAACAGTCACAACACTAATAGCCAAAACCCATAAAGTATTCATCGTGTGCCAGGCATTTCCAAGCACTGGAATCACATACTTTTTGGGGTGCATGTCAACTTTGTTTTCCTTCTTATAGGCCCTGCAGACCTATTCATATCTGAGATCTTGCATGCTAGCCACAGTTGATTTGATTTGAAAGCAACACTGATTGAGAGAAAAGTCCATCCATTAGTCAGAGACAGCATTCTTTTCCTTGCAAGTTTGAGCTGATTGATGTGTAGGCTAAAGAAGTTTGAAGATGAGTCATACTAATGGCAGGACACTTTGGAGTGAAGGGAACAGCTGTTGAGGCCCCTGAAGCTACACTGGTCTCTGCCCTTTCTGAACCTTGTTGCTCAATGTTTCCTTGGCTTAATGACATAGGTTACCCTGCTATCCTTCCAGTAAAATACACCCCCTTCATTTTTAAAACTAACAGAGCTAAGTCTCTTTGTTTTGTTGATTATTCAGTCTCTTACAGACAAAAAAAGCAAACAATCTCTAAATCAAGGAAACTTGAGTAAGGCAGTCCTTTCCACTCCTTGTCTCATTTAATCCCTACCACATTATGAGAGATTATTACTGTTCCCATTTTGCATATGAAGAAACAAAGTTTGAACAGGTCCAATACCTTTCCTAAAATTAGGAGTTAGTGATGGGGCAAGATTCCAGCCCTGGCCTGTATGACTCCAGAGCAGAGCTCTGAACTGTTATGTGGGGCTACAGGAAGGCCAGTAATAGGACTGCAGTAGAGATGAAGTTGGGAAGACAGGGCCAACATTGTGATACCATTCAGGGTAAATTAGAAAATAACACAGTGATGGGGCAAAAACCAGATTTCACTCTGTTTGTGGATAAGATCCAATAAAAGCTCTTTAGTCTTACATTCCAACAATCTTTGGCAGAGAGGATATATACCAACACAGAATGTCTGTGTGATTAAAACGCTCTCTCTCTCTTTGACAGAGTTGACAGTGTTTAAAGAATGACAGGATACATTTTTTAGAAACATAGAAAAATGGAGTTTTAACAATATATATTCAGAGATGGCTTGTAGTTGACTGTCACAAGGTTTGCAGTTAGGCAGGCACATTTCTTGTCATTCTTGAAAACTCCCTCTCAATCTTGCATGCCTAGAGAAGCTCTGCTGAAGACAGTTTGACATGAATGAGGCTATGAAGACAGAATTCCAAGGTAGGGAGGGGACAAGGAGAGAAAGGGTTTGATGAATTAATGTATGATTTGAACAGAGTTAATAAAACAAAAAGCTTATGATTAGCCATAATCCCAGCATTTTGGGAGGCCGAGTTGGGACAATCACTTGAGGCCAGGAGTTTGACATCAGCCTGGCTAACATAGCTGGACTCCTGCTCTACAGAAAAATTTAAAAATTACCTGTGTATGGTGGCATACTCCTATAGTCCCACATAGTTGGGAGGCTGAGGTGGGAGGATCACTTGAACCCAGGAGTTCCAGGCTGCAGTGAGCTATTGTGATGGTGCCACTGCACTCCAGCCTGAGAGAGCAAGACCTTGTCTCCAAAAACAAACAAACAAAAAAACTTATGATTAAAAAACACTCAGAATCCCAGCGTTTTGGGATGCCAAAGCGGGTGGATTACCTGGGGTGAGGAGTTTGAAACCAGCTTGGCCAACATGGTGAAACCCCATCTCTAATAAAAATACAAAAATTAGTCAGGTGAGATGGCAAGCACCTGTAATCCCAGCTACTGGGGGTAGGGGTAGGGGGGCTGCTGAGGCAGGGGAATCGCTTGATCCCAGGAGGTGGGGGTTGCACTGAGCCGAGATCATGCCACTGCATGCCAACCTGGGCAACAAAGCCAGACTCCATCTCAAAAAACAAAAAACAAACAAACAAAAGCCCATTCAGAAATCACCTTACAAAACATCCTTGCTGTCACAGAAAGAATAAGTGGAATAATTGGTTTTCTCCAACTAAAATTGGATTATATTTTTTCAATACTTTAAAAAATAATGTGCCTTGGAGGTGGGGAGGGGTGGGGAGGAAAAGCAAAAAATAAAAATAAAAATAAAGTGCCTTGAGAAACAAATGGTAGGCTTGAGCTCTATTTTCGTATCCACCTAATAGTATAATTTTGTTTCTCTTTTTTGAGACAGGGTCTCACTCCTGTTGAGTAGTTGGGACTATAGGTGTGTAAATAATTTCTTCAAAAAAAGTGCTGCTTTCTTCCATTTTGGAGTCAATTTTGCACACATTAGAATGCCTAATATTATCCTAAAAAGGCTCTGTTTATTCTTGTTTTCCAACTGTTACACATAAAGTTTTGGTGTGGCAAAAGGAATAGCACTCGAATATAAAATTTTCTTTTTAATTCTCAGCAAGGCAAGTTACTTCTATAGAAGGGTGCCTACCCTTACAGATGGAGCAATGGTGAGCGCACACTTGGACAGGGGAGGGGAAGGGGTGCGCCTGTTGCTGTGTCGTTTCCTACCAGCTAGGGTTACAGGGCACAGGCTAAACTAATTCCGATTGGCTAATTTAAATTAAAGGGTGAGTGCTTTGGCGGGAGTCAGGGCAGAGCAGGTATCAGGTAATCGGAATGAGTCAAGGTGGAGTAGGTAATCGAAAAAGGTTGCTCTATGAGGAAGTTAAGTTTAAAAGTAGAAGGCAAATAATTGAAGATACTGACATATTCTTTGAAAAGAAATTTAGAACTCATATCTAATACAGCCTTTTGTTTTGTTCTCCATATATTTCACCTTGTATAGTTTCTGCTGTTACATTACCAAGTTCACTAATCCTTTTTCTGCAATTCTAATCAGCTGTTAAGCTCATCCAGTAAATTTTTAATTTCAGAAGTTCATTTTGGGTCAGGCATGGTGGCTCACGCCTGTAATCCCAACACTTTGGGAGGCCGAGGTGGGCGGATCACGAGGTCAGGAGATTGAGACCATCTTGGCCAACATGGAGAAACCCTGTCTCTACTAAAATACAAAAATTAGCCGGGCGTGGTGGTGCGTGCCTGTAATCCCAGCTACTTGGGAGGCTGAGGCAGGGGAATAACTTAAACCTTGGAGGCGGAGGTTGCAGTGAGCTGAGATTGCACCACTGCACTCCAGACTCCAGCCTGGCAACAGAGCAAGACTCCATCTCAAACAAACAAACAAACAAAAGTTCATTTTGTTCTATTATAATATCTTCTATCTGTCTCCTCATTATGCTCATAGTTTTCCTTTCTTGATTACAATAATAGTTATTTTAAAGTCCTTGTCTGCTATTCTATCATCTCTGTAATTCCTGGATATGATTCTAATGATTTATTTTTCTCCTGTTCATTGGTCACATTATTCTGCTTTTGTAATTTTTTTTTTTTGCATATCTAGCAATTTTGGTTGGATGTTGGATATTGTGAATAAGATGTTGTTGAGTACCTAAATTTTGTTTTCTTCCTTTAAAGAATGCCGGGTTTTATTTTGTCAGGCAGATAAGTTACTTGCAGATCAACTCTATCCTTTTGAGGTTTGTTTTAAACCTTGTCAGGGTTTCGCCAACAGGGTTTGGAGTAGTACTCTGATTACTCCAACTGTGAATTTCTCTCAGGCCTGTGGGAGTAATGGTAATTTTTCTACTTGCAGCACTCCGGAAGTTGTTCTTTCCGCGTTTTTTGATGTGTATGGTCTCATAGACTCTCATCCTTGGCACACACAAGTTAGAATCCATCCAAAGACCCAAGGAGACTCCTATACAAATTTCTAGAATTTTTTTTCTGTGTACTCATTCTTTTCCAGTAATTTTGTCAGGCATTTGAACTACAGCAACTCAATCTTGAATAGAAGCTGGGTAAAATGAGGCTGAGACCTACTGGGCTGCATTCTCAGAAGGTTAAGGCATTCTAAGTCACAGGATGAGATAGGAGGTCAGCACAAGATACAGAACAAAGACCTTGCTGATAAAACAGGTTGCAGTAAAGAAGCTGGCCAAAATCCACCAAAACCAAGATGGCGATGAGAGTGACCTCTGGTCATCCTCACTGCTACACTCCCACCAGCACCATGACAGTTTACAAATGCCATGGCAATGTTAGGAAGTTACCCAATATGGTCTAAAAAGGGGAGGCATGAATAATCCACCCCCTGTTTAGCATATCATCAAGAAATAACCAAAAAATGGGCAACCAGCAGCCATCAGGGCTGCCCTGCCTATGGAGTAGCCATTCCTTTACTTTCCTAATAAACTTGCTTTCACTTTATGGAGTCACCCTGAATTCTTCCTTGTGCAAGATTTAAGAACCCTCTTTTGGGGTCTGCATCAGGACTCCTTTCTGTTAACAATTTGTCCTGCAAGTTTAACCTGATTTAGCATCCCCAAACTTCTACCTCCCAACTTAGTGAAGCTAACATGCTCTATTTTTGTTCCTTCTTCCTGTACTAAAGTCCAAAAAGGACTTCCACACAGAGATCTAGCATGATTGTAGGGCTCACCTTAATTGTTTTTCTTCCCTCTTGTATCTCAGTTCTGTGATGCCTATTGTCTTATTTGCGAAAACTATTTCTCATTTATCTTGTCTGGTTTGTTGTGTAGTGGTCTAGTTTTCTAGTTGTTTAGAGTAGCAGGTCTAGTCCAGTACTAGTTACTTGATATGGCCAGAGGAAGAAGCTCTTTGAAAATATTTCTGTAGCAAAATGTTAACTAGCAGATTTGTGTCCCTTAGAAAAGACAATTTCAAAGGTTATAGTTTCATTGCCTTGTAAGACATTAACAAGTTTTGTATCTAACCTAGCAGTCTTATAAAGTTGGCCTTCTGTACCCATGGGTTTGGCATCTGGGGATTCAACCAACAAAGAATTGAAAATATTAAAAATAAGTAGTACAACAATAAAAATTAATACAAATAAAAAACGCGGTATAATGAGTATTAACACAGAGTTTACATTGTATTTGGTATTATAGCAATCTAGAGATGTTTTCAAGTATACGGGATGGGTTGGGAGCAGCGGTTCACACCTGTAATCCCAGCACTTTGGGAGGCCAAGGGGTGGGGGTGGATCACTTGAGGTCAGGAGTTCGAGACCAGCCTGGCCAACATGGTGAAACCCCACATGTACTAAAAATACAACAATTAGCTGGATGTGGTGGTAGGTGCCTGTAATCCCAGCTACTCAGGAGGCTGAGGCAGGAGAATCGCTTTAACTAGGAAGGCAGAGGTTGCAGTGAGCCGAGATCACGCCACTGCACTCCAGGCTGAGCAACAGAGCGAGACTTCGTCTCAAAATAAATAAATAAATAAAAATAAAAAATAAAGTATATGGAAATTAGCTGGGCGTGGTGGCGTGCACTTGTAATCCCAGCTACTCAGGAGACTGAGGCAGAGAATTGCTTGAATCCGGGAGGCGGAGGTTGCAGTGAACCAAGATCGTGCAACTGCACTCCAGCCTGGGCAACAGAGCAAGACTCTGTCTCAAAAAATAAATAAATAAATAAATAAAGTATACAGGATGATGTGCGTACTTACATGCAAGTAGCATGGCATTTCACATAAGGATCCCCAACTTTGGTATCAGTGGGAACCATAGAACCAGTTTCCAGTAGATGCTAAGGGACACTATACTAACATTGTTTTCTAAAAATGTCTGTAAATATTCAGTTCCTTATAATGCTCTTTAAACCAGCTTTACCATCTTATTGGCTCCCTCATTAATGAGTTAGGCAAAATCATTGACAGGTGTTCATTCATATCAAAGAATCACATTTTTAACTTTTTGAAAACCATATGTCAACAAAACAATGTGATAAGTGCAGTATGAAAAGTATGTTGTGGAATCAGGAACTAATTTGTTCTCTGCCTAAGCTTCGCCTAGGTTAAGTATAGTGATTGTTAGAAGAAAACGCCATTGAGTTATCCTAGAAAGTGACATTTGAGCTGTCTTAGCAGGCAATATAGACTTTTCTTATGCAGCAGGGGTGAGAGTGGTTCTCCAAGCCAAATAAACTACTCATTAGTCATTCACAAGCATTGTAAGCAGTTCGCTTGTGTTAGAGTGGGGTTGCCTGTATCCAGGTGGGAATTAGAGGTGAGACTGGACAGGAAGGGTGGAAGCAAGGCATAGTGAAAAGAGCACTGGCTTCAGTCAGGAAACAGGTTTGCATCCTAACTCTATCTAGAACTACTTATTAATAATTTGGCTTTTTGGGCCTGTTTGCATAACTGCAAATTGGGGCATTAATAACTTCTCCATGTTGTGTTAGGATTATATTAGATAGCCAAGTAAATCGCATAGTACGTTGGTGCTGTAGATGTTTAATAAATTACAGTTATGATTATTAATTAGAAAGTGGTCAACAATTTCACATGGTGCCAAGTTGGAATAAGATAAAGAATATTAAATAATCTGTAATCGGATTTCCCAATTAGGAAGTTATTGACGACTCTGGAAAGAACTGCTTCAAAGGAGCAGGACCAGAATGTGTTGAGAAATGGGTGGAAGGTGAGGAAATGAGGAAGAGGATAGCTAGTCCTTTCAGAAAGCTTGCCCTGAATGGGAGAAAGGTGATTCAGTTCAACACTTACGAGAACTTTTTTTTTTTTGTAGATTGAGGAAACTTGAATATTTTTGTATCCTGAAGGGAGAAATGGATGAAGAAGAAATGGATGAAGAAGACCGAAGATAATGATGAAGGGATAATTTGGAATAGGATTCACAGCAAGAGAGACAGAAGGGAAAGACATTGAAGAAACAGACTAGTTAACACATGAAAAAAATAGAGCAGAGGAAAACACGTCCATGTTTTTCCACGTCTAATGAGAACAGGTCTGATGTGAAAGGAATTGGAGGAGAAGGGGAAGTTTGGTGATGCACAGTTTGCATCCCAGAAGGCTCTTGACAACCAAAGTGTCCACAGCAGATTCGTCCAGTCTAGATAGACCATGCACAGAGAATTTCAAAGAAAAGCAGAATAGATTTCCAAACCTTTACCCTAATCCAGGGAGGAGAAGACGGGACGTCAAAATATAGTCTTGGGTATAGAAGCATTGGGTCGCAAAGACCTGAACAACGGCTGAAATCAAGGACAAATATTATGGTACATGGCCCTGGGTCAGCTTGTATTTTAGAAACGAATTAAGAAAACCAAAACAATTGCAAAGCCCGCCCTGTGCTCTAACAATCTTCCCTCTTCGATCTCTTCATTGGCCAGTGTCATGCAAACACTCTGGATTAAACATGCATGGTCTAACATTGATTGGCATGTTAAAGAATCCTTCTGTGGCCAGCGATTGGCGGGCGTGTCTGGGCTCTAGCCAATCCGGAAAGGGGCGGGCTGGTTAAGCGTCAGGTTCCTTGGATCGACCGGTCAGCCCAGTAACTGACTACTTTTCTCCCTTCTCTAGGGTCCTAGCACAGTGTCTGATGGAGCTTTCCTACCAGACCCTGAAATTCACGCATCAGGCGCGGGAAGCGGTAAGGAACGCATATATAAAACATGATTATACCAAGAACCCCTCTCCTACTGTTGCTGCGGGACGATTCCGAGTCTCCGGTTGCTATGGCGACAGAGTCCGCTACTAGAGAAGCGCAAACGCAGTGAGAGGCGCTCGGCCGAGGTGGTTAAATCCCGGGCTGGGCTTGCAGCCGTGATGGAGGGAAAAATAAATGAGACACAGGCGGGTTTGGGGGTGACAACGGGTCGGATGAAAGGGACGGCAGGGTCGGTTCCTGATTGAGGAAATGAGGTATTGACGGGGAGGTGTTATTAGACTCTGGATCTTGATTGGGTGAATGGATTTGGGGAGTGGTCAAAATTAGATTGTTGAAAGACAGGAAAACATTGACCTGGGAGTTAGTTAGAATATTGGCTTCTGATCCTGATTTGCCATCACTAAGGCGAGAGATCTTAGGCATTTAATTCCCCTCTTGGGCTTCAGTTTCTCCATCTGAAAGTCAGGGAATTGGACTGTAATCTTTTTCACACGAAGATTACATGAGCTCTACAATACATTAAGTGGTTTACCGTGGTCTGTATCACCTGCTACTGGCCAGCAATTCTTTCCACAGCGATGAACATGAATTGAGGACACATTTGTCTGCCAGGCACTGGGGAGATAAAAACAACGTGGGGGCGGGGGGAAGGAAAAATAAAAATAAAGTTAAAAAATACTTCTACCTGGATCTCATTCCTAGAGGTTCAGAATTACTGGCTTGGGATGAGTTCTATGCATCAGTATTTTTAGAAAGCTCAAGAGGTGATTACAGTGTGTAGCCAAGGTTATGAACCACAGCTCTAGTATCTCCTACCTTTTAAAAACTAATAATACACAAAAAGGTAACCCTCTGGCTTCATACCCATTATGGTTACCAGCCTCTGTTTATTTCTCTCCATCTTCTAGAAAAGGTTGGCTACACATGTTGTTGCTAATTCCTCACCTCCGGATTGTACTTAAGCCTATTTTAATCTCAGCATGAACTACCCGCCTCAGAATCTTTTGGGTTACCCTTTAATAGAGCAGATTCTTGGGCCTCATGAAGACACTGAATCAGAAACCCCCGGGATGATTTCTTGAAACTTGCACTTTAAGCACGAACTCTACGTTTGAAAAACACAGCCGTAAACGTTCTCATATATTTTCATGACTTCTAGTACTATCTTTTAAAAATTTATCTTTTTGGAGACAGAGTCTTGCTCTGTCGCCCAGGCTGGAGTGCAGTGGCATGATCTCAGCTCACTGCAGCCTCCACCTGCCGGGTTCAAGTGATTTTCCTGCCTCAGCCTCCCGAGTAGCTGGGACTGCAGTTATGCGCCACCATGCCCAGCTAACTTTTTGTATTTTTAGTAGAGACAGGGTTTCACCATGTTGCCCAGTTTGGTCTCGAACTTTTGAGCTCAGGCAATCTTCCCCCCTCAGCCTCCCAAAGTGCTAGGATAACAGGCATGAACCAACATGCCTGGCCGACTTCTTCTTCTTCTTTTTTTTTTTTTTTGAGTCGGAGTTTTGCTCTTGTTGCCCGGGCTGGAGTGCAATGGTGTGATCTTGGCTCACCGCAACCTCTGCCTCCTGGTTTCAAGTGATTCTCCTGCCTCAGCCTCCCGAGTACCTGGGATTACAGGCATGTGCCACCATGCCCAGCTAATTTGTTTGTTTGTTTTAGTAGAGATGGGGTTTCTCCATGTTGGTCAGGCAGGTCTTGAACTCCTGACCTCAGGTGATCCGCCTGCCTTGGCCTCCCAAAGTGCTGGGATTACAAGCATGAGCCACCATGCTCGGCCAAACTTCTAATACTATCTATATACCAAAAACTCCCCCAACCTACCTCAACTGGACTTCTTTGTTAAGCCCCAGACCAATGATCCAGAAGATAAAATATGGGTAGGACAATGGATCAACTGATTACTTGACATATCTACTGGGGTGTTGCAAGTATCTGCATTGTGTGTGTGTGTGTGTGTGTGTGTGTGTGTTTGAGACAGGGTTTCACTGTCATTCAGGCTGGAGTGCAGTGGTGCAATCATGGCTCACTGTAGTCTCACCCTGCTCAAGGGATCCTCCTGCCTCAGCCTTTCAAGTAGCGGGAACTACAGGCATGCAACACCATGCCCGGCTAATTTTTCTGTATATTTAGTAGAAATGGGTTTTGCCATGTTGTCCAGGCTGGTCTTGAACTCCTAGGCTCAAGTGATCCTCCCACCTCGGCCTCCCACGGTGCTGGAATTATAGGCATGAGCCACTGTGCCTTGCATCTTAACTTGTTTAATGCCTAACTACTTCTCCTCCTTCTCCTTTTCCTTTTCTCCTTCTCCTTCTTCTTTTCTTCAACAGGGTCTTATTCTGTCACCCAGGCTGGAATGCAGTGGTGTGATCTCAGCTCACTGCAACCTCCGTCTCCCAGGCTCAGGTGATTCCCCCACCTCAACCTCCCAAGTAGCTGGAACCACAGGCATGTACCATCACACGTGGTTAAATTTTGTATTTTTTGTAGAGTTTCACCATGTTGCCTGGGCTGGTCTCAAACTCCTGGGCTCAAGTGATCAGCCTGCCTTGGCCTCCCAAAGTCCTCGGATTACAAGCGTGAGCCTTCGTGTCTGGCTTAATGCTTAACTTTTGAATGTCCTCTCTAAAACCTGTACCTTTCCCAGTCTTTCCCCATAGGGGAAGCCACCCCAGTGAAACCACCATTCATCCGATTGCTCAAATCGTAATTCTGGGGGTTATCCTTAGCTCCTTCTTTCTCCTAGTCCCTCTCCTCTGTCCTCTACAAGAGGAAGACATCAGCAAATCTTATTGATTCTACTTCTATATTGTATCTTTAATAATCCATATATTCACATCCACCTCCTGATCTAAACCTCCATGCCCTGTCACTGGAACCACATTAATAGCATCTTAGCTATTACCCCTTGGTTTTTGCCTCTCTTCAGTCCAACCTTCATCCAATGATCAGGGTGATTTTCTTAAAATAGTGCCACTCTTTTAATGGGATCCTTTTAATGCCTTTCCATTACACTTGGGATAAACCCTCCAAATCTTGACAAGACCTACAAAGCACTGCAATAAAGCCCAACCTCTGCCTCCATGCTTTTCCTCTCCATTTTCTGTGTTGCCTCTCAGTGCTCCAGCCACATTCTCCCTAATCTAACGTCTGACAACTCCATAGCATTTATGCCATAAATTTAGTATTTAATTGGATTAATTATATTGTTATCTGTTGCTTGCATGTAACAGATAATATAAATTTCTTGGAACTTGAAAGCAAGGCAGGAACTCAAGCCTTATTTTTTGTTTTAGTCCCTAGATGGCGCTAAGAGCAATATTTAGGTATGCTCACTGATGGTTTGATCTCTTGGGGTCTATGTGCAAGGAATTGTGCTGAGTAGGGGTCTGGAGAAGCTGGAGGAGGGGATGTGATCCAGTGTGTTAGATATAAAGAGGACTGCACGTCCACAAGACATTCTGATTACCTACATCATCTACTGTATTGGGATTTTCAGAATATTTTCTTTGTATTTGGTTTATTTTTGTTGTTTCAAATTATTTATTTACAAATATATTTTCAGTTTTTAATTTTTAACAAAGTAATGGCAGCACATCACTTAAAATTATAATAGTTCAACAAAATTTGAAAAAAAACGAATCTCCTGCTTCACCTCAACTGGCCCTTACTTAATTACTGCTCCCCAGAAGCAACTGCTTCGACTTGTAGCAGCTTCTTCAAAATAACATGTTTATACTCTTTTTCTTTTTTTGAGACAGAGTTTCACTCTTGATGCCCAGGCTAGAGTGCAATGGTGTGATCTCGGCTCACCACAACCTCCACCTCCTGGGTTCAAGCGACTCTCCTGCCTCAGCCTCCTGAGTAGCTGGGGCTACAGGCGCCCACCACCACACCCGGCTAATTTTGTATTTTTAGTAGAGACGGAGTTTCTCCATGTTGGCCGGGCTGGTCTCGAACTCCCAACCTCAGGTGATCTGCCTGCCTCGGCCTCCCAAAGTGCTGGGATTACAGGCGTGAGCCACCGTGCCCGGCGATGTTCATACTCCTGAAGCTTGATTTTTCATTCTCAGTTATAGTCGACTCACTTTTATGAAGATAAGCACTGAACTCCCTTCTACTTCTCCCTGTCCCTGGCCTCCTCCCACCATCAGTATGTATTTCCCTTCCCTCATTCTCTCAACACGGAGAGAAATTCTATCATAATTTTCATTAAATCAATTTTCAGTATTAATATTAATCCGATTGTATAAATACTATTTAGAGCTGAGCCATACAGTGCACTTTGGTTATATTTTATATTTTATTTAACTTTTGGGACAAGACTCAATCATATATTAACCAATGCATTCTTCTTTGGTTTACTTTTCTGTATATTTGATACCACTTCCTTCCTAGACTTTCCAACAGAACTGTAAAATTCTCAATGTGGGGAAGCTAATCAGGTAATTTCTAAGTCTGATTTTTTTTTTTTTTTTTTACTGGGTGGTATCTTTTCTGGATCTCTGAGATTCTCCTGCTGTGTCAACTCATTGCTCTTTGGGCGTACTATACAGCTTTTTTTTTTTCCTAGGAAATCCCTTCCTCCCTTCCCTGTGTTAGAAATCCTGCTTCCTGGGCTCCATGTCTTCCCCTTCTTGCCCTATATCCCTCTTGTAGTGAAACATATCAACCAATAACTATCTGAGAAAAGATATATGGGAGGTAAAGTTTTGGAAACAAAGTATCTATGAAACTTCTCCTCTCACCTTGATTGGTGATTTGGCTCAGGTTAATACTCTAGGTTGGGACTGATTTCATCTCAATGGAGAAGGCATTGCTCCATTACTTTTTTAATTAATTAATTAATTATTTTGAGCAGGGTCTTGCTCTGTCAGCAGTGGCCCGACCTTGGCTCACTGTAACCTCCACCTCCCGGGTTCAAGCTATTATTCCCAGGCCTCAGCCTCCCAAGTAGTTAGGATTACAGGGGTGCGCCACCATGCCCGGCTAACTTTCTATTTTTAGTAGACATGGGGTTTCACCACGTTGCCCAGGCTGGTCTCAACCTCCTGGCCTCAAGTGCTCCACCTGCCTTGACCTCCCAAAGTGCTGGGATTACAGGCATGAGCCACCATGCTAGGCCCCAGTTTCTTTCTTTCTTTTTTAGAGACAGACAAAGTCTCTCCCAGGCTGGAGTGCATTGGCATGATTTAGCTCATTGCAGCCTTGAATTCTTGGGCACAAATGATCCTCCCACCTCAGCATCCCAAGTAGCTGGGACTACAAATGTGCACCACCACACCTGGTTAAATTTTTTTATTTTTTGTAGAGACAGGGATCTCACTATGTTGCACAGGCTGGTTTCAAACCCCTGGCCTCAAGTGATCTTCCCCCACCCACCACCTAGGCCTGCTAAAGTGCTGGGATTATAGGCATGAGCCATTGCACTCAGCCTGCAGGTATGTTTTTTTTTTTTTTTTTTTTTTTTGAGATGGAGTCTCACTCTGTCACCCAGGCTGGAGTGCAATGGTGCGATGTCAGCTCACTGCAACCTCCGCCTCCCGGGTTCAAGCGATTCTCCTGTCTCAGCCTCCCGAGTAGCTGGGACTCTAGGTGCGTACCACCACGCCCGGCTAACTTTTGTATTTTTAGTAGAGACGGAAGTTTAACCATATTGGTCAGGCTGATCTCGAACTCCTGACCTCATGATCCACCTGCCTCGGCCTTCTGAAGTGTTGGGATTACAGGCGTGAGCCACTGCCCCTGGCCCAGGTATGTTTTTTATTGATGGTTGAATGTTCCTTTTTCACTGTATCCTGTTCTTGCAAGATGTCATGCTTTCTTTCGTCTCTCTGAGGAGGTTTTCCTTTCCTTCCTGCCTGCCTTTCTTTTTCTTTCTTTTGTTTCCTTCCTCCCTTCTCTTTGTTTCCTTCCCTCCCTCCCTCCCTGCTTCCTTCCTTCTTTTTTTTTTTTTTTTTTTTTTGAGGCGGAGTCTCGCTCTGTTGCCGAGGCTGGAGTACAGTGGCACGATCTCGGCTCACTGCAACCTCTGCCTCTCAGGTTCAACCGATTCTCCTGACTCAGCCTTCTGAGTAACTGGGACTACAGGCATGTGCCACCATGCCTGGCTAATTTTTTTAAGTTTTAGTAGAGACGGGGTTTCACCGTGTTAGCCAGGATGGTCTCGATCTCCTGACCTCGTCATCTGCCCGCCTCAGCTTCCCAAAGTGCTGGGATTACAGGCGTGAGCCACCGCTCCCGGCACCTTCCTCCTTTTCTTTTTCTTTCTTTCTTCTAACATTTTCTCTGTTTCCCCTTATGTTCCTTTTTGCATTTTTTAATTTGTGGTTTTGTCTTTCATGTGGGATATTTTCCTCAAAAGTCAGTGATACAGGGTTGTCCATTTATTTTTAAGAATGAGTCATCTAGGCTGGGCATAGTGGCTCACACCACTAATGCCAACACTTTGGGAGGCCAAGGCAGGCGGAGCGCTTGAGGCCAGAGGTCGAGACCAGCCTGGGCAACGTGATGAAACCCTGTGTCTACTAAAAATAGAAAGTTAGCTGGGCATGGTGGCACCACCCCTGTGTTAGAGGTGGGAGGGGTGCTTAAGTCCAGGAGTTTGAGACCAGCGTGGGCAACATAGTTAGACCTCATCTCAACAAAAAATAAGCAAAATGAACTGAGCATGGTGACAAGTGCTGGTGGTCTCAGCTACCTGGAGGGCTAAAGTGGCAAGATCACTTGGGACCGGCAGGTTGAGGCTGCAGTGAGCCGTGATCACACCACTGTACTCCAACCTAGGCGACACATGGAGACCCCGTCTCAAAAAAAAAAAGATATAAAAAATGAGACACCTAAAATTTAATTAGAATTTTTGTGTTTTAGAGGAGGCTTGTCTCACAAAGACAGTTTTTCTGTAGGATAATCAGGTACCAGGGCCCTTTTCATTGGGGGATGCCAAATGTCAGTTATGTGTAGGTCTTTTTTCTGAGGCCTTCCATTTCTATGCTCTCCTTCAGGGAATAAGGGCAAAATAAGTTTGGTTGCCAGCAGTGTTGGAGAGAACAGAGGAAGACTTTGTGGGGGTGAAAGCAGGGAATGGAAGGTGGGGTTTCACCTCTCTCTTCAGTATATACGCTTCCACTGAATTATCCCTTTCTTCAGGTAGTCCAGGTAGTCCTGGTAGTCCCGTCTTCTGCCTGGGTAGGGGAGGAATTGTAACCTGATTGGAGAAGGGGAGGGAATCTGCAATACCCTGTTCAGCATGCTCTTTATACCTCACTTCTGCCCTTGGAGGTGCCTGATGACTCCAGAGGAACCTGGTGTCCCCATTCCTGTAACTTTCTAGGGTTCTGTTATATGTTTTCTTCTCCTTCTTCTTCTTCTTCTTCGTCTTTTTTTTTTTTTTTTTTTTCCTGAGATGGAGTCTTGCTCTGTCACCAGGCGGGAGTATAGTGGCATGATCTCGGCTCACTGCAACCTCTGCCTCCCATGTTCAAGCGATTCTCCTGTCTCAGTCTCCTGAGTAGCTGGGACTACAGGTGTGTGCCACCATGCCAAGCTAATTTTTCTATTTTTAGTACAGACAGGGTTTCACCATGTTGGCCAGGATGGTCTTGATTTCTTGACCTCGTGATCTGCCCACCTTGGCCTCCCAGAGTGCTGGGATTACAGGTGTGAGCCCCCGCGCCTGGCATCTTCTTTTGTTTTTTGGGTTTTTTTGAGACAAAAGAAGTCTGACTTGATTGTCACCCAGGCTGGAGTACAATGGCGCAATTTCAGCTCACTGCAACCTCTGCCTCCTGGGTTCAAGCAATTCTCCCACCTCAGCCTCCAGAGTAGCTGGGACTACAGGCGTATGCCACCACACCTGGCTAATTTTCGTATTTTATTTTTATTTTTGGTAGAGAGGGTTTCAACATGTTGACCAGGCTGGTCTTGAGCTCCTGACCTCAAGTGATCCACCTGCCTCGGCCTCCCAAAGTGCTGGGATTATAGACATGAGCCACTGTGCCTGGCCTCTGCTTCTTATTGGCTTCTTTCCCTGTAGGTGTTGGTTTTCTCTATTTTTGGTTTTCTTTGCTTTTGGCTTTCTTTGCTTTAAGTCAGCTGGTGTTTATCCATTTGCTTCCCCTGTGTCAATTTCCTTCCTCCCTCCCTTCCTCCCTCCCTCCCTTCCTTCCTTTTGTCTTTCTTTCTTTCTCTCTCTCTTTCTTTCTTTCTTTCTTTCTTTCTTTCTTTCTTTCTTTCTTTCCTCTCTCTTTTTCTTTCTCTCTCTCTCTGTCTTTCTTTTTTTTTTTTGAGACAAAGTTTCACTCTTGTTGCCCAGGCTGGAGTGCAATGGCACAATCTCAGCTCACCGCAACTTCTGCCTCCCAGGTTCAAGTGATTCTCCTGCCTCAGCCTCCCAAGTAACTGGGATTACAGGCATGCGCCACCACGCCTGGCTAATTTTGTATTTTTTTTTTTTAAGTAGAGACGGGGTTTCTTCTTGTTGATCGGGCTGGTCTTGAACTCCTGACCTCAGGTGATCCGTCTGCCTTGGCCTCCCAAAGTGCTGGAATTACAGGCGTTCTACCGCGCCTGACGCTTCCTTCCTTCCTTCCTTCTTTATTTCTTTCATTCTTTCTTTCTGTGTTTGTTTGGAAACAGGGTCTCACCGTTTTGCCCAGGCTGGAATGCATTGGTGCCATCAAGGCTCACTGCAGCCTTGGGCTCAATCTACCCTCCTGCTTCAGCCTCTGGAGTAGCTGGGGCCACAGGCATGCACCACTATTCCCGGCTAATTTTTAAATTTTTTGTAGAGATGGGGGTCTCCTTATGTTGCTCAGGCCAGTCTTGAACTCCTGTCCTCACACAATCCTCCCACTTCAGCCTTCCACAGTGCTGGGATTACAGGTGTGAGCCACCTTGCCTGGTTTGGGTCATAGATTTTTTATTCCTTTATCATCATTTTAATAAGGCTTTGGGAGGGAGCAGAGATAAGTGATATCAAGAACACTTTTTATTTAGATATTTATTGAGTGCCTACTGGGTACAAAGAATCCTACTAGTTGCTCTTGCAGAGGTTGGTTTCAGAGAAGTGAATATTTAAAAAATTGACTAACATATGATTCATATCTAAAATATTTTTAAAATTGATTTCAAGCTAGGCATTTGTCACACATGTTTATATATTCAAATTTAGTTTTCAATATGGTTATTTCTTTGGATATTGTAGGGTCTGGTGGCTGAGCATGAGAGTGGGTATTAGATGCTTTTGAATTTATATCTTGGTTTTCACCGATTAACAGTAAGGCAAATATGCATTTATTCATTAACTCATACGATAAACGCAATTTAGTGCCTGCTTTCTGTACAACATGGTACTGGTGTTTTGAGATTTGCCTAAATGGGATTAGTGACACTAACACTACTGATTATTTTTAGAAAGGCCATTTTCTCTTGGTTTTCATGATACTACCGTCTCTTTGTTTCCTACATTTCTTTCTGGTCTCCTTGATGAGCTGCTCTCTCTCTGCCCCTTAAATTCTTGTTCTTTAGGATCTAAATTTGTCTTTTCTGACCAGCCCCTTTACCAATTTAATAAAGTGTCCCTTCTTGATTCAGGGAGTAGATATCACCACACCATTCTTATCCCAGGAAATTATATTTGAATGTTTACTGGTTGCTTTCTTCCCCCCATCCCAGTAGACTGTAGGCTCCTTAAGAGCAAGAACTCTGGCAAGTTTCTTTTCTGACTAGCAAATTGATCTTGCTTTTGCAGAGCTTCTCAGTCTTTAGTGTGCACATTAAACACCTGGGAGGTTTTGAAAATTCATATGATGAGGCCAGGCATGGTGGCTCATGCCTGTAATCCCAGCACTTTGGGAGGCTGAGGCAGGCAGATCACCTGAGGTCAGGAGTTCCAGACCATCCTGACCAATATGATGAAACCCCATCTCTACTACAAATACAAAAATTAGCCAGGCGTGGTGGCATGCACCTGTAATCCCAGCTATTTGGGAGGCTGAGACAAGAGAATTGGTTGAACCTGGGAGGTGGAGTTTGCGGTGAGCCAAGATCATGCCATTCAGCCTGGGACACAAGAGCGAAACTCCGTCTCAAAAAAAAAAAAAAAAAGAAAAAGAAAATTCATATTCTGATCCAGAAGTTTTGGAGTGGGACTGCTTTGCCAGTTAATTTTATGTGTCAACTTGACTGTGCTTTGGGGTGCCCAGGCATTTGGTCAACATTATCCTTGACTGTCTGTGAAGGTGTTTCGGGGTGAGACTAACGTTTGAATCAGTAGATTGAGAAAAGCAGATTGCCCTCTTCTTTTTTTTTTTTTTTTTTTTTTTTGAGACGGAGTCTCGCTGTCGCCCAGGCTGGAGTGCAGTGGCGCGGTCTCGGCTCACTGCAGGCTCCGCCCCCCGGGGTTCACGCCATTCTCTTGCCTCAGCCTCCCGAGTAGCTGGGACTACAGGCGCCCGCCACCTCACCCGGCTAATTTTTTGTATTTTTAGTAGAGACGGTGTTTCACCGTGTTAGCCAGGACGGTCTCCATCTACTGAACTCGTGATCTGCCCGCCTTGGCCTCCCAAAGTGCTGGGATTACAGGCGTGAACCACCGCGCCTGGCCTTTTTTTTTTTTTTTTTTTTTTTTTTGAGACAGAGTTTCACTCTTGTTGCCCAGGCTGGAGTGCAATGGCACGATCTCGGCTCACTGAAACCTCTGCCTCCCAGGTTCAAGCGATTCTCTTGCCTCAGCCTCCCAAGTATCTGGGATTACAGGCATGTGCCATCACGCCTGGCTAATTTTGTATTTTTAGTAGAGACAGGGTTTCTCCATGTTGGTCAGGCTGGTCTCAAACTCCCGACCTCAGGTGATCTGCCGGCCTCGGCCTCCCAAAGTGCTGAGAATACAGGCGTGAGCCACCGCGCCCAGCCTAATTATTGTATTTTTAGTAGAGACGGGGTTTCACCATATTGGCCAGGATGGTCTCCATCTCCTGACCTCGTGATCCATCTGCCTCAGCCTCCCAAAGTGCTGGGATTACAGGTGTGAGCCACCGCACCTGGCCAGATTGCCCTCTTTAATGTGGATTGGCCTCATCCAATCAGTCAAAGGTCTGAGTAGAATAAAAGACTGACCCTCCCACATGTAAGAGGGAATTCCTACTTTCTGACTGTCTTTAAACTGGGACAGCGTTTTGTTTTTTTTTTCTGCATTTGGACTCAAACTGAAATATTGGCTTTTCCTGAGTCTTGAGTCTGGCTGCTTTTAGATTAGAACCACACCATCTACTCTCCTGGTTCGGGGGCCTTCAGACTTGGACTGAAACTATATCATTGGCTCTTCTGGTTCTCCAGCTTGTTGACTGCAGATCTTGGGACCTGTCAGCTTCTATAATCACATGAGCGTTATAATAATAAATCCTTATAATTATAAATTCCCTATAATAAATCTAGTAAATAATAAATAATCTAGTACAAAATAATCTAGTAAATAATAAATCTAGTAAAAAAATACACACATATATTTATACATACACATGTGCATGCGTGTGCGTGTGTATGCATGTTTGTATAATTTGTTCTGCCTGTCTGGAGAGCTGTGACTAACACAGATTTGTATCACAAGCTTCTATGTTTTATTTCTGATGCTGCTGGTGATCTTCTGGTAGCAAAGATATGAAATAGAGATTTTTCTCCAACTCCGTTTTAAATTTAGTGTTTAATACAAATAAGACTATACGTAATCTGTATACCTCTGCCACTTTCTTTTTCTTAACCTGAATGTAAGAATCCTCTATAATGCTCTAAGGCCAAAGAATTATGTCATTGTTTTTAATTTGGCTGCACAATTAAAAACAAACAAAAAAATAATTAGAGTCAATGCACGATAATGGTTTTTGGAAAACTGGAATTGATCCACACATTCATGTGTATGCACAAAAGAATCCTAAAACAAAGTCATGTTTGTTTATTCTCATGTGTCATTATACGTACTTTTCAAAAGTTACTACTCTGCCTTGGTGAACCTTTTATATTACAAAATATCGACTGTGTTAGCTAATTAATAAGGTCATTGACTAGTTTTTAAAATGAGTGTTGTTAAAATGCCTTAGTTTTTATTAATCGCATGGGCTCCTAAAAAAAGAGTAATTGAAAATTTAATTACATCAGTGCTTTTCTTCAAATAACTGAAGCTTATTAAACTTCAAATGTTCAAACATTTAAGCATCTATTGAAATACCAATAGCTATAAAAAATGTGCAGTTCTAAACACTAATTAAACAAACTCTAAATAACCATAAAGCTAAGCTGAATTTTAAATAACTCTTACGTTTTAAGTGCTCTGTTCCGCTCATATACAAGGAAGATTAACCCCTTCAATTCTGACCACTGCTACAGCCCTGTGGGCATCTCTTAAAATGCTGTGGCTGCTATTGAACCACTTTCTTCTTATACTTGGACCAAAAAGGAGAGACTAATTAGACAACCTGGAACATGTTGCTAATGCCACATTAGTACTCTTGGAACCTTTTTTTTAAAAAAAACTAACTGAGAATATACAGACATAAATTTGTGTATTTCATGTTTTGTGTGAAAACATACTTGCTTTCTTTTGTAAAAATAATGTTTGTTAGGTTTTACTTTTAATTTAATTTTTTTTGGAGACAGAGTCCCTCTTTGTCACCCAGGCTGGAGTACAGTAGCAAAACCTTCGCTCACTGCAACCTCCGCCTCCCAGGTTCAAGTTTTTCTCCTGTCTCAGCCTCCTGAGTAGCTGAGATTACAGGCGTCCGCCACCATGCCCGGCTAATTTTTGTATTTTTTAGTAGAGATGGAGTTTCACCATGTTGGCCAGGCTGGCCTCAAACTCCTGACTTCAAGTGATCTGCCCGCCTCGGCCTCCCAAAATGCTGAGGTTACAGGTGTGAGCCACCACGCCTGGCCAGGTTTTAATTTTAAATACTCAAAGTATAAATTTCACCACCCAAATACATCCTATAAACATTTTAAAAAATTGATATGACCTTCTACTTTCAACTGAGATGGCATAATTGGCACCAGACCAGGTCTCCTGTAAGAAACTGGAAAACTGGACTAAACATATGAGTAAACTCTTTTCAAGCATTGGATTATGTGATTTTTGGACAACGTAATTATGAGAGAAGGCCTTCTATTTGGAAGCAATAACTAGATTCTGGTTCTGGAAGGAGAACCCCAAAAAAGCGGCTGGGCACTGTGGCTCATGCCTATAATCCCAGCACTTTGGGAGGCCCAGGTAGGTGGATCACCTGAAGGTCAGGCATTTGAGACTAATCTCACCAACATGGTGAAACCTCATCTCTACTAAAAATATAAAAAATTAGCTGGGCATGGTGGTGGGCGCCTGTAATGCCAGCTACTCGGGAGGCTAATTGCTTGAACTGGGGTGGGTGGAGGTTATAGTGAACCGAGATTGCTCCATTGCACTCCAGCCTGGGCAACCCAAGAGCGAAACTTCAAAAAAAAAAAAAATGAACAGCAGTTTTGCTAAGATGAAGCGATAGAGATTGGAGTTTGGGAAGACTGAGTTGCTTAGAACTGGGAGGGAAGAGTTTCAGAGAGGAGGAGCTATGCAAAAAAAGAGCTCCACAATTATTGATTTTTGGCTGAATACTGAGCTGCACATACATAGAGGAAAAACATATGAAGCTGCTCTCATAACATTTAGAGACATTTGCATTATGACTGACTTAAGTGGAGAAATCTTGTGGGACAGAAGAGCATTTAGTAGAGCTCCAAGTAAGGCTATGCATAAGAGTAAGCAAAGCCAGGCACAGCCTAGAATAAAGGCTACTTTAGATATCCCTTACCTAACAAAGCTTAACAACAAGCTCTGATATGAAGAAACTGATTTGCAAGTAACTAAACTGTAGAGGGACGAGACGCGGACAAAACCCCTCAGACACCGGGTTAAAGAAGGAAGTGGCTTTATTTGGCTGGGAGTGTCAGCAGACTTGCGTCTTAAGAACTGAGCTCCCTAAAAAAGAAATTATTGGCCCTTTTAAGGGCTTACAACACTAAGGGGACCACGTTAAAGGGTCATGATAGATCAAGCAAACATGGGGGACATAACTAAGGGCTACATGCATTAGCTAATACAACAGAAAGTTTTGCAATGCTTCCTCATACAATGTCTGGAATTTACAGATAACACAAGTAGTTTAGGTCAGGGGTAGATTTTTTAATTTTTTTCTTTAACTACAAGGACCAGGTGGTGGCTCCAGGCCATCTGGCTATTTATCTTACTTTTGTTTCCTTTTAACTTTTCGCTTTCTCCCTTTCCTCACGTCTTAAAAACTAGGCAAGGTGGCAGGGGCGGTGGGGGTGGGGGTGGGTAGCAGGAGAAGTGGTGGTCCCCACCTCATTTCCCCTGTAGAGAATCTCACTTATTATGGGGAGTTCTCACTTTCATCATCAGTTTTTAAGTCTCTGTACATGATAGAGTGACAGCGATTCATGTAATACACTTGTGTTGAAGTTTTCTGATAAACAAAGGTAGCAACAAAAACTTTTATCATTTGTAGGAGCAAGGGTAATACACAGGGGAAGAGCAAGCAACTTCCTATTACTAGCAATAAACTTACAATGAGGGTTTTAAATTCTCCCCTAGCTGAAAGACATTTTTCAAATACAGACATAGGATTAAACCTCTGCCAAACCTATACAGGCATATGTGCCAACGTTGTCACATCCCTGACCATATTTTTGACCACCAATTTTTGAAAATCTATTGGCAGACAGCAATTGCTCAAGTTGAATTTTTCACAGACCTGATATTCAGGTGAGAGAAAATAGTCCAAGGCCAGTCTATTTTGATAAATGGCATTTTTGATTTGGGCTTTCTGCTAGGTAAAAAAGTCAAAACACTGCCAGTTTTGTCAGTGATTATTTTTAGGAGGGCCTGCAACCGTATGATATGATTGAGAATGTAGATGGGGGTTTGCTACTAAGAATATAAGTTTTTAAGAGCTACACACTTGAATTTCAGGGAGTCTGCGGAAAGAGCTACAGTTATCTTCAGGCATTAACATTTTTCCTTTCTAAGTCTACTGGTCTTGTATGTTAGTCCTTCCAAAAATATAATATGAGGAAATGCATAGGCTGCTGGCACTATTTTCAGCCACTTGAGCAAATAGGATTTTGGCTCAGCCCTCTAAGAAGCTGGGACCACAGGGGCCGTGCCACCACGCCGGGCTCATTTTGGTATCTTTTGTGGAGACGGGGTTTCTCCGTTTGGCCCAGCCTGTTCTCCACCTCCTGGGCTGCAGCGATCTGCTTTCCTCGGCCTCCCAGAGGAGGATGGCCGACGATTACAGGATCATGCCCGGCCTTTTCCCTAAAAGAAAACACCAACAGCAACAAAACATTTTGCGTAGTCGGAGTTATCAGTGTCAACTGGTGGATTGAGAGTTTGTGTCTAAGAAGTCCTTCCTTATGCACTGGATGATTTCAAAAGAAAGGAGAAAAGACAAAAGGGAATCTCACATCTTGTACCTGATTTATGATTGCAACTAGGGCGTTATTTAAAAGACGATCAGTGAACCACCAAAGTAGAATTGATCCGAATGCGTTCATAATATCTTCTGAATTCTGAGGTGTCCTCCAAGCAGGGAGGCAGTGGCTGGGTGTGGGAGGCAAAAATCACAGGGCCAGCACTTGACACCTGCAGGATTCGGAGGCTCAACTTTGCACCAAGCCAAGGGTTCTGGTGTCCGTCGCAAGTTTCGTTCCCCAACCCGCATTGACTTTGCATTGGCCCTCCTCCCCCCAGATTTTATCCGTAAGGCAAGTCCTGAGTTTATCGTCGGGAGAATCTTCCCTTGTAGTCTCGAATTGCCTTGGCCATCAGCGGGGCCACTTTCTTGGCAGCCTGTTTTCGGGTTTTGTCCGCGGGCGCCGCGTGCCGGTTGCTGCTGCCGCCGCCGCTCACGCTGCCGCCGTCGCCGTCCCCGAGGCCGGAGGGAGCCTGGCTGCTTCCTGCGGGCTTGGGGGCTGGCTCCATCTCTCCATTTCCGGGGTCAGCGGCTCCTGCAGACTTCTCTTGCCTCCTGGAAGCATCATAAGGCGTCTTGGCCACAGAGTTGAAACAGATCATCTTTGTCTGTCGGCCGCTGGGTTTGTTTTCACGTGCGGATCGGATTTTCGTGGTCACTACTCGCAGCCGCTGCTCTCGGGCGTCCCGAAGCCGCAGGTACAGCTCCCGCCAAGACTCGTGCTCCTGTGGCTTTTCTTCCTTGAAGTCCTGGAGGCAATGAATCCTCCATAATTCATCTGTCTCTCGAGCGAGTGCGGCATTGTCTTTCTCTGTGCGGTACGGCTGATCGGGCGTCCACCCTTCCAGAACGGGTTCAAGAGCCGAGTAGGGGACCCCTTCCACGTCGCCGAGGGCGTCCGGATTGTTCCTAGGCACCCGGAGGCACTGCTGGCGCAGCGTCGGCACCTGGAGCTGGCAGGCAGGCCTGGAGCCCGAGTACACCGGCATCTTAGCGTTCACTCTGCGTCCAGGGAAAGCAGCTTCCTCCTGGAGCGTTGGCGCGGAGAGTGCTTCTGGGTTTGCCTGGGAGGTCATGGCCTCAAAAGCGGACAGCAGATCGTAGTTGGCCTGCATCCAGGCCTCTGAGGGGTCCCAGAGCTCCGAGAAGACATGGCTGGGCACCGTTTTCGGCCCGGCGGAATCAGCGACGGCCGCCTGCAGCCTCTCTGACTGGCTTTCCTGGACAGGAGGCGATTTCTGAGCCGAAGCCCCGCGGGACGATTTGTGCCCCTTGCTGTGGCTCCCCACCGCTTCCCCCTGGGGTTGGCCCTGGCAGCCTTGACCCAGCAGAGGCCCGCCCTGAGCGGCGTGAGCGTGGCCTCTTCCGGGTTGCTCCCCGGGCACAGCGGGCTCAGGGCCCTCGGGCATCGGGAGGGGAGCGGTGCGCGTTGGAGGGTCCCGATGGGGGCCGGAATCAGCTGGGGCCATTCTGGGGCGCTTTCTCTCGGCTCTGGGCTCGCGACTGGGAGACCTCGGGTGAGGTCTCTGTTGCCCCGGAGGTGTTCTGCGTGCTGTCCGTCTGTGCTCAGGGCTGTGAGATGGGCTCCTGGGGGCCGTCGCGTTTTCTGGGAAGCCCCAGGCCTTTTCCCGCTCCTGAAGAGCCTCCCCGAAGCGCTGTCGGGAAGCGCTCTCCTCAGGGTCCTGCGGGTCAGGCCCGGTGTTTCGGTCCACGAGCACCAGCTTCTTCCACCGGGCCGCTAAGTCTCTGGCAAAGTCGCCCACGTGCTGGTGCTTCCGCAGGCGCTTCACCGTCTTTCTGATTCCAGTCTCCGCCAGGATGTCTGCGGTCATGGGCAAGGCGGAGAGTTTCTGCAAATATTTCTCTAGCTTTTTCGGCTCCGTCTTAGTGGCCAGACGCACCTGCAGCTTCCCCACTGCGCGCAGCGTAGTGGACCCTGCCGCCATCTCGCCAGAGCTGTGCAGGCGTCGCTGTCCTCGCGGTCGCGGCTCTGTCCGAGCTCGGGGCGGCGGCACAGGCAGTCTGGGGTGGCCGGTCCTCGCTGCCCGGTCGCCAGGCGGCGACCTCGGGATGTGGAGTCACAGCCTGGAGCGAGCTGGGTCCTCGGAGCAGCGGGCCACTTGGTCTGGAACGCCGGTCCTTGCAGACAGCTGAGCAGGCCCGCTTCTGTTCCTCGGGATGTGCGGCCGCAGCCTGGAGTGTGACCTGTGCGGTGCGCCGTCCAAGGCGGAGTGAAGCTCCGCTGCCAGAGCCCGGCCTTATATAGCCAGCCCCGGGCCCACCCAGGGCTCAAGCCCTGACCCCCCTGGGCCCCTGGGCTGCCCCGCCCCGATAGGAATTCATTCCGTCAGCCCAACGCAGCCAATCGGGGCGGTCCACGCCAGGTGGACTGCTGTGCCCCGCGGGGTCATTAGGTTAATTGCAGCCTGGACACACCCCACTGAGTTCTACCGTTGGCCCTCCATGTACCCAGCTTCCACATCTGTGGATTCCAAAAGACACAGAGAGAATCTTCTTGGGAGTAAAAGCGAAAATAACAACACCGCAAGACAGAATCGTAGGAAGAAGAACCAACAGAGGATGACAACTCTTTACCTGGGATTGACGTTGTGTGAGGGGACTTGGAAACATTGGTAGAAAAGTGGGATTAAGGGAGAGAGAGGAAACAGGCGTATTTTACTCCTCAACCTCGGCTCCATCAGCATCAAGACCCTTCTGGAAGCAGTGTCTTTTCCCCGCCGTCTAGCCCATCCCTTAAAGCCCCCAGGGTCCTGGGAATTTAACTATTTCCATGCAATCTTTTTTCCATTGTTAACTGAAGAAAACTGGGTGCCCCTTACAGGTTTTCCAAGACAAGGAAACAAAGAGAAGTCAGCAGGCGCCAAATCAGGATTGTCAGGTGGACGCCTCACGGTTTCCCATGGCAAGTCTTGCCCAGCTGCCCTTGTTCGAAGAAAGGCATGATCAGGAACACTGTCGTGGTGGAGAAGAAGTCTCTGGTGGGGACCTTCTTCGCTCCAGCTTTGGCTAACTTTCTGAAAACGCTCTGCTAGCGAGCAGATGTGATCAGGGTTTGGCCCTGCAGAAAGTCAACCAGCAGAATCCCTCTAGCATCCCCGCCCCCCCCCCCCCGCCCCCAACGGTGGCCATGACCTCTGCTCTTGACTGCTCCTCTGCAGCTTCGACTGGAGCACTGCCACCTCTTGGTAGCCATGGCTTCGTGCTTGGTCTTCAGGATCCTGCCGGTAGAGCCAGGTTTCATCTCCTGTGACCAATCTTGGAAGAAATGCTTCAGGATCTTGCTCCCACCGGTTGTTTAAAATCTCCTCGGAAAGGCTTGCTCTGGCCTGCAGCTGATACTGGTGCCACGGTTTGGGCAGCCGAGTTCCACTCTCACCTTTCAGTCCAAATGAGGAAAACAGAACCATTTGAAGTGTCTATGGTGTCGGCTATTGTTTCTGCTGTCGGCGGCGATTTCGCGTAATGTTTACATTCTCACATGACTTTCTCTCTCTCTCTCTCAGTGTGTGTGTGTGTGTGTGTGTGTGTGTGTGTGTGTGTGTGTGTGTGTCTCTTCTGCAGAAAGATAATCGTTATAGCCTGAGAATCGGGGAATGGGGATTCGGGTGTTAAGCCTTTTCTGAGAATTACCCTCCGTGTTGTGCAGAGAAATAAGTAAATTTGCTGTGTTTCCAGACTTCCAGCTGCCTCACGAAGAGGATCGTAGTGCAATACTGGCGATGCCTCCAGAGCTCCCTGAATGAGGTTTATCTTGTAAATAGGTGGGAGGAGAATTGAGCTGTCCTGGGTCAGTGTAGTAATGTTACAGCAGGATCCTTAGGTTGATGCTGAATTCTATCTGGGGTAGATTTATATTTTGTGCGGGGGTTGTTTCCTTTCTGTGTTTTCGAGCGGGATTGTCGCTGTGGGAGCAGGGATCTGCTAAGGTTTGTCTCGTTCTCCAGTAATGAATGAGTTTAATGGGTGCAGCCGCTGTTTTCAGTAGCATGCCAGTGGGGGCATCGATGAGCTATGAGGGGCTAGAGCTTGCTCGGATTGTTTCCTTGTGTTTGTGTTTTGAGATGCGTTTGCTTGTGTCATGTTTGTTTTCCATTTTGGCAGGGGAAAGGTTTTCCAGGAAGAAAGGTTGTTGCCAGTGGATTTGGTTCCGAGGGGCTGGGGTTTCTGGCTGGGAGTGGGGAGGGGCTGCACGGTGATCGGTGGCTACTCCACCTCCAGAAAGAGCGTGTGGCTTCTCTGCCTCGGGGAGGATATTCTGCTCTCTTGTGAGTTTTGCAAGCCACCCGAGATTCTCTCTTGAATTGCTGTCAAGAAATAGAGACCGGCGTTGTCTCTGGCCCTCGCTGGGGAAGCTTTTCTGAGGTTTTGTTTTTTTAATTTGAGACGGAGTTTGGCTTTTGTTGTCCAGGCTGGAGTGCAATGGTGGCATCTGGGCTCACTGCAAACTCGGCCTCCCGGGTTCAAGCGATTCTCCCGTCTCAGCCCCCTGAGTAGCTGGGATTACAGGCGCTCGCCAGCAAGCCCAACCGAGTTTCGTCTTTTTAGAAGAGACGGGATTTCCTCATGTTGGTCAGGCTGGTCTGCAACTCCGGACGTCAGGGGGTCCGCCGGCCTCGACCTCCCAAAGCGATGGGAATAGAGGCGTGAGTCACCGTGCCCGGACATGTCTGAGTTTCACAGGGTCGCTGATTGGATTATGTCCCCTTCCCCGGAACGAATGCTTTTCTGTCTTCCTTAAGGGTAGTATCTCTGTGGCACCCTGTTCTGGCTCCTTACGTGTTCTTCAGGCTTGAAGGCCTCTTTTCACGTGCACCGGCATCCACTCAGGTGCCTGCTTCCAGAAGCTTCCCAGCACCCACTCTGCTGACAGCCAAGGGCACAGGACTTTGATCTCTTCTGCTGCCCTTGCTGGGTTTTGCCTTGCGGCTTAGGTCTTTCTATTTCTCTCTCTATCCCTCACTGTCGGTAACGCCTAAGAACCAAGTTTACTTAATGGTGTGTGTGTGTGTGTGTGTGTGTGCGCGCGCGCGTCCGTGTGCGTGCTCATGTGTGCGTGTGCGTGTGTGTGTGCGTGTCTTTCTTTGTGTGTATGTGTGTGTGTCGTATCTGGCACACGGACCTGTGATTACCAGCCCGCGTGAAGCCAACAAATGCCCTGAGTTAGAATGCAAACTTTCACCAAAGCTTGCAGGAGCTCGTAGGAGGTGAACTCAAGGTAGTTAACCCGGTCATCTCATGGTAATTAGAAACTCTGCTTGGCAGGTTTAGACTTCCTGATCGAGAACCTAAAGAAGCTGATTGAGGTGTCGCCATTCTTTCACAGGGGTTCTGGCTGAAAAGATTGGGATTGATTCTTTGCCGTGCTTAGTAAAAGTATTTTGACTTAAGGAACGTAGCAGTTGTTAGCATTTATGTATGAAATCCAGGAGTTCCTTTCTTCAGATAAACAGCAGGTTTCTTTGAGATGTGCTCCGCTTGTGTCACCCAGGCTGGAGTGCAGTGGAATGAGGAAGGGTCACTGCAGCCTCCGCTTGCCCAGCTCAGGCGATCCTGCCACCTCAGCCCTCTAAGAAGCTGGGACCACAGGGGCCGTGCCACCACGCCGGGCTCATTTTGGTATCTTTTGTGGAGACGGGGTTTCTCCGTTTGGCCCAGCCTGTTCTCCACCTCCTGGGCTGCAGCGATCTGCTTTCCTCGGCCTCCCAGAGGAGGATGGCCGACGATTACAGGATCATGCCCGGCCTTTTCCCTAAAAGAAAACACCAACAGCAACAAAACATTTTGCGTAGTCGGAGTTATCAGTGTCAACTGGTGGATTGAGAGTTTGTGTCTAAGAAGTCCTTCCTTATGCACTGGATGATTTCAAAAGAAAGGAGAAAAGACAAAAGGGAATCTCACATCTTGTACCTGATTTATGATTGCAACTAGGGCGTTATTTAAAAGACGATCAGTGAACCACCAAAGTAGAATTGATCCGAATGCGTTCATAATATCTTCTGAATTCTGAGGTGTCCTCCAAGCAGGGAGGCAGTGGCTGGGTGTGGGAGGCAAAAATCACAGGGCCAGCACTTGACACCTGCAGGATTCGGAGGCTCAACTTTGCACCAAGCCAAGGGTTCTGGTGTCCGTCGCAAGTTTCGTTCCCCAACCCGCATTGACTTTGCATTGGCCCTCCTCCCCCCAGATTTTATCCGTAAGGCAAGTCCTGAGTTTATCGTCGGGAGAATCTTCCCTTGTAGTCTCGAATTGCCTTGGCCATCAGCGGGGCCACTTTCTTGGCAGCCTGTTTTCGGGTTTTGTCCGCGGGCGCCGCGTGCCGGTTGCTGCTGCCGCCGCCGCTCACGCTGCCGCCGTCGCCGTCCCCGAGGCCGGAGGGAGCCTGGCTGCTTCCTGCGGGCTTGGGGGCTGGCTCCATCTCTCCATTTCCGGGGTCAGCGGCTCCTGCAGACTTCTCTTGCCTCCTGGAAGCATCATAAGGCGTCTTGGCCACAGAGTTGAAACAGATCATCTTTGTCTGTCGGCCGCTGGGTTTGTTTTCACGTGCGGATCGGATTTTCGTGGTCACTACTCGCAGCCGCTGCTCTCGGGCGTCCCGAAGCCGCAGGTACAGCTCCCGCCAAGACTCGTGCTCCTGTGGCTTTTCTTCCTTGAAGTCCTGGAGGCAATGAATCCTCCATAATTCATCTGTCTCTCGAGCGAGTGCGGCATTGTCTTTCTCTGTGCGGTACGGCTGATCGGGCGTCCACCCTTCCAGAACGGGTTCAAGAACCGAGTAGGGGACCCCTTCCACGTCGCCGAGGGCGTCCGGATTGTTCCTAGGCACCCGGAGGCACTGCTGGCGCAGCGTCGGCACCTGGAGCTGGCAGGCAGGCCTGGAGCCCGAGTACACCGGCATCTTAGCGTTCACTCTGCGTCCAGGGAAAGCAGCTTCCTCCTGGAGCGTTGGCGCGGAGAGTGCTTCTGGGTTTGCCTGGGAGGTCATGGCCTCAAAAGCGGACAGCAGATCGTAGTTGGCCTGCATCCAGGCCTCTGAGGGGTCCCAGAGCTCCGAGAAGACATGGCTGGGCACCGTTTTCGGCCCGGCGGAATCAGCGCCGGCCGCCTGCAGCCTCTCTGACTGGCTTTCCTGGACAGGAGGCGATTTCTGAGCCGAAGCCCCGCGGGACGATTTGTGCCCCTTGCTGTGGCTCCCCACCGCTTCCCCCTGGGGTTGGCCCTGGCAGCCTTGACCCAGCAGAGGCCCGCCCTGAGCGGCGTGAGCGTGGCCTCTTCCGGGTTGCTCCCCGGGCACAGCGGGCTCAGGGCCCTCGGGCATCGGGAGGGGAGCGGTGCGCGTTGGAGGGTCCCGATGGGGGCCGGAATCAGCTGGGGCCATTCTGGGGCGCTTTCTCTCGGCTCTGGGCTCGCGACTGGGAGACCTCGGGTGAGG